>NC_000009.12:125095552-125720552 GCF_000001405.40 Homo sapiens
ACTGGGCATAAGGCCAACCATAATAAACACTAGTCTTCCTTGCATCCAGGTATGGCCATGGAACTAAATGATGGCCAGTGGGATTTGAGGTGAAGTGATGTAACTTTGAGAACTTGTCCTTAGAGGAATTAATGTGCTCTCTTCCTCCTGACTTTCCCCCTTTTTTCTAATGGGAATATGGACATAATATTGAGCATCTTGGACCACGTGGATGTGGGCAATAAGCTAGTGATGAGAGAGCAACAAGAGAGAAGAAGCCTGGAAAAACAAAACAAAACAAAAGAATAGAAGGAGCCTGGATCTCTGTGGAGCCACCATAAAGGCCCTGGGAGGCTTAAACTGAGAAAGAATTAAACCCCAATCTTTTTAAAATCTCTGTAACTTGGGTGAGGGCTACAACTGCTGTCAGTGCTCTGCCCACATTTCCTCCCAACCCTGTGCTCTCACTCCCAACAGCCAGCACCTGCAGGTCTTTGTAGAGGGGCTACCCTCAGTCTGCCAGCACTTCCTGGACATTTATACACTCATCCTGTATTAGTCTGTTTTTCACACTGTTGATAAAGACATACCCAAGACTGGGTAACTTATACAGGAAAAAGGGTTTAATGGGGGTGCCTCATAATCATGGCAGAAGGCAAGGAGGAGCAAGTCATGTCTTACATGGATGGCAGCAGGCAAAGAGAGAGCTTGTGCAGGGGAACTCCCCCTTGCAGAACCATCAGATCTCGTGAGACTTATTCACTATCACAAGGAGAACACAGGAAAAACCTGCCCCCATGATTCAATTACCTCCCACCGGGTCCCTCCCACAACACAAAGGAATTCAAGATGAGATTTGGGTGGGGACACAGGCAAACCATATCACCTCCCCACCAGGGATGGTCCTTAGCAATTACTGATGGGTATGAAAGTATAAAGGCTCTACTTTATTTCTTTGGTCCCTGGCAGTGACAACTCTTAGGTATAAGCTCCAGAACTCCCTTGCAAGACTAGCCAAAGTTGTCTACCTTGAGGCTTTCTTGGTATCACATCCTTGATACCAGCCTCCTCTTCCTGTCCCCAGTCCTACTTTCCCACTCCCTAGCAGGTTTTTCTGAAACTCTTCTCAGTAAGTTGTCTTCCCATAAAAGTTTATCTCAACTCCTGCTTCTGGGGAACCCAACCTGAGGCAGTACCCTGCCTCTATCCCATTCTCCCAGGGTTTATCACACTCAATAACTGTACACCTTTCCAAACCTTTGTCTTTGCATAATCAAACATGTGGTTCTCTTAAACGAAAATGAAATTATATGATATAAACTATGCAACTGGCCTTATTCACTTAAAGTATTGCATGGACCACATCCTATGACAGTAAAATATATATACTCCTGACTATTTTCCAGGATACATGGTTGCCTATAACTTAACGTTTAAATAAATATCAAACACATTTTTTTTGAGAAGTAGGGAAAGAATTTTAAAATGGTAGGAAACTTCTTTGATTCACTCCTATCATTCTACTCATCAATGAGAAAAGAAAGATTATATTACGTATACAATTACTTCTAGGAATACCAAAAAGAAACAATGCAAAATTTGTTAAAAGTTAAAAAATTAGCTGGGCGCGGTGGCTCACGCCTGTAATCCCAGCACTTTGGGAGACCGAGGTGGGCAGATCACTTGAGGTCAGAAGTTTGACACCAGCCTGGCCAACATGGTGAAACCCTGTCTCTAATAAAAATACAAAAATTAGCCCAGCATGGTGGTGTGTGCCTGTAATCCCAGCTACTCAGGAGGCTGAGACAGGAGAATTGCTTGAACTCGGGAGGTAGAGATTGCAGTGAGCCAAGATCATGCCACTTCACTCCAACCTGGGAGACAGAGTGAGACTCCGTCTCGGGGAAAAAGTAATAATTTAGAAAAAAAAGTAAATAAATTAAATCATTCTTTTTTCTAGTTCTTTGAACTCCCCAAAGAGTTTAAAGGCCTGAAATAGATATAGACACAGATATATGTAATCTTCAATATATTAATACTTAAAATATTTAAATATTTTATATACAAATAAAATTTATATCAAATACCAGGATAGTCTTACAGTTTTGTGATTTAAAAAGGCAGGAAGAAGAGAAAGAAGTAGGAAGATTTCTCTAACTCCCATTACAAGTCTGGTATTTCAAAAGAATATTCTTTTGTTACTGGCAAAATGCATTCTGGATATTTCAGAAGGATATGTTGCTTGAAATATATATTTCAAGGAAGAAAGATTACAGATATTTCGTGAACCTTCAAGAATTAAAATAATAGCAATGGAAACTTCAATATTTCAACACCAACATTATTTAAGAATGTATATTCTTATATGTATATATTCTTACATATATAAGAATGTATACAAGAATATGAATATTCCTCTAAGAATATTCTTATATGTATATAAATTCTGATCTATATAAGAATATATATATGTGTGTGTGTGTGTATATATATATCTATACACACACATATATATATGTGTATATACACATATATATATATGAGACAGGGTCTCACTCTGTTGCCCAGGCTAGGGTACAGTGGCACAATCATAGCTCACTGCAACCTCAATCTCCTGGACTCAAGAGATCCTCCCACTTCAATCTCCTCAGTAGCTGGGACTACAGATGCACACCACAACACCTGGATAATTTTTTTTTATTTTTTGGAGAGACTGGGTCTTGCTATGTTGTCCAGGCCAGTCTCAAACTCCTGGCCTCAAGCAATCCTCCTGCCTCGGCTTCCCAAAGTGCTGGGATTACAGGTGTGAGCCATCATGCCCAGCACATATTTAGAACATGACAGAAAATATAACAATGTTATCTCTTATTGGATGGTAAATCTGGATTACAATTATAAAAGAGACTTAATAAAGCAGTGTAACCTTTATTTTCCACAAAATGACTATACTGGTGCATAAAATGAAACAGAAGCCTAGAAAAAACAAACTCTCATGAGTAACAAGATTGTTTTCATCTCATTTGGAACTGTTCAATGTTACATATCGAACATTTTGGCAGGCCAATAACCTGTAACATTATAATTTAAGAATGCTAAGATGGGGCATGGCTGCAAGATGCAGTCACACTGTAAATTAAGAATCGAAGGGGGTCAGATGTGTGACAGAACTTCTGTGGTGGTGTTTTTCCTATTTGTGAACTGCAAAGGGAAGTCTCCAATCTAGTTATTAAACTTTCAGTCTGTCTGAGGTAACAGCTATTATGCCAAAAGCAATTACTCAGGCTAGTACTGGAGATGTTTTGTTGTTGTTGTTTTAGCCGAAGTCAGATAATTCCTGGGTTTGTCTGTATGTGCCCTTATCCCTTAATCAACAAGAACATCTACGACATCAAAATTCTCCCTCCTGTTTCCAGTTCTTCTCAATTGGCAAAATCACAGATTAAAAAAAAAAAATTAGATGTGTGTCCAAAATTGTCTTTACCGCAAATGTTTTGAGACAAATTTTAAAAACAGATTTACTTGTAGGGATTTTGTTGAGATATAGAGAAGTGATTTTGTTGAGATGTAGAGAAACACTTCCTTGAAGTTTATTTCTGATACTGTTAGCTACATTCTTGGCATCCTTTAGGAATTTTAAGAATACATATTCATATCCAGGAAAAAATAGAGAAAATATATATGCAGATACTTCCCCAAATTAAACTAAGCATGATGTAATTCCTATAGAATTTTGTTATGAAAGAAATCACTTTTTATCTTTTTTTTTTTTTTGAGACAGTATCTCATCACTCTATTGCCCAGGCTGGAATGCAGCAGTGCGATCTCAGTTCACTGCAACCTCCGCCTCTGGGTTCAAGTGATTCTTGTGACTCAGCCCGCCTAGTAGATGAGATGTGCGCTACCATGCCTGGCTAATTTTTTTGTATTTTTAGTAGAGACAGGGTTTTGCCATGTTGGCCACGCTAGTCTCGACCTCCTGGCCTCAAGTGATGCACCCGCCTCAGCCTCCCAAAGTGCTAGGATTACAGACGGCAGCTTTTCATCCTTCAAAGAAAAACAAATACAAACCTTATGTTTAAGCAAAACATAAGAATTATCACTGGTACTTTGGCTTAGGCTCTGGCTGGCCTTGAACATTCCAGACTTTGAGTGAGTAATGAATATGAGGAAATCATGTGTCTGTCAGTAACAGGTGTTAAATTCTACTGTCTCTATGAATTTGACTACTCTAAGTACTTTGTATAAGTGGAATCATATTTGTCGTTTTGTGTCTGGCTTATTTCATTCAGCATAGTGTCTTCAACGTTCATCCATGTTGTAGCATGTGTCAGAATTTCATTGCTTTTTATAGCTAAATAATATCCCATTGTATGGATATAACACATTTTGTTTATCTGTCCATCTATATCAATGGACATCCGGGTTGTGTGCACCTTTTGGCCATTGTGAATAATGCTGCTACTAACCTTGGTGTACCAATCTGTTCAAGTACCTGCTTTCAATTTATCTGGGCACACGCCCAGAAGTTGAGTGGCTGGATCATATAATAACTCTATGTTTAATTTTTTAAGGAACTGCCATACTTTAATGTAAGATTTTAAAGCACAAATATCAGTGTATTCTACAGATCTATGAGAAGTAGCTCTTGTCTCTTGTGGTGATTGCCAACATTTAGCTTAGAATTGCAACTTGCAACATATATGTCAGAAGTGGCCCAGGTTTTCACATTGGAAGGGAAGAAAAAGTAGTAATAAAAGCAATCACTTATTGACTGTTTATTATGCACCAGATTCTGAGCTGAGAGCTTTACACAGATTCTTGCATTGAATCCTCAAGACAAACCTACTTGGTTCTACTATCTCCATTTCAGAGAAGAGTAAGCAGGCCAGATAGGTTAATGACATGCCTAAGATCACAAAGCAGACGAGTGCCAGCACCAGGACTCAATTTCGGTTCTAAGTCAGAGCCTTTGCTTTAATCACTATTCATTCTTTCAACAATCATTCATTAAAGGCCTATTACATGTCACGCAATGTTCAAATTGCAGGTAACACAGTAATGAGCAAAACACACATAAAATGTTCTTGGACTAAAATAAGTTACCTCTAGTAGGGGGAGACAGTACAAATTATATAAATTACATAGTATATTAGATGGTGATAAGTGCTCTGGAGAAAAAGCAAGCAGACAAAGGGGACAAAGAGCTGCAATTGGAAACAGGCTGATCACAAAAGACCTCACTAAGATGACATCTAAGCAAAAATAACTTGAAGGAGGTGAAAGAATAAACCGTGAGGGAAATGTGGTAGAAAATTATTCTAGGCAGAGAAAAGAGCAAGTGCACAGGCCCCGAGTTAGCTTGCCTGATGTGTTTGAGCAACAGCAAAACACTGAACTAAAAACTGTGACTGAGCTGGGCACGGTGATGCATGCCTACAATCCCAGCTATTCAGGAGGCTGAAAAGGGAGGACTGCTTGAGTCCAGGAGTTTGAATCCAGCCTGGGCAACACAGTGAGACCCCATCTCTTAACAACAACAACAACAACAAACCCAACTGAGACTGAAGTGGAACCAGGCACAGATTGATGAGGAGGGGAAGAGGTCAGAGACATACTGAAGAACCAGTTCACGCACAGCCATGTAGGCCACTGAAAAGCCTTCAGCTTGTATACTGAAGCAAATGAGGAGCCAATGGAGCGTTTTGAACAAGGAGTGATGTGATTTGACTGACATTTTAAAAGGATCTCACTGGCTACTGTATTGGGAGACAAGAACGGAAGCAGGGAAGCCAGTTGTAAGACTGCTCTAACAACTCAGGCCACAGTTTAAATCAGTAGAGAGAGTGGAAAATAGTTAAATGCTGAATATTTCCTAGAGATAGAGCTGAGACTTACCAATGGATGGGAATGCAGAGGATAAGACAAGGTGAAGAATGACTCCAAGGCCTTTGATCTGAGCAACTGGAAGGATGGAATAGCCACTGACTAAGATGAGACCTCCAGACATGTCTGGGAGGTCTATTAGGAGCTCCACTTTGGAAGTGTTAGGGTTGAGAAGCTACTGGACATCTGAGCAAAAATGCAGAACAGGCAGCTGGAATTTTGAGTCTAGAGTTCAGGGGAATGGTATAGGCTGGAGTCAATTTAGTACCACAAAATATGCCAAGAACTGTGTCAGACACTAGAAATACAGGGATGAATACATAGTACTGACCAGCCAAGAGACTGAAGTACATCCTTTCCCCCTAAATGTATTTCTCAGTGTGTTTGTTAACAGTTGCTATGAAAGAGCAGGGAAAATGTCAGTCAGCTAAACAGTTTAGATTTCCTTTTGAGAATTTTTCAGACTTGAATAAACTAAACATATACTGTGACTTTCCACAAGGGGATAGAGACATCAAGCTGTTATGTGAACTTCTTAGCTTTTGTTGAAGTGTATGTTGTAGGCACATACTGGTCTAGGGCAAAGTTCTCAACTCCAACACTATGGACACTTGGGATCACATCATTCCTTGATGTGGGTGCTGTCCTGTGCACTGCAGGATGTCTAGCGGCATCCCTGGCCTCCACACACTAGACACCAGTAACACACCCCACGTCGGTGACAAACATGTCTCCAGACATTGCTAAATGTCCCAAGGGACAAAATCACTCTCAGTTGAGAACCATTGGTCTAATGTTTTAATATATGCTTCCATAGGAAAATAATGATATTCCTTTTTCCCAAGTCTACTTTTATTTATTTAGCAGCAGAAAAGGATCTATTCATCTATCCTAATTATCCCAATGATGAGTTCATTACCGTTTCCCTACTTAAATCGGTAAGAGGCCATTAGACATGAATTTCCTCATTTTCCCCTGCAGCCTCTATCTTACTTACCCTCCCTCAGTCCTCCTCTTTCATAAAGATCAGCTGCTCCTCCAGCCACCACCTGTGCACTGGATTCCAGTCCCACTTGCCTCTGACCACAACTTCACCATCAGCTACTCCCTGCCCAGTAAGTTTAACCTCTCCCTCAGCCTTCAAACATGCCAATTTTTTCTCTTACCAAAATGAAACAAACAAACCCACTTTTTTTTTTTTGAGATGGAGTGTCACTCTGTCGCCCAGGCTGGAGTGCAGTGGCACGATCTAAGCTCACTGCAACCTCCACCTCCCAGGTTCACGCAATTCTCCTGCCTCAGCTTCCCAAGTAGCTGGGATTACAGGACCCCGCAACCATGCCCAGCTAATCTTTGTATTTTCAGTAGAGGCGGGGTTTCGCCATGTTGGCCAGGCTGGTCTTGAATGCTTGACCTCAGGTGATCCACCCACCCCGGCCTCCCAAAGTGCTGGGATTACAGGCGTGAGGCACCGCGCCCAGCCCTACCCAAACACCTTCTCCTCTCCCTTAAGTCATCTCTCTCTTTCTCTATACAGCTAAATTTTCATGAGGTTCCATCTTAGACACCTGCCCTCTGCTTTTCCTCACTGCTTGTTTCCTTCTCTGCCTAATCAAGTCTAGGTCTACAGTCATTTTTCCACTCTCTCAAAGATGAGGACCTCTTACCTGCCCAGTTCAATGGTTTCCTCAGAGGCCTTCCCTACCTGACATCACCTAGTGCTGAAAATATTTTTAAATGAACTCCTGAAGAAACTTTCTGACCCAGTGAGCAATCTCTCTCTTGAATCCCATGACATCATTCCCCTGGTTCTCTTTTCACCTCATTGATGGCTTTCTCGCAGTCTGTTTTCCTGTTTCTTCTGCATCCACTAACACAGGTAGTCCTTTGAGGATGATTTTTCAGTCCTCCTCTAAATGACTTCCAGGACTCCAAATACACCTAGGAATTCCCTATTTAACTCTGACCTCATATTCTATCCTGAGCTCCAAATTAAGATTTTTAATAGTGAGATGGCAGATTTTTAATAAAAAGAACCAGAAGTAATATTAACATTAACAGTAATAACCACCACCAGAAATGTCTTTTACATCCCAAGCACTGAAGAAAGCACTTTATAAATATTCACTCATTTAATTTGCCCCTCAACAAGCGGTCCTTACTATTCCAACCACAATAATGAAGTTACAGTCTCAGGTTAAACAACTTTCTTACACAGCTAGTAAATTGTAAATCTAGGGCTGGGAACAGATTTTACCTCAAAGCCAATTTCTTAATCAAGTGATGTTGTTTCACCTTATCTTTTCGATTTCTCCTCAAAATTCAATTTTCTTAGGACTTCCTGAGTTTCACAAACTTATAGGATAATTTAAGGTTAACATTCAAACTATACACTCTTGGCCTCTGTATTAAAAGAGAAACATTTTTTTCTAAGAATCCTAGGGCTAAAAGGAAGTTAGTGTTATATAATTCATCTCTCAGCCTGTAGGGAGAAGTGTATCTAACCCATTCCAGACAGATGGGTATCTTCTATTTTTAATGACATCTAGGAAAGGAAACTCTCACCTACTAAATTTAGACTGTGAGCCAAAGGAAAGAAGCATATCTAATTTTATGCTCCATATAGCCAGGCCTTCACATATAGTTGGTAATATGCATCCTAACAGGATTATTACCACAAGTAGAAACAAACACTTAAAAACTACAATAAAAAAATAAAGACAATAACTAGAAAGTGATTCAACTGGACTCTTCAAGTTCACAAGAGAACAGAATCATTCCAGTCCAAATTACAACAGAGCTGACATCGTAACAATTCTTCCTATTATATTAAAACCCATCTGGCAGAAGTGATTGGAAAAACGACAAAGGAGTGTCCAGTAAGATGCATACATGTTTCACGGAGGTACCTAGTTTTTAAAAGTTAACTCCCAATCTTAATGCAGAAGAGTCATGAATGAATCCTAAGTCAGTAACACTTTGAGGTTTATAGTTATACCTTTGCCACTGCTTATTCTTAACTCTAGCCTTTAACTCTAAATACTTCACAACCTCCCTAAGAGATTTCAGTCTAATTCTGTCTGTCAGATAATCTTTGCTGGCTCTCAAGACATTAAGGAAAAAACAAACAAAACAAATATTGCACAAATGATGCAAAACAAAGAGATTTCTGATCCTGTGTTTTACTTTAAAAAAAAAAAAAAAAAAAGGCCAGTGCAGTGGCTCAGGCCTGTAATCCCAGCACTTTGGGAGGGTGAGGCAGGTGGATCACAAGATTAGGAGTTCAAGACCAGCCTGGCCAAGATGGTGAAACTCCATCTTTCTCAAAACCCTTTGTTTGTCAAAAAACAAACAAACAAACTACACTGGTAATGTACTACTAAAAATACAAAAATTAGCCAGGCATGGCAGTGGGCACCTGTAATCCCACCTGCTCAGGAGGCTGAGGCAGGAGAATAGCTTAAACCTGCAAGGTGGAGGTTCCAGTGAGCTGAGATAATGCCACTGCCCTCCAGCCTGGGTAACAGAGCAAGACCCTGTCTCAAAAAAAAAAAAAAAAAAATTTAGTGTCAACACTGTTTTGTTTCCTGAATAATAATAGTCTTCAAAGGGGCTTGACAGTTTTTCACTTCTGCTGACAGTCAACTGATACATCAACTTTCATAAATCATCTGGTGGTAAGAAAACCAAAGCCATCATGTACCTCTAAAACTTCAACTCCAGCCTGGCCAACATAGTGAAACCCCATCTCTACAAAAAAAACTTTAAGAATTAGCTGGGCATGGTGACATGCCCCTGTAGTCCCAGCTACTCAGGAGGCTGAGGCAGGAAGATTGCTACCACTGCATTCCAGCCTGGGTGACAGAGTGAGACCCTGTCTCTAAAATAAATAAATAAAAATTCAAATAACTCATTACTGCAACAGTAAATAAGGAAAGATTCTATTTCTCCAAGAGCTAAGTCTGCTCCTATTCCCTTCATGATACTGGGCAAACTATCTGTATTTTTATGTTACCTATCGCTTCTTGGCCTTTTGGCCAAGATCAAGTGTAGTATCTGTTCTTATCAGTTTAATGTTACCTGTCTCATGTCCCTTCTCCACAAAATAAAGAAATTTGAATGTTCTTTAAAGTCCTTCAGGTTCCAAATCTCTATAATTCTGTACAGTGTATCTGAATGTGTATAGTAGAAATGGGCAATATATTTTAGGAATAAAGAGAACCACAGATAAATACTTTGGCACAATTGCTTATACATATTGTCTGTATTTCCACGTTTGGCATAGAGAAGGAAATTGCTTACATTACTATATTTTATCTCCAAGAACCTAAAGTCTCTCTCCTTATAACTTTCCAAACCTTAATCTCAGAGGATAAACACTTTCTAAGAAAAAGATATAGTTGGCCGGGCGCGGTGGCTCACGCCTGTAATCCCAGCACTCTGGGAGGCCGAGGCAGGCAGATCATGAGGTCAAGAGATGGACACCAGCCTGGCCAATGTGGTGAAACCCCGTTTCTACTAAAAATACAAAAATTAGCTGGGTGTGGTGGTGCGGGCCTGTAGTCCCAGCTACTCAGGAGGCTGAGACAGGAGAATCACCTGAACCCAGCAAGCGGAGGTTGCAGTGAGCCAAGATCACACCACTGCACTCCAACCTGCGTGACAGAGTGAGACTCCATCTCAAAAAAAAAAAAAAAAAAAAAAAAAAATATATATATATATATATATATATATATATATAGTTAAGTCAATATTTAGCCAATAAGATCTTATAAAGTTTCTTAAATTTTGGTCTAAATACCTTAAACAGTTTAAATTTGTAAGTGTAAGTAACTGTTTTCAAATAAAAGCATGATAAAAAAAAAACACAAGCATTGGAAGATTCATTTCCAATGGCCTAGTCATCCAGTAAAATTTTTTAGCATCATAAGCTTTATTTCCTGTCTGACATCCTCAGGGATCTAGTTTGACAGCTCCTCTGTACAATTTCTACTATAAGACTTCTCTGTCCTCTCTTGGCACATGTAAACTGCTGCTAGGTAATATTTCCTTTGGCAACAAATTATATACTTTATAGAAAGAGACCTTCAACTGAACCCTCACCACTCAAACCCACATTCTTCCCAAACATGTGAATCTTAAACTAAGTCTTGTGTAACAAGTTGGACACATTTTATTACACTGAAATGTAAAATATTCATTAAATTCTCCCCACTAAAAGGAGGATTCAAGTTACAATCTCTCTCAAAGAGAAATCAAAAATGGTTTTGCTAAATCATATGCTGAACTTGCATTATTTTTCTTTTCCTTTTTTTTTTTTTTTTTTTTTTGAGACAGGGTTTCACTGTGCAGAGTACAATCACCACTCACTGCAGCCTTGACCTCCTGGGCTCAAGCAATACTCCCACCTCAGCCTCCCAAGTAGCTAGACATGTGCCACCATGCCTGGTTAATTTTTTTTTTTTTTTTTTTAAGTTTTTTGTAGCATCAGAGTCTCATTATGTTGCCCACGCTGGTCTTGAACTCCTGGGCTCAAATGATCCTCCTGCCTCAGCCTCCCAAAGTTCTGGGATAACAGATGTGAGCCACCATGCCTGGCCTTGAGTTATTTTTCTTTCTTTCAATTGCCCTTGAATTATAGGCAGATACATATTCTACTAGGTTTCAAGAAATGAAAACAAAATTAACTGTAATCTAGAAAAATAAATACAACAGGCTGGGCACAGTGACTCACGCCTGTAATCCCAGCACTTTGGGAGGCCGAGGGGAGAGGATCACAAGGTCAGGAGATCGAGACCATCCTGGCCAACATAGTGAAACCCCGTCTCTACTAGAAATACAAAAATTAGCCAAGGGTGGTGGTGTGGGCCTGTAGTCCCAGCTACTTGGGAGGCTGAGGCAGGAGAATCGCTTGAACCCAGGAGGCGGAGGTTGCAGTGAGCCGAGATCGCCCCGCTGCACTCCAGCCTGGCGACAGAGGGAGACACTGTCTCAAAAAAAAAAAAAAAGAAAAAGAAAAGAAAAAGAAATACAACCATATAAATGGAACCTCCAAGGTTTAAGAACCAGAGCCAGGCAAGATAGCTCATGCTTGTAATCCTAGCTATTCAGGAGGCTGAGGTGGGAGGATAACTTGAGCCCAGGAATTCAAGAGCAGCCTGGGCAACATAGTGAGACTCTGTCTCTAAGAAAATTTTAAATATTACCCAGGTGTCATGGCATGTGCCTGCAGTCCTAGCTACTCAGGAAGCTGAGGCAGGAGGACAGCCTGAGCTGGGGAGTGAGCCTGGCTGCAGTGAGTTATGATTGTGCCACTGCACTCCAGCCTCGGCAACAGAGCAAGACCCCATCTCTAAAAATAAATTTTAAAATGAGTAAATAAGCTCCCTCTCCCCTCTCCCCTCTCCATCTCCCTCTCCCCACAGTCTCCCTCTCCCTCTCTTTCCACGGTCTCCCTCTGATGCCGAGCGGAAGCTGGACTGTACTGCTGCCGTCTCCACTCACTGCAACCTCCCTGCCTGATTCTCCTGTCTCAGCCTGCCGAACCCCTGCGATTGCAGGCGCGCGCCGCCATGCCTGACTGGTTTTCGTATTTTTTTGGTGGAGACGGGGTTTCGCTGTGTTGGCCGGGCTGGTCTCCAGCTCCTAACCGCGAGTGATCTGCCAGCCTGGGCCTCCCGAGGTGCCGGGATTGCAGACGGAGTCTCATTCACTCAGTGCTCAATGTTGCCCAGGCTGGAGTGCAGTGGCGTGATCTCAGCTCGCTACAACCTCCACCTCCCAGCCGCCTGCCTTGGCCTCCCAAAGTGCCGAGATTGCAGCCTCTGCCCAGCCGCCACCCCGTCTGGGAAGTGAGGAGCGTCTCTGCCTGGCCGCCCATCATCTGGGATGTGAGGAGCCCCTCTGCCCAGCTGCCCAGTCTGGGAAGTGAGGAGCGCCTCTTCCCGGCCGCCATCCCGTCTAGGAAGTGAGGAGTGCCTCTTCCCAGCCACCATCCCATCTAGGAAGTGAGGAGCGTCTCTGCCTGGCCGCCCATCGTCTGAGATGTGGGGAGCGCCTCTGCCCCGCCGCCCCGTCTGGGATGTGAGGAGCGTCTCTGCCCGGCTGCGACCCCATCTGGGAGGTGAGGAGCGTCTCTGCCCAGCCGCCCCGTCTGAGAAGTGAGGAGCCCCTCCGCCCGGCAGCCGCCCCGTCTGAGAAGTGAGGAGCCCCTCCGCCCGGCAGCCGCCCCGTCTGAGAAGTGAGGAGCCCCTCCGCCCGGCAGCCGCCCCGTCAGAGAAGTGAGGAACCCCTCCGCCCGGCAGCCGCCCCGTCCAGGAAGTGAGGAGCGTCTCCGCCCGGCAGCCGCCCCGTCCGGGAGGTGGGGGGCGCCTCTGCCCGGCCGCCCCTTCTGGGAAGTGAGGAGCCAGCCCCTCTGCCCGGCCACCACCCCGTCTGGGAGGTGTACCCAACAGCTCACTGAGAACGGGCCATGATGACGATGGCGGTTTTGTCAAATGGAAAAGGGGGAAATGTGGGGAAAAGATAGAGAAATCAGGTTGTTGCTGTGTCTGTGTAGAAAGAAGTAGACATAGGAGACTCCATTTTGTTCTGTACTAAGAAAAATTCTTCTGCCCTGGGATGCTGTTGATCTATCACCTTACCCCCAACCCGCTGCTCTCTGAAACATGTGCTGTGTCCACTCAGGGTTAAATGGATTAAGGGCAGTGCAAGATGTGCTTTCTTAAACAGATGCTTGAAGGCAGCATGCTCGTTAAGAGTCATCACCACTCCCTAATCTCAAGTACCCAGGGACACAAACACTGCGGAAGGCCGCAGGGTCCTCTGCCTAGGAAAACCAGAGACCTTTGTTCACTTGTTTATCTGCTGACCTTCCCTCCACTATTGTCCTATGACCCTGCCAAATCCCCCTCTGCGAGAAACACCCAAGAATTATCAATTTTAAAAAATAATAATAATAATAATAATAAAAGACAGGTCTCTGGTAACAGAGAAAGAGGAGCTTACATTTGTTATTAAAGTGCCATGTATTTAATAAAACACCAAACAATTTTAAAAAAATGAGTAAATAATTTAAAGAACTATACTTTCAATTCACCATTCCCACCTTTTTATTCAATACATACCCTAACATATCTTTCCCTTATCAGTAACCCATTACTACAGAAGTAAAATGTGTTATTGACTGACAAAGCCCAAATGAACTACTGAAGCAACTACTTAAATCAAGGTTTCCATTTATCTATCTATCTATCTATCTATCTATCTATCTATCTATGTATTTATTTTTGAGGCACAGTCTCACTCTGTCTCCCAGGCTGGAGGGCAGTGATGTGATCTCGGCTCACTGCAACCGCCACCTTCCAGGTTCAAGCAATTCTCTTGCCTCAGCCTCCCAAGTAGGTGAGATTACAGGCACGCACCACCACGCCCAGCTAATTTTTGTATTTTTTAGTAGAGATGGGGTTTCGCCATGATGGCCAGGCTGGTCTCAAACTCCTGACCTCAAGTGACCCACCCGCCTCGGCCTCCCAAAGTGCTGGGATTACAGGCATGAGCCACCATGTCTGGCCCCAAGCATGCTTTAATTTAATTCAAATATCTGTTTATAGGCCTTAAGACTCAGATGATAGGAAGTTTTAGTAAATACAGAATCTACCCACTAGTTGATATTCTAGTAGAGAGGATAAAAGAGTTTACAAATTTAAACATACGTATTATGTTGGTATGACACCATTTGAAAAAGTTTAAGATTGGAAAGTTTATTCATTATAAGATGTATGACCTTGAACAGATCATTTGTCTTCATAGAAAAACACAGCTGACCAAAACCGAAACAAGTGCAAATGGAAAACCTAAACAATCCTATATCTGTTAGAGAAGTAGATCTGTAATTAAACAGTGGTCCAAATGTGAGACTATGTTTCTAAAACACAATTTTAAAAATTAGCTGGGGATGGTGGCACACACCTATAATCCCAGCTATTCAAGAGACTGAGGTGGGAGGATCACTTGAGGCCAGGAGTTCAAGACCAGCCTGGACGACTGATATGGTTTGCATCTGTATCCCTGACCAAATCTCATGTTGAACAGCAATCCCCAATGTTGGAGGTGGAGTCTGGTGGGAGGGAATTGGATCATGGGGGTAGTTCCTCATGATTTCAATTGGCAATAGTGAGTTCTCGTGAGATCTGGTTGCCTCCCCACTCTCTTGCTCCTGCTCCAGCCATGTAAGACCTGCCTGCTTCTCCTTCACCTTCCACCATGAGGCCTCCACAGAAGCAGAAGCTGCTGTGCTTCCTGTTCTGCCTGTAGAACTGTGAGCCAATTAAGCCTATTTCTTTACAAATTTACCCAGTCTCAGTTATTTCTATATAGCAGTATGAGAATGGACTAATATGGTTCTGCTCCTGCCATTTAAGAGGCCTGCTCCCGCTTTGCCTCCACCATGAGTAAAAGCGCCCTGAGGCCTCCCCAGAAGCAGATGCTGCCATGCTTCCTGAACAGCCTGTGGAACCGTGAACCAATTAAACCGCTTCTCTTTAAAAAAGAACACCAGTATTATGCAAACTTTTCTAGAGAAAAAGAGAGAACATTTCCCACCCACTATAACCTTGGATAACCATTTATAAGGAAAATCTTGATGTCCAAACCTGAAGAAGGGCAGTGTATGTACAAAATATAGATGTAAAAATCTTAAAACACATATGAGTAAATTGAATTCAGCAATATGTTAAAAAAGGATCGTGACTAAGTTGGGTTTGTTCCAGAAATTTAAGGTTGGTTTAACATTTAAAAAAAAAATCAATCAAATTAATTCAACACATTAGAAGGAAAAAAAGAGAAAGAAAAAAAATCATATGATCTTCTCAATAGATACAGAAAAAGCATTTGATAAAATTAAACATCCATTCAGAATTTTTTAAAAAGACCTCAAAGACTTCTACTTCTATCCAAGGTATAGTAACGGGGACTAGATTTACCCTCCTATCTGGAAAAAAAGGAAGAAAGCAGATGAAATAGAGTAAATCAAGCTTGTCCAACCCATGGCCCATGAACCACACGCAACCCAGGATGGCTTTGAATGTGGCCCAACACAAATTCGCAAACTTCCTTAAAACATTATGAGACTTTTTTTGTGAAAATTTTTTTTTTTTTTTAGTCCATCAGCTATCATTAGTGTTAGTGTATTTTATATGTGGCCCAAGACAACTGTTCTTCTTCCAGTGTGGCCCAGGGAAGCCAAAGATTGTACATCCCTGGACTAAATAGTGGTTTTCAAGACATTGGACATTAGGCAGCAAGGACAGTGATCTCTGAGGACAAAAGAAGGGAGGGCCTACAACTACCCCAGCTGACTGCCTTGAGAGCATTTCTAGGATGTAGCGCAGGGAAGAGGAACTCAGGCAGAGGCCCTGAGTTAAAAAGATGGAGCTGAGTGTCTAGAGACGCTAAGGCATCTAGAGTGCACAGGACAGAATGCTGTAGAGGAGAAAGCTGCACAGAGAGAAAATATTAGAGATCTAGGGAGAGTTTCTCTCAAGTATTCCGCCAAGTACTGATAAGCCCATGTGTAGAAGAAAACTACCAGAGAGGAAAGAATCATCTGAGAGGATTAGAGGGAACAGTGCCTGGAAGCCTGGAACTCACACACAAGCGATAATAGTGCCTGTTCCCACCAGCCAGACTTGAAAAACCTTATAATTCCCTGGTATGGCATTCAGAAGGGTCATGTCACATTAGTACAGTTATATGCCCTAGTGATGACAGCCCTAAACGGTGATCTGATCCACCTAACAAAGCTTAAAAGTATGACCTTAAAGAACAGAAATATTTCCAAATAATTTAACTGCGTGCCAAGAAAAGTCTCAAGAAATTTATAAAAAAGAAAAAAAACTCAAGTATCTTTACAATGTCTACTATCTACTCAAAGATAACCAGACACGGAAAGAAGAAAATATAAGAAAAATCAACCAATCAAAACCAACCCAGAACAGGACTGACATTAACATAGTTATTATAACTATAGGGGCAAGTAAACTCTTCTTGTAACCGGCCAGATAATAAATATTTTAAGCTTTGTGAGCCATATAGTCTCTGTCATAACCGCAACACTGCTGTTAGGAAAAGTCTTAAACAGGCTTGTCACATGACAAACAGGATATATAAATAACCAATAAACATATACAATGGTGTCTGATGTCATCAATCATCACAGGAATGCAAATTAAAACCACATTGTGCCCCAGTAGCAACAAACACACCTAACACCTAGCTCTTGGCTTCTAATACCATTCTCCAATAAAAGGAATCAGGGATCCTTGGAGAAATATCTGATTCTATGACTGAGGAAATATACAAGATGAACCTGGAGCATCTTGTAGTGCCAGAAAGGGAAGGAAATACTTAAAAAACAAACAAAATCAAACAAAGCCATCATGACAATGGTATGTCAAAGGGACTTATCAGCCAACTGAAAAGAGCTCCCAATGACCAAAGCTAGAACAATCTGAGCAAGAAAATAAAGTAGTACTGGATTATAAACCAAAGCATGAAACAAATATCCATGAGTCCAATTACATAAATATATGACTGAATACACAGACAAATCTTAAATGAAGAAAAACTTATTTATGTAGGTATTTTATCTTCAAGGAAGTGGAACACAACCTTCACTCTTTAAGTGTGCACTGTGCAATGACTTCCTTCCAAAGAGTACAGTATGAAAAGCGTGAATAAAGTAGTAACTTAACAATGAAGAAATTTGACAAGCCCTATCTTAGCCAGGTAATCAAGTTTACAGTCAACAGAAATAAGTCATGCAGAACAGCATGTACCCTTGATACAATGTGATGAGAAATGCATTTTACCTGTGATTTTCCTCCCTAAAAATCCAATCTAATCATGAGAAAAACATCACACAAATCCCAGTTGAGACATTCTACAAAATATTTGACCAATGCCCCTCAAAATTTTCAAAGTCATCAAATATAAGAGAGGTCTGAGAAACTGTAACTGGCAAGAGGACCCTGAGGAAATGCGATGACTAACTGTAATGTGGTATCCTGGGTGCAACAGAAAAAGGATATTAGGTAAAGACTAAAGAAAGTAGAAAAAATTATGAATTTCAGTTAAAAATTTTAAAAAGTAAATGCAATATATATAATCATAATGCATAAAATATATAATCATAACACCTCTTGTGTTATATGATCATTATAAAAGTGGAAAATCCAGAAAGTATAAAGATTTTTTTTTTTTTTTTTGGCTGGGCACAGTGGCTCACACCTGTAATCCCAGCACTTTGGGAGGCCAAGGCGGGCTGATCACCTGAGGTCGGGAATTCGAGACCAGCCTGACCAACATGGAGAAACCCCGTCTCTACTAAAAATACAAAATTAGCCGGGCGTGGTGGTGCATGCCTGTAATCCCAGCTACTTGGGAGGATGAGGCGGGAGAATAGCTTGAAAGCGGGAGGCGGAGTCTGCGGTGAGCCGAGATCACGCCATTGCACTCTAGCCTGGGCAACAAGACCAAAACTCCATCTCAAGAAAAAAGAAATTTTTTTAATTATCCAAAATTTCACTCTCTGGAGGTAACTATGATTAATATTCCAAGGCAATGGTTCCCAAACTGTGTGCTCAGGTGCCTTGGGGTATCACATCAAATTCACAAGGATGCTGCAAAATATTTTAAATTTTCAAGGTAAATACGGTGACATCTGTCGGATACTATGCAAACTACAAGTTCTAGCTAATTCAACTTTAACATAAGGTCACTCAACATTCCTTTCAATAATGTCACATCTTGGTGAAGCTGGTTGTTAGTAGTCGCTGGCATAAAAAATAAATGCTATGTGAAAATTGTATGGTACAGGAAAAGAGCTGATGGTGTATAATGATTCTAAGGTTTGAGAAGTTGTACAATACCCAACATACACTCCACTAGTAATTACAGTTATTGAAGAATGAAATAAAGTTTTTTCCTTAAAAAAAAATTATACATCTAGTATAATGGCTAAATTTTTAAAATACCAAGTGCTGGCAAGGAAAGAAACTGGAATTCTCACTGAAGTACCTGATGGGAGCATAAACTGGTACAACCATTTCAGAAAACAACTGTCCATATTTAGTTGACAAATGCCCATTTTATATGACCTAGAATTTCTTTAGCTATATAACCTGAAGGACCTTTTTTTTTATTCCCCCAGAGATAGGGTCTTGCTCTGTTGCCCAGGCTGTAGCACAGTGGCATGATCACAGCTCACACCAGCCTTGAACTCCTTGGCTCAAACGATCCTCTCACCTTGGCCTCTAAGTAGCTGGCGCTACAGGTGCGTGTCACCACACCCGGCTTTTTTTTTTTTTTTTTTTTTTTGAGAGGGAGTCTTGCTCTGTTGCCCAGGCTGGAGCACAGTGGCATGATCTCAGCTCACTGCAACCTCCATCTCCCAGGTTCAAGCAATTCTCCTTCCTCAGCCTCCCAAGTAGCTGGGATTACAGGCATGCACACCATGCCCAGCTAATTTTTATATGTTTAGTAGAGACCGGGTTTTGCCATGATGGCCAGGCTGGTCTCGAACTCCTGACCTCAGGTGATCTGTCCACCTCAGCTTCCCAAAGAGCTGGGATTACAGGCCTGAGCTTCTGCACCTGGCCTAAAGAAACTCTTGAAGCAGCCGGGCGCGGTGGTTCATGCCTGTAATCCCAGCACTTCAGGAGGCCGAGGTGGGCGGATCACGAGGTCAGGAGATTGAGACCATCCTGGCTAACACGATGAAACCCCGTCTCTACTAAAAATACAAAAAATTAGCCGGGCGTGGTGGTGGGCACCTGTAGTCCCAGCTACTCGGGAGGCTGAGGCAGGAGAATGACATGAACTCGGGAGGCGGAGCTTGCAGTGAGCCCAGATCGCGCCATTGCACTCCAGCCTGGGTGACAGAGCGAGACTCTCCTCAAAAAAAAAAAAAAAAAAAAAAAACTCTTGAAGCACATGTACACCAGAGTACACTTTCTAAATGTTTGTAGTTGCACTGCTTGTTATTTAGACACAAACCAACTGCCCACAGATAGAATAAACAGTGACATAGTCATGTAACTGAATACCATGTAACAGTTTAAATGGAGTATATCAATATGCATCAACACAAATGAATCTCAAACTCCTAATGTTGAATGAATAAAGCAAACTAAAGAATACATACAGTATCATTTCATGAATATAAAATTTAACAAATCTGAAACTAAAAAATCAATTTACAGTTATAGTCATATCCAGTCACTTAAATAATATAGTTATATTCATGTTGTAAAATTATGAAAAAAATGCAAATGAATAAAAATAATTTATTCTTCCAATAGGAGAGGGAAGGAGGCAAATGCCATAGAAAAGAGGAATATGAGGGAATTTCAAGGTATTGACAGTACACTATTTTTTAAGTTGACCAGTGAGAACAAAGACATTTATTTGTAATTCTTCTTTAAAGTACACATATGTTGGGCCAGGCACAGTGCCTCACGCCTGTAATCCCAGCATTTTGGGAGACCAAGGTGGGCGGATAACCTGAGGTCAGGAGTTCGAGACCAGCCTGGCCAACATCGTGAAATCCCATCTCTATCAGAAAAAACAATTAGCCGAGCATGGTGGCACATGCCTGTCTACTCAGGAGGCTGAGGCAGGAGAATCGCTTGAACCTGGGAGGCGGAGGTTGCAGTGAGCCGAGATTGCACCATTGCACTCCAGCTTGGGTGACAGAGAGAGACTCCATCTCAAAAAAAATTAATTTAAAAAAAAAGTATACATGTTATATATGCTTTTGTGTATATATTAGAATTAACTTTAAAATATTAAAAGTATTATTTATTCAACAAAGAATTTGTTGAACATCTACTATGTTCCACTATTTTCTGTGCTTTATCAACAAAGAAATATCCCTGCCCTCACAGGGCTTGTATTTGAGCAGAGGAAGGAAGACAGAAAGCAAAATCTAGAATGAATAAACGAGGGGAAAAGAATATATACACACAAACTTTTTTATTTAAAAAATAAGAAGTAGAACAGAAAAAGGGATACCAGGAATATAGGATAGACTATAACATGAAACAGTCACTGAATTTATTTTAAGATGTTTAAATTTTTTATTACAAGTAAAATTTTATTACAAATAAAAACTCTAGGTTTTTACCAGTTTATAAGAACTAGGAAAAAAATCTAGGAGACAAAACCCACCAATAATATATTAAGAGAAAACCATTTTCTGCTTTCAGTAACCTTAAGAATGTCAAATAGACTCTCCATCAGAAGCCTTCAGAATGTTAACCAAAAAAAAGTACCTGACCTATCTAGATGCTTTAAAAATATCTGTTGAAAAAATCATTGTTTTCTCTTGAAAATCTGTCCTAATTATCCCATTTTTTGAGCTAGTATTTTCCATAAAATAAAAATTTTAAGAATAATTTATGAAAATAAAGAATGTCTGAACTCTCATTTACCCTTTCACTTATCATATTTATTCTTTACCTGGTGTCAATTTTCAAACACATCAATGTATCTGACACGCTGCAAAGGATAAAGGAATATGAAACATAAGAGAATAAAGAAAAATCTGAGGCCTGCAGGAATTCTATGCTGACTGAATTAAATAATACATTCCTACACACCTGAAGAGGTTTTTTTTCACTCAGTAACATTTCATTAACTACTTATCCATCATCTCCTCTGAAGTATGTGGCTTGTCTGTTATCCAATGAAGTAACATCACTTACATTTCAGCCTTTAAATCTTGCATATAAGACACATGCAATAGCATAAACTACCTAGAAACAAAATTTTCATTCTTATTAGTCTTATATTCTTTCATACTGAAAAGCAAAAACGTACCTAGGTTACTGAAAACAACTCCTTTTACCTGATTACCTCAATCATTATAGAGGAATGCCTGATAAAATTACACTACCTCAGTTTTAGAAGCCTGAGGAACTTTGGCTCACGCCTGTAATTCCAGCACTTTGGGAGGCTGAGGTGGGTAGATCACCTGAGGTCAGGAGTTCGAGACCAGCCTGGCCAACATGGTGAAACCCTATCTCTACTAAAACTACAAAAATTAGCTGGGCATGATGGTGCGTGCCTGTAGTCCCAGCTACTCAGGAGGGTGAGACAGGAGAAATGCTTGTGCCTGGGAGGCAGAGGCTGCAGTGAGCCGAGATCACACCACTGCACTCCAGTCTGGGCGACAGAGTGAGACTCCATCTCAAAAAAAAAAAAAAAAAAAAAAAAGCTTGAGGAACTTTGAAGCATTTGAAACCAGAAGACCTCCTTATCATGGGCTGCTTTCATTTATTTTATGGGACTTCAATAAACCCTCACAGGAAATTATCTCTACCAAGTTTTGTTTTTCTGAATAATTTCAATGTCACTAGTCAGTAATAGCAAAAATTTTACAGAGCAAAACAAAACTGTTTTGTCTTGACTGTGCCACTTCCTAGCTGTGTTACTTTGGGTCAATCACTTTAATTTCCTAAGTCTCAGTTTCTCTTTCTAAATGTGAATAATGCCCCCATCTTCTAATGAGGTAATATATAAACCTTATCCCCTAATAAGCACTAGCACTCTGCGAAAAAAGTTATCCTCTCTTGGACTCCTCCTTCCATTTGGTTTAGTGCCTGCTACCTGTAATCAACTAATCACTAAACAATTAAAAATTGATTTAAAAAACACATAGTGAACTAAACACTTAAAATCTACACATTATATGTAAAATATTAATACATTTAAAAGGCTTGTTAAAAAATAAACATAGTGGAGCCAAGCATGGTGGCTCACTTCTGTAATCCCAACATTCTGTAATCCCAACATTTTGAGAGGCCAGCACAGGAGGATCATTTGAGGCCAAGAGTTCAAGACAAACCTCAGAAACACAGCAAGTCCACAACTCTAAAAAATAAAAATAAAAAAATTAACCAGGCATGGTGGCATGCACCTGTAGTCCCAGCTACTTGGAAGACAGAGGTAGGAGATCTCTTGACCCCAAGAGTTTAGGACTACAGTGAGCTATGATCCTGCCACTGCATTCCAGCCTGGGAGACAGAGACCCTGTCTCAATAAATAAATAAATAAATAAATAAAGCATAATGACAACAGGTAATACAGTTCACATGTGTAGAATGTGCAGGTTTGTTACACAGGTATACATGTTCCTTGGTGGTTTGCTGCACCTATCAACCCGTCATTTAGGTTTTAAGCCCCGTATACATTAGCTATTTGTGTCCTGATGCTCTTCGTCCCCTCACCACCCCCACCCCACATGGCCTCGATGAGTGTTGTTCCCTTCCCTGTGTCCATGTGTTCTCCTTGTTCAGCTCCCACTTATGAGTGAGAACATGCAGTGTTCGGTTTTCTGTTCCTGTGTTAGTCTGCTGAGGATGATGGCTTCCAGCTTTATCCATGTCCCTGCAAAGGACATGATCTCACTCCTTTTTATGGATGCATAGTATTCCATGGTGTATATGCACCACATTTTCTTTATCCAGTCTATCATTGATGGGCATTTGAACTGGTTCCATGTCTTTGCTATTGTATCACTGCCTAATCACTTACTATCAAAAAGTCCAGGCTGGGTGTGGTGGCACACACCTGTAATCCCAGCACTTTGAGAGGCCAAGGCAGGAGGATTACCTAAGCCCACAAATTGAAGACCAGCCTGGGCAACATGACAAGACCAAGATCCCATCTCTATTGTTGGCGGGGGATGGGGGAGCAGTAGTAATGAACAGCCAATATTTTGTGGCAGGTAATATCATTGAAGTCTCAAAGCAAACCCATGAAGTACATACCATTTTATAGATCAACTGATTTACAAAGAGGATACTGCCTTCACGGTCACACATGTGGTCTGAATCATTCCGAAGTCACTGCTTATTAACATGCACACAACCTTCTAAACTAGAAGTACATGAAAATGGAGTTATCTAGGCAGCAATATTGTTGTCCAATATTTGATTTCTTGTTTTGTACTGCTCTTTAGTTAAAAAAAATAATAATTTAATAAATATGTAAAATGAAAGACAGTGAAATAACAATCTATAAAGGAAGGGGACACATAATCCATATTTCTTCTCTTATAAAACTAACAGTGCTCCTGAAGGTAGAAATACATCTTGTTCTTGTTCTTACAGTTCAACGTATAGTATGATCTCTAAACTCCGGCAAAATGGAATGCTAATCCAGTTATCCCCTGCTACATAACTTAGTGGCTTAAAACAATCTTTTATTGTGCTCATGAATCTGCAATTTGGGTAGAGTTTGACAGGAACAACTCATCTCTGCTCTACATATAAACACTACATAAGCACTCATTAGGGCACTGTGATGGGGAACTAGAAGATTAGGATCTGCTTTTAGGACAGCTCACTCACATGGCTGGCAAGCTGATCCCAGATGTCAGCTGGGAGCTCAGCTGGGGCTGAGAGTCAGGAGCTTCAGTTTCCCTCTTACACAGGCCACTCCTAGTTGCTTGGGCTCCTCACATAGTAGCCAGATTCCAAAAGTGACACTCCAGAGAGAAAGTTAGAAATCCATGGCATTTTTATAACCTAGCCCTAAACGTGACACGTCGTTTGAGCCATGCTCTACTGGTAAAGGCATTTACAAAAGTCTGCTCTGGTTAAGAGACTGAGACACAGGCTTCACCACTAGATGGGAGGAGTGTGAAGATGACATTGTAGGTAGAACATGTAAAATGAACGATACTGCTGTAGACACATTTGGCAAATACAATCTGTCATACCAATACATTGGTTGTATGCCAGAATATACCAAAGTTGACTTTTTGTTAATAGTATTTATTGGTTTTTATTAAGTAGAGTTTTCCTGTAAAAAACAAGGAGTAAAGAGATTAAAGACAATAACCTGGAGTTTCTCCTCCCCATGATGAAATGAATTCAATGGCCTACAAGTAATTATCCTCAGAGTCAAATGATAAAGAAAAACAGGAGGAAGAGCCAGGCGCAGTGGCTCACGCCTGCAGTCCCAGCACTTTGGGAGGCCAAGGTGGGTGAATCACCTGAGGTCAGGAGTTCGAGACCAGCCTGGCCAACATGGAGAAATCCCGTCTCTACTAAAAATACAAAAATTAGCCAGACATGGTGGCAGGCGCCTGTAATCCCAGCTACTCGGGAGGCTGAGGCAGGAGAATCACTTGAACCCAGGAGGCAGAGGTTGCAGTGAACTGAGATCGCACCACTGCACTCTAGCCTGGACAACAGAACAAGACTCCATCTCAAACAAACAAACAAATAAATAAGTATAAAAAATTAGCCTGGCATGGTGGCATACGCCTGTAGTTCCAGCTACTCAGGAGGCTAAGGCAGGAGGATCGCTTGACTGCTTGAACCCAGGAGGTAGAGGCTGCAGTGTGCCAAGATCATGCCACTGCACTCCAGCCTGAGTGACAGAGTAAGACTTCATCTCAAAAAAAGAAAAAGAAAAATAGGAGAGAGGACATTTAGGGACTTCCCAGAAAAAAAAGAGTGATAAAATAAGGAAACATGAGTAATCTGCCACTAAAAATTAAATACAGAGTTGGAAGAAACTTTTGACACCACTTAGTCTACTGCCATTATCCTAGCAACTACTAAAAAACTGAAATTTTTTTGTTTACATTTCAATGAAGGATAAGAAATTCTCATTTTTAATAAAATTCTAAATTGTGCAAATTTGTATTCATTCATTTCATTCTCTGTTGTTAACAGCAGTAAAAATCCTTAAAAGTGAAATAGTGTCAAATAGTTTCAGCGTGAACAAGGTAAAGAAAAAGCTAAGCCACCTGCATCCTGTTTCAGTTGAGGGTTTATGGGTGGAGAGAACAATAGATGACATACGAGATGCTGGAAAAAAGATGAATCAAACCTCTGGGGCATGTAGGAATTTAAAAAGAAAGACAAAGAAAAGTAGTGACTAGAAACCTGCCAAAGCTCTGGGGGTGTCACCAGCATGCTGTACTATCCTCTTTGAACACATCCTTATGCAAAGGCTCCACCCTTAAGCCAAAGTCCTTTTCCACTTTGGAAATGGCTAGAACTGGCTCCAGAGATAATTTAATCTAGTGGTTTCCAACATTTTCAAACATAAGAACCTTTTTTTAAGAGTAAAAATCCAGGCTGGACATGGTGGCTCAAGCCTGTAATCCCAGCACTTTGAGAGGCCAAGATGGGTAGATCACCTGAGGTCAGGAGTTTGAGACCAGCCTGGCCAACATGGTGAAACCCCATCTCTACTAAAAGAACACAAAAATTAGCCAGGCATGGTGGCACACCCCTGTAGTCCCAGCCACTTGGGAGGCTGAGGCATGAGAATTGCTTGAACCTGGGAGGTAGAGGTTGCAATGAGCCGGGAGATCATGCCACTGCACTCCAGCCTGGGCAACAGAGCAAGACTCAGTCTCAAAAAAATAAATAAATAAAAAATAAAGAGTAAAAATGCTATGAACATCTATATGACAACTGTGATTTTATCATCTAGTTATTGAAAAAATCAATGACAGAAGTATCACAATTTCACTGACACCTCTACGAAATGTTATTTGTATTTTGTCACAAGGGCATTTATATACAACAGCATGTACATGAGACAGGCAATTTGGATAAAATTCTTAGGAAACACTAAATACATGTATGTCATTGGTAAATATGTAAGTGAACTATATGTGAAAAGACTAAGACTAAGAAATTTTTAAGGACTTCATTTTCAGGAATGTGATTACACTAGGATTTCTCCTACTATGCTTTCGGTTGGACTGAGTAGTCTCTCAATACAGATTCTATAATTCTCTTATAAATTATTTAAAACATTTTCCTCTTCTTTTTAACTTATATCTTAATGATTTAAAACTGGTTGTGGGCCAGGCACGGTGGCTCATGCCTATGATCCCAGCACTTTGGGAGGTCGAGGCGGGTGGACCACGAGGTCAGGAGTTCAAGACCAGCCTGGCCAAGATGGTGAAACTCCATCTCTACTAAAAATACAAAAAGTATCCAGGTGTGGTGGCAGACTCCTGTAATCCTAGCTACTCAGGAGGCTGAGGCAGGAGAATCACTTGAACCCAGGAGGCAGAGGTTGCAGTGAACCAAGATTGCGCTACTGCACTCCAGCCTGGGCAACAGAGTGAGACTCCATCTCAAAAAAAAAAAAAAAAAAAAAAAAAAGCTGGTTGTGCACTGTGCAGTGGCTCACGCCAGTAATCCCAACACTTTGGGAGGCCGAGGCGGGTGGATTGCTTGAGCCCAGGAGTTCGAGACCAGCCTGGACAACATGGCAAAGCCCTGTCTCTACCAAAAATACAAAAAATTTTCTGGGCGTAGTGGTATGTGACAGTGGTCCCAGCTACTTCAGAGGCTAGGGTGGGAGGATTACTCCATCCCAGTAAGTCAAGGCTGCAGTGAGCCAAGATCGCACCACCGCATTGCAGCCCAGGTGACTGGAGTGAGACCCTGTCTCAAAAATAAATAAATTAGTAAAATTTTAAAAACCTGTTTTGGACATATAGATGCATATTCCTATTTTATACAAAAGTAAGAATCCTTTTACTTGATGACAATTTTATTATCACCAGCCAGGTGTTACCTCAATAGAAAAACAGCTTGCTTATCTATTGTTAGAAAGACAGGCTACGACAGGCTCAGTGGCTCACACTTGCAATCCTAGCACTCTGGGAGGCCAAGGTAGGCAGATTGCCTGTGCTCAGGAGTTCAAGACCAGCCTGAGAGACATGGTAAAACTCTGTCTCTAATAAAACTACAAAAAATCAGCCAGGTGTGGTGGCACGTGCCTGTAGTCCCAGCAACTCGGGAGGCTGAGGCAGGAGAATTGCCTGAACTGGGGAGATGGAGGTTGCAGTGGGCTGAGATTGCACCACTACACTCCAGACTGGCCAAGAGAGTGAGACTCCAACTCAAAAAAAAAAAGGCTTATGTCAACAATTCTAAATCTAAAATCTTTATTTTTGGCAGTTGTTCTCTGAAAATCTATACATGATGACTCTATAGTTTGGAAATTATCCTAAGAGTTTAAAAGTCCTAACTGGCAGGCCGGGTGTGGTGGCTCACGCCTGTAATCCCAGCACTTCGGGAGGCCGAGGCAGGTGGATCACGAGGTCAGGAGATCGAGAACATCCTAGCTAACACGTGAAACCCCGTCTCTACTAAAAATACAAAAAATTAGCCGGGCATGGTGGCGGGCACCTGGAATCTCAGCTACTTGGGAGGCTGAGGCAGGAGAATCGCTTGAACCCGAGAGGCAGAGGTTGCAGTGAGCCGAGATCACGCCACTGCACTCCAGCCTGGGCGAGAGTGAGACTCCGTCTCAAAGAAACAAAGAAACAAACAAACAAACAAAAGTCCTAACTGCCACTTTGCAGGATTTTAGGAAACCACGTGTGAGCACCTTCAACATGCACTCCCCGTCTAGAAAAGAATTTCCAGGACACTGTCAAACAGGCACACATGCCTTCCAGGCCAGGAGAATATATGGAGAGAGAACTTAGGAGAAAGAAACCCCAAATGCAAAATAAGAATACAAACAGTGGTGCCTAGCCTTAGAGTAAAATGTTTCCAAAACAGCTGCCAAGTTTATGAAAACCCAAGCACCTCTCCTTTTGCTTGGTTTGTCATGAAGATAGCCATTTCATGACAGACTGCGTCAATGCAGAGAATTAAGCCAGTAATGCAGAAGTTCTCAGAGATTAGGAGCACTCTGAAAAACCTGAAATGAGACAAAAGTAAGGCAATAAAAGACTAGGCTTATATATTAGTCAGGGCTCTCCAGAGAAACAGAATCAACAGGAGAGAGACAGAGGTAGAGGTAGAGAGACAGAGACAGAGGTATATATATTTAAAAAGATATTTATTAAAAGGAATTGGCTCATGCAATTATGGAGGCTGAAAAGTCCCAAGATTGTCAGTCAGTAAGCTAGAGACCCAAGAGAGCCTATGGTCTAGTTGCAGTCCAAGTCTAAAGGCCTGAGAACCAAGGGAATCAATGGCGCAAGTTCCAATACAACAGCTACCATGCTCAAGAGCCAAAGTTTTGGTTCAAGTCCAAAGGCAGGAAAACACTGATGTCCCAGCTCAAGGAGTCAGGCAGGAGAAGCTCCCTCTTGCTCAGTCTTTTTGTTCTAGCCAGGTCTTCAAATGATTGGATGAGGCTCACCCAGACTCGGAAGGGTATCCGTTTTACTCAATCACTTCAAATATTAATTTCATCCAGAAACATCCTCACAGACACACCTAAGATAATGTTTGACCAAATGTCTGGGCACTCAGTGGCCCAGTCAAGTTGACACATAAAATGAACCATCATAACTGACTTGGCTCTATTTTGCCCACTCTTCCCAAAAAGCCAAGAAAAGGGGTTGAAAAAGAGTTTAAAGCCTGGTGAGAGAGAGCAGGCAGAAGAAAACTGACTCTTCACTGGATAACTACCTTACGGCCCTTCCCTTAACAAGGCAAACAAGAGCAGAGGACTACCTCCCAATCTGTGTGGGAGGCTCACGCCTGTAATCCCAACACTTTGGGAGGCCAAGGTGGGCAGATCACCTGAGGTCAGGGGTTCCAGACCAGCCTGGTCAACATGGCAAAACACCGTCTGTATAAAAAATACAAAAATTAACCAGGCATGGTGGCGCACACCTGTAGTCCCAGCTACTCAGGAGGCTGAGGCAGGAGAATCGCTTAAATCCGGGAGGTGGAAGTTGCAGTGAGCTGAGATGGCGCCACTGCACTCCAGCCTGAGAGACAGAGCGAAACTCTGTCTTAAAAAAAATAAAATTAAATTTAAAAATGAAGGCCAGGCGCGGTGTCTCACGCCTGTAATCCCAGCACTTTGAGTGGCCGAGGTGGGAGGATCATGAGGTCAGGATCCAGACTAGGCTGGCCAACATGGTGAAACCCTGTCTCTACTAAAGATACAAAATTAGCCAGGTGTAGTGGCACATGCCTGTAATCCTAGCTACTCAGGTGGCTGAGAGAGGAGAATTGCTTGAACCCAAGAGGTGGAGGTTGCAGTGAGCCAAGATCGTGCCACTCCACTCCAGTCTGGGCAACAGAGTGATACTCCATCTCCAAAAAAAAAAGAAAGAAAAATAAAACTGAACTGCCCTTTAATCAAAAGATATCTGCTTCTTAAGGCCAAGGTGGGTGAATCACCTAAGGTCAGGAGTTTGAGATCAGCCTGGCCAACATGACAAAACCCTGTGTCTACAAAAAATACAAAAAAATCAGCCACGCATGGTGGCAGGCACTGTAATCCCAGCTACTCAAGGGGCTCAGGCAGGAGAATCACTTGAACCTGGGAGGCGGAGGTTGCAGTGAGCCAAGATCACGCCACTACACTCCAGCCTGGGCGACAGAGTAAAGACTTTGTCTCAAAAAAAAAAAAAAAAAAGATAGCTGCTTCCAAAACACACACACATATTCTCTCTCTCATGCATGCGTGCGTACACGTACACACACACACACACACACACACACACACACACACACACATTCTCTCTCTTTGTCCATCAGAAACCTATACAGGATAAGAGAAATCTTAGCTGGACATTGAGCCCCTTGGGTACAATGAAGCCAGTGCTGGAAGAAAGGAGACTCTCCAAGGAAAATCACAGATTCACATAACTCAGCCCTTGTGAAGCCAGGACAATGAGTCAAGCTGTTGGCTTGGACTATAGTCATCCTCAAGGCTCAACTAGAGTAGGAGGATCCCTGTTCAAGCTCACTTTTCTGAGCCAGTCATGTGGCTGCCAGCAGGCCTCAGAAGATCTACATCCAAGCTAGCTGTTGTGGTTGCTGGCAGGCCTCACTTCCTCACCACATGGCCCTCCCCATGGGCTGCCTGGGTGGCTGTCTTCACAACATGGCAAGTGCCTTCCCTCTATGCAGTGCTGCCTCATACCATGGAGTTAGCCTCCCCCAAAGTGAGTTGGGGGTGTGTGTGTGTGTGTGTGTGTGTGTGTGTGAGAGAGAGAGAGAACACACATGCAAGGCAGAAGTCAGAGAGAGAGAGACAGAACACACATGCAAGGCAGAAGCCAGTTTTTTTAAAACCCAATCTGAGCTAGCCAGCTAGCCTCCCGCAAAGTGAGGTGGGTGGGTGGGTGTGGGTGTGTGTGTGTGTGTGTGTGTGAGAGAGAGAGAGAGAACACACATGCAAGGCAGAAACCAGTCTTTTAAAAACCCAATCTGGGAAGAGACATCTCATCACTTCTCCTGTGTTCTATTCACTAGAAGTGCATCGCTAAGTCCAGCCCACACTCAAGGGAGGAGAATTCAGCTCCATCTTTTAAAGAAGGGAAAATCAAATCATTTTTGGATAGATCATTAAGTCCCACTACAGGGACTAGAATTACTGATGAAAATATAAGTAGCCAGATAAGTTATTAAGACATCAATGGATGTTTTATTATCATGGTACTTCCCAATCCCCAAGATGATAGTCCTATTTGCTTCTTTGCCTCAAGGGAGGTTTGTGCATGTTTTCTGAAAATATGAACTCCTTGAGGAGATTATACTGAGGGAAGAAGGGTAGAACAATGAGTGCCTTTGGCGGGAGCTGGGGGTTAGGTAGAAATAAGAAGAAAAATGGGAGCAATTTATCTGAGAAGAAGGAATTCCTTCAGAATCCACAAAAAGGGAACCTGCAACCCCACGTCCTAGCAGTGCCCAAGTCCTCAGAGAGAAATGGGCATGTGTTGTACCAAGCAAAGCTGAAGCCTGTACATCAGAATCCCCAGGCTTCAACGCCTCATATCCTCTTAGACAATGTGCTCAGTCACATCCAGCACAGGCTGAAAATCAACCTTCCACCCTTCTCCTGGTACCTCAAAAGCCTATTAGAGTCTCACATAACTCTAAGGAGGGGTGGATCTCTATTATTAATCACTGAGATTGTATTTCTAACCAGTTTGGTAGAATTGAGGGGGAGAAGGTCCCAGGGCAGAATTTTTTTTTTTTTTTTTGAGACGGGTTCTCATTATGTTGCCCAGGCTAGTCTGAGCTCAAACTACGCTCTCACCTCAGAATCCCAAAGTGCTGGGGTTACAGGTACGAGCCACCACACCTGCCCCCAAGGGCAGAATTTGATTTCATTTAAAGGAATTAAAATATTGTTAATACTTTTTGCTTACCTGATTTCATGAGGTAAGATTCATATGTGCTATACAGTCAATTAATGTACTAACCTATGGATATCTTTTGCAAATAAGTAATATTGGTGGTTTCAAAGAAAGTTCCAAACAAGCTGCTCCATTTAAGATTTTTCCGGCCGAACGAGGTGGCACACGCCTGTAATCCCAGCACTTTGGGAGGCAGAGGTGGGTGGATCAACTGAGGTCAGGAGTTTGAGACCAGCCTGGCCAACATGGCAAAACTCTGTCTCTATTAAAAATACAAAAATTAGCCAGATATGGTGGTGCGTTCCTGTAGTCCCAGCTACTCGGGAGGCTGAGACAGGGGAATTGCTTGAACCCAGGAGGTGGAAGTCTCAGTGAGCTGAGATCACACCACTGCACTCCAGCCTGGCCAACAGAGTGAGACTGCATCTCAAAAAAAAAAAAAATTCTAGGCCAGGTGCAGTGAGTGGCTCACAGCTATAATTCCAGAACTTTGGGAGGCTGGGGCAGAAGGATTGCTTGAGGCCAGAAATTTGCAACCAGCCTGGGTAACAAAGTGAGACACCCATCAATACAAACAATTTTTAAAAATAAAAAACCTGCCGGGCACAGTGGCACATGGCACCAGCTACTCAGGAGGTTGAGGTGGGAGGACTGCTTGAGCCCAGGCGTTCAAGGTGCTGTAAGCTGTGACTGTGGCACTGCCCTCCAGCCTGGGCAACAGAGCAAGACCCCCTTCTCTAAAATGTATACGGGTAATTTGGCCGGGTGCGGTGGCCCACACTTGTAATCCCAGCACTTTGTGGAGCTGAGGCAGGTGGATCACCTTAGGTCAGGAGTTCGAGACCAGCCTGGCCAACATGGTGAAACCCCATCTCTATTAAAAATACAAAAATGGCCAGGCGCTGTGGCTCACGCCTGTAATCCCAGCACTTTGGGAGTCCGAGGCGGGTGGATCACGAGGTCAGGAGATCGAGACCATCCTGGCTAACACAGTGAAATGCCGTCTCTACTAAAAATACAAAAAATTAGCCGGGTGTGGTGGTGTGTGCCTGTGGTCCCAGCTGCTTGGGAGGCTGAGGCAGGAGAATAGCATGAACCCAGGAGGCAGAGCTTGCAGTGAGCCGAGATTGTGCCACTGCACTCCAGCCTGGGCGACAGAGCGAAACTCCGTCTCAAAAAAAAAAAATAAATAATTGAATTCAGGCCGGGCACAGTGGCTCACGCCTGTAATCCCAGCATTTTGGGAGTCTGAGGCAGGTCTATCACCTGAGGTCAGGAGTTCACGACCAGCCTGGCCAACATGGAGAAACCCCATCCTTACTAAAAATATAAAAATTTGCTGGGTGTGGTGGTGCACAACTTTAATCCCAGCTATTCGGGAGACTGAGGCAGGAGAATCGCTTGAATCCAGGAGGCGGAGACTTCAGTGCACCGAGATCACGCCATTGCACTCCAGCCTAAGCAACAAGAGCAAAACTCCCTCTCATATATAAATAAATAAAATTCAAAAAATTGTTTCAGTCAGTAAGGGAAATGTCTCTTTCTGGAAGTATTCCAGCTAATAATGAAGAGGGAATGAGACAGGCACAGTGGCACTCACGCCTGTAATCCTAGCACTTTGAGAGGCTGAGGCGAGCCGATCACTTGAGGTCAGGAGTTCCAGACCAGCCTGGTTAACATGGTGAAACCCCGTCTCTACTAAAAATACAAAAGTTAGCCAGGAGTGGTGGTGCACGCCTGTAATCCTAACTACTCAGTTGGCTGAGGCAGGAGAATCGCTTGAACCCAGGGGGCGGAGGTTGCAGTGAGCCGAGATCACGCAGACTCCAACTTAAAAAAAATAAATAAAAAGAAGGAATGAAAGAATTAGAATTTCTTTTTTTTTTTTTTTTTTTTTTTTTTTGAGACAGAGCCTCACTCTGTCACCCAGGCTGGAGTGCAGTGGCATGATCTTGGCTCACTGCAACCTCCACCTCCCGGGTTCAAGTGATTCTCCTGCATCAGCCTACCAAGTAGATGGGATTACAGGCACGTGCCACCACACCTGGCTGATTTTTGTATTTTCAATAGAGATGGGGTTTCACCATGTTGGCCAGGCTGGTCTTGAACTCCTGTCCTCAGGTGATCCACCAGCCTCAGCCTCCCAAAGTGCTGGGATTACAGGTGTGAGCCACCACGCATGGGCAAAACAATTAGAATTTCAACATTTGCAACCCTAATGAATTCATAAATCTAGATACCGATTACTATGGGTTCCTAACATAAAAAAGAGAAGCTTTAATGAAAGTTCACATCACTTCTATGCTGCAGTTTTTCTTTTCTTTTCTTTTTTTTTGTTGAGATGGAGTCTTGCTCTGTTGCCCAGGGTGGAGTGCCGTAATGCTATCTCGGCTCACTGCAACCTCCACCTCCTGGGTTCAAGCGATTCTCCTGCCTCAGCCACCCGAGTAGCTGGGATTATAGGCGCCCACCACCACGCCCAGCTAATTTTTGTATTTTTAGTAGAGACGGGGTTTTGCCATGTTGGCCAGGCTGGTTTCGAACTCCTGACCTCAGGTGATCCGCCCGCCTCGGCCTTCCAAAGTGCTGGGATTACAGGCATGAGCCACCACGTCCAGCCAAAGCATTCTTAAAACAAAAAAGCAAATTAACTCTATCAATTTACAAGACACAAACGGAACAGAGAAGCATGCTAAGTGATACCATGAGGTCATAAAGTCAGCAAAATTCAGACTGTGGAAAAACTGGTCAGTGGTTGCCAATTGGTCGGGGGGACAGAAGGGAATTTTGGGGAGTGATGGAACTGTTCTATATTATGATTATAGTTGTGATTACACAACTAGGTTCGTCAAAATTCAAAGAACTAAAACAGGTGAATTTCACCCTATGTAAATTATATACCAACTTTTTTAAAAATTAAAAATTCAGACTGAAAACCTCTTTTTTTTTTCTTTGAGATGGAGTCTGGCTCTGTTGCCAGGCTGGAGTGCAGTGGCACAATCTCAGTTCACTGCAACCTCTACCTCCCGGGTTGGAGCGATTCCCCTGACTCAGCCTCCTGGGTAGCTAGGACTACAGCTGCACACCACCAATCCCGGCTAATTTTTTTTTTTTTTGTCTTTTAGTAGAGACCTGACCTCATGATCTGCCCGCCTCAGCCTCCCAAAGTACTGGGATTACAGGTGTGACCCACTGTGCCCGGCCAAGACTGGAAAACTCTTAATAACGAACATGCTTTCTTCAAAAAATAAATAGTACAGGAAAAAATGAGTGGAAAAGCTATAGACTAAAAAAGACTTCAAGAGCTACTCAACTAATTACAAGTTATGAACCTTATCTGGATCTTGGTTTGAACCGCTTTTTTTTTTTTTTTTTTTTTTTTTTGGAGACAGAGGTCTCACTATATTGTGCAGGCTGGGCATTAACTCACTCCTGGGCTCAAGTGATGCTCCTACCTCGGCCTCCCAAATACCTGGGACTGGGACTACAGGTGCAAGAACACCACATCCAGCTAACAAACAGATATTTTTTTAAAAAATTATTAGCACTGGGCGCAGTGGCTCACGCCTGTAATCCAAACACTTTGGGAGGCCGAGGCGGGTGGATCACCTAAGGTCAGGAGTTCAACACCAGCCTGGCCAACATGGTGAAACCCCATCTCTACAAAAATACAAAAAAAATTAGCCAGGCATGATGGGAGATACCAGTAATCCCAGCTACTTGGGAGGCTGAGGAGGGAGAATCGCTGGAACCCGGGAGGCGGAGGTTGCAGTGAGCCGAGATTGTGCCACTGCACTCCAGCCTGGGCAACAGAGCAAGACTCCGTCTCAAAAAAAAAAAAAAAAGAAAAATAAACATATATACATATATAAAATATAGGAGTAGCGCCTGAGGCTAGGCTTGTTAACCTCCCTCTGGCAACTCCTGGCACTCTACCCTCCAGGAAGCCCTTGAATGAGTCCCACAGGACCTATGAGCTCTTTTTGAATGCCCTTGAAAATCACTGCTTAACTCTTCTAGGTTTCATTCTTGAGTAAAATATTACCGTGAAAATGCTGCATACACTGACCATGCTATCTTGGCCCTGCAGAGTCTGCTTTCACAGAACTGAATTTTAGCTTTATGCCCTAGGATTTCACTGACCATGCTACAAGAAATGGCTTTACCAAAACCACTGCATTTGCTGTACGGATGTTGCTGAGGCAAACCTACCATGAGCTCTGTAACTCTAGAATAGTCCTGTGTTTCAGTGTAGATTAGAAAAATGTTCTAGTTTTCCAAGAAACTACCTTCAGAACCTGTTTCTCAGCAAAGAGTACAGAGATCTAAACTCCTGGAGATAAACACTACCTGTCTGACGGCTACCTACAGAAATACCCTGCAGTGGACAGATTAACACTGCAGAGAAAGAGATAACACCCAAAAGACAGAAAGCAGTTTGGTCTATTTTTACACCGTGTTACTGTACGTTCTATTTCTTTGCATTTCACTCAACATGCTTTCGCTAGGTTATCCCATTCATTTTCTTTTCTTTTTTCCTTTTTTTTTTTTTTGAGACAGCGTCATGCTCTGTCACCCAGGTTAGGGTGCAGTGGCACGATCTTGGCTCACTGCAACCACCAGCTCCTGGGTTTAAGCAATTCTCCTGCCTCAGCCTCCTGAGTAGCTGGGATTACAGGCACGTACCACCACGCCTGGCTAGTTTTTGTATTTCTAGTAGAGAAAGGGTTTCATCACGTTAGCCAGGCTGGTCTCAAACTCCTGACCTCATGACCCACCCACCTCGGCCGTCCAAAGTGCTGGGATTACAGGTGTGAGCCACTGCATCCAGCCATTGGATTACAGGTGTGATCCAATGGATCAATGAGCCAATGATCCATTCCATTCATTTGCATGACTTGGATCACCACGTGTTTGCTGAATGCTTTAAAATCTATACCTGAAGCCGTTATCTTGCTTCTCTGCAAAACACCCATATTTTTAACCGCCTGGTTAAAGACAGTTCATTGAAGCACCTTACGCTCCATATAGCCAAAATAAACTCATGTTCTTACCGTCCCAAACTTGCTCTTGCTCCTGTGTCTGCTGTCTCAATTAAAAGCATTCTCAGGCTGGTGCGGTGGCTCATGCCTGTAATCCCAGCACTTTGGGAGGCCAAGGCAGGCAGATCACGAGGACAGGAGTTCAAGAGCAGCCTGACCAACATGGTGAAACCCCATCTCTACTAAAAATACAAATTAGCCAGGCATGGTGGCACGCGCCTGTAATCCCAGCTACTCAGGAGGCTGAGGCAGGAGAATCACTTGAACTTGGGAGGCAGAGGTTGCAGTAAGCCAAGATCGCACCACTGCACTCCAGCCTGGGCAACAGAGTGAGACTCCATCTCACAAATAAATAAATAAATAAAAGCATTCCCATCCAACCTATTATTCAAGCTGCAAGCATCTCAAGATACTGTGGAGAAAAGTAAAAGGCAAGCCATACATGGGAGAAAACATAAGCAAAACACATACCTAATAATGAATTTGTGGCCAGGCACAGTGGCTGACACCTGTAATCCTAGCACTTTGGGAGGCCGCTGTGGGCAGATCACTTGAGGTCAGGAGTTCGAGACCAGCCTAGGCAACATGGCGAAACCCCAGCTCTACTAAAAATACAAAAATTCACCGGGTGTGGTAGCAGGCGCCTTAATCGCAGCTCCTACAGAGGCTGAGGCAGGAGAATCACTTGAACCTGGGAGGCGGAGGGTGCAGTGAAATGAGATCACACCACTGCACTCCAGCCTGGGTGATAAAGTGAGACTTCGTCTCAAAAACAAAAAAAAAAGATTTTGCTTTTTTAAATTTTGTTTTTAGAATACATAAAGAACTCTTACAACTATGTAAGAAGACAAACAACTGACAAAAAGTGAGCAAAAGATTTGGATACTTCACTAAGTTATATGAATGGCAAATTAGCACATGAAAAGATACTCAACATTATCAGTCATCAGGGAAAGGCAAATGAAAACCACAATGACACGTACCAGTGTACACCCACAGAATGGCAAACAATGGTGGTGGTTTTAAGGGTATACATGTATTTCAAAACTTATCAAATTGTACACTTCAAATATGTACAGCTCACTGTATGCCAACTGTACCTCTACAGACCTGTTCAAAAAACAAAAAAAAAAGAAAGAATCACAAGACCAAGTATTGGTGAGGACATTTGGAAGGGCTAGGATTCAAACTCTAATGCAAGATTTCTCAGCCTCAGAACTAATGACATTTTGAGCTGGGGAACTCTTAGATTAGGATGCTGTCCCATGCATTTTAGGATGTGTAGCAGTATATCTGGCCTCTACTCACTAGGTGCTCCAAGTTGTAACAACCCAAAATGTCTCCAGACATTCTCAAATGTCCCTTAGGAGGCAAAACCCCCTTAGTTGAGAACCACCCCTTAGTCTGACACCACAGCCCAAGCTCTTAAAAACATCTTTCTTTCCACTTCTGGCACTATCTTGGTTCAGGTCCTGAATTTAGTTCACCCAAGACCTCATTATTAGTCAGTCTACATCTAGGCTGTCATCTCTTGTCATTTCAATAGTCACACTACCAACAAATTAACCTTCTAAACCTTCAGGGCTTAGATAAATGACTGCAGAAACTGCCCTCACTACCACTATGCAGAATTCCTATAAACCCTTTGTATGTACTGTGTAAACCTTTGTATATATACAAAGTCATTACACTGTCTCATATTTCAGTGTCTGTCTTCCCATTAATACATGAGATTTTCCCCAACAACGGCCACCTCACTCATATCTATATCCCTAGAACCCAGAACTAGAAAGCATTCAAATGTTTCTTAAACAAATTACATACAACAACAAAATGCCCGGATCTCTTTGCTTTAAATATGTAACAACAACAACAACAACAAAAGCCCCCAAATCATACAGTAAAGCTTTCATCAATGTGAATCCTATCCAAACAAATGGATCTTGTTCCTAATAGGACCAGAAAGGATTCTCCAACTCATAACCCAAACATCATTAACAGACATATTGGACTCTTCAGAATTTTCCAAAAGCACATAGAGACCAAGTTTCCTAATCTTTTTTGTGTGTGTGTGAGATGGAGTTTCGCTCTTGTTGCCCAGGCTAGAGTGCAATGGCACGATCTCGGCTCTCTGCAACCTCCGCCTCCCAGTTTCCAGCGATTCTCCTGCCTCAGCCTCCTGAGTAGCTGGGATTACAGGCATGCGCCACCACGCCAGGCTAATTTTGTATTTTTAGTAGAGACGGGGTTTCTCCATGTTGGTCAGGCTGGTCTTGAACTTCCAGCCTTAGGTGATCCGCCCGCCTCAGCCTCCCAAAATGCTGAGATTACAGGCATGAGCCACCACGCCCGGCCAGTTTCCTAATCTTAAAACTCCTTTCAGTCCATTGCAGTTTTTCAGGGGCATTAAATAGTATCACATTATTTTGGACAACCAAACCCATCCCACACTAACTCCTCTTGCCACCAATTCATTTATTGGTTCACTAGTTTTACTGAGCTCCCCCTTAGTACCTTATAAGGGTGCAAAGATGAACTATGATAAGGAAATAAAAGTTTTAAGGGGAAAAAGATACAAAGAAATAATAATGCATGAGGTTCTTATCTCAAACTGTCTTTGTTTTTCTTAAACTGTCTTACAGTTTGGTCTGCACTAGAAATGTTCTCAAAAGATAACTCAGCCACTAACTAACACCTATCAAAAAGAATTATTTAACATCAATATCCTAAAATAAAAATCATAATTTTAGGCCAGGCACGATGGCTCACGCCTGTAATCCCAGCACTTTGGGAGGCCAAGGCAGGCGGATCAATTGAGGCCAGGAGTTCGAGATCAGCCTAGCCACCATGGGGAAACCCCGCCTCTACTAAAAACAGAAAAAATTAGCTGGGCATGGTGGTGCGCCCCTGTAATCTCAGGTATTCAGGAGGCAGAGGCACAAGAACCACTTGAACCCAGGAGGCAGAGGTTGCTGTGAACCGAGATAGCATGACTGCACTCCGGTCTGGGAAACAGAGTGAGACTCCATCTCAAAACTAAATAAAAATTTTTAAAATCCTAATTCTGGGCTGGGCATGGTGGCTCATGCCTGTAATCCCAGCACTTTGGGAGGCCAAGGCGGACGGATCACCGGAGGTCAGGAATTCAAGACCAGCCTAACGAACATGGAGAAACCCCATCTCTACTAAAAATACAAAATTAGCTGGGTGTGGTGGCGCATGTCTGTAATCCCAGCTACTCAGGAGGCTGAGGCAGGAGGATCACTTGAACCCAGGAGGCAGAGGCTGCAGTGAGCCGAGATCACACCATTGCACTCCAGCCTGGTCAACAAGCAAAACTCCATCTCAAACAAAAAAAAAAAAAACAAAAAAAAAACCATAATTCTGTCAACTGTTTTCTAAAATGTACTACATATGTAATATAACTGTCAACAACTCTACATAGCAGACCCGTTCAATCAGTTACTCAAGGCTACATTCAACAATTAACTTACCTTTTTTTTTTTTTTTGAGACAGGTTTTCACTGTTGCCCAGGCTGGAGTGCAGTGGTGCAATCATGGCTCACTGCAGCCTCCACCTCCCAGTCTCAGCTGATCCTCCCACCTCAGCCTCCCAACTAGCTGGGACTACAGGTGTGTACCACCACACCTGGCTAATTTTCGTATTTTTGGTAGAGATGAGGTTTCACCATGTTGCCCAGACTGGTCTTGAACTCCTGGGCTCACACCATTCATCTGCCTCAATTAATTCATCTTGAAGTGTTTACCAGGAATTTATATCATTTGATATTCAGAATTTCTATAGCCACAGTATAAAACTGATACTAATACCTTTCTTTTTTTTTTTTTTTTTTTTTTGAGATGGAGTCTCGCTTTGTCGCCCAGGCTGGAGTGCAATGGCGTGGTCTCAGCTCACTGCAACCTCTGCCTCCCAGGTTGAAGCGATTCTCCCGCCCCAGCCTCCTGAGTAGCTAGGATTACAGCTGCCTGCCACCACGCCCGGCTAATTTTTGTACTTTTAGTAGAGACGGGGTTTCGCTACATTGGCCAGACTGGTCTCAAACTCCTGACCTCGTGATCTGCCAGCCTGGGCCTCCCAAAGTGCTGGGATTACAGGTGTGAGCCAGCATGCCCGGCAACTAATACCACTTTTTTTTTTTTTTTTTGAGACGAAGTCTTGCTCTGTCACCCAGGCTAGAGTGCAGCGATCTCGGCTCACTGCAACCTTCTCCCAGGTTCAAGTGATTCTCCTGCCTCAGCCTCGCAAGTAACTGGGATTACAGGCATGCGCCATTGTGCCTGACTAATTTTTGTATTTTTTAGAGATGGGGTTTCACCATCTTGGTCAGGCTGGTCTTGAACTCCTGACCTTGTGATCCACCCGCCTCGGCCTCCCAAAGTGCTGGGATGACAGGTGTGAGCCACCGCGCCCGGCCTAACACCTATTTTTTTAAATATCTGGCTACAACCATTACATCCTTATTCTATAATTCATCTTTGGGGTCTTAACTGTACATTTTGTTTTCTAGTTTTAGAGCAACCCCTGCACTGTTTTCTGAGGAAAATCTTGGTCCTGCCCATAGGACCTTTAAATACATGTGCTGGTTGTCCATTCAGGTCAAAATGCTGACATGATCAGGATCTAACCTAAATCAGGCATGCTGAATATGTAGCCTCATGATTCTGGACTGAGAAAATAAACTCATTGCAACCTGATGCTTACTTAAATTCCTGGAGAATTACTAAAGGATTTGTTCACTCAAAAATTCAATAAACTGTTCTCTACGTGCCAGATGCTATTCTAGCTGCTGGGGATAAACAGTGAACAAAACACGTATAGTCCCCACAGTGTACGCATCCCTCTTTACCTCTGAATCAAGCCAAACCATCAGAGAGCCATATACCAAAACCACATTGCTTTGGCCCCGTGGAGACTGTTCACTGGCAATAACTCACTTGGATTGAGAAGTATAAGAAGCAATCTTTATTTATTTATTTAAGACGGAGTCTCACTCTGTTGCCCAGGCTGGAGTGCAGTGGTGCAATCTCAGCTCACCGCAACCTCCACCTCCCAGGTTCAAGAGATTCTCTGGCCTCAGCCTCCTGAGTACCTGTGATTACAGGCACGCGCCACCATGCCCGGCTAATTTTTTGTATTTTTAGTAGAGATGGGGTTTCGTCATGTTGGCCAGGCTGGTCTCAAACTCCTGACCTCAGGTGATCCACCCGCCTCAGCCTCCCAAAGTGCTGGGATTACAGATGTGAGCCACCACGCTTGGCCAAGAAGCAATCTTTAAAAACTCACGTTTGATTTTAGAGATACCATGAATCTGAAAACTGAACTTTATTTTCTTCTTCATTTTACTCCAGAAAACTCAGAGCCAAACACCAAAGCAACCATTAGCAATGATGCAGGACTTTCCGGTCCATGCACTAATTCTGCCACTGGCTTTATCTGCTTCTTTCATTTCTTCTTGGCCTTTATTTTTAATCTTCTCATTTTGAAAAGAAGTGGGAAATAAAAGATATTTGATGGGTGTTTTTTAACCTAAAATTTATTGTGTACCTTCTATGTGCCAGGCACTATCCTAGGCACCTTACAACCTTGGGGAAGTCGAACTATTATTTCTTTTTTTTTTTTTTTTTTTTTTGGAGACAGAGTTTCGCTCTTGTTGCCCAGGATGGAGTGCAATGGTGCAATCTCGGCTCACTGCAACCTCCACTTCCTGGGTCCAAGCGATTCTCCTGCCTCAGCCTCCCGAGTAGCTGGGATTACAGACATGCGCTACCACGCCCAGCCAATTTTTTTTTTTTGAGGCGGAGTCTCGCTGTCGCCCAGGCTGGAGTGCAGTGGTATGAGCTCAGCTCACTGCAAGCTTTGCCTCCCGGGTTCACGTCATTCTCCTGCCTCAGCCTCCTGAGTAGCTGGGACTACAGGCACCTGCCACCACGTCCAGCTGATTTTTTTTGTTTTTAGTAGAGACGTGGTTTCACTGTGTTAGCCAGGATGGTCTCGATCTCCTGACCTTGTGATCCGCCCGCCTTGGCCTCCCAAAGTGCTGGGATTACAGGATTGAGCCATCGTGCCCGGCCCAATTTTGTATTTTTAATAGAAATGGGGTTTCTCCATGTTGGTCAGGCTGGTCTCAAACTCCCGACCTCAGGTGATCTGCCCACCTTGACCTCCCAAAGTGCTGGGATTACGGGCGTGAGCCACCACGCCAGCAGAACTATTATTTCTACTATATAGATGAGGAAACTGAGGCAGAGACAGGCTTATTAACTTGCACATGATCTCGCAAACTACATTTGACAGAGCTGAATTCAAATTCAGCCCAGACCATTTCATGTAAGTGTATGTACAGGCCATGATGGGACCCAATAAGGTGGAGCAGAGGGAGGGTGGGGGGAAGCCCTCACTGAGCAAAGTCTTAAAGGAGGGGGCTTGTCAAGGAGCAAGGAGAAAGTACTCCAGAAAGAAAAAGAAATCACATACAAAAACCCAAAGCAGACCAGGTACTGTGGCTGACGCCTATAATTCAAACACTTTGAGAGTCTGAGGAAGGCAGATAGCTTAAGCCCAGGAGTTCACGACCAGCCTGAGCAACATGGTAAAACCCCACCTCTACAAAAAATGCAAAAATTAGCTGGGCATAGTGATGCACATCTGTAGTCCCAGCTACTTGGGAGGCTGAGGTGGGAAAATCACCTGGGCCCGAGAAGTCAAGGCTCCAGTGAGCCATTGTCACACCATTGCACTCCACCCTGAAGTGAGACCGTCTTTAAAAAACAACAACAACAACAACAAAAACAACAAAAACCCTAAAAACAAAAAACCAAAGCAAAGAGGGAACATAAGTTCTGGGAATGGCAAATGGAGCACGGAGTTACATTCAGCAATTAATTCATCTTGAAGGTTCACCAGAAAGTTAAATCATTTAAAAGTAGACATTTAATAGTTCCATCATTGAAAATCGATATGGCCAAAGTATTAACCGTGGCTGGGAAAGTATGAAGAAGTAAAATAAAGGCAATTTTTTTATATGATTAGGCTAAAAGTCTGAATGATGTTCAATAAGCAATGAGGAAGCACAGAGGGATCCTAAGCATGAGAATTACAAGATCGATTTGCACAGTACAGGGAGGGAATTACAGATTCAAGGTAGGGAAACCAGTCAGAAGGCTACTGAAGAGTCTGGCAGTGGGGTAATGAGAGTTAAATGAGAGCTATCCAAAAGAAATACAATGCAAAGAAATACAATGCAAGTTAAATGTATGCAGCTTTTAATTTTCTAGTAGCCATATTAGAAAAAATAAAAAGAAAGGCTGGGTATGGTGGCTCACGCCTGTAATCCTAGCACTTTGGGAGGCCAAGGCTGGCGCATCACTTGAGCACAGGAGACCAGCCTGAGCAACACAGTGAGACCCTGTCTCTTACAAAAAATAAAAAGTTAGCCTGGCATGGTGGTGCACATCTGTAGTCCCAGGTACTTGGGAGGCTGAGGTGGAAGGATTACCAGGTCGAGGCTGCAGTGAGCTGTGATTGCACCACTTCACTTCAGCCTTGACAACAGAGCCAAGCCCTGTCTCAGAAGAAAAATAAAAAGGAAAAAGAAGTAAGTGAAGGCCAGGCCCGGTGGCTCACACCTGTAATCCCAGCACTTTGGGAGGCCTAGTCAGACAGAGCACTTGAGGCCAGGAGTTCAAGACCAGCCTGGCCAACATGTTGAAACCCCGTCTCTACTAAAAATACAAAAATTAGCCGGGCATGGTGGCAGGCGCCTGTAATCCCAGCTAATCGGGAGGCTGAGGAAAGAGAATTGCTTGAACCCAGGAGGCGGAGATTGCAGTGAGTCAAGATCACATCACTGCACTCCAGTACGGGCAACAAAGTAAGACTTTGTCTCAGGAAAAAGTAAGTGAAAATAATTTTAGTAACAATTTTATTTACAGCCAGGCATGGCAGCTCACACTTGTAATCACAGCACTTTAGTAGGCCAAGGTGGTTGGATCATTTGAGCCCAGGAGTTTGAGACCAGCCTGGGCAACATGGCCAAACCTTGTCTCTACAAAAAAAAAAAAAAAAAAAAGAGCTGGGTGAGGTGTCAGGCGCTTGTAGTCCCAGCTACTCCAGAGGCTGAATTGGCTGGGTGGCTTGAGCCCAGGAGGTGGAGGTTGCAGTATGCTGAGATTGCACCACTGCACTACAGCCTGGATGACAGAGCCAGACCCTGTCTCAAAAAAAAAAAAAAGTATTTACTCCAATATACCTAAAATATTGTCTCACTATGTCATCAATATAAAAAGTTACTGAGAAATTTTATTTATTCAATTTTTGTACTAACTTGAAATCTAGCATGTATTTTATACTTATCTCATTTCAGACCCTAAATTCTCATTGGAAATATTTGATATATACTTAGATTTCATAAAATGACGGATGAAAAATACAGACTCACATACCCAAGTTGTTCAAAACATACTTGAACGTTTTCCAATAGCTGATCAAGTAGCAGTTTCTCAAGTTAATTTAATTACAATTAAATAAAATTAAAAATTTAGTTCCTCAGTCATGCTAGATGCATTTTGAGTGCTCACCCTGCATATGGTTACTGGATTGGACAGTACAGGCCTAAAGTGTGACAAGGAAACTCTGTTGGCACTTCCACCATCAGCATTTCGTGTCTATTTACTATTGAGGTTTTCTGTGTATTAACATCATTAACTTGCCAGATATTAACTATGAAAGTAGTCCTACTGGTCACATAACTACAGTAGCTTACTTTCTCTAGGTCAATGCCAACATCTGTGAAAAAGGAATCATCTAATGACTACACAGAATTGCTATGTAGTACCTCTCACATGGAATGCAGTCAAAAATGTTTATGTGATAAATATATCTTCATCTCCATTACTCAAGGACTAATTCACTTTGTTTGTGGACTACTTAAACTCTTTGCTTCTATTTTCCTAAGGTTCAACCATTCGAGTTAACTACACAGTGTCCAACGACAAAAGATAAAGCAATAAGAAAACCTACTTTCAATTGCATATTTATTAGCAGCATTATGGTATAACAGTTAAGAGCTTAAGCTCTGGAGTCAGACTGTCTGGATTCAAATCCTGGTTTTATCTTTTACTAGATGCATGATTTTGGGTAAATATTTGGCCTCTCTGTGTCGCAGTTCCCTCTTCTGTAAAATAGTGACACTACATATTCTCTTAGGGTTCTTTGAGGATTACAGGAGAAGATACACATAGAGCATTCGTACACAGTACTTGGCACATAGTAGATGCTCAATAAAATTAGTTTATTTTTTGAGGCAGGGTCTTGCTGTGTTCCCCACACTGGAGTGCAGTGGCATGATCACGGCTCACTGCATCACTGCAGCCTTGACTTCCTGGGCTCAAGCAATCCTCCCACCTCAGCCTCTTGAGAAGCTGGGACTACAGGTCCACAACACCCGCTCAGCTAGTTGGTTTTTGTTTTTTTAATTTTTTGTTTTTGTGGGTACATAGTAGGTGTATATATTTATGGGACCGGCTAGTTTTTCAATTTTTTGTAGAGACGGAGTCTTGCTCTGTTGCCCAGACTGGTCTTGAACTCCCAGGCTCAAATGATCCTCCTGCCTCAGCCTCCCAAAGAGCTGGGATTGAAGGCATGAGCCACCCCAGCCAAGATGAGCTTTTTAAACAGAGATGCTGGAGAAAATGAAATTATGGCTAAGGTTAAAAAAAAAAATAGCTGAGATCCTTACACAACATCAAAAAGTAAAAAAGTAGGATTTCTCAAGATTTCCCACATTATCTTAGATACCAAGAAAAAAAAAATCGACTGTAGAGGTAGTAATTTGAAGTCCTCAAAAGAAAAATCATGCATGTGGTTATATTCTTTTAAAAGGGGGATAAATAAGAAACTTCATCTACTGACAGTATACAATTATGCAGTACGGCACAGGTGCAGCCAAGCAAAAAGAAAAACATGAAGCAAAATAGGAAGGCACTGCCTTACCTGCTTCTCCGTTTTCGAGGCGGTTTCTCCACTGTGCCAGTCAGTCTGCAGACCAAACAAATAAGACGGTAACTAAAAGTAACATACAAGAAAACATCTCCCGGCGCTACCGTGCCAGTCAAGAACTAAATAGACCACCCTCTGGGACCACAGGCTCGCCAAGCCCAGATCTGACCTTACAAACGCCTCATGCCCTGTTTCCCCTATTTACCAAGACCTAGCATTCCTGGGACTCACCGTTCCCCCAATTCCCCCTGAGCTCAAACCTTCCTGGTCCCTCACCCCATCCTCGACCCCTGCTCGTCACAGCCCAGCTCCCCAAAATCACCCACCTCCACCTACTCATTGTCTGCCTCGTCACCCCCGCAAGCCCCCCTAGCCTCCCCTTTCCTGTGCCCACCCGTTCCCGACCGTGCACTGCCCCCTCCACGCCCCGCCTCTCCGGGCCCGGCGACCCCCGCATTCCACGGCCCCTCCGGGGGCGCGCCCGCCTTGCCCCTCCCGGCCCCGCGCCGCCAGCCTCACCCCTCGGCGCCCCTTCCCTCACACGCCCCTCTCACCTGGCCTCGAGGAGGCGATCGCGCCCAGCCCGCGCCGCCGCCTGCAGGCGCCCCCAAGGTCCCCCCAGCCTGCACCCCCCGCCCCTCCGGTCTCTGCGCCCCGAATGCTCCACCGCCCCGAGCCGCTGCCCCTGGGCCCGCTCCCTGGCCCCCACCCCATCCCCAACCCCGGCCTCCACCCAGCCCCCGCACCTGGGGGCCAGGCGACTCCGCGGCTGCTGGGGCTGCCGGGCTCCTCTGACCATCCGGCTCCTGCTCCGCCGCGGGAGCTGCTCCGGCGGCCGCAGGGCTCGCTCGGGAAGCTGAGGCGGCGGAGGCTGGAGTAGGCGGAGAGGCGGGAGGAGGGCCTCGCGCCTCTGCCAGGCTTGCCGCGGGGCCCGCCTCCTCCGCGCCTCTCCTCGGCTCCCATTGGCTAGAGCAGTAGTGTGGACGGAAATCTGTCAGTCGATTGGACGCTCGGCCCGTCACATCCCGCGCTGCCCACCCAGAGGTTTGGTTGAGACTGCAGGTGGCGGCGGAGGTGCCTTAGAGATTGCTAGCAGGGCCGGAGGAGACCCTAGCGCCACCATGCGTCTAAAAGTAGGAACTGCACCCCCGGCTCCAGACACCTGCCCCAGGTTCTCCTGGCTCTGCGTCCTGCATACCACACACCTGCTGGCGCCCCTCCACCTCTGCACCACGCCAGGACCGAAAACAAGCCCTGAAATCTCCCAATTTCTTCTAGCAGGTGAGACAGTGAGGCAACTCTCACAAACGTGTTTCCTTTTAAGCCACCTCGAATGCGATCCTTGTCCCTACATCTTGCTGAAATTGTCTCACAGCTCACAGCTACCCCTCAAAAAGGACCCAGCCAGAAAACTCTAAGAATCCACCAAAATAAAGCATGGTTTGGATGCTCAATCCTCTGCAGAAAAGCTCACTAGCTTGGGTGCAGGCTTTTAAGAAAGTAAGATTTTTTTTTAATTACCATGAAAGAAAAATCAGCACTACAAACAGAACCAATGCCATACTAAAAGCAACGTGTTCCATTTTGAAAGGCCTGGACAAATTTGATCCCTGAATGGAAGCTGACCATCCTGATTGTGTGACCATTGCAAGTTCTACACCAATTAATCAATTTTAAAATAAATTGTACTGTATTTTTTGACAAACAGGCATGCAAAACTGCCTTTCATAAGCATAGTTACCCTTCTTCTGCTTTAACAAAGCCATCCTTGAAAATAAGACTCAGCTCATTAACGTATTATAAAATTCTTGAAGGTGGGAAGGCCTCTCTAAATCTCTACTCCTGTGTGAACTTGTTTGGTATATTCTCAGCATCTGTTCAGAGTTGGGAGGAGGCATAAAACTTTCTCTTAAGTCACTTCCATTTTATTAGAACATCTTTTATGCCTCAATAATATGACAGCGTCGAGTAGTACATGTCAACATTGGGGTGGGGAAAATCTCTCATTGATCTCCATAAGCGGCAAAAATTAGGATACTAGTTTTTCACAAAACCAAATGTATTTGGTGTAAAGAGTTGTCTTTTCTTCTGAGATGGTCCTACCTACATCTTTAATGGTAAAATGACTTTCCATTTATGAAGTAATACTGACGGTAAATTGTAGTAGGAATTGAAAAATTGCTTTGAAAAAATGTCAAATCTCTGTTGGTCCCCCAAATTAGTATTTCACGTAATCCTAAAGTCACAGAACCACAAATCACCTCAATCTCAACTAACAGTTTCCACCCATATTATCAAGCCAGAGAGAGGAAAGAACTCGAGAATAATTTGTGTCAGACGAAGGGGGATCATCAACTCACTAGGGAAGTAATCTTGAAATACATTTATTATATTCCTTATTAAAAATCCATTGCCTGCTTTTTAGCATCTTCCATAATTGACCAATCCTCACTGATATATGGCAGATATTGTCAATAAAACAGGACCTATTCATTTCTTACGCCTTCCCAAAAAGGATCCTCGAGTCTTCACATTGTGTCCAAGTGATCTCTGCTTATTTTAACTCTGTAAGACATACAAATCCCATCATTCCAGTCCACACTTAATTCACACTTCCTCTTTATCTTCCCCAATTACTCCATCCTACATCAAACATTTCCTTGTCCAGATGTGTTGTACTTACAAAATCTACACTATGTTAGCAATTATACATTGCCTTGGATTATTCTTCCCAACTACAATGAATTTGAACAAATGGCCTATGAGTATGAGCCCTTAATAAAAGGCAGCTTTGGACCAGATACTGGGTGCTTTGTGTGTGCTATTTTTAATAGTGAGATTAACCCTGCCTGATATTCTCTTATTTTAGACACAGAAACTTAAGATTCAGAAAATTCAATCTGTTCAGGGTCACACAACTACAATAACCAATATTGCTTAAAATAGAGCGCTAAAGAAATACTCTGGTGTGCCCTCTAGGGATTCAAGTTCCAGCTCTCTTGTGCAACGTTAGACAAGTCACCTATCCTCTCTAAGCCTATTTCCTCATCTAGGGGGAGAAAAGTTCTAGAGAAGGATGAACAAGATTTATTAATTTTTTTGAAGTTTGGGCTGGGCACAGTAGCTTATGCTTGTAATCCCAGTGCTTTGGAAGGCCGAGATAGGAGGATCTCTTCAGCCGGGAGTTCAAGACTAGCCCGGGCAACATAGGGAGACCCCATCTCTACCAAGAAAAAAAAAAAATAAAAGGTAATATAGTCATAGACCCATACAGCAAGGGCATCACAAAATAGAGAACATAACAATTTAGCACATATGCTGTATACAGGTTAGTTGCTATTACTGCATGACAGAGCTGGGGTTTTCACCCAGATCTGATCCCAAAGCCTGTGCTATTCCATAATGCCTCCATGCAGTCTTTTATAACCCACCATTTATATACAAAAGCACAGTGCTGCTGAGCATAGTGGGTGCCTAGGGATTGAGTGGAATATACTTATGTAGTATTTTTGTTGACAACACAAATCTATAAATGTCATGCATTTTTGAATTAAGAAAACATTTGAATGATCTAAGCCAGCATAAGCCTACTCTCATGAGGGCACAAATTCACCAATAAATTGATACGGAAATAGAAAACAGGAGGGGAATGCAGAACCAACCTTCCCCAAGCATCTAGTGTGTCTGGCATCATGCTAGGGGACTTTCCAAATGTTTCTTTTTGGTTTACTACCGTGTATTTCGTCAGCATCACTACACACTGTAAATATACAATTTAAAGAGTTGTGATGATCTCATGAAGCATAGTTCTGGGCACTGGATCGAGGTTGTAACAATAAACATTGCCTTTAAAGAGTTGGAACACTTAGCTCAGAGTCAAATGCAAAACAAAAAAAAAAAGGTTTCACTTTTGTTCACCAGTCAAGCAACCAAGTGGAGGAATAAGCATTTTTTAATTTCTTATATAAAATGCTAACTTCTTGTCAGGACATACTACAGACTATGCATTGAATTTTTTGACAAACTTCCTGTAATCTTTTTATTAATTTACACTGAGGGAATATAGCACCTTTCATCCGAAGAACTGAAGGTGCTTTACAAACATTAGCATTTAAAAAACAATTACATTTAAAAATCTGGATTCTTGATGTCAAATCTCTTCGACTCCAGATACACAATTTCCTGGAAGCTGATGGAAAGTGATTCTATTTCTGACAATGAAAGAGGCTCAGAAAGAGTCCTAATTTGCTTTCACAGTACAGGCATTTTCCAAAACCTGGTTCTGGGCTTACAAAGCACACACACACAAATCTTAATGCAATGAACAATATTTCAAACCTTATTTCCCAAAGCAAAACCTAGGGCTTAAGACGTCAAAATCTTCCAACAGTTCTAGACATCCAGACAGAATAGGAGCTGATGCAGATTGCATATGAGATGTACTGTTGATCCAGGTGTTTTAGGATCACACTCAAATGAATATAAAGTAGTGAAACTTTTTGGGGAAACACATTAACTTATAAAAAGCTAGCCAAGAGCATATCGGCCAAAGGAGGAAAGGGAGTAAATGGCAATTCAAAGTAGACAGTTCTCACTAGAGCCTAGGGCACTTTATTAGAAACCAAGTATATCATAGGCAAATAAAAATAGTTTTTACCCCCATTGATACAACATAAGGGATTTTACATTCAGCCTAGATATAGGGAGTAACAAATCCTCCTGCCCATAAATCTATGACTTGCAAGTATCTTCCACCACATGATAACTCTATATAGTACATATAGTACATAGCCCTTATTTATTGGAGGGATCCAAAATATTCCTTGTAGGCTCACAAAGTCCAATACATTAGCTCTCTCTTCCCTTTACACGTCTAATAGTAAAAACTATTTTTTCCATGCAAAAAGCCATTATTCAGTTGAAGAGAAATCAGGCAAAACAGAGATGGCAGATAAGGAATGGAGAGAATATTATTGGCACGTGCCCAACTAGTGACAAACAAATGCAGTACACAATGACTTAAAAATAAAAGTCACATTATAGGGATAACAAAAACAACTACATCAATCTAAGCTAAGGAGTGTCAAACAGGGAGGGCTGGGAGTTACCGGTTCTATTAGTACAACTTAAGTGGAAAGCAAGCACTTAAATACAATTTATGGTAACAGGAAAAAAAAAAATACTGCAGAGAGCTGTTCAAAGACCACACCAAGTTGTCTGCATCATTAATTTCCAGTGTTTCACAATTAGTAAAATACATAGCTACATATCCCTGTGAGATAAAAATACCTTTCCACCTGAATTACACTGGGATCAGGGCAGTAACACGAAGCTACTGACCCAACATTAGTTCAAGTGTGTGCAGCAAATGTCTTAGCCACCTCTTTCATATAGCTATATAATTAAAAACTATGTAAGGAGCTGGGTGGTTTGAGGGAAAAAAATTAAATCAAAACAGTATTGTGCTCAATTAATAAAAGAAAACCCTGATGAAAAATTATATGCCAAGAAGCTTAGACTATAAAGATTTTTATTGCATTTTTAGGTAACCTGGAAGTTCTTATCCTGAAGGGGAAAAGTGGGTTTTCAAAACTACCTGAACAGATGCTAAAGTGCTTTATTAATTGGCTGGCTTCACAAGTATTTCCTGGAATAACAAAAATTAATCATAGTAAAGGGATACCAACTATTTCACAAAATGTACATTCCAACATCATTTATGACTACAGTCATAAGAGATACTGGAATACTTGTCCTTATTAAGTGGACAGTTGCATATTCAGAACTGATCATCACAACCCTTTGGATATTCAAATTACTTACACAAAGCTGAAATATGGTATCACAGACCTTTGCAAAAAAGAAGAACTTGTTTCTTTTTCTACACTTTAAATAATCTGCTTCAGATTACAGTTCACAAATACAAGAGTCCTAACTTTTCAACCTTTCCAGTTGCAGTTTAAAAATGAACACTTTCTAAAAGTTAAGGTCAAGTGTTACAGCAAGAGAAGAATGATTCCTATTGAAAAGCACATAGATTTTAGTTAATAATACTCATGATAGATTGTAAACTGGATTGATCACATTCTACTCAACTGGTATCAAATTAACACATCAGCATTACAAGTATTAAATGTTTTTCTATTACTATAGAGGATATAAACCAAAACATTAATATGGCAGTTATGTTCTTTAGGCACAGTTTAGTGATTTTTTTCAAAAATAAATACTATTGAATTTCAATTGAAGTTTTAAACTCAATAACCAAAGGGTCAAGAACTCTGATTAGGAAAAAAGAAAAGATAACTTTACGCTAACAATGTAAGCTGTTTAAAATTTCTAACACTTAACCTATCTGAGTTTTATTTAAGATTACTTTATTAAAAAATACAAGGAATCTGAAAAAAGATCAATACAATTATCTTAAAGTACAAAGTCATAAGCTGTAGCAGTTTTTAACTAAAATTTAAAAACACAACAAGGAGGGCAGCCCTTTAGACCAATTTATTTTATATCCATTTAAAATATCATCCAACAAAGGACAATGAAGTTTACATCTGGGACAGGTATACATAACTTGAGGCATTTGGAGTCCATCGTGCCCACTGAATAACAACTTTGCTGCTGAAATTTCTTAAAACTTACCAAACTAAAACAAAAGGCTGAATGATACAAAAGGAGGAGTATTTAGGTGTAATCTGTCAATTGGCTTTTAAAAAAAGGAAACACATCCTGTTTCCCAGACCAGTAAATAAGCAAGAGCTACATGCAGCAGTGTGAGTATTAAGACATTTCTCAAGTCTTCTCAAATGAGTCCAGGGTGGGGATGGGATGGGGGAAAATTGATAGAAAAACTTTGCTATAGACACCACAACAAACAATAAATTTAGATAATTTAAAATTTAAAAAAAAAAAGGCAAGAGGCAGCATTTCAGCAGCAAAGTGCTCAATAAAAAGTATATTGTAGAGGGTAATACAAGAAAATTGGGGTAAGAAGAGGGCAGAAAAATGGGTCAGCAGGATGGGCGAAGGCCTCAAAGGAAATATGGCGTTGTCGTTCTGGGAGGAATAACACGTTCTGAATCTGGAACTGCCCGGAATAACTTTGGTTCTCTTGTATTTACATCTTTGAAGACCATGATCGAAGCAATATTTCCACAACGATAGCAGTAATTAGGAGCAGACCATACTGTCACCAGCTTCTCATCAAACATAAATTTATAGCCTTCGTGCACTAGTTGATGTGCTCTGCAGATGAGTTTTAAGTTGTTGATATGAACAAACTGCAATTTAGAAAGGCACTGTAAGTACTTAGCACTTAAAAAACAATCGGCCTACATAATCATTTAAATAAAATACCAAATCCTATTACTACTAAAGGCATCAAGATTATAGAACGCACTCTATAATTATCTCCAACAATTTAATAAGTTTAGGCAAACAGCAATTTTGGCCTGAGTCAAGTGCACAACTATGGAAACTGTACAGCTACATAAACAGTTAGAAATTTCTGGAAGAAAAAGCATTCAATAGGTACTATGAAACAAAATTTTGTGTTTTCTGATTTAATAATAAAGATATTGCTATCAGTATCTACCATTTACTGAAGGTTTAGTATATGTAGATGTTGCAATAATTCTGAAAGAGATTATTCTTTTGCAACTTAAGGAAACAAAAGCTCAGACTAGATAAATAACTTATCTAAATTAAGATACACTGATGCAGGATCAGAATCTAGTTTTTTGACTTCATTATGATGCTGGAGCACTTCCCAATATAAGGGGTGTGTGTGTGTGTGTGTGTGTGTTTTAATTGAAAACAGTTGAAAGTTCAAAGTGTGTGTGTGTGTTTTAACTGAAAACAGTTGAAAGTTCAAAGTACTGCCTATCTTGAAGATGGCGGAGTAGCATCGCAAAGAGATTAGTATTGAGTCTCTGGGCCGACTTTGGTTGCAGTCTCTGCAGCAGCAGTGATCACTTAGTGAAGAGTGCTTAGGGTAGTTGGCCAGGATCCTGAATATCAAAATCTTCAGCGGCAGCTCCCACCAGGGCTTATCTCAGAAAACTGCCGATCGCCTGGGCCTGGAGCTCGGCAAGGCAGTGATTGAGAAATTCAGCAACTAGGAGACCTGTGTGGAAATTGGCAAAAGTGTACGTGGAAAGGATGTCTACATCATTCAGAGTGGTTGTGGCAAAATCAATGACAATTTAATGGTGCCTTTGATCATGACTAATACCTGCAAGACTGCTTCAGCGAGCCAGCTTACTGCAGTCATCCCATGCTTCCCTTATGCCCAGCAGGATAATAAAGAGTCAGGTGACAATCTCAGCCAAGCTTGTTGCAAACATGCTATCTGTGGCAGGCGCAGATCATATTATCACCATGGACCTACATGCTTCTCAAATTCAGGGCTTTTTTGATAACCCAGTGGACTATCTGTATGCAGAGCCAGGTGTCCTGAAGTGGATAAGGGAGAATATCTCTGAGCAGAAGAACTGCACTATTGTTTCATCTGATGCTGGTGGAGCTAAGAGAGTGACCTCCATTGCAGACAGGCTGAATGTGGACTTTGCCTTGATTCACAAAGAAGGCCAATGAAGTCGACCGCATGGTGCTTGTGGGAGATGTGAAGGATCTGGTGGCCATCCTTGCGGATGACATGGTTGACACTTGTGGCACAATCTGCCATGCAGCTGACAAACTTCTCTCAGCTGGAGTCACCAAAGTTTATGCTATCTTGACTCACAGAATCTTCTCTGGTCCAGCTATTTCTCACATCAACAACGCATGCTTTAAAGCAGTAGTAGTCACCAATAACATACCCCAGGAGGACAAGATGAAGCACCATTCCAAAATACAGGTGATCAACATCTCTATGAGCCTTGCAGAAGCCATCAGGAAAATTCACAATGAAGAATCCGTTTCTTACCTATTCAGTCATGTCCCTTTATAATACAGTAACTTCTGAGGCTTTTTAAGAATAAAATCCACCCCACCCCTTGTTTTCCCTTGGTATTTGATGACGAATTCAGCAGAAGACCCAGCTTGCTCCAGTGTAGCTTTCTATATCCCACATCAGGTATATCTGAGCTTATCCGAAATGAAGAAAGAAGGATTGAGATTAACTGCTGGGACTTCCTATCTGCATTGTCTCATTCTGGCTTCCTTGATGATTCTGTGAGCCTTGCAGCTTTAACTATAGCTCAGCTGTTACAAGATTTCAGACTTTTGAGGATGTTGTGTGGGGGTGTTTGACTGTGACTGGAGAAGCTCAGACTACTCTGCATGTGAATGCTTCAGGGTTTTCTTTGTTGAGAACAACCAGCAGCAAAGCCAACCCATGTGTGAGCAGTTCTCCCCAAGGTCTATGCTAAATTATGGCAAGAGCCCTGGGCAACCCCAAACCTAGTCCCGGTGGCTGAGCACCCTGTAAGGCAGGAGTAGGCAGTTGGGCTTGAGCAGCCATGGGGTAGGGGGTGGGGGGTGGTTGAGGGGGGAGGCAGCACAGCGCAGCAAATGTTTCTTGGGAGGAAGAAGCCTGATCCATCATCATCTGCTTGACTATGTAGCTTGGATTCTCTTTTGTACCTACTCCTTTGATTTGGCTTTACCTTCATCCATCTTGATCCTTTCCTGGCCAAAGATCCTCTTGGGCCCAAATGAACACTGTACCGTAGTCTTCTGGAAAGCAAATGTGCTTCCTGCTATGTAATCGCTAACATTCACATTACATGATTTGCTGTAGCTTGATCTTCCTTAGCCTACTACCACTGTGGCAGTAGGTTTTAGGTGGTATCATAGTGCCTTTTGATTAATTTAAGTATTTAATTTTCATCTTCTTTCTTTGGATCTATTTGGCTTTTCAAATGAACAGAGATTTCTGTTAAAAAGAAAAAAAAGATTTGACGTAGGCTGGGCGCGGTGGCTCACGCCTGTAATCCCAGCACCTTGGGAGACCAAGGTGGGCAGATGACCTGAGGTCAGGAGTTCAAGACCAGCCTCACCAACATGGTGAAACCCCGTCTCTACTAAAAATACAAAATTAGCCAGGCGTGGTGGTGTACACCTGTAATCCCAGCTACTCGGGAGGCTGAGACAGGAGAATCGCTTGAATCCAGGAGGCAGAGGTTGCAGTGAGCCGAGATTGCACCATTGTACTCCAGCCTGGGCAACATGAGCGAAACTCTTGTCTCAAAAAAAAAAAGATTCATGTTATTGTCTCTTGTAGAGGAAACTAATAAAGTGTCTGTATCTGTGTGATTTGAGGTCTTTGAGAAAAAAAAAAAAAAGTATTGCCTATCTTGGTCTTGCCATTTTGTTACTTAACTACAGTACTTGAAAGGAAAGGGGCTGGCCGGGTGCGGTGGCTCACACCTATAATCCCAGCACTTTGGGAGGCTGAGGCGGGTGGATCACCTGAGGTCAGGAGTTCAAGACCAGCCTAGCCAACACGGTGAAATCCCATCTCTACTAAGAATACAAAAATTAGCCAGGCATGGTGGCGCACACCTGTGGTCCCAGCTACTCAGGAGGCTGAGGCAGGAGAATGGCTTGAACCTGGGAGGCAGAGGTTGTTGCAGTGAGCCAAGATCACGCCACTGCACTCCAGCCTAGGCGACAGAGCAAGACTCCATCTCAAAAACAAAAAAAAAAGGAAAGAACATTTACTTTATACATTATTACCAAATGGATGCTGGAGTAGGTGCTTTCACTGTGTCATCTTATTTAACCATTAAAGAAAGACATACGTTAATAACTAAACTAGAAATTTAATATCCACAGCCACCATATTTTGAGTAAGCTAGACTACAAGTTTGTTATCTAGGGCCACCATAGTTCTCTATGCAGCCCATTAGCAATCCACAAATTACATTTCCAAAAATGTTGGCTTTACCTCATTTGTGACCTTTGCTCCAAAAAGCCAACCTGCTCCTCGGGGACTGATAGCCCAGGTATCCACATCTTCAGGATCTGACCAAACCAGATCACAAAATGCTCCTTTATGAGGAATTTCCTGATTCCGTTCGATGGTTCGAATTTGATCCAGTGTTTTGATATCAGGAGATAAACCACCATGGACACACAAAATCTGCTCATCTATTAACTAGCAAAAAAGGATAACAAAGAGTTGAACATATAACCTCAGGCATATCTAAACTCATCAGTGAATACTAAAGATATCAATATAATTGAGATGACAACTAGATAAAAATATGCAATGTGTTATTGGCAGGAACGTACATGAGACTTTAAAAATAGAAACTTACAGCTGCTACTGTGAGCATGTCAAAAACTTTGGTACAGTATCTCCAGGCATTAGCATTTCCATATTTGGTTTGGCACTCATCTGTGAAAGAAACAGAAGGGTTTTAATTAATGAATCTGCTAATAAAAATAAACAATATATCCAATACTAGAGCAGCCTTCAGTACAACAGAAATTCAGCTTAAACTAGGATAGCAAGATATGACACATATTTAGTCCTGCTAGGACCTCCACATAGAGCCAAAAGAACGCTAGTGACTAACTACATACAGTTGTATGTCCCTTAACCATGGGGATACATTCTAAAAAATGCATTGTTAGGTGATTTCATCGTTGTGTGAACATCATCGGATGTCCTTACATAAACCTAGATGGTCTAGCCTACTACACACCTAGGCAATATGATATAGCCTATTGCTCATAGGCTATAAATTTGTGCAGCATGTAACTGTACTAAATATCATAAGGAAATAGTAACACAATGGTAAGTATTTGTGCAATAGGAATTTTTCAGCTCCGTTTTATCTATGGGACCACTGTCATATATACAGTCCATCATCGACTGAAATGTCATTATGTGGCACATGACTGTATTTCCTAAGGATGTAGTACTGCTCTTCATTCCTGGAATGGACCTAAGAAGCAGCTGAAATTATTAGCCAAAATGCTATCATTAGAAGAGTTAAATACTAATTTCACACAACCTGAAGCAAATGTTTTAACAGTTATGTTAATATTAGGCAATTCTGGTAAGCAGATAAATTTATTTAAGGAGACAATTCTAGCAGGATAAACAGATCAAACAAATTAGAGGATCCTTAGTTATAGGAGCATGAGCAATTCCTAACTCTTCTCAGGGCTAAGTTGTCTCTTCTGAGATTTTCTGCAAATCGTGCGACTAAACACTTGAGCTTCAGTGGATCAAAACTGAGGACAGATTGCCAATCAGGTTCTTACAAATTCTCAGTTGAACACTCTTTCTGCTGCCTACGTAGTTTTTTGTTTTTGAGACAAGGTCTCACTCTATTGCCCAAGTTGGAATACAGTGGCACAATCAGCAGTGGCGCGATCACAGCTCACTGCAACCTCAACCACTTGGGTTCAAGCGATCCCACCACCTCAGCCTTCTGAACAGCTGGAACTACAGGCAAGTGCCACCACACCTGGCTAATTTTATTTCTGGTAGAGATGGGGATCTCCCTATGTTGTCCAGGCTGGTCTTGAACTCCTGAGCTCAAGCAATCCTCCTACCTCAGCCTCCCACAGTGCTGAGAATACAGATGTGAGCCACTGTACCCTGACTGTCTACATAGTTAATAGGGTACACACTTCTTTTGTTAACACCATGGAAGCTCTGTACTTTGGCTTCTTCCATAATTTTAGAAAAAAAAAAACCTGACATATCACTATTGCCTTAAGTGAAGCTGAAAATGATATAGGAAAGAAGTCTGCAGGTTATGACCAATCCCCAAGATTTTCTCAATTATATATCTACGTGAAGCAAGATTGTTATGTAAACTTGCCATAAGAGAGCCCTAACAATGAGCTCAGGTTGCAGGCAGGGATCTTGAACTTGGCTCAATAGTAACTGCCCAGTATGTGTTTATCAGTGTGAACTGAAGTCCCAGTGTAAAGTCATATAGGGATATTTTATTCCTTGAAAATCAATATAAGTCCTATAATAACTAAAATTATCTTATTCAAAACATATGTCATATGGCTGGACGCAGTGCCTCATGCCTGTAATCCCAGCACTTTGGGAGGCCGAGGCGGGCGGATCACAAGGTCAGGAGATTGAGACCATCCTGGCTAACACGGTGAAACCCTGTCTCTACTAAAAAATACAAAAAAATTAGCCGGGCATGGTGGCGGGCGCCTGTAGTCCCAGCTACTTGGGAGGCGGAGGCAGGAGAATGGCGTGAACCCAGTAGGCAGAGCTTGCAGTGAGCGAAGATCGCACCACTGCACTCCAGCCTGGGTGACAGAGCGAGACTCCGTCTCAAAAAAAAAAAAAAAAAAAAGTCATATATTAGCCATATATAACAATATGTATTTTATATATTATACATGTAGCATTAGTTACATATATATAGTAGGTGTGTGTGTTTTTATAACATTAGTTTTAGTACTGTTTTCACTGAGCTAATATCATAGTATGTTATCCAAAATATTGATTATTTTGCAAAAGAATCCAAAAGTTGTATTTCAATTGGTGTTTATTTTGTGAATGAAAATAAAAAGTCACCTGTAGAAAGGAGATAAATATTACCTAACTTTACACGTATTAAAAAAATTATATAAAAACAATAAATTCTCAAAATTTCTCTAATTGATAATGGCAGACAAACTGAAGAGTAAGAGAGTTCAGATTATCTTTGCTTTGTTTCGTTTTGAGACAGCCTCACTGTCATCCAGGCTGGAGTGCAATGGTGCAATCTCGGCTCACTGCAACCTCCACCTCCCGGGTTCAAGGGATTCTCCTGCCTCAGCCTCCCGAATAGCTGGGACTACAGGCAAGTGCCACCATGCCCAGCTAATTTTTGTATTTTAAGTAGAGACGGGGTTTCACCATGTTGGCCAAGATGGTCTCGATCTCCTGACCTTGTGATCTGCCTGCCTCAGCCTCCCAAAGTACTGGGATTACAGGCATGAGCCACCACACCTGGCCCAGCCTATCTTTATAATGAAAGAAGATAATTCAAAATATAAAATTTAAATCTAAAGGGTTCTGCAATTAATGTTTCCAAATCTCTCAATATCTGTCTTAATTGTGCTCAAGGAAAATCCAAATTCATAATCTTGACAGTTCTATTTCCCTGAAGGGGCTTCCTAATAAGCTCGCTCTCTCTCTCTCTCTCTCTCTCTCTCTCTCTTTCAACCAAATAAAAGTTTTAAAGAATTAGCTAGTTTGCTTTTTTTCCTTTCTTGAGACAGAGTCTGGCTCAGTTGCCCAGGCTGGAGTGGAATGGAGCGATCTTGGCTCACTGCAACCTCCACCTCCTGGGTTCAATCAATTCTCCCTGCCTCAGTCTCCTGAGTAGCTGGGATTACAGGCCCCCACCACCATGCCCGGCTAAATTTTTTTTATTATTAAACTTTAAGTTCTAGGGTACATGTGCACAACGTGTCGGTCTTTTACATATGTATACATGTGTCATGTTGGTGTGCTGCACCCATTAACTCGTCATTTACATTAGGTATGTCTCCTAACGCTATCCCTCCCCCCTCCCCCTACCAGTGCCCGGCTAATTTTTGTATTTTTAGTAGAGACAGGGTTTAGTTGGCCAGGCTGGTCTCGAACTCCTGACCTCAGGTGATCCGCCCGCCTCGGCCTCCCAAAGTGCTGGGATTACAGGGGTGAGCCACTGCGCCTGGCCTATTTTGCTGTTTATGACTAAGTTCTGCTTCTGATCCCTGAGGTCCTAGCATTCTCTGGAGTGAGCATACAGAGATATATGTAAAAGGATGTATAACAGCAGCTTAAAAACAACTCTAAAGTCCAACGATAGAGGAAAAACTGATACATCAATTATGCTACATCCATATGGTATATGAAGCAGCCATGAAAATAACATTAATAAAGTGAAAAAATCAGGTATGTCCCCATTTTAGTGTGCACGTGTTTGTACATATATAAACACACATAAACACACACACACACATACAAAATGGATGAGAATGGACTCTCAAATTTGTGCAGAACATTCACCTTCAGCAGATTCTAGATTCCCACTCCAAAATATTTTGATTAATAAATCTGTGGTGAGGCCCAGCATTCTCCTTTTTTTTTTGGTTTTTTTTTTTTTGAGACGGAGTCTCCCTATGTCGCCAGGCTGGAGTGCTGTGGCATGATCTCGGCTCACCACAAACTCTGACTCCTTGGTTCAAGCAATTCTCCTGCCTCAGCCTCCCGAGTAACTGGGATTACATGCACACACCACCACGCTCAGCTCATTTTTGTATTTTTAGAAGAGAAGGGGTTTCACCATATTGGTCAGGATGGTCTCGATCTCCTGATCTTGTGATCCGCCTGCCTCAGCCTCCCAAAGTGCTGAGATTACAGGTGTGAGCCACCCCACCCGGCCGGCAATCTACATTTTTAATGAGAACCCAGGTGATTCCAGCTACACTTTGAGGCACAGATCTAGAAAGATGCACACCAAAAAGTTAACAGTGGTCTTCTCTCGAGCATAAGATTTTCAATTGTTTGGGAGGAGTGAAGGAGTGAGGATGTGGGGAAAATAATATACATAAAGCATGTGTATGACTTGTGTAGCTTTGTTTTCCAAAGAGGAAAGTAAAATAATATTCAGAATCAGAGAAATAGGAATTCTTACCATAAAATCCATAGACCTGTGTTATCTGTCTACTCTCATGATTTCCTCGCAAAAGTGTAATACGATCAGGCCATTTAGCCTTTAATGCAAGAAGGTAAGTGAAGGTCTCCAAACTATAGTAACCTCTGTCTACAAAATCACCCTGTGAAGTAAAAGTTTACAGTTACAAACAATACAATAGCCACAATATTCTTTTCAAATTATATCAAACTGTACAAACATATAGTTTATAACTACAATAAAGAGTTACATACTGAATTATTTGGAAATTTGATTTTAACAAAAAAATAAAATACACGTAAACAAATTTTTTCTATTAAATGTTTATACAAACAAGATTTTTGATTCCAGGGAAATCTACAAGAATCTGCTGTGCCATTCTCTCAAAAACTTTCCCTGAAAAAAAAAACCACCATTTTTTTTTCTTTTTTTTCTTTTTTTGAGACAGTATCACTCTGTCACCCAGGCTGGAGTGCAGTGGCACAATCTCGGTTCACTGCAACCTCCGCCTCCCGGGTTCAAGCGATTCTCTTGCCTCAGACTCCTGAGTAGCTGGGATTACAGGTACAAGCCGCCACCACACCCGGCTGATTTTTGTATTTTTTGTAGAGACGGGGGTTTCACCAGGTTGGTCAGGCTGGTCTCAAACTCCTGACCTTGTGATCCACCCACGTTGGCCTCCCAAAGTGCTGGGATTATAGATGTGAGCCACCACACCTGGCAAAACCACCATTTTTTCAATCCTCTATTACCTACATTAGTTGATTTGGTCATCTGCTAACCAGTATTTTTTAAGTTTTTTTTTTTTTTTTTTTTAGATGGAGTTTCACTCTTGTTGCCCAGGCTGGAGTGCAATGGCGTGATCTTGGCTCACTGCAACCTCCCCTTCCTGGATTCAAGTGATTCTCCCACCTCAGCTTCCTGAGTAGCTGGGATTACAGGCATGCACCACCAAGCCCGGCTAATTTTGTATTTTTTTTTTTTTTTTAGTAGAGACGGGGTTTCTCCATGTTGGTCAGGCTGGTCTCAAACTCCTGACCTCAGGTGATCCACCTGCCTCGGCCTCCCAAAGTGCTGGGATTACAGGCGTGAGCCACTGCGCCCGGCCAAGTAATTTAATTTTTAAAAATTCAATTTTTTTTTTTTTTTAGAGATGGGGTCTCACTATGTTGCCCAGGTTGGTCTAGAACTCCTGAGCTTAAACAATCATCCCACCTCAGCCTCCCAAGTAGCTGGGACTACAGGCATGTACCACCATGCCCAGGTAAAATAATTTTTTATTTTAAGAATCATTTTAACTGTATTGGAAGAGTTGCCTACTTGAAGAAAAAAATTTTTTGTAAAAGCAAATACCATAATTATAACAGCGTTCTAGGCTCAGTTTTGCATTTAACAACCATATATGATAATATACTATTTACACTTCCCATTAATGTCTGACTTGGGCCAATATTACACCAATAGGAAAACAGCTGAAAGAATAGGAAAGTGGCCGGCGTGGTGGCTCACCCCTGTAATCCCAGCACTTTGGGAGGCCAAGGCAGGGGCCGAGGTGGGCGGATCACGAGTTCAAGAGATCCAGACCATCCTGGCCAACATAGTGAAATCCTGTCTCTACTAAAAATACAAAAATTAGCTGGGCGTGGTGGCGCACGCCTGTAATACCAGCTACTCGGGAGGCTGAGGCAAGAGAATCACTTGAACCCAAGAGGCAGAGGTTGCAGTAAGCCAATCGCACCACTGCACTCCAGCCTGGCAACAGAGAGAGACTCCGTCTCAAAAAAAAAAAATAAGAAAGTGACCCAGAAACTTTCAGAAGGAAAGAAAATGAGAGAAGGATCCAGAAAAAGTTCAACAGTAACATTACATTCCAAAAGAAAAGCAAACATCTATAGCAAATGTGTATGTGTGTATATTAATCCATCCATAGATTAACGAGAGATAAAAATGAATGCTCGAAAAGTCTGAATAAATAATAGTCAATTGAAGATTTTTGCCTTAAACCAGGGGTTCTGGGTTATTTTTTATGCCCAACCATTACTGACAGCTACAACCCAACCCTATCTACAGTGGCTTACTAAGGCAATTAATTAGAGGACATAGTTAAATGTAGAAAAGTATACAATCACCTTGATATGGTTTGGCTGTGTCCCCACCCAAATCTCATCTTGAATTCCCACATGTTGTGGGAGGGACTCGATGGAAAGTAATTGAATCATGGGGGCAAGTCTTTCCTGTGCTGTTCTCATGACAATAAGTCTCATGAGATCTGATGGTTTTAAAAACAAGAGATCCCTGCACAGTCTCTCTCTCTTTGCCTGCCGCCATCCACATAAGATGTGACTTGGTCCTCCTTGCCTTCTGCATGATTGTGAGGCCTCTCCAGCCATGTGAAACTGTTAAGTCCATTAAACCTCTTTTGTAAATTGCCCAGTCTCAGGTATGTCTTTATCAGCGGCGTGAAAACGGACTAATACACATCTTTTAATATACTGAAATAGGGACTGTCACATGGTAAAGAATTATTATGCAATTTACATTTAATAAGTCAGATCCTTTCCATTTTAAACAAGCACTTGATATCACTGGTGTTTACATACCATAAATATGTAGTTTGTGTCAGGAACCTGACCTCCAGTTCTGAACAGTTCACAAAGGTCATAAAACTATAAAAGAAATGCAATACATGCTGATTACAAATTCCTGTTAAGAAGCAAAGCAACAAAACTGAGAGTGAAATGTGTAAAGAAGCAGCTAAGAGGACTCCAAATATTTACATTTTTAAGAAATAAAGTGTAAGCCAAACTGCCAAGCACACAGTTCTCAAGACTAAAAAAAGCACTAAATAAAGCTCAGTTACCATAAAGTCACTCCTAGATTATTATCATAGGATTCCCTTTCTCATTTTCTTTCATACATCTCCCCATCTATCTCTTGAGAATTCTGACATCCTTTATCAATTGTCTAATTTCTCAGTAAGCTAATCTAACAGCCCACCCAAATTCTGTATCTATTTTAATGAGACAAAAGATTACAGAAACAAGTGGATACCTCTTTTTCTTCCAAACTGAACTTACATGACACTCCAGTGTTATACAGAGATCTTCCCACATTCTACAGTTAGAGTTATATACCCTCAGGCTCCACAGCCATGGAGTGTCTCCTCAATGATCAGTTAAAAAAAAATTATATATTTCATCATATTTTTTGTTTTTTGTTTTAAGACAGGGTTTGGCTCTGTTACCCAGGCCGGAATGCAGTGGTGCAATCATAACTCACTGCAGCCACAAATTCCTGGGCTCAAGTAACCCTCCTACCTTGCCCTCCTCAGTAGCTAGGACCACAGTTACACACCACCATGCCCAGCAAATTTTTATAGAGACAGGGTCTCGCTTTTTTGCCCAAGCTGGTCTCAAACTACTGGCTTCAGGCAATCCTCCCACCTCAGTCTCCCAAAGTGCTGGGATTACAAGTGTGATCCATGACACCCAAGGATATTTCATCATATTTCTATTTACTGAAATTTGGTAACTGGCAAATTGTGCATTTGTCAAATTTCAGTCCACTAGATTATTACCCTAGCCCTAATTTCCAAAGAAAGCATTACAGTTTTTCTGGAAGAAAAACGATTTTGGATTAAGGGAATTGACTACAATACATTGGACCAATTACAACTAACAACTTCTAACACATTCATCTTTTACACTTGAAATAAAATTATCATTTAAACTTTTAACACTTAATAGGAATGTTAGTCAAAGTGAAGAAAACTGAAAGTGAGATGTTAACTACTGAAAGAAATAAAGTAACACCTTTTATAACAATGTTCCATAAGTCTAAAAAGTCAGACAAAAAAAAAAAAACAACTTTAGGAAGCTTAATATAAAATGTATCTGAAAATTAGCTAACAGGCCAAGCTGCTCACACCTGTAATCCTGGAACTTTGGGAGCTCACGCCTGTAATCCCAGCACTTTGGGAGTCCCAGGCAGGCAGATCACTTGAGGTCAGGAGTTCAAGACCAGCTTAGCCAATGTGGTGAAACCCCATCTCTACTAAAAATACAAAAATTATCCAGGGGTGGTGGCCTGCACCTGTAATCCCAGCTACCTGGGAGGCTGAGGCACAAGAATTGCTTGAGCCCAGGAGGTAGAGGTTGCAGTGAGCCAAGATCATGCCACTGCACTCCAGCCTGGGCAACAGAGCAAGATTCTGTCTCAAAAAAAAAAAAAAAAAAAAAAAAAAGTGTTATGGTCCGGGCACAGTGGCTCACACTTGTAATCCCAGCATTGTGGGAGGCTGAGGCAGGTGGATCATGAGGTCAGGAGATCAAGACCAGACTGGCCAACATGGTGAAACCCTGTCTCTACTAAAAATACAAAAATTAGCTGGGCATCATGGTGGGCACCTGTAATCAATCCCTGCTACTCGGGAGGCTGAGGCAGGAGAATCACCTGAACCTGAGAGGTGGAGGATGCAGTAAGCCAAGATCACGCCACTGCACTCTAGCCTGGGTGACAGAGCAAGACTCCGTCTCAAAAAAAAAAAAAAAAAGTGGGCCAAGCACAGAGGCTCACGCCTGTAATCCCAGCACTTTGGGAGGCCGAGGCGGGTGGATCACCTGAGGTCAGGAGTTCGAGACCAGCCTGGCCAACATGGCGAAACCCAGTCTCTACTAAAAATACAAAAATTAGCCAGGCGTGGCGGCGGGCACCTGTAGTCCCAGCTACCTCAGGAGGCTGAGGCAGGAGAATCACTTGAACCTGGGAGACGGAGGTTACAGTGAGCCAGGATGGTGCCACTGCATTCCAGCCTGGATGACACAGCAAGACTCTGTCTCAAAAAAAAAAAAGTGTTATGACAACATTTAAAACATCAAAAGAAACAGCCTTCATGACTAACATAAGTGAATATCTTAAATTAAGATCTAGCAACTCAAGGACCTTATGAGGCCATGAATAAAAATTATGACGAAAACCATGTAGCAAAATGCAAAAATCATTAGGGAAAAGAATGGAATACAAAACTATACCTATAACTACACAATTCTATTATGTAAAAAATTGAGTAGTTATATACACAAAGTCAGGAAGTGAACATTAAAAAGTTTTGTAAGTCAGTTTTTTAATAAAAATATGGTAGAAGAGTGAGTATCCTTAAACTTTTCTATTGATGTTTACAGATATGTTTTTTTGTTTTGTTTTGTTTTTTTGAGACAGTCTCACTCTGTTGCCCAGGCTGCAATGCAATGGTGCGATCTCGGCTCACTGCATCCTCCGCCTCCCAGGTTCAAGTGATTCTCCTGCCTCAGCCTCCCGAGTAGCTGGGATTACAGGCGCGTGCCAACAGCCCCAGCTAATTTATGTATTTTTAACAGAGACGGGGTTTCACCATGTTGGTCAGGCTGGTCCTGAACTCCTGACCTTGTGATCCGCCCGCCTCGGCCTCTCAAAGTGCTGGGATTACAGGCGTGAGCCACTACGCCTGGCCAGATATCTGTTCTTAAACAAAAGCTTTTAAAGTTTGTATTTACCAGACACACAGGTAGACGATTAAATATTCTGCGTCAGTGATACATAGGTTCCCATTTCCCGAGAACTTGGGCAATTCTTTTTTTTTTTTTTTTGAGACGGAGTTTCGTTCTTGTTGTCCAGGCTGGAGTGCAATGGCACGATCTCAGCTCACTGCAACCTCCACCTCCTGGGTTCAAGTGATTTTCCTGCCTCAGCCTCCCGAGTAGCTTATCTGCCACCGCACCCCCGCTGATTTTTGTATTTTTATTAAAGACGGGGTTTCACCATGTTGGCCAGGCAGATCCTGAACTCCTGACCTCAGGTGATCCACCCGCTTCGGTTTCCCAAATGCTAGGATTACAGGCATGAGCCACAGCACACGGCCCTATTTTCATCCTACATTACTAGACACCTACCTCATCGTCAAATAATATCTACCATCTACTCTATGTCTCTCCCTCACTCTCTTTTTTTTTTTTTTTTTTTTTTTTTTGAGACGGAGTCTCAGTCTGTTACCCAGCCTGGAGTCCAGTGGTGCAATCTCAGCTCACTGCTGCCTCTGGCTCCTGGGTTCAAGCAATCCTCCTGCCTCAGCCTCCCAAGTAGCTGGGACTACAGGCACGTGCCACTACACCTGCCTAATTTTTGTACTTTTTTGTACAGAAAGGGTTTCGCCACATTGGCCAGGTTGGTCTTAAACCCCTCACCTCAGGTAATCTGCCCGCCTCAGCCTCCCAAAGTGCTAGGATTACAGGCGTGAGCCACTGCACCCAGCTACTCTGTTTTTCATATTTCAGATACTCTGCTCCCATTTTAAACCAAAAACAATCTTAAGAAGTAGATTTTTTTCTTTAATTATCATTATTTTTGAGATGGAGGCTCACTATATTGCCCAGGTTGGTCTCAAACTTTTGGGATCAAGCAATCCTCCCACCTCAGCCTCCTGAGTAGCTGGAACTACATATATGTACCACTTTACCCAGCCTGGGAAGTGGATTTTTTTTTGAGACGGAGTCTCGCTCTGTCACCCAGACTGGAGTGCAGTGGCATGATCTCGGCTCACTGCAACCTCCACCTCCCAGGTTCACGTCATTCTCCTGCCTCAGCCTCCCGAGTAGCTGGGACTACAGTCATGTGCCACCATGCCCAGCTAATTTTTGTATTTTTAGTAGAGACGGGGTTTCACCACATTGGCCAGGATGGTCTTGATCTCTTGACCTCGTGATCCGCCCGCCTCGGCCTCCCACAGTGCTGGGATTACAGGCGTGAGCCACCGCGCCCGGCTGGGAAGTGGAATTTTTTTTTTTATCAGAGGCAAGGAAACATCCAGTCTGCCCAGTAGTTCTCAAACTTTTTGGTTTCAGGATTCATTTGTGATCTTAAAAACCAGAGGTCCTGAAAATCTTTTATGTAAGTTTTACAAATCAATATTTACCATATTAGAGATTAAAACTCAGAAGTTTTAAATATTTAAATGAATTTTTAAAAATTAATAACATAGGCCAGGCACGGTGACTCACACCTGTAATCCCAGCTACTTGGGAGGCTGAGGCAGAAGAATCGCTTGAACCCGGGAGGCAGAGGTTGCAGTGAGCTGAGATCACACCATTGCACTGCAGTCTGGGTGACAAGAGTGAAATTCCATCTCAAAAAAACAAATCAATAACATACCCATCAAAAAGTATCACAAACACATTTTAATGAAAAATTAACTTTTCCAAAACAAAAAAATTGTTTAGTGAGAGGAGAATTCACATTGTTTTACATTTTCACAAATCTCTTCAATGTCTGGCTAAATAGAACATGGCTAGTCTTAGAACTTGCCTCTGCACTCAGTCTGTTGGGAATATACTAAGTAAAGCAGATGAAGAAAATCCAGCTTCACAAAGATATGCAGTTACAAAAGGAAGGAGTATTTTAATAACATTTTCAGGTAACTGTGCATACTCTTTAAATACTGTACCAAAATTTGACAAGTGGCAGTTTATGACACTTAAAAGTTAATCGCAATATGAAATCTGAAACCATAACAGTAATCTTTTGCTTTTTTTTTTTTTTTTTTGGAGACAGGATCTCTCCCTGTTGTCCAGGCTGGAGTACAGTGGCACATTCTCAGCTCAGTGCAACCTCCACCTCCCAGGTTCAAGCAATTCTCATGCCTCAGCCACCTAAGTAGCCGAGATTACAGGCACGTACCTCCACACCTGGCTAATTTTTGTATTTTTAGTAGAGACAGGGTTTCACCATGTTGCTCAGGCTGGTCTCAAACTCCTGGGCTCAAGCGATCCGCTTGCCACGGCCTCCCAAAGTGCTGGGATTGCAGGTGTGAGTCACCAGGCCTGGCCTATAATAGTCATCTTTCATACCCTGTTACATTTGTTATCTTACACTTTGAGTAAATGGTAAACTAGTAATTTGAAAAATGAAAATGACATTGCATTTTATATCATCAAAAAACCATATTTGTTAATATCACTGCTCATTTCATCTCAGGAAAGTCTTTTAAGTGTCGGAAACTGTTAGCCCCATAGTGGTGGACTCAGATTTTCCAAAATTCCAATTTTTCATTAGTAAATTCAAATTTTGTCATCGGCAACAAATACTGTCAATTGTTCTCCTTGAAGTGACTGGCCCACTTCCTTCACTTTTGCAAATATAGTTGCCAAATACCCAAGTCTAAATAATCACAGTTTGTCAGTCATTCTCAAGTAAAAATAGTGTTCCATAAAAAAGCAGTTATTTTAACTCATGACTCAAAGAATTTCACAAGTATTTTTCTTTTTCTTTTTTTTTTTTTTTTTAGCAGAGTCTCACTCTGTCACCCAGGCTGGAGTGCAATGGTGAGATCTCAGCTTACTGCAACATCCGCCTCCCAGGTTCAAGTAATTTTCCCTGCCTTAGTCCCTGAGTAGCTGGGATTACAGGCACCCACCACCACACCTGGCAATTTTTTATATTTTTTAGTAAAGATGGGGTTTTGCCATGTTGGCCAGGCTGATCTTGAACTCCCGACCTCAGGTGATCTGGTGCTGGGATTACAGGTGTGAGCCACCGTGCCCAACCCACAACTACTTTTCCTTGAGTAAACTATCTTTCTTCAGCATGCAGTAGATATGCTTTATGCATACTTCCCATTTCATCACACAGACTTTTTTCTTTTTCTTTTTAGATGGGGTCTCACTCTGCTGCCCAGGCTGGAGTGCAGTGGCACAATAATAGCTGACTATAGCCTCAAACTCCTGGGCTCAAGCAATGCTTCCACCTTAGCCTCTTGAGGAGCTAGGACTTACAGACTCACACCACCAAGCCTGGCTAATTTTTTTCTTTTTAATATTTTTAGAGATGGGGGCCAGGTGCAGCGGCTCACACCTGTAGTCCCAGCACTCTGGGAGGCTGAGGCAGGTGGATCACAAGAGGCCAGGAGTTCGAGACCAGCCTGGCCAACAGGGCAAAATCCCATCCCTACTAAAAATACAAAAATCAGCCAGGCGTGGTGGTGCGTGCCTGTAGTCCCAGCTACTCGGGATGCTGAGGCACAAGAATCACTTGAACCCGGGAGGCAGAGGCTGCAATGAACTGAGATCACACCACTGCACTCCAGCTTGGGTGACAGAGCGAGACCCTGTCCAAAAAAAAAAAAAAAAAAAAGAAATAAAAAAAAGGCCGGGCATGGTGACTCACGCCTGTAATCCCAGCACTTTGGGAGGCCGAGACAGGAGACAGGAGGATCACATGAGGTCAGGGGTTCAAGACCAGCCTCAGCAACATGGAAAAACCCCATCTCAACTAAAAATACAAAAAGTTAGTCAGGCGTGGTGGCACATGCCTGTAATCTCAGCTACTCAGGAGGCTGAGGCAGGAGAATCGCTTGAACCTGGGAGGCAGAGGTTGCAGTGAGCCAGGATCGTGCCATTGCACTCCAGCCTGGATAACAAGAGAGAAACTCTGTCTCAAAAAAAAAAAATTTTTTTTTTTTAGAGATGGGGAGTCTCAGGCCGGACGCAGTGGCTCACGCCTGTAATCCCAGCACTCTGGGAGGCCAAGGCAGGTGGATCACCTGAGGTCAGGAGTTTGAGATGGGGGGGGGGGGGGGGGGTATCATTTGGTTGCCCAGGCTGGTCTTGAACCCATGGCTTCAAGCGATCCTCCCACCTCAGCCTCCCAAAGTGCTGGGATTATAGGCATGAGCCATCATGCCCAGCCAGACTTTTCAAATAATGGATATTCTAAAGGATTGAGAGTTAAGTGAAACTGGCATTTTATTTTACTGTGCAGGCATGTTGGTGAAGAACTCAATGATAATCAGTATATTCTAGTGTCATTCCCTTGGTTCATGCTAAGGCACGAGCAGTTTTACCCTCCATTGCCTCTGTACCACCTTAGAGACCCAAGGGTCCACAGGCCACACTTAACGAATTTGTGAGCTAGCTGAAATGGCTTCTTAAACAACTAATATATAGCCAAGCCAGGATTTAAACCAAGTTGTATCTGACACTGAAATCTATAACTCCTCACTATATTACACAGCTTCAATACTTCTCAGCACAACATGCTTGCTAACATGTTTATTCATACTCATAACCCAATCCTGCAATTCCAGAACAGGCCCCAGAGGAAGATAAGTCCCAAAGGATACATTTTACATTGTATTTAATCAGTCAATAGCTATTTAGAGGCTCAAATCCCATGTTTCTGATTAGCAATCTTCTGTTTTTCATTTTTTTGAGACGGAGTTTCGCTCTTGTTGCCCAGGCTGGAGTGCAATGGCGCGATCTCGGCTCACCACAACCTCCGTCTCCCAGGTTCAAGCAATTCTCCTGCCTCAGCCTCCTAAGGAGCTGGGATTACAGGCGCCTGTCACCACACCTGGCTAATTTTTGTATTTTTAGTAGAGACGGGGTTTCACCATATTTGCCAGGATGGTCTCGATCTCTTGCCCTCGTGATCCACCCACCTCAGCCTCCCAAAGTGCTGGGATTACAGGCATGAGCCACCACACCCGGCTTATTTTTTATTTTTTATTTTTTCGAGACAGAGTCTCACTCTATTGCCCAGGCTGGGGTGCAATGCATGATCTCGGTTCACTGCAACCTCTGCCTCCCGGGTTCTAGCGATTCTCCTGCCTCAGCCTCCCAAGTAGCTGGGATTACAGGCACGCACCACCACACCTGGCTAATTTTTGTATTTTTCGTAGAGACAGGGTTTCACCATGTTGGCTAGGCTGGTCTTGAACTCCTGACCTTCTGATCTGCCTGCCTCAGCCTCCCAAAGTGCTGGGATTACAGGCGTGAGCCACTGCACCTGGAACAATTGTTTTTTAAGGAACACATACAACATAAACAATTGTTCACGGTTTGGTGGTGGTCTTAAAATAACATGTACAAAAGAAACCCAAATTAGTTTCAAATCTCAATCTGCCCTGTAGTAGCTGTGTGTGAGTTTGGGCTATTTCTCTTCAATCTTTCAGTCTCCCTTTCATTGTCTACAAAATAATCCTATCTCACAGGACTTTGGGAAAAAACTGACACAGAATATGTGAAAAAGTACTTTGTTAACCTCAAAACACAAGATATATGTTAGCAAGAACTGCACATTTGACTGAAGGTATATATAATACAAAAGTTCAATTTTATGCTTCCAATTTTAGTAGTTCGAGGTTGGTCTCTAACTTTCTGACCTTTGATCATGGCTGTACTTCACATCTTAAAAAGTCTACAACTGGGGGAAACACTACACTGGGGGAAAACATGACTTGGTTTATTCCAGTTTTCAGGAATGTGTTAAGACACTGCTTATATTAATATCCTTTATGTTAGCAAAATACAAATGTTTACTTTGAGAGAGAAGTTACATAGAAACTTCTACACTACACTGGGGGAAAACATGACTTGGTTTATTCCAGTTTTCAGGAATGTCTTAAGACACTGCTTATATTAATATCCTTTATGTTAGCAAAATACAAATGTTTGAGAGAGAAGTTACATGGAAATTTTAGGAAATCAATTCCTAAAGTCTACTCTAAAGAACTGTAATTTTAACAATCAAAGATGACATAATGGGACCTCCATCTAGGAGGTGATGACATGCAAGTGTCAGATTTTTTTATAATCTAAAAAATCCAGAAAACACCTTGAAAAACCAAAAGAAAATCAGCCTGTAAGTAAGTAGCCAAAACAAGACTTTACTCATGGAGCAGCCCCTAATCAGAGTCAATTTACACACATTTCTGCTCATTTACACAGTCATATTTAAAGCAGGGAAATTGCACAGGTGACAGTAAGTCCTGTTGGCATCCTTTAAAGACTACATTGTTTGCAATGTATTATTAAGTCTTATGGCCCCAACTACACTGTATGCATATAGCACTCTATGAGTAATCTGTTCAGCTTTCATTTCCCAGTGAAAAAATTCTACAAATATACATGAGACTAAACACTGACAACAGAATCTAAATATGAGGTATGCCCCTCCTGTTACTGCTTTGAAATTCTTTTTTTTTTTTTTAGACAGAGTCTTGCTCTGTTGCCCAGGCTGGAGTGCAGTGGTGCGGTCTCGGCTCACTGCAACCTTCACCTCCCGGGTTCAAGAGATTCTCCTGCCTCAGCCTCCTGAGTAGCTGGGATTACAGGCACGCACCACCATGCCCAGCTAATTTTTTTGTATTTTCAGTAGAGACGGGGTTTCACCATGTTGGTCAGGCTGGTCTCAAACTCCTGACCTCACGATCCACCCGCCTCAGCCACCCAAAGTGCTGGGACTACAGGTGTGAGCCACCACGCCCGGCACTGCTTTGAAATTCTTACAAACACCCAGCAGATGAAAAATTGAGCTAAATATTTTCTAGCTCATTCATCAGTGATTTGCTGTGACATCATGGACCAACAATTTTATTTTTCTGTACCTTTGCTATTCTCATTCCCACTAAAGAAATGATAAATTTTCAACAATATATGACAGGAGAACAGAAATGAACTGAATGAAAAAAGTGCCTAACACCAAAACATCTCCTGTTAATCATAGTTATTATGAGCAGTATGTGTTTGTACTTTATATCTTCTACCTACCCCCAACCCCACCATTCCACAGAAAACTAATGCTGCATTATTCACTTCACAAATGTAATTATCAACAAATTCCATCACTAATTTGACCACTGCTTTTATTCACCAAAAATGTAAACCAGGAATCATTTGTGTCACAGAGACTGAGGCAACCTAGCTTACCACCAGTTGTGTTTGTTGATGTTGTTGTTGTTTTAATTTTGCAGCACATGTGAAAACACACATGGATCATGGACAGTACAAAACTTAAAAATCTGCTCATGAAATTTTACCTGTCCATGGATATCTCCACACACTGTTACTGGTGTTGATACTGGCTGAACATTTGACTCTTCTAAGAGGAGGTCACAAACGTAGTCACATAGCCGCTATAAAAAGAGAAAATAAAAGGTAAACATTTACTACAACATTAAAACTAAAGATAAAATACCAAAAAAGAAAAATACCAGGTCTAATACTTACAAAACCCAAGTATACTTTTTGATAGGAAAGTACCCTGTGATAATTCGGGGGTTGGATTTCTGTCAGCTGTCACACAGAATTCTTAATGCAATGCAAACTACCTACAGAGACACTAAGGTTCTAGGAGACAGACAGCTTTACAAGAACTGTAAAATGATGTTTTTCACCAAACACACACACACATATACACACACACACACACACATATATATATATATATATATATATATATATATATATATGAAGAAATAATTTTAACAGTAAAAGGTTTTTGGGTTTTTTTGTTTTTTTTTTTTTTAAACGGAGTCTCACTCTGTCTCCCAGGCTGAAATGCAGTGACACGATCTCGGCTCACTTCTACCTCCATCTCCCAGATTCAAGCAATTTTCCTGCCTCAGCCTCCCAAGTAGCTGGGGTTACAGGCATGTGCCACCACACCCGGCTAATTTTTGTATTTTTAGTAGACACAGGGTTTTACCATGTTGGCCAGGCTGGTCTTGAACTCCTGACCTCAGGTGATCCACCCACCTCAGCCTCCCAAAGTGCTGGGATTACAGGCGTCAGCCACCGTGCCCAGCCAGTAAAAGATTTTTATCTGGTAATTTAAAAAATAAATTGCAAACCACACACTTACCATTTGACCCAGCAACTGTAGTCTTGGCAATAAAAACATGTTCAAAATCTGTATATAAATACTCGCAGAAGCCTAATGCATCATAGCCCAAAACTAAAAACAAATCAGATATCCTTCAATGAGTGAATGGTTAAACACATTTTGGTACATCCACACCATGTAATACTACTCAGCAATAAAAAGAAACGAATACTGCCACACAACAACCTGGATTCATCTCAAGGCATTTATGTTGAGTGAAAAAAATGAAACAACAGAAAACTGTCCCAAAAGGTTATATACTGTATAATTCCATTTATATAACCTTCTTTTTTTCCCTTTTTTTTTGAGACAGAGTCTTGGTCTGTTGCCCAGGCTGGAGTCCAGTAGCACAATTTCAGTTCACTGCAAACTGCCTCCCAGTTCAAGTGATTCCCTTGCCTCAGTCTCACAAGTACCTGGGATTACAGGCACACACCATCATGCCCAGCTAATTTTTGTATTCTTAGTAGTTTCACCATGTTGGTCAGGCTGGTCTCAAACTCCCAACCTCAGGTGATCTGCCCGCTTCGGCCTCCCAAAGTGGTGGGATTACAGGCATTGAGCCACTGCACTCGGCCGTGTTTACACATTCTTGAAATGACAAAATTAAAGAAATGGAGAACGGATTAGTTGTTGTCAGGGGTCCAGCAGTTGCAGGAAGGAAGTGGGTGTGGCTATAAAAGGGCAACATGAGGAATTCTTGTGATGATGGACCTGTTCTGTATTTTGACTATAGAGTTGGATACATGAGCCCTTACCCAATAAAACTGCAAAGAACTGAATACACACAAACACACACACACACACACACACACACACACAAACACACACACACACACACAAACACAAGTAAAACTGAAGAAATCTGAACATCATGAGGTGATGATCTTGGGTTGTACCTAAAGATCATGAGTTGTATCAGTGTCAATGTTGGCTGATGTTGTATTGGTTGTGGCATTACACTATAGTTCTACAAAATGTTACCACTGGGGAAAACTGGGTTATTTTGAAATAAAAAGGCTAACTATAATTAATTATAAAATTCAAATCTAAAACTGAGGAGCCAGCTGGGCACGGCGGCTCTCGCCTGTAATCCCAGCATTTTGGGAGGCCAAAGTGGGTGGATCATTTGAGGTCAGGAGTTCAAGACCAGCCTGACCAACATGGCAAAACCCCCTATCTCTACTAAATATAAAAATTAGGCTGGGCATGGTGAATCACGCCTGTAATCCCAGAACTTTGGGAGGCTGAGGTGGGTGGATCACAAGGTCAGGAGTTCAGGACCAGCCTGGCCAACGTAGTGAAACCCCGTCTCTATTAAAAATACAAAAATTAGCTGGGCGTGGTGGCAGGTGCCTGTAATCCTCAGCTGAGGCTGAGGCAGGAGAATCACTTGAATCTGGGAGGCAAAGGTTGCAGTGAGCCGAGATTGCACCCATTGCACTCCAGCCTGGGCAGCAGAGAGACTCCCTCTCAAAAAAAAAAAAAAAAAAAAAAAAAGTAGCCAGGCGTGGGGTGCACAGCTGTAATCCCAGCTACTCGGGAGGATGAGGCAAGAGAATCGCTTGAACCCAGGAGACAGAGGTTGCCGAAAACCGAGGTCGCGCCACTGCACTCCAGCTTGGGAAACAGGGTGAGACTCTTTCTCAAAACAAACAAACAACAACAACAACAAAAAAGATGAGCCTTTTTTAATTTTATTTTTTTGAGACAGAATCTCGCTCTGTTGCCAGGCTGGAGTGCAGTGGCGCAATCTCAGCTCACTGCAATCTCTGCCTCCCAGGTTCAAGCCATTCTCCTGCCTCAGCCTCCCGAGTAGCTGGGATTACAGGCATGAGTCATCATACCCAGCTCATTTTTGGATTTTTAGTAGAGACAAGGTTTCACCATGTTGGCCAGGATGGTCTCGCTCTCCTGACCTCATGATCCACCCGCCTCGGCCTCCCAAAGTGCTGGGATTACAGGCGTGAGCCACCGCACCCAGCCAAGCCATTCTTTTTGTTAAAGGAACTCTAAATGTTTGCACTTCAAAAATATTTGTCCACTGAAAGTAATCAAACCAAAAAATGTCATAGAAAGCATATGATTCTCACACCAACGTTCTGGAAAAGGAAGTATACATCCCTGCTATATACAGGGAACTGGAGGTCTCAGGTGGAACCTTCCTTCCTACCTGAGACCAGTTTGTACTATTGCCAAAGGCTTATTGGATTTTACGATAGGTCTGCCAAGAAAGGAGAAATTAAACTAACAAGCATAATGAAATCACTTAAACATTAATTAAGGAATCTAAATGCTATAATCTCATTAATATATGAGAAACACTTTAACAGTTACAGCTACAACAATAGCTACACAGTAGCAAGAACAGAACTCAATGGGAGTGGGAGGGGGGAAAAAAGGGCTCCCAAAAGACAATGAGGGGAAATAGAGTTGTTAATTTCCTAAACATTATACAAAAAATCAGAAAACTTCAAAATAAAATGATTTGCCTTCATTCCTAGGGTAAGTTCCTGATCTTAAAATAGCACCTCAAAGGCAAGATCTTCTTTTTGGCCTGGAATCCTTCTGGCCTTGAGTCCCTGGGTAGCTAGCTCCTGTTTGTGTTGAATTTTCCACACCTATATGCTTCAACAAATCAATCCATGGTCCTGCCATATAGTACATCCATCACTCATTAAAAAAAATAACAAAAACAGGCCAGCCGTGGTGGCTCACACCTATAATTCCAGCACTTTAGGAGGCTCAGGCAGGTGGATCATTTGAGGTCAGGAGTTCGAGACCAGCCTAGCCAACATAGCAAAACCCTGTCTATACTAAAAAATACAAAAATAAGCTGGTCAGTAGAGGCACGTACCTGTAATCTCAGCTACTTGGGAGGTTGAGACAGGAGAATCGCTTGAGCCTTGGAGGCAGAGGTTGCAGTGTGCCGAGATCGCGCCACTGCACTCCAGTCTGGGCGACAGAGTGAGAACCTATCTAAAAAAAAGAAAAACAGGCCAGGTGTGTGGCTCACATCTGTAATCCCAGCACTTTGGGAGGCCGAGGCAGGTGGATCACCTGAGGTCAGGAGTTCAAGATCAGCCTGGCCAACATGGTGAAACCTCATCTCTACTAAAAATACAAATACTTAGCTGGGCGTGGTGGCAGGGCGCTGGTAATCCTGTACTTGGGAGGCTGAGGCAGGAGAATTGCTTGAACCCAGGAGCAGAGTTTGCAGTGAGCCAAGATCACGCCATTGCACTCCAGCCTGGGTGACAGAGTGAGACTCTGTTTCAAAAAAAAACAAAAACAAAAGCAAAAAATAGATGCTGGTGAGTGAAACAATGTTTCTGAACTTTGAGCCTTAAACTTTATACTGAAAGATGTTCTCGAAGGTTCCATCAGAATTATAAAATTCTGGTTTGCATTAGAAATTACCTACGCCGGCCGGGCGCGGTGGCTCACGCCTGTAATCCCAGCACTTTGGGAGGCCGAGGCGGGTGGATCACGAGGTCAGGAGATCGAGACCATCCTGGCTAACACAGTGAAACCCCGTCTCTACTAAAAAAAAATACAAAAAAATTAGCGGGGCATGGTGGCAGGCGCCTGTAGTCCCAGCTACTAGGGAGGCTGAGGCAGGAGAATGGCATGAACCCGGGAGGCGGAGCTTGCAGTGAGCAGAGATCGCACCACTGCACTCCAGCCTGGTCGACACAGCGAGACTCCGTCTCAAAAAAAAAAAAAAAAAAAGAAATTACCTACACCAAATTTCTCACTTGACTTAGATAATAAAAGATGTTACTTAATCTTAGCAACAGATCTAGAATCCAAGTTTCCTACCACTTTCCACTACATTATATTGAATATTTAGTTGTTCAATGCAACAAATATTTATGGAGTGCCTGGTATGTTACCAGGTATTGTTCTAGATACAAAGTAAATAGCAACAACCAAAACAGACTAAAAGCTCTGCTCTCAAGGGGCTTACATTCTAATAGAATGAGACAGACAATAAATAAGTAAAATATATAACAGTAATTTGTCACATAGTAATATCAAGGAAGTATAGAGCAAACAGACACACTAGAAGAGGGATGGGGTGCTGGGGTGGAGAGTAGGTGCTGTTATTTTAAACAGGGAGAGTATGGAAGCCTTACTGATAAAGTGAATTTTGAGCAAAACTCTAAAGGAGGTAAGGCTATGGGGACACAATACTACAGGCAGAGAAATAAAGACCAAAAGTCCTGATGTGAAGCATGCTTGTGTCTAAGAAACATCATCAAGGCTGGTGTGTTTAGAGTAAACTGAATGAGAAGAAAAACAGGAGAGCATCACAGAATTATTTAGGTCACTGGTGGTGAAAATAAGGACCTGGGCTTCTACTGAGTGTAACGGGAAGCCATTAGAAGTTCTAGAGCAGAAGACTGACATGATATTAAGTCAGCTGTTTTGAAAACAAACTGGCCAGGCGTGGTGGCTCACACCTATCATCCCAGCACTTTGGGAGGCCGAGGTGAGCGTATCACTTGAGCTCAGGAGTTCGAGACCTGCCTGGGCAACAATGGCAAAACCCAGTCTCTACAAAAAATACAAAAACTAGCTGGGCGTGGTGGCATGTGCCTGAAGTCCCAGATACTTGGAAGGCTGAGGTGCAAGGATCGCTTGAGCCCGGGAGGTCAAAGCTGCAGTGAGGTGAGACTGTGCCACTGCACTCCAGCCTGGGTCACAGAGCGAGACCCTTTCTCAAAATAACAAGAAAAGAGAAAATGGATTGATGGTGGTGGAGGGGTGGCTGGGCTGGGGTTGGAATTGGGACAAAGGAGTAAGCAGGGAGATCAGTTAAGTGTCTTCTATAATAATCTAGGTAAAAGTTAACTGGCTTGGACAGGGTAGTAGAAGTAGAAAATAGGGAAAATAGATTCCAGATGTTATCTGAATGTAGCATCTGCTAGATTTATGACCAGCTGGATACAGGGTGTTAAGAGAAAGTAAAGAATCAAGGATGACGCGGGATTTCTGGCTTAAACAATTAGAAGGCTGGAAATAATCATTACTGAGACAGTTACAACTCCAGGGAAAGTAGATTTTTTTATTGTGTTTTTTTACCCCTGTAAATAGACTATTTTTTAGAGCAGTTTTAGCTTCACAGCAAAATTGAGCAGAAAAGTACAGAGAATTCCCGGCCGGGCGCGGTGGCTCACGCCTGTAATCCCAGCACTTTGGGGGGTCGAGGCAGGCGGATCACGAGGTCAGGAGAGTGAGACCATCCTGGCTAACACAATGAAACCCCATCTCTACTAAAAATACAAAAAATTAGCCGGGCGTGGTGGCGGGCGCCTGTAGTCTCAGCTACTTGAAAGGCTGAGGCAGGAGAATGGCGTGAACCCGGGAGGCCGAACTTGCAGTGAGCAGAGATGGCGCCACTGCACTCCAGCCTGGGGTGACAGCAAGACTCTGTCTCAAAACAAACAAACAAAAAAAATCTTAAAGTACAGAGTTCCCCTGCTGGGCACAGTGGCTCGCGCCTGTAATCCCACCACTTAGGGAGGCAAAGACAGGAGGATCCCTTGAGCCCAGGAGTTCAAGACCGCCCTCAGCAATATAGAGAGACTTCGTTCTCCATATAAAGGGAAAAAAAGAAAAAGAAAAAAAGAAAAAAGTGCAGAGTTCCCATATACCCCCTGCCCCTCCCCACAGCCTCCCCGCATCAACATCTCACACTTGAGTGGTACGTTTGTTACAGATGATGAGCATACACTGACATATCATTATCATCCAAAGGCCATAGTTTGTTTAAATTAGGGTCACTCCTACTGCACATTCTATAAGTTTTGACAATTGTATAATGACATGTACCTACCATTATAGTATCATACAGAATAGTTTCACCTATTCAAATTCACCTCCCTCCAACCTCTGAAAACCACTGATCTTTTTACTGTCTCTATAGTTTTGCCTTTCCCAAAATGTCATATAGTTGGAATCATATATATGTAGCCTTTTCAGGTTGGTTTCTTTCATTTAGTAATATGTATTTAAGGTTCTTCCATGTCTTTTTATGGCTTGATAGCTCATTTCTTCTTAGCACTGCATAATATTTCATTGTCTGGGTGTATTACAGTTTGTTTATCCATCCACCTAGTGAAGGACATCTTGGTTCCTTCCAAGTTTTGGCAATTATGAATAAAGTGGCTATAAAAATCTATGTACAGGTTTTTGTATGGACATAAGTTTACAACTCATTTGGGTAAATATCAAGGAGCAGGACTGCTGGATTATATGAAGAGTTTGTTTAGTTTTATAAGAAACTGCCAAACCGTCTTCCAAAGTGGCTGTACCATTTTGCATTCCCACCAGCAATGAATGAGAGTTCCTGTTGCTCCACATCTTCATCAGCATTTGGTACTGTTGGTGTTCTGGATTTTGGCCATTCTAATAGGTATATAGTGGTTATCTCATGGTTGTTTCACTTTGCATTTCCCTAATGACACGGAAGGTAGAGCATCTTTTCATACGCTTATTTGTCATCACTGTATCTTCTTTGATGAGGTGTCTTTTGTCCATTTTTTTGGCATATCTGTATTTACTTTATTATATCTTACTAATATTCTTTAAGGGACAAACCAGGCAAGTAGGCTACAGTGAGGAAATCTTAGTTAAGAAACCACTATGATACTTCCAGGTATTATCTTCAGTGATGTTTATCTTTATTCTGGGACTCCAAGTAATATTCAGCTCCTACAGCTACCACAAATGCAGCAAATCCCCATTTGAATCTTTGTAATAATGCACCAACAAAGGAAACATTTCTGCAAAGCCACCCACGTATCACCAAGCTTCACTGAGGCCCAATAAATCCCTTAGCCCTCCTGCAGCCAGCTTCTTCTAGACAGTTTCTACTGGTGGTGAAAGTGTAATTTAGCACAACCATTCTGAAAAACTGGCATGATCTGACAGCAACTTTTGTCCATTTTTTAATCAGATTGTTCATTTTCTTATTGAGTTTTAAGAGTTATCTGCAGGCCAGGCATGGTGGCTCACGTCTGTAATCCCAGCACTTTGGGAGGCCGAGGAGGTCAGATCACCTGAGGTCAGGAGTTCGAGACCAGCATGACCAACGCAGAGAAACCCCATCTCTACTAAAAAATACAAAATTAGCCGGGTGTGGTGGCGCATGCCTATAATCCCAGCTACTCGAAAGGCAGAGGCAGGAGAATTGCTTGAATGCGGGAGGCAGAGGTTGCGGTGAGCTGAGATCGCGCCACTGCACTCCAGCCTAAGCAACAAGAGCGAAACTCCATCTCAAAAAAAAAAGAATTATCTGCATATTTTGGATAACAATACTTTATCAGACACGTCTTTCACAAATATTTTCTCCCAGTACATGGATCATCATCTCATTCTCTTGATAGGGTCTTTCACAAAGCAAAAGCTTTTAATTTTAATGAAGTCTGGCTTATCAACTATTTCTTTCAAGAGCAGATTGTTTTGATTTGTTTAGGTTTGGTTTGGAGGGTGGGGAACTATGAATATAATTTTTTATTTTTATTTATTAGACAGAGTTTTGTTCTAACTCCTCTCCATGGAGGCTGCCCCACACACCAGCCTCACCAGGTCTGGGTGGCTACCTAGGCATGCTCCCTCCTCTGAGGCTTTGTACTTTCTGTTCACTCAGTCAAGAATGCTTTTCCCTAGACATGGGCTTGGCTATCTCTCTTCATCCAGCTTTCCTTTTCTCTCTCTCTTTTTTTTTTTTTTTTTGGAAACAAAGTCTTGCTTTGTCGTTCAGGCTGGAGTGCAATGGCGTGATATTGGCTCACTGCAACCTCCACCTCCCAGATTCAAGCGATTCTCCTGCCTCAGCCTCCCAAGTATCTGGGATTACAGGCACCTGCCACCACACCCAGCTAATTTTTATATTTTTAGTAGAGATGGGGTTTCACCACGTTGGCCAGGCTGGTCTCGAGCTCCTGACCTCAGGTGATCCACCCGCCTCAGCCTCCCAAAGTGCTAGGATTACAAGTGTGAGCATCACACCCAGCCCGAATATAATTTTTTAAAACAACTATTGCAACATAATTCACCTACATAAAATGCATCCCTTTGAAGGGTAAGAGTCAATGGTTTTCATTATATTCACAGTGGTGGCAACCATCACCATAATCAATTTTAGGACACTTTCATCACCCCAAAAAGAAACCATATACACATTAGCAGTCACTCCCCTCATCCCCATACCAACACCCCACAGCCCTATGTATTACCTCATAAATAATAATAATCACAACCTTGACCACAACCACTCAATCCAGTTAGTCCTTGTGGATAGACGGCTGTCTTTCCAGTCAATTTCAAAATATCAGTGTTGCACAGCATCCTACTTCTATTAATAATCCATTAGACCTATGATACATATTTATTTTTATAATAATTAGCATCCAAAGTTTGCAACCTATTTGCATTAAAGAACAAATATGCCAGGAACTGATGAATGATTCTAAGTTTGGCCTGTAATTTTTTCTTTTTTTGAGATGGAGTTTCGCTCTTGTCACCCAGGCTGCAGTGCAATGGCGTGATCTTGGCTCACTACACCCTCCGCCTCCCAGGTTCAAGCGATTCTCCTGCCTCAGCCCCCCAGTAGCTGGGATTACGGCACACGCCACCATGCCTGGTTAATTTTTGTATTTTTAGTAGAGACAGGGTTTCGCCATGTTGGCCAGGCTGGTCTCAAACTCCTGACCTCAGGTGATACACCCACCTTAGCCTCCCAAAGTGCTGGGGTTACAGGCGTGAGCCACTGTGTCTGGCCGGTTCCCATATTTCAATGTGCCAGAATTTTCGCTGACATGTAACTGGTTCTCCTAGTCCATAAGGCCTCCTAAACTTGAAGTCATCCCTGGTTATCACCCCATACACTATGTGCTAGCCTGAAAATAACAGTGGACTATAAACTGAAGAACATCGCTGTGAAACTCTGTCAATCTGAAAGATTGAGTGTCTGGAGAACACGTGTAAACTACCTAGCAGCAGCCTTCAACCAGGGCCCAGGCACACTAACTAGAGTAAAATTACAGCTGCGTCCTACGACTGCCACCTCTGCTGACCCCAACTGAGGATTTAGAGAGCTATGTCTCTAAGCCAAAGCTATTGCCTCTCATCTCTAGTTTGGCAGTAGCTTACAAATCGCTATCACGCGCACACAAAAATAAGAAGTCTATGCAATCTCACTATAAACGCTACGTGACTCAATCAACTACACTCACAGCGGCCTCAAAGAGCCCTGCCTTGTCATCATAGTAAAGACACATGCTCCTCTCCTCCCAAACCCTTTACAGCTTTATCCCAAATTTAGGGTAAACTATACCCCTTTCTCCTCATCGTGCCCAAATATTTTTTCTTTCTTTTTTTGTGTTCTGTTTTCTATTTATTTATTTTTTATTATACTTAAGTTCTGGGACACATGTGCAGAACGTGCAGGTTTGTTACTTAGGTATCCACGTGCCATGGTGGTTTCCTGCACCCATCAACCCATCATCTACAATCGGTATTTCTCCTAATGATATCCCTCCCTTTACCCCGGACCCCCTGACAGGCCCCAGCATGTGATGTTCCCCTCCCCTCTGCCCATATGTTCTCATTGTTCAACTCCCGCTTACGAGTGAGAACATGCGGTGTTTCGTTTTCTGTTCCTGTGTTAGTTTGCTGAGAATGATGGTTTCCAGCTTCATCCATGTCCCTGCAAAGTATTCCATGGTGTATATGTGCCACATTTTCTTTAACCAGTCTATCATCGATGGGCATTTGAGCTAGTTCCAAGTCTTTGCTATTGTGAATAGTGCTGCAGTAAACATGCAAGTGCATGCATCTTTATAGTAGAATGATTTATAATCCTTTGGGTATATACCCAGTAATGGGATTGCTGGGCCAAATGGCATTTCTAGTTCTAGATCCTTGAGGAATCGCTACACTGTCTTCCACAACAGTTGAACTAATTTGCACTCCCACCAACAGTGTAAAAGTGTTCCTATTTCTCCAAATCGTCTCCAGCACCTGTTGTTTCCTAACTTTTTAATGATTGCCATTCTAACTGGCGTGAGATGGTATCTCATTGCGGTTTTGATTTGCATTTCTTTAATGACCAGTGCTCTTTTTCATATGTTTGGTGCCCAACTACTTTCTAATCCTTGAACAGGAAGGGGTTCATAGCCATCATTCTTAGCAGACCTCTATGTCTCTTCTCTACCTTTTCCTCAAGACATTTGTTCACAGTTCCATTCTATTCTCTGTTCTGTCTCCCAGTTCCCTCTTGCCCTCACAAACACTGGGTTCTAAACTTTTAAAATTACTTGTTTAGTTGATCTTGTTATCTAAAACATACTACTTCCTTTATCTACTTTTACATACTGGTATTTATAAAACACTCTTAGCTTTAAAAAAAAAGATCTCACTGCCAGGTGTGGTGGCTCACACCTGTAAAATGAGCATTTTGGGAGGCCAAGGCAAGAAGATGGCTGGAGGCCCAGAGCTCAAGACTAGCTTGGGCAACATAGCAAAACCTCATCTCAACTAGCTAGCTAAGTAACTAACTAAATAAATATCTAGCTAACATTATATTTCACACAGTCTTTATATAAAGTCTCTACTATAATACAGATCACTGGGAATGAGAAGTTAGAAATCTGGAATGACCATGATATTCACACGCTTATGATCCAGAAGGTAGTATCTGTATCCTCAGGCCAGATCAGAGTTTCTCAACCATGGCACTACTAATTATTCATTGCAGGGGACTGCTTGCTGTCTTGTGGATGTTTAGCAAAATCTCCGACATCTACGCCTACTAGATACCCATAGTAACTTCCCACCCCTCCCCTGACCCAGCTGTGACAACCAAAAATGTCTCCAGACACTGCCAAAAATTCTTTGGGGGGCAAAATTGCCCCCAGTTGAGAACGACTGGTCTAGATCTTTCTCCTGCGTTTAATACTATTAGAACAGTGTTTAGAGCACATTTGGCAATCAACAAGTAGTTGTTATCTAAGTAACATAAGTATCCAAGAGTAATTCTGGACACCTCTATCTCAATGTCTTAGCTTGGCAGCATCTCAAACTCAATATGGCCCAAACCAAACTTCCCGTATTCCTTAATCTAGTTATAGTACTAAGTAATCCTTGCCAGAAACTAAAAAATTATGCTAAACTCTCTTCATCATAACCTAGACCAAATCTGTTAACAGGTGCCACTATACCTTCTTCATTTCCTTTCCAACACAACAATCACTTATCATTGCCTTATCTCAGACTCTCATATCACCGGGCCTACTGCTTCTATGACATTTTTCCTGCATTCCAATCCATGGTCCACAATGCTGCCAGAATAAACATTTCAAAAGCCTACTGTCATTCTCCTTCTTAAAAACTCCTCAAGCGTATTCCTCCATTTATGGCAGTGTTTCCCAAACACCAAATACCATTTTCATTATTTTGTCATATTCCTACCACATACAACAGTGTATCCCTGTAATAATTTTCTTTGAATCTACTTTTATTTTTAGTTAGCTACATTTTAAACAGTATCACGAATCACAGTATGATTTTTCCCTAAAATATAAAAACATTTCATAGTGTTCATGCACCACCTAAAAAATAACAATCTAAGTTTAACAGCCTACTCTTCTATGATTTGGCATCTTTCTTTCCAGTACCACCTCCAGCCATACCAAACCACTTCAAGTTCCCCGAACCAGCCATGTTCTTGCAAATTACATTATACTATTGCACATGGTGTTTATTCTGTTTGCATGTTCTTTCCTTCTCATTTTGTCTACCTGAACTCTGCCCCTCGTAACTGCTCCTTTATGAAATCATCTCTGACTCTAAAGTTACATACTGCTTCTTCTGTTTGCCAACACCCTGGTCAGCCTCTATTACAGTCTTTGTTTACCTCCTTACCTCCCTTACTATATTGAAAGCCCCTCAAAGGCAGACACAAGTATCCAATTCTGCCCCTGGCACCCACAGGGAACAGTACTCAACACAAGGAACCATGTAAATAAGTGTTTGTTGGCTGGGCACAGTGGCTCACACCTATAATCTCAGCATTTTGGGAGGCCAAGGCAGGAGAATCACCTGAAGCATTTGGGACCAGCCTGGACAGCATAGCAAGACGCTATCCCTTAAAAAAATTTTTTTTTTGCCAGGCGCGGTGGCTAACGCCTATAATCCCTGCACTTTGGGAGGCCAAGGCGGGTGGATCACGAGGTCAGGAGATTGAGACCATCCTGGCAAACACAGTGAAACCCCATCTTTACCAAAAATACCAAAAAACTAGCCAGGCATGGTGGCATGCATCTGTAGTCCCAGCTACTTGGGAGGCTGAGGCAGGAGAATTGTTTGAACCCAGGAGGCAGAGGTTGCAGTGAGCCGAGATCGCGCCATTACACTCCAGCCTGGTGACAGAGTGAGACTCCATCTCAAAAATAAAAATAATAATTAATCAGCTGGGCACACTATTGCACACCTGTACTCCCAGCTACTTTTGAGGCTGAGGCAGAAGGATCAATTGAGCCCAGGAGTTTGAGGTTGCAGCAAGCTACAACTGCACCACTGCACTCCACCCTGGGCAGCAGACTGAGACCCTACCTCAAAGAAAAAAAAAAAAAGAAGAAGAAGAAACAAGTATTTGTCATAAAGCAGTAAACAGTTTGAGTCAATAAACCTTTACTGATTATCACATACAGGGCAGTGTTCTAAAATTGTGGAAAACACAAATAAGGAATGGCCAAACACAGTGGCTCACATCTGTAATCCCAACACTTTGGGAGGCCGAGGTGGGCGGATCACCTGAGGCCAGAAGTTCGAGACCAGCCTGGCCAACATGGTGAAACCCCATCTCTACCAAAAAATATATATATACAAAAATTAGCTGGGTGTGGTAGTGCGCACCTGTAATCCCAGCTGAGGCAGAACTGCTTGAACCCAGGAGGTGGAGACTGCAGTGAGCTGAGATGGTACCACTGTACTCCAGCCTGGGCAATAGAGTTAGATTCAGTCTCAAAAAAAAAAAAAAAAAAAAAACCTCAGGTAAACATGTCACCCTTAAGAACTGTCCAAGAGATTAGACAACCTCCAAGTTATAGAACCCCTGCTCCCCAAAAATATTAATACTTAAATATAAGTATTCAGTAAACCTGCCTTTATCATTAATTCTTCCATTTAGCCAGGTATGGAATCTGTATCTTTTATTAATCTCTCTGAAATCTTTCTTGTGGATAAAATCACATGAGCTCTTTATAAGAAAGGTTACACTGTGGTCCATTTACTTTCACATATGTCATTTTTTTTTTTTTTTGAGACAGGGTCTCGCTCTGTTGGCCAGGCTGGAGTGCAGTGGCATGATCTCGGCTCACTGCAACCTCCATCTCCCAGGCTCAAGCAATTCTCCTGCCTCAGCCTCCCGGCCCACATATGTCATTCTTATTCCTTCAAAACTGTTATGTATGCCAGGCATGGTGGCTCACGCCTGTAATCCCAGCACTTTGGGAGGCTGAGAAGGGTGGATCACCTGAGGTCAGGAGTTTGAGACCAGCCTGGCCAACATGGTGAAACCCCATCTCTACTAAAAATACAAAAATTAGCCAGGAGTGGTGGTGGGTGCCTGTAATCCCAGCTACTCAGGAGGCTGAGGCAGGAGAATCGCTTGAATCCGGGAGGCGGAGGTTGCAGTGAGCTGAGAACGTGCACCTGCACTCTAGCCTGGGCAACAGAGCAAGACTCCGTCTCAAAAAAACAAACTAACAGGCCAGGCTCACACCTATAATCCCAGCACTTTGGGAGGCCGAGGTGGGTGCATCATCTGAGGTGAGGAGTTCGAGACCAGCCTGAACAACATGGGGAAACCTGGTCTCTACTAAAAATACAAAATTAACTGGGCGTGGTGGCACATGCCTGTAATCACAGCTACTCAGGAAGGCTGAGGCAGGAGAATCGCTTGAACCCGGGAGGCAGAGGTTGCAGTGAGCCAAGCTCACGCCATTGCACTCCACCCTGAGCAACAAGAGCGAACAAACAAACAAAAACAGTTATGTAGATTTGATCCAGTACTAGTGATGTGACCATTTCCAACTTAGCGAAACAGAAATTGTGATTAAATCTGGAACATCGTATGCATTTAGTATTTTATCTTCTAATCAATTTAAAACACAAGTAAATTTCTGTCTTCTTTTCTACAGAACAAATCTTTTCCATCTTGCTCATTAAGTGGCCTCAATGATTACTTTTCTTAATAGAATGTTTTATTTTGCCTTTACAGCCTCAGAAAAAGTACTCCTGGCATACTTTCTTGGCCTAATTTTAGGTTGCACTTCATGCCAAGAAACAGAAAAAAATTAAATTTCTTTAAATACACCAGAGATGAGCAACACAACAAATTAATCTGATAAAAGCATTTCCAAGACAGAAAAAAAAGTCTCTACCTATAAAGAAAAATTCAGAATACTTTTGTCTTGGTTGCCCAAAACATATATTTTTAAGTTTATTAAGAAATGGATACAGGCCAAGTATAGTGGCTCATGCCTGTTATCCCAGCATTTTGGGAAGCCAAGGTGGGAGGATCGCTTGAGCCCAGGAGTTCAAGACTGGCCTGGGTAACATAGCAAGACCCTGTCTCTACCAAAAAAATAAATAAAAATTAGCTGGTCATGGGGGCATGTGCCTGTGGTCCCAGCTTCTCAGGAGGCTAAGGTGGGAGGACTGCCTGAGCCCAGGAGGTCGAGGCTGCAATGAGCCATGATTGTGCCACCACACTACAGCATGGGTGAGAGTGAGACCATGTCCCCGCTCCCCCACCAAAAAAAAGATTAAAAATTTTTTTAAGAAAAAAAAAGAAACAAATACAAGTCAAGTACAATGCAGCTATGTTTCAACAAGAAATAAAATGGTCTAAAAATTGTACTTCCTTAAGGTAAGAAGGAAATCTAATGTTTATCAAACTAAGAGGTACAAAGAAGTCCAACAGATTTTTCTTTCTTTTTTTTTTTTTTTTTTTTTTTGGTGAGACGGAGTCTCCCTCTGTCACCCAGGCTGGACTGCAGTGGCGCAATCTTGGCTCACTGCAACCTCCGCCTCCCTGGTTCAAGCGATTCTCCTGCCTCAGCCTCCCAAGTAGCTGGGATTCCAAGCACCTGCCACCACCTCCAGTTTATTTTTGTATTTTTAGTACAGACGGGGTTTCACCATGTTGGCCAGGCTGGTCTCGAGCTCCTGACCTCAAGTGATCCACCTGCCTCAGCCACCCAAAGTGCTGGGATTACAGGCGTGAGCCACTGCACCTGGCCAGATTATCTTTCAAATCATTTCAGTGCCCAATTTCCTTTTCTTTTTTTTTGAGACAGAGTCTTGCTCTGTCTCCCAGGCTGGAGTACAGTGGTGTGATCCCGGCTCACTGCAAGCAATTCTCCCGGGTTCAAGCCATTCTCCCTGCCTCAGCCTCCCAAGTAAGTAAACTGGGATTACAGGCACCTACCACCATGCTCGGCTAATTTCTGTGTTTTTAGTAGAGAGGGGGTTTCACCAAGTCGGTCAGTCTGGTCTCAAACTCCTGATCTCAAATGATCTGCCCACCTCAGCCTCCCCAAGTACTGAGATTACGCCACTGTGCCCTAGACACATTTTCATAAAAAGCAACATTTTATTCATCATAAACACAAAGTTCAAAAAAGCTTTATGCATGATAAATAAGAAGAAAAAATTCCATGTCAATTCACTGACATGCAATAGTCAACCTCACCTATGGGATTAATAATGCTACTAAGAGGTCTGGTTAGTTTTCCATGAATTGGGTCCCAATGCTAGTTGTATTCTTATTCCCTTAAAAAAACCACATAGCAGAAAGAAGCCACAAAAGGAATGTCTGAAGGACTCAGATGAGCACAAATGCTACATTACTACTAACGAAGGCTGTCCTTATTTGAAATTATTCTATTAAAAACGGGAAAATGCACAAGAATGACTCCCCTATCATATGCCACATAAAATTAACAGGTAAGTACAATTCAGTCACATTCACAACAGCACGTGTGGCCTCAAATATTATGCATACTTGTTGACTGATGTTAAGTATCAACTTACTGTACAAAGAAGAAATAAAACAAAACCCACAGTAATATATTTCCTTAAGAATACACTGAGTCGGGGCTGGGCACGGTGGCTTACGCCTGTAATCCCAGCACTTTGGGAGGCCGAGGCGGGCGGATCACGAGTTCAGGAGATCGAGACCATCCTGGCTAACACGGTGAAACCCCGTCTCTACTAAAAATACAAAAAATTAGCCAGGCGTGGTGGCGGGCACCTGTAGTCCCAGCTACTCGGGAGACTGAGGCAGGAGAATGGCGTGAACCCGGGAGGCGGAGGTTGCAGTGAGCCGAGATGGTGCCACCGCACTCCGGCCTGGGCGACAGAGCGAGACTCCGTCTCAAAAAAAAAGAATACACTGAGTCGGTTAAATACTAGCACGAGCTGATAAGCACTGCTAGAAACCTAAGCTCTGATTTCAGCAAATGCATAGAAACACTTTTCAAAGAAGCAGTATACCTAGGCCGGCGCGGTGGCTCACGCCTGTAATACCAGCACTTTGGTAGGCCGAAGCGGGCGGATCACTTGAGGTCAGGAGTTCAAGACCAGCCTGGCCAACATGGCGAAACCCCGTCTCTACTAAAAATACAAAACAGCCGGGCGTCGTGACGGGCGCCTGTAATTCCACCTAGTCGGGAGGCTGAGGCAGGAGAATCGCTTGAACCCGGGAAGTGGAGGTTGCAGTGAGCCAAGATCGCACCGCTGCACTCCAGCCTGGGTGACAGAGTGAGACTCTATCTCAGTTAAAAACAATAATAATAATAATAATAATAATAATTAAAAAGTTTTAAAAAAGAAAAGCAGTATACCAAAGTCATTCCTTTACCCATACATACATTTACTCTTACTTGGACTCAGGAGTAACAAGGAACTCACCTCCTTTAGAAAACGAAGAAAATGAAATACTGAGTTAAGAAGGGGTTAAGGAGAAAGTATTTGTATTTATTGAGAACCAACTACTTTATCCACTTCAGTAAGCTCAACAACATACTCAGAAACGGGATTCACCTCTGAATTAGCAAAACCGACGATCCTAAAAAGCAATTTGGAGGAGTGGCAATGAAGAGGGACGACCTGACGTTCGCTCCCGCCAGTACCAAACCACTCGGGCCCACCGCCTTCCCCTTCCTCAGAGACCTAAACACACTGAGGCCGCGTTCCGGTAGCCGGTGGCATCTCCTGTCAGACGCCGGCCACTCCGCGCTCCTGTCACCTCCGGTGGAGGCGACCCCATCCCGAGGGCACTGCCGCGGGGGCTCGGCTCCGACTGCGGGAGACCCAGGGATGGGGTGGGGAGCCGAGCCTTCTAAATAAAGCTGTTACAGCTGCGGGTCCTGGGGCAGCCCGAAGGCCAGAAGGGGCGACCCTGGGACAGAGGCCGCGACATCCCTCGGGATCCCCACTGAGGCAACCGGGACAGCATTCGACGACTCGGCTCGCGAGACCCTCGGCGTGACGCCGGGTAGGACCGGGTCGACTGGCAATGGGGGAGGCCCTCCACCGCGACTGGACTGGATACCCGGCGGGGGTCCTGGAGAAAGGAAGGGCCGGCCGGCGGGCGCCCCACAGCCGGAAGGGGCGAGCCCGCAAATAGGGCTCACCTTCAGGTCGTTCTCTGGCAGGTACTTGCACAGCCGCGCTATTTCCACATACTTGTCCAGGTCTAGCGGCGCCATTTTAAGAATAACAAGCCGCGGCAACAGCGGCGGCGGCGGCTGTAGCAGCGGCGGCGGCAGCGGCGGAGGCCGAAGCCGGAACTTTCCCTGCGTCACGTCCGGCCCGTGAGTGGCGCCTGCGCAGCGCCGTTAAAGCGCGACCCGTTTCTCCCCGCTACGTCGGTACGCCCGGCGCCCCCTCTGGCTGAACCCCGACTGCAGGCCCCAAGAGAGCCCGCTTCGGTCCACCCCGCGAAACCTGCTGGGACCCGTAGTCGTCTGCCGCGGGGGTGCTGGGATGTGTAGTTTTCTGTTGTGGACAGCCACCCCTCTCTTTTCCTCCCGTTCCTCCAGACTTTCACCTCCCGGCAGCCGGCGAGGCTTTTCCGAGGCAAAACAGCGGAGTAGGTGGTCCTAGCCACTCACTGGTTTGTTTTTCCAACCCTTTTAAGCACTCTCCAGAATATCTTCACTTAACAATTGGGTAAGCCTGGCCGTAGTAACCGTTTGCACCTTTCCAAGTCCCTGTGAAAACCTCGCCTAAGCCTGTGGCAGAGATGTCAGGCCCCAGTCTTCCAGCCTGAAAGGAAGGGAAACGAATATTATTAAAGCATTTCTGATGCTAAATGCGATACAAATGATATTTTTCCTTTTAATCTTCGTAACGATTGATAGGAAAGTGAGGCTAGGAAACTGCAGTTCACCCCAAATCTCACAGGGAACAAAATGGTGGGGTCAAGATTGAAAAATGGCTTAAGCTTAAGCATGCTTCCAGTGAGAATCCCACGAGGGCAGGGAGTTTTTTGCTGTAACTCCAGCACCGAGAACAGTACCTGGTACTAGCATACCTTCAGCGTTCGTTTATCCAACCACTCTTTGCTGAGCAACAAAGATGTGCCAGGTACAGCTCAAGGCGCTTGCAGTACTTCGTGAACAAAATAGACAAAGATCTCTATTCTATCTGTAGCTACAAAAAGTACCAAAATTAGCCTGGCGCGGTAGTGCGTGCTTGTGGTCCCAGCTACTCTGGAGGCTGAGGCAGGAGAACCGCTTGAGTTGGGAGGCGGAGGTTGCAGTGAGCTGAGATCGCGGCACTGCACTCCAGCTTGGGCGACAGAGCGAGATCCTCCTCAAAAATAAATTAGTAAAAGGAGCTGCTGTATGGGACTAGGGGTGGGGGTGCAATGCCTATAGCTAAGAGACCAGTTAAGAGACTGTTATGTAATCCAATAGTAGCAGGCGCTCAATAAATATTTGTTGCTCAAGAGACCCTGGAATTAATCCTCTTGCTCTCTAAAGTATATTTTGTGGACAATTGGCTAACCCTGAATGAGATATCTGGGTGAACTTCTTTGTATTATTCTTGTAACTCCTCTGAAAGTATGAAATTGTTTCAAAGTAAAATTAATTTTTAGAAGTTTGTTGCAGAATGAATGATGCCCACAAGCATTCATTTCTTCATTCATTAAACTAATAGTTACATAGTGCCTATTGGCCAGGCCGCGGTGGCTAATGCCTGTAATCTCAGCACTTTGGGAGGCCAAGGCAGGCAGATCACCTGACGTCAGGAGTTCAAGACCAGCCTGGCCAACATGCCGAAACCCCATCTCTACTAAAAATACAAAATACTGGGGAGGCTGAGGCAGGAGGATCACTTGAATTGCTTGAGGCAGAGGTTGCAGTGAGCTGAGATGGCGCCACTGTACTCCAGCCTGGGCCACAGAGTGAAACTCCATCTCAAAGAGAAAAGAAACCAGAGGTTACACAGTGCTTATGATGTGAATAAAACAGATATGATCCCTGCCCTAATCAGGCTTACAATCTGCTGGGAAGAGACAAACAGTATTTATTTATTTATTTACATTTACTGGTTTATTATTAATATAAAGGATATTACAAAGGATACAAATGAAGAGATGCATAGGGTGAGGTAATTAAAATTTTTGTTTTTGTTGAGGCCGGGTGCAGTGGCTCAAACTTGTAATCCCAGTAGTGAAGCCAAGGTGAGCAGATATCTTGAGGCTAGGAATTCAAGACCATCCTGGCCAACATGGTGAAACCTGATCTCTACTAAAAATACAAAAATTAGCTGGGCATTGTAGCACATGCCTGTAATCCCAGCTACTCCGGAGTCTGAGGCATGAAAATTGCTTTGAGGTGGGGGTTACAGGGAGCTGAGGTCGTGCCACTGCACTCCAGCCTGGCCAACAGAAAAAAAAAAAAAATTGTTGAGGTGAGGTCTTGCTGAGGCTGGTTTTAAATTCCTGGCCTCAAGCTATTCCGCTGCTTTGGCCTCCCAAAGTGCTGGGATTATACGTGTAAGCCACCATACCTGGCAGTGAGCAAATATTTAATTGCAAATTGTGATTAGTACTCAAAAGGGAAAATAGGAGGTACTATAAGCAAGAAAAATGGAGTAGACGAGGTCTACCTTTGGCTGGGCACAGTGGCTCACGCCTGTAATCCCAGCATTTTGGGAGACCGAGGCGGGCAGGTCTTTTTGAGGTCAGGAGTTCCTGACCAGCTGAGATCCCACCACTGCACTCTAGCCTGGGAGAGAAAGTGAGACCCTGTCTAAAAAAAAAAAAAAAACAAAAAACTACATTTTCTTACCTGTACTTGTGTCCTTTGGGGGAAAAAAAAGGGCCCAGCATGGTGGCACACGCCTGTAATCCCAGCACTTTGGGAGGCCGAGGCGGACGGATCATGAGGTCAGGAGTTTGAGACCAGCCTGGTCAATATAGTGAAACCCTGTCTCTACTAAAAATACAAAAAATTAGCCGGGTATGGTGGTGTGTGCCTGTAATCTCAGCTACTTGGGAGGCTGAGGCAGGAGAATTGCGTGAACCTGGGAGATGGAGGTTGCGGTTGCAGTGAGCTGAGATAGCGTCATTGCACTCCAGCCCGGGTGACAATGCAAGGCTCCGTCTTAAAAAAAAGAAAAAGAAAAAAAGAAAGAAAGAAAAAGAAAAACTTAGCCTGGTGTGGTGGCACGTGCCTGTGATCCCAGCTACTCAGGAGACTGAAGCAGGAGAATCACTTGAACCTGGGAGGCAGAGGTTGCAGTGAGCCGAGATCGCACCACTGCACTCCAGCCTGGACAACAGAGCGAGACTCCGTCTCAAAAAAAAGAGGCCTACTTTAGGTTGATAACACAGAGGAGGTAAAGTACAGGATGTAGCTTCTAGCACCATGTGGGCAGAGTTCAAATACAGGCTCTACCACTTATTGTGTGATTTTGGTTTGGAGAAGTTATTTATCCTTTCTGTACTCCAGTTTTCTCAGCTCCAATATGGAGATAATAATAATGCTTACCTCCTCTGGAGATTGTAAGAATACTACTTACCTCATAGGCTTGTACAAAGGTTTAACAGAGTTGGTATATGAAAATGGCTTAAAACAATGTCTGGGCCGGGCACAGTGGCTCATACTTGTGATTCCAACACTTTGAGAGGCCAAGGCAGGAGGATCACTTGAGCCAAGGAGTTCAAGACCAGACTGGGCAACATAGTGAGACCTCATCTCTACCAAAAAAAAAAAAAAATTAAAATTAGCCAGGTTTGGTGCTGGCACATACCTGTAGACCCAGCTACTCTAAAGACTGATGTGGGAGGATCACTTGAGCCCAGGAGGCCAAGGCTGCAGTGAGCTGTGATTGTGTCACTGTACTACATCAGGGTGACAGTGAGACTCTGTCTCAAAACAAAAAACAAAGACAAAAAAACATTGTCTAGCACAGAGTGAGTGCAATATGAGTGTTAACTCTGAGTATTAGGTGGGCAGGAAAGGCATTTCTGAAGGTGTAACATGTAAGACTTCAGAAAAAAAAATGTAGGAGGCTGGGCATGGTGGCTCACGCCTGTAATCACAGCACTTTGGGAGGCCCAGGCGGGCAGATCACTTGAGGTCAGGAGTTCAAGACAGGCCTGGTCAACATGGTGAAACCCCGTCTCTACTAAAAATACAAAAATTAGCCAGGCATGGTGGTGCATGCCTGTAATCCCACCTACTGGGAAGGCTGAGGCAGGAGAATCGCTTGAACCCGGGAGGCAGAGGTTGCATTGAGCCGACATTGCGCCACTGCACTCCAGACTGGGTGACAAAGCGAGACTCCATCAAAAAGAAAGAAAGAGAGAAAGAGAGAGAGGGAGGGGAGGGGAGGAAAAAAAGGCAGGACAGGTGCAATGACTCATGCCTGTAATCCCAGCACTTTGGGAGGCTGAGGTGGGCAGATTGCTTGGGCCCAGGAGTTCGAGACCAGCCTGGGAAACATGGCAAAACCCCATCTCTACAAAAAATATAAAAATTAGCCGGGCATGCTGGCATGTGCCTGTAGTCCCAGCTACTCAAGAGGCTGAGGCGGGAGGATTGCTTGAGCCCCAGAGGCGGAGGTTGCAGTGAGCCAAAGTTGTGCCACTGCACTCCAGCCTAGGCAACAGAGTGAGACCCTGTCTCAAAAAAAAAAAAGGAAAAAAAGGTAAAGGGATAATCTGCTCAGAATTTCTTGGAGAAAAAAATTCAAATGGAAGAAGATGCTGTTCTTGTTTAGATATTTTTCTTTTTTTTTTTTTTTAGAAACTGATGTTTATGGCCAGGCACGGTGGCCATAAACACACACACCTGTAATCCCAACACTTTGGGAGGCCAAGGCGGGCGGATGACGAGGTCAGGAGATCGAGACCAACCTGGCCAATGTGACGAAACACCGTCTATACTAAAAATACAAAAATTAGCCTGCCTGTAATCCCAGCTACTCAGGAGGCTGAGGCAGGAGAATTGCTTGAAACAGGGAGTCAGAGGTTTCAGTGAGCCGAGATTGCGCCACTGCCCTCCAGCCTGGCGAAAGAGCGAGACTGTCTCAAACAAAAAAAAAAAAAAAGAAACTGATGCCTATTTTCCATCAACCTTATTTCCAAGTTGCTTAAGAGTCCCTGCAAGAACAATTTAAAACCATTCAGTGGTCTGAACAGTGGGAGCTGCAGACCAGTCTTCCGTGGCAGGCTGAGTGCTCCAGTCTTCAGTAGGGAACTGCTGAATAGGCACAGAGGATACCTGCACCCTTCAGACCAGTCTGCAACCTCAGGCTGAGTAACAGTGAACTCAGGAGCTGGAGCAGTCCATTCACCCTGAAATTCCTCCTTTGTCACAGCCTTTTCAGTAGCAGCTTGCTCTTCTTTTTCAATCTCTTCAGGATCTCTGTAGAAGTAGAGATTAGGCAGGCCGGGCGCAGTATCTCACGCCTGTAATCCCAGCACTTTGGGAGGCCAAGGCGGGCAGATCATGAGGTCAGGAGATTGAGACCATCCTGGCTAACACGGTGAAACCCCGTCTCTACTAAAAATACAAAAAAATTAGCCGGGCATGGTGGCAGGCGCCTGTAGTCCCAGCTACCTGGGAGGCTGAGGCAGGAGAATGGTGTGGACCCAGGAGGCAGAGGTTGCAGTGAGCCGAGATTGCGCCACTGCACTCCAGCCTGGGCGACAGAGCGAGACTGCGTCTCAAATAAAAAAAAAAAAAGAAGTAGAGATCAGGCATGAGCTCCCACAGGTGTTCACAGGAAATGGTGCCACCTTTGTGCAGAACTTCCTGAGCCAGCATCCACCACATCAAACCCACTGAGTGAGCTCCCTTGTTGTTGCATGGGATGGCAATGTCCACATACTGCAGAGGAGAATCTGTATTACACAGAGCAATGGTAGGTAGGTTAACATAAGATGCCTCTGTTTGAGGCTGGTGGTCAGCCCTGGGGTCAGTAACCACAAAAAGCTGTGGCTCCCGGAAGGAGCCTGGATCTGGTTAGTGAAGGTTCCAGGAGTGAAGTGGCCAGCAACTGGAGTGGCTCTGGTGGCAGCAGCAAACTTCAGCACAACCCTCTGGCCAGTATTCCTAGGGGATATAACACTGGCATCAGCAGGGTTTTCAATGGCAACAATGGCATGAGCTGCCAGCAGAAGCTTCTCCCAGGTCCTCTTCAGATTTATGATGTAGATGCCATCACTTTTCCTTTTATAGATGTACTGTTCCATCTAGAAGTCAAGATTGGTGCCACTAAGTGGGTTCCTACTGCAAGGAACTTAAGGACATCCTCCTCCTTCATTTGCAGGACAGCAAGGGCTCTGGACATTGTGAAAGTTTCCCTTTAAGTTATGATGGGAATCCATAACAACCCCATATGGACCCCTCTGTGGGTAGCATAGAAAACTGGCTGTTTTTCTTTCTTTCTTTCTTTCTTTTTTTTTTTTTTTTTTTTGAGACAGGCTGTCGCCTTTTTTTTTTTTTCTGTCACCTAGGCTGGAGTGCAGTGGCACAATCTCGGCTCACTGCAACCTCTGCCTCCTAGGCTCAAGCAGTCCTCCCACCTCAGCCTTCCAAGTAGCTGGGATTACAGGCATGCATCTCCACACCTGGGTAATTTTTGTATTTTTAGTAGAGACGGGGTTTCACCATGTTGGTCAGTCTGGTCTCAAACTCCTGACCTCAGTTGATTGGCCCACCTCGGCCTCCCAAAGTGTTGGGATTACAGGCATGAGCCACTGCGCCCAGCCACAATTCACTCTTAATCTCTGAACCTCAGTAATTGGGAATAAATCCTATTCAAGATACCTTCTCAGAAGTGGGAAGGAAGACAAATAGGGAGATGGATGTGAATGTTCTTCATAAACTGTAAAGTGCTTAAAAGGAAGGTCTCACCGGCATTCATTACTTCCCTTGCTGATGCATCAGTAAAGAGGTCAGTGGTGTGCTGTTCCAGTGAAAATAGGTGGCAGTCCTCACATGACCACACTATCTGACAGGAGGAAGCTCCCTCCTGCAGACCCACCTCATTGAGTGAACATCATTCTTCACATCCACAGCAGAGAGAAAAGAAGAAAGCGTGCGTCAGAGTGTTGGGCAAGCTTTTAGGAGAGGTGTTAGACACTTCCAGTGGTTTGGTATGGAGATGGGGTAACAGAGCTTGATGACTGGAATGCATTCTTAGTCTTCCTTGCAAGAAATAAGAGATCTGGGTTCCTGGGTTCCTGGTTCTGCCATTTTATGTGGGGTAGTTATTTTAACTTCTCTGGGCCTTGATTTCCATTTTTAAAAATACATCTCTTGCCAGGCACAGTGGCTCACACCTGTAATCCCAGCACTTTTGGAGGCAGAGGTGGGTGAATCATTTGAGGTCAGGAATTCAAGACCAACCTGGCCAACATGGTGAAACCCTGTCTCTACGAAAAATACAAAAATTAGCCAGGCATGGTGGTGCGCACCTGTAGTCCCAGGTACTCAGGAGGCTGAGGCAAGAGAATTGCTTGAACCTGGGAGGCGGAGGTTGCAGTAACCTGAGATCATGACACTGCACTCCAGGCTGGGCGACAGAACAAGATTCCATCTCAAAATAAGTAAATAAATAAAAATAGAAATAGAAAATACATCTCAGGCAGCCTGGCGCAGTGGCTCACGCCTGTAATCCCAGAACTTTGGGAGACCGAGGTGGGTGGATCACGAGGTCAGGAGTTCAAGACCAGCCTGGCCAAGATGGTGAAACCCCGTCTCTACTAAAAATGCAAAAAAAAAATTAGCTGGGTGTGGTGGCGGGTACCTGTAATCCCAGCTACTTGGGAGGATGATGCAGAGAATTGCTTGAACCCGGGAGGCGGATGTTGCAGTGAGCCGAGATCATGCCACTGCACTCCCCCAGCTTGGGCGACAGAGCAAGACTGTCTCAAAAAAAAAAAAAGAAAATAGATCTCAGGCATTCCACATTCTCAAATGTGATTTCTAGTCTAAAAGCATAGGTTCAGCAGGCACGGTGGCTCATGCCTGTAATGCCAGCACTTTGGGTGGCCAAGGCAGGTGGATCATCTGAGGCTAGGAGTTCAAGACCAGCCTGGCCAACATGGTGAAATGCCGTCTCTACTAAAAGTACAAAAATTAACCATACGTGGTGGCCACGCCTATAATCCCAGCTACTTGGGAGGCTGAGGCAGGACAATTGCTTGAACCCAGGAGGCGGAGGTTGCAGTGAACTGAGGGCGCCACTGCATTCCATCCTGGGCGACAAATCGAGACTCCGTCTGTAAATAAATAAATAAATAGGTCCCGCAGTGAAAACTGGCTGCTATTTTGCCCACAAACCTCTTCCAATTTTTCTTGTTGATGTGCCACTCCAGCATGGCACCTTGAAACAGAGCTAGCCAGAAAACACCGGGGACATCAGAGCATTCTGCAGCTGTGAGCAGAAATGTACGTGGAGATGCACATGGACATATGGCAGAGCTAACCTGGACTTGGTTTTCTTTCCTGAAGGAGAGCAGAATGACTGAATATCCCTAAACTTCTCTTTGGCAGACAGTCAATGGGGATTTTTCCACTAAAGTGGGAACTCACAAAGACTCCATATGTTTGAAAGAGCCGCAGACCTTGAATTCCATTTTGTCAATAAATTTTGGTTATGGTTTCAAGTAGCTAAAATATTCCTTTCACCAACCTGGCCTTTCACCTGTATTAGCACATCCTCTGAACAGTTCTGTCTGCACAGCAGGTAATACTATCATCATTCTATAGATGAGGAACTAGGGTTCAGAGTGGGTAACTTGCCAAATGTCAGAGTTAGATGGTTAGTGCTGGACCCTGGATTTTTTTTTTTTGACAGAGTCTTGCTCTGTTGCCCCGGCTGGAGTGCAGTGGCACGATCTCGGCTCACTGCAACCTCCACCTCCTGGGTTCAAGTGATTCTTCTGCCTCAGCCTCCTGAGTAGCTGGGATTACAGGCAAACGCCTGGCTGATTTTTTTTTAGACAGAGTCTTGCTCTGTTGCCCAAGCTGGAGTGCAGTGGCATGATCTTGGCTCACCACAACCTCTGCCTCCCGATTCAAGCAATTCTCCTGCCTCAGCCTCCCGAGTAGCTGGGACTATAGGTGCGCATCACCGTGCCTGGCTAATTTTTGTATTTTTAGTAGAGATGGGGTTTCACTATGTTGGCCAGGCTGGTCTTGAACTCCTGACCTCGTGATCTGCCCTCCTTGGCCTCCCATAGTGCTGGGATTACAGGCATGAGCCACCACACCCAGCCTGGAGCTTGGATTTTAACCCAAGTATGTTTGATCTCTTCCCACTAAGCTACCATAGCTCTATACTCCAGGAGCTCCTGTTTCTAACCTGAGCTGTTTTCTCTATTTTCTAGGACACAGCGACAGTTTCAGAGACTGGAGTTCTTTGAAACAGACATAAGAGAGCAAGCCACCTCTCTATTTTCAGGAAAGACACAGAGAACCTATGGTTATGAACTAAAACAAAGATAATGTAGATTCTGAATATGTCTAGAGACATTGTTCATTTATAGTCAGGAATAGCTTTACCCTTGACAGAGAACTCTGTGCCAGCTGCTGGGTGCTGAGCACTTTTATTTACATTATGTCATGTATTCCCCACCACAACTACTACATACATCTCTCTTTTTTTTTTTTTTTTCTTGAGACGGAGTCTGGCTCTGTCACCCAGGCTGGAGTGCAGTGGCACTATCTCGGCTCACTGCAACCTCCGCCTCCCAGATTCAAGCAATTTTCCTGCCTCAGCCTCCTGAGTAGCAGGGATTACAGGCGCCCACCACCACGCCTAGCTAATTTTTGTGTTTTTAGTTGGGGGGGGGGGCGGGGGCGTTCACCATGTAGGCCAGGCTGGTCTCGAACTCCTGACCTCGTGATCCGCCCGCCTCGGCCTCCCAAAGTGCTGGACTTATAGGCGTGAGCCACCGCGCCCAGCCTATGATAGAAATCTTATTAGCTCCATGGTTACAAACAGACAACCCTGAGGCCTGGAGGAAAGTAACTTCAGAACAGATACTCTCCTGGCTGAACTTTATATTTATTGCACTCTTGGCAGTCGTCCCTAGTTGTCTTTTTCTTTGATCTCTCTCTAGTTAAGACTTGCTCCTGGAGGCAAAGCGTGGTGGTGTCTGGCTCAGCATAGCACCTGCCATAATTACAAATGGCAATTATGGAATGAATCAGCTGTTTAAAGCACCAAATCTTGAGCTGGCCCGAAGACTGCGCAGGAGGATTGCATGCTCAACTCTCCCCTTTAGAAACTGTTAACAATCGTTGTGGCCGGGCGCGGTGGCTCACGCCTGTAATCCCAGCACTTTGGGAGGCCGAGGCGGGTGGATCATGAGGTCAGGAGATCGAGACCATCCTGGCTAACAAGGTGAAACCCCGTCTCTACTAAAAATACAAAAAAAATTAGCCGGGCGCGGTGGCGGGCGCCTGTAGTCCCAGCTACTCGGGAGGCTGAGGCAGGAGAATGGCGTGAACCCGGGAAGCGGAGCTTGCAGTGAGCCGAGATTGCGCCACTGCAGTCCGCAGTCCCGCCTGGGCGACAGAGCGAGACTCCGTCTCAAAAAAAAAAAAAAAAAACAATCGTTGTAACTGGAAATGTAACTGTTATACCCTCCCCCCCTTTTATTTATTTATTTTTTTGAGAGGGAGTTTTTGCGCTGTTGCCCAAGCTGGAGTGTGGTGGCGCCCAGCCCTGTTAGCCCCTTACAGAGTAGATCAGCTGCCGCAGGCATCTGAGTTCCCCAAACGGACGCCCGAACCCGGCATTGCGCAAATCGTTTCCAAGTAGCCCCGGCTTATTTATCCCGTCCGGGAGGGAGGGACCCAGGGAAGGCCCACCCCACTTGGTTCCCGAGAAATGCAGAGCCTGGCGTCCACTCCCGGTCTGGGGGACCCCTCCACCGCCAGCCCAGGAAGTCAGCGCCGGGCCCTCGGGGCGGAGCAGGGAAGAGGGAGCGGTTGGCCCGGACGCTCTTCCGGGTCCTGGGAGGAGGGCCCGGACCTAAGCCCCGCCCCTCCGGGGTGGAGTCACGGCTCGCGACTGGCCTAAGTCGCCGCAGGTATTGCAGTCCGGGGCTGGAGGGTAGGGGCGAGGGTCCCCGGATACCGGGTCTATCACGGTCTCGGGCAGGGAGTCTGAATCTTTTAGGGGAGTGGGCCCAAGCCGGGTGCAAAGAACGGGGAAGGGCCTTCCCTGGCTCCGTCCCGGCCACTTTGACCGAATCAGCCTGTTCTTTCCCGACCCCGTCTCCTATCCCCTAGAACTGCCACGTGGGGATGAGATTTGCTGGGCTGGTAGCGGCGGCTGCTGCGGGAGGTCCCGCCCACGTGAAGCCAGCCTAACTGAGCTCTGGACTTTGGGGACAGCTGTCAGTGGCCTAGGCCGCAGGTGAGATTTATCCATTCATCTCTCAATCTATTTTCTTTCTTCATTCACTAGCCACTCCCCCACTTCTACTCCATGCCAGGTCCATTGGTAGGTTCTCGGAATGGATCTGACAGGCCCAGCCCTCTAGGAACTTAGTCTAGTGGAATTTAATCTAGAATCTAGTCTAGAAGCCTTAAATAGATAAACATTCCAAATGATTCCTGCAATGGTGATGGCTAATACCTTCAGAGCCCAGTGGGTGGAAGAAGGAAGTAACTTGGATGTGGGTGGAAGAGAAAAGGGCAAATCAGGGAAGGTTTCACCAGGGAAGGGACTTTTGAACTGGGCTTTGAAGGTTAACTAGGAGTTTGCAAATTTCCCAGAAGGGAAGCGACATTCCAAATAGGGGAAGCAGAACAGGCTGCAAAATTATGAAAAGGCCTGCCATATTACAAGAACAGCAAAAAAACCAATAATGCAAGAGATTGTGGAGGTGAGTTCACGGGAAAAAAGCTCAACAGCAGAAGGCCTTACTTTCTATGCTATGTTGAGGCCAAGATTTATCCCAGAGCTCAGTATTTCTCAGCTTCTTTAAATATTTTGTCCTTTGAGCGGAGAGCAGTGGCTCACACCTGTAATCCCAGCTTTTTAGGAGGCTGAGGTGGAAGAATTGCCTGAGGCTAGGAGTTCGAGACCAGCCTGGACAACAAAGCGAAACCTCCATTTCTATTTTTTTTTCTTTTTTTGAGGAGGAGTCTTGCTCTGTCGCCAGGCTGGAGTGCAAGTGGCGCAATTTCGGCTCACTGCAACCTCCGCCTCTTGGGTTCAAGCAATTCTCACGCCTCAGCCTCCTGAGTAGCTGGGACTACAGGCGTGGGCCACAACGCCCAGCTAATTTTTTTTGTATTTTTAGTAAAGACAGGGTTTCACCATGTTGGCCAGGATGGTATCGATCTGACCTCATGATCCGCCTGCCTCGGCCTCCCAAAGTGCTGGGATTACAGGCGTGAGCCACTGCTCCCAGCCCCGTTTCTATTTTTAATTAAAAAATAAATAAATGGCCGGGCTCAGTGGCTCACGCCTGTAATCCCAGCACTTTGGGAGGCCGAGGCGAGCCAAGTTCAAGACCAGCCTGGCGAACATAGTGAAACCCCATCCCTACGAAAAATACAAAAAAAATTAGCCAGGTGTGGTGGCACTTGCCTGTAGTCCCAGCTTACTCTGGAGGCTGAGGCAGGAGAATAGCTTGAACCCGGGAGGCAGAGGTTGCAGTGAGCTGAGATCCTGCCACTGCACTCCAGCCTGGGTGACAGAGTGAGACTCCATCTCAGAAAAAATAAAAATAAAAAATAAAGCCAGGCACGGTGGCTCATGCCTGTAATCCCAGCACTTTGGGAGGCTGAGGCGGGCAAATCACCTGAGGTCAGGAGTTAGTGACCAGCCTGGCCAGTGTGGTAAAACCCCGTCTCTACTAGAAAAGCTAGAAAAATGAGCTGGGCGTGGGTGGGCACCTGTAATCTCAGCTACTCAGGAGGCTGAGAAAGGAGAATCATTTAAACCTGGGAGGGGAAGGTTGCAGTGAGTGGAGATTGCACCACTGCACTCCAACCTGTGCAACAGAGTGAGACTCTATCTAAAAATAATAATAAAGATAAATACATAGGCCAGGCACGGTGGCTCACACCTGTAATCCCAGCACTTTGGGAGGCTGAGGCGGGTGGATCAGCTGAGGTCAGGAGTTCGAGACCAGCCTGACCAACATGGTGAAACTCCATCTCTACTAAAAATAGAAAAATTAGCTGGGCGTAGTGGCACATGCCTGTAATCCAAGCTACTCGGGAGGCTGAGGGAGGAGAATCGTTTGAACCTGGGAGGCAGAGGTTGCCATGAGCTGAGATCTTGCCATTGCACTCCAGCCTGGGCAACGAGAGCTAAACTCCATCTCAAATAAATAAATAAATAAATAAATAATAAAAATAAAGATGAAAAGTTGGTGATTCTTATTCAAATCAATCAGGCCTAGAAATTAGTACATTCAACAGGAAAGGTTTAAAAAGGAGGTTGAATTGATTAAGATGATAATCATAAGTGTCTAAAAAGTGCCTTTCTTTCTTATGCATAGGACACCATGAAGCAACTGCCAGTCTTGGAACCTGGAGACAAGCCCAGGAAAGCAACATGGTCTGTAAGGAAGGATCCAGACACAGAAAAGCATGAGTTTTTGTTTCATTTATAAGTAGTTTATTTACATATTTGATCATCAACAAAAAGGGGTAGAGATGAAACTGTCTGCAGTTTCTGGTAATTAGACTCAAACTGTCTGAGAAAGTCTTCAGAGGAAAGATAGGGGGGCAGTAATTATCACAGAGCAGATGTTAATTTTATTAAAATCCATTTACCAGAAAGAGTAAGGCACTGACCATCTGGCATCCTCAGCTCCAATGCTGTGTCTTCCCCCGAGCTCTGACTCATTTTTAAGATTTTTAGGAAATTAGATTTGGATTAAACTGGCTTCACTGTTTCTTGGCTGTTTGTTCAAACAACCCTTTATTCAACAACTAACATTGGCCTGATGGGGGCAGCTGCTCTGTGGGTGCTGGAGGTAGAATTGTAAATAGTCTCTGTGTACTGGGGACTACAGACTAAGCAGGTGATGGTGATAAAATGTGATCTGCTCTGAGTCAGGGCCCACAGAAGGTTGTAGAGAGGTGGCAGTTCTTCAACAGGACCTTGAAGGAGAGACTCCAGACTGGCTTCCATGCATCTGTCTTGCTCTGTACCCAGAATACAGCCAATCATGGCATTTCCTAGTTTAAAACCCTTTTGTGCCTCCCTGTTGGTGTTGGGATAAAAATCAGACTCCTGGGCTGGGCACGGTGGCTCATGCCTGTAATCCCAGCACTTTGGGAGGCCAAGGCGGGTGGATCTCCTGAGGTCAGGAGTTTGAGACCAGCCTGACCAATATGGTGAAACCCCATCTCTACTAAAAATACAAAAATTAGCTGGCATGGTGTTGTGCAACTGTAGTCCCAGCTACTAGGGAGGCTAAGACAGGAGAATTGCTTGAATCTGGGAGGCAGAGGTTGCAGTGAGCTGAGATCATGCCACTGTACTCCAGCATGGGCCACAGAGCAAGAATCCGTTTCAAAAAAAAAAAAAAAAAAAAAGGCCGGGCACGGTGGCTCATGCCTGTAATCCCAGCACTTTGGGAGGCCGAGGTGGGCGGATCACGAGGTCAGGAGATCGAGACCACTCTGGCTAACATGGTGAAACCCTGTCTCTACTAAAAATACAAAAAATTAGCCGGGCGTGGTGGCGGGCATCTGTAGTCCCAGCTACTCTGGAGGCTGAGGCACTCCAGCCTGGGCGACAGAGCGAGACTCCATCTCAAAAAAAAAGAAAAATCAGACTCCTGACCGGGCGCAATAGCTCATGCCTATAATCCTAGCACTTTGGGAGGCTGAGGTGGGTGGATCACTTGAAGCCAGGAGTTTGAGACCAGTCTGGCCAACATGGCAAAACCCCGTCTCTACTAAAAATACAAAAATTAACCGGGAGTGGTGGTGCATGCCTGTAATCCTGGCCACTCGGGAGGCTGAGGCAGGACAATTCTTGAACCTGGGAGGTGGAGGTTGCAGCAAGCCGAGATGGTGCCACTGCACTCCAGCCTGGGCGCAACAGAGGGAGACTCCGTCTCAAACAAACAAACAAACAAATTAGACTTCTTAAACTGGCCCAATGGTCCCTGCAAAATGTTTCTGCCTGTATTTCCAACCTCAAATCCCATGACTTGTTCCTTTGTTCTCTTTCTCTTCTTTATTGTGCCCTTTGCACTGTTCCACTCAGGAGCTGTTCATGCTGGTCTCTTTGCCTGGACTGCTCTTTCTGCCTGGAGTGCTCTTTCCCTCCACTTTTTGTCCCTCTCTTTTCCCAGCTTATTTTATTTTATTTTTGAGACAAGTTCTTCCTCTGTGGCTGGCCACCCAGGCTGGAATGCGGTGGTACAATTGTGGCTCATTATAGCCTCGACCTCCTGGCCTCAAGTAACCTTCCCATCTCCATCTCCCAAGTAACTGGGACTGTTGGTGTGTACTACCATGCCCAGCTAATTTTTTTTTTTAGAGACCCAGTCTCGCTATGTTGCCCAGGCTGGTCTCAAACTCCTGGGCTCAGGCGATCCTCCCACTCTAGCCTCCCAAAGTGCTGAGATTACAGGTGTGAGCCACCACACCTGGCCTACCCAGCTAATTTCTACTCATACTTCAGATCTCTCTCCAAATGGTGCTTCTTCAGGAAGCCTTCTCTGACCACCCTATCTCCCTGGCTCCTTACAGGGTGAGACCCTCCTAAGACATGCATGTCCTCATACTATATATTCTGTACTCCTTTCTACCACAATTGAAGTGAAACAGATAGTTGTGAAACTGTTGAATGTTTCTTTTCCCAACTAGTCTGTAAGGGCTATCAAGGCAGGGACTTTTTTTTGTTATATCCACCATCTCTGGATGGCTGTGTGCTTTTGGTAAATTACTTAACCTTTCTTAGCTTCAGTTCCTCCGTTGTAGAACTCAGATGATGGTAACAGCTGTTATCCTCAAAGCGTTTTTTTAGTTTTTGTTTGTCTTTGAAACGGAGTCTCACTCTGTTGGCAGGTTGGAGTGCAGTGGCACAATCTCGGCTCACTGCAACTTCCGCCTCCCGGGTTCAAGCGATCCTGCCTCAGCCTCCCAAGTAGCTGGGACTATAGGTGCATGCCACCACACCCAGGTAATTTTTGTATTTTTAGTAGAGACGGGGTTTCATCATGTTGCCCAGGATGGTCTCAATCTCTTGACCTCATGATCTGCCTGCCTCGGCCTCCCAATGTGCTGGGATTACAGGCGTGAGCCACTGCGCCCGGCCCTCAAAGGGGTTTTATGTAGATTAAGTGACATCAGAATAGAGCTCTGAATGGGAAACAAATTTGGCAACCACTGATGAATATATAGATGAGTGATAATTGAAGTTATCACTACAGATAACATTAATCAGGTAAGCAAATGTAAAGTGAGGAAAAGAGAATTGAGAATGACGGAGAGTCAGGAGGTGGCTGGTAGGAAAGGAGTCGGAGAAGGAAGCAGAAAGGACAACCAGAAAAGTGAGTGCAGAACCAAAGGAAGGGATGTGGGAAAGCCTGGCTGGGAGAAAGGCACAAGAAGCGAGGAGAGGTCAGGAGTCTCAAACACCAGAGAGGTCAAATAAGACAGGGCCTGAAAAACAGCTACAGAATTTTCTTTTCCAATCAGGAAGCTTCAAGTGTGTTTTCTCAGTCAGCATTCAGAATCACTGTGGAGAGTGGAATGGGCTGGGCGTGGTGGGCGCGTCCCTAGCACTTAGGGAGACCAGGGCAGAAGGATTGCTTGAGGCTGGGAGTTCAAGGCTGGCCAACATAGTGAAACCCCATCTCTACTAAAAATACAAAAATTAGCCAGGCATGGTGGTGCGCGCCTGTAGTCCCAGCTACTCGGGAGGCTGAGGCAGGAGAATCACTTGAAGCCTGGAAGTGGAGGTTATGGTGAGCCAAGATTGCACCACTGCACTCCAGCCTGGGCAACAGAGCGAGACTCCGTCTCAAAAAAAAAAAAGAGAGAGAGAGATAGTGGAATGACCGAATTCTGTATGTGATTTTTCAGAGTGCTAGCTTTGGCTTCCATCAGATTGAGCTTTGGGGGTAATCTGGAAAAGCTCTGAAATCAGTAAATTCTGGATAATTTTTTTGATGGAGAGGAATCACTGGCTAGTGGCAAGAGCCCCAGGGCTGTTGATTACCATGTGGTGGCACATAAAGCTCTCGCCACCATTTATTGAGTCCTTCCCTGCCCTGTTTTGACGTCTTGTCTCAGTCTTCACAATCATCTTTTGCAGTAAGAACTGTTGCTGTCCAGCCAGGCACGGTGGCTCACGCCTGTAATCCCAGCAATTTGGGAAGCCGAGGCGGGCGGATCACCTGAGGTCGGGAGTTCGAGACCAGCCTGACCAACATGGAGAAATCCCATCTCTACTAAAAATATAAAATTAGCCAGGTGTGGTGGCACATGCCTGTAATCCCAGCTGCTAGGGAGGCTGAGGCAGGAGAATCGCTTGAACCCGGGAGGCGGAGGTTGTAGTGAGCCGAGATCACGCCATTGCACTCCAGCCTGGGCAACAAGAGCAAAACTCCATCTTAAAAAAAAAAAAAAAAGAACCATTGCTGTCCTCATTTCACAAATGAGTAAACTAAAGTTCAGAAAGGTTAAGTGACTTCCAAAAGGTCACACATCTAGGAAGTACCTGAGCTCGAATTTGAACCAGATCTGTCTGAATTCATACACCATGCTCACAGCCACCATCCTGTGCCAAGACCCATCACTGAACATTTCTGGAGGTCAGTTTCCCTATCTACCAAATGGGGAAAAATAAGCCCAGTGCATTCCTACCAGATTACTGTGAGATGAAGACAGTGACAAAATTGAAAAGCCAAAGACTGTGTGCAAAGGGGAGGTACTATTATTAATCAGAGAAGTGCTGCTTTATTGGGTACAATTTAAAGTGTCTGCATAAGGCTCTTCATTCTGGTGAATATTTCATGAGGAATGGAAAGAGCACACTACTGCATTTATTCTCTGCTCAGGCCTCCTGAATACATCCTTCCTTTGGCAGGTACACCTTGACTGTCCCTGGAGACAGCCCCTGTGCTCGAGTTGGCCACAGCTGTTCATATTTACCCCCAGTTGGTAATGCCAAGAGAGGGAAGGTCTTCATTGTTGGGGGAGCAAATCCAAACAGAAGCTTCTCAGACGTGCACACCATGGATCTGGGTAAGATCAGCAGCTGCAGAGTACATGCCCTATGGCCAGAGAACAGGGCTGTGTGCTGCTAGCCATGAGCAGGGCATTCCTAAAAACACCAGCAGGGTTTTCCTATAAGAAAACATGGCCAGGACCAGGTGTGGTGGCTCACGCCTCTAATCCCAGCACTTTGGGAGGCCAAGGCAGGTGGATCACCTGAGGTTAGAGTTCGAGACCAGCCTGACCAATATGATGAAACCCTGTCTCTACTAAAAATACAAAAAAATTAGCCGGGTGTGGTAGTGGGCACCTGTAGTCCCAGCTACTCGGGAGGCTGAGACAGGAGAATTACTTTGAACTGGGGAGATGGAAGTTAAAGTAAGCCAGGATCATGCCACTGTACTCCGGCCTGGGTGACAGAGCAAGACTCTGTCTCAAAAAAAAAGAAAAAAGAAAAAGTCAGCATCACTGACAGATCCCTCAGGTTTCTTAGTAGGCCCCTGGCACACATTCATCTGACCAGTACCTCCTTGTTTAGCGGGAGAGAACCCTTATGGAGCCCTGGTTGTCCAGCCATTTATTCATCAAATATTTCTGTAGGATACATTGATGACTACCACCACTCATTCTATTCACATATCCAATATATCACTAAGCCCTACATATCTCTTTTCTTTGTTTTTTGTTTTTGTTTTTTTGAGATGGAGTTTCGCTCTTATTGCCCAGGCTGGAGTGCAATGGCGCGATCTTCACTCATTGCAACCTCTGCCTCCCAGGTTCAAGAGATTCTCCTGCCTCAGCCTCCCCAAGTACTTGGGATTACAGGCATGTGCCACCATGCCCAGCTAATTTTTTTTTTTTTTAGACGGAGTCCCACTCTGTTGCCAAGGCTGGAGTGCAGTGGCACGACCTCAGCTGACCGCAACCTGTGCCTTCCAGGTTCAAGCGATTCTCCTGCCTCAGCCTCCTGAGAAGCTGGGATTACAGGCGCCCACCACTACACCCAGCTAATCTTTTGTATTTTTAGTAGAGACTGAGTTTCACCATGTTGGCCAGGATGGTCTCGAACTCCAGACCTCATGATTCACCCTTCTTGGCCTCCCAAAGTGCTGGGATTACAGGTATGAGCCACCACGCCCAGCCTACATATCTCTTATCTTTATCCATGTCTGTCCATTTCCACTACTACTACTGTAGTCCAAGCCACTGTTATCTCTCAACTAGACTTACAAGAGCCTCCTCACCAGCCTCCCTGCTTCCAAGTTTACCCCCTATACAGTGCATTTTCTCTACCTAGCCAGCGAATATCATCTAAAATACAAATCTAACCATGTCACTCCCTATTTCAGACTTTTCTCAACCTCCCTTTTTTTTTTTTTTTTTTGAGACCAAGTCTTGCTCTGTTGCCCAGGCTGGAGTGCAGTGGTGCTGCAAACTCGGCTTACTGCAACCTCTGCCTCCTGGGTTCAAGCAATTCTCCTGCCTCAGCCTCCTAAATAGCTGGGATTACAGGTGTGCGCCACCATGCCCTGCTAATTTTTGTATTTTTAGTAGAGATGGGGTTTCACGATGTTGATCAGGCTGGTCTTCAAATCCTGACCTGGTGATCCTCCCGCCTCATCCTCCCAAAGTGCTGGGATTATGCATGTGAGTCACCACACCAGCCTTTTTTTTTTGAGGCAGCGTGTCGCTCTGTCACCCAGGCTGGAGTGCAGTGGCACAATCTTGGCTCACTGCAACCTCTGCCTACTGGGTTCAAGCGATTCTCCTGCCTCAGCCTCCTGAATAGCTGGGATTACAGGCGCGTGCCACCAGCCTGGCTAATTTTTGTATTTTTAGTAGAGATGGGGGTTTCACCATGTTGGCCAGGCTGGTCTCAAACTTCTGACCTCAAGTGATCTGCTTGCATCAGTCTCCCAAAGTGCTGGGATTACAGGCGTGAGCCACCGAGCCCGGCCCCAACCTCATTTCTTGGCTCTCTCCAACCCACATTTGCTGCACTGGATATCCTTCAGTTCCTTGAACACAGCTTGAGCTCTCTGGCCTCCATGCCTTTGCACACACAGATCCCTCTGCTAGGAATGTTTTTCCCTTTTCTTATCATCTGGCTTCTCTATATCTTTCAGATTTCAGATTAAATGTCACTTCTACCAGGAACCTTTCCTGTTACCTCTGGACTCGTTCAGGCACTACATGACTCTGTATGTCCGTAGTCTCATGTGCTCTTCCATCCTGTCTGCCTTCACAGCCCTATCACATGTGATTGTTTCTTGTCCGTCTGCCCCACAAGAACATAAGCTCCTCAGAAACAGATAGCATATTTTCCTCATCATTGTATCCCAGACACTACCACAGGGCTTAGTACAGAGTGGGTGCTCTATAAGTATTTAAATGAATGAATGAATGAACCTGCTAATAAGAAACAATTGGATCTGGGCGCAGTGGCTCACGCCTCTAATCCCAGCACTTTGGGAGGCTGAGGCGGGCGGATCGCTAGGTCAAGAGATCGAGACCATCCTGGCTAACACGGTGAAACCCTGTCTCTACTAAAAATACAAAAAATTAGCCAGGCGTGGTGGCGGGCACCTATAGTCCCAGCTACTCGGGGAGGCTGAGGCAGGAGAATGGCGTGAATCCGGGAGGCGGAGCTTGCAGTGAGTGGAGATCGTGCCACTGCACTCCAGCCTGGGTGACAGAGCAAGTCTCCGTCTCAAAAAAAAAAAAAAAAAAAAAGGAAATGATTATTAGCTGGGCGTGGTGACTCACGCCTGTAATCCCAGCACTTTGGGAGGCCGAGGCAGGCAAATCACAAGGTCAGGAGATCGAGACCATCCTGGCCAACATGGTGAAACCCTGTCTCTACTAAAAATACAAAAAAATTAGCTGGGCATGATGGCTTGTGCCCGTAGTCCCAGCTGAGGCAGGAGAATTGCTTGCATCTGGGAGGCAGAGGTTGCAGTGAGCCAAGATTATGCCACTGCACTCCAGTCTGGCAACAGAGCAAGACTCCGTCTCAAAAAAAAAAAAAAAAGAAAATAAAAGAAACGATTATTCTTTGCTCTACACAAGGGCAGAAGTTGAACAATGGTGACCCACTTACGTATTTTGTTAGGTCCATGTAACATTTCCCTATTGTTTTAATCTTAAGTTTTGTTTTTTTTTTTGAAATGGAGTCTCAAACTGTCACCCAGGCTGGAGTGCAGAGGCACGATCTTGGCTCACTGCAACCTCTGCCTCCTGGGTTAAAGTGATTCTCCTGGGCCGGGCATGGTGGCTCACCATGCTGTAATCCCAGCACTTTGGGAGGCCGAGGTGGGCGGATCACGAGGTCAGGAGATTGAGACCATCCTGGCTAACACGGTGAAAACCCATCTCTACTAAAAATAAAAAAAAAAATTAGCCAGGCGTGGTGGCGGGCGCCTGTAGTCCCAGCTACTCGGGAGGCTGAGGCAGGAGAATGGCATGAACCCGGGAGGCAGAGCTTGCAGTGAGCCGAGATCGCGCCACTGCACTCCAGCCTGGGTGATAGGGCGAGACGCCATCTCAAAAAAAAAAGAAAGTGATTCTCCTGCCTCATACTCCCAAGTAGCTGGAACTACAGGCACGTGCCACCATGCCCCGCTAATTTTTGTATTTTTAGTAGAGATGGGTTTTCACCATGTTGGCCAGGAGGGTCTTGAACTCCTAACCTCAAGTGATCCACCCACCTCGGCCTCCCCAAGTGCTGGGATTACATGCGTGAGCCACCACGCCCAGCATAATCTTAAATTGTTTACCAACCAATTATGCAGAAATCTACATATAAAAATTTAAATGGTTTGGCTTCTCTTGATAATGTTGGAAAATCTAATGTCAGTAGGCCTCCCTGTCTACATGGCAACAATTATTTGGAACTGAGCTGCCACCTATCAAGAGGGCTCTTATTCTCCAGTTTGCCACAGTTTTTGTTACTCCCACCTAGGCATTTGAATTTCTACTCCCTGCACTAAAAAAATCAAAGGTAGGCTGGACGAGGTGTAATCCCCCAGCACCTTGGGAGGCCAAGGCGGGTGGGTCACTTGAGGTCAGGAGTTTGAGGCCAGCCCGGCCAATATGGTGAAACCCCCATCTCTACTAAAAATACAAAAATTAGCCAGGCATAGTAGCTCACACTTTTAATCCCAGCTACTTGGGAGGCTGAGGCAGGAGAATTGCTTGAACCTGGGAGGCAGAGGTTGCAGTGAGCCGAGATCGCGCCAGTGCGCTCCAGCCTGGGCAACAGAGCAAGACTCCATCTCAAAAAAAAAAAAAATTCAAAGGTAAATTAAATCACTTCTAGCCCTCAATTACATTAAATTAGTTCAACTTACATCTTTATTGCAACCTATTAATAGCTTTGTGACCCTGGCTACACCATCTCAACCATCTGGACCTCAGTGCTCTATAAAGTAGGGATAATAACTTGCTTCAGATCTAACAAGATAATGCCTGTAAAGGTCTTGTGTAATTGGTTAACCAAGTAAAATAATTGTTAATAATAAAGGTTAGGGTTTTTTGTTTGTTTGTTTGTTTTTTGAGACGGAGTCTTACTGTGTCACCCAGGCTGGAGCGCAATCTCAGCTCACTGCAAGCTCCACCTCCCGGGTTAATGCCATTCTCCTGCCTCAGCCTCCCAAGCAGCTGGGACTACAGGCGCCTGCCATCGCGCCCAGCTAATTTTTTGTATTTTTAGTAGAGACAGGGTTTCACCATGTTAGCCAGGATGGTCTTGATCTCCTGACCTCATGATCCGCCCACCTCGGCCTCCCAAAGTGCTGGGATTACAGGCATGAGCCACAGCGCCTGACCAAGGTTAGGTATTACTATTCTGTGAACTTGTCTTAGCCAGCCATCATTTATTTGCAAGTAACAGAATCTCACTTAAACCAGAGGAAAAAGGGGGAATTTATTTAGTCAGATACAGGCGTGTTTCTTTCTTTCTTTCTTTTTTTTTTTTTTGAGACAGAGTGTTGCTGTGTTCCCAGACTGGAGTACAGTGGCACAATCTTGGCTTGCTGCAACCTCCGCTTGGTTTACCAAGTAAAATAACCCTGGGTTCAAGCGAGTCCCCTACCTCAGCCTCCCGAGTAGCTGGGACTACAGGCACGTGCCACTATGCTTGGCTAATTTTTTGTATTTTAGTAGAGATGAGGTTTCACCATGTTGGCCAGGATGGATTCGATCTCCTGACCTCGTGATCCGCCCACCTGGGCCTCCCAAAGTGCTCGGATTACAGGCGTGAGCCACTGCACCTGGCCAATACAGGCGTGTTTCAAAGAATTCAAGGACAGGAAGTAGAGCCCAGGATCATGAGAAAGTGGAAGCACTTGATCTGGTTGGCTCATTCTGGTTTCATTGGCTACCTTCAACCCAATCAGCTAAAGCTACAAAGTCAAAGCATAGTACAAACATGTCATCTGGGATCTATCCTTGTGGTTGACAAAGTGGGGACAGTTTCCATAGAACGGGGTCTATGGACTAGGCAGACAGCCCCCTAAGTATCTATTATAGAATTTTCTGGAGGTTGACAACATGCCCTTTAAGTGATTCAGTGGTTTTCATTTATGTTTATGGCCCTCTTCTCATGACCCTCCTCAAGTGTGCCAACCAATATAATAATTGGCAGCCCCAATCTAGGAACTGGGTGAAATGTTTTCCAGGAAAACACCAGTGGGACTTAGATACCTGCAAGGGCCTCTTGCCCCGGTATGAACATGCTAGCTTCATTCCCTCCTGCACACCTGACCGTATCTGGGTATTTGGAGGTGCCAACCAATCAGGAAATCGAAATTGTCTACAAGTCCTGAATCCTGGTAAGTAGCCAAAGGTTATTTTATTTACGTACATACAAATAAACTTTCATGCACACACACACACATATATATAAATCCAATTATAATTCCAGTACATTTGGATTATACTAATTACCATTTAACTTTGCTGACATAGAAAATAGGAATTTTAACTTGTAGCATAATCTGAAAACAACAGAATAAAAACAATTGTTGGTAACACATACAATTTTTAACTTGTTAAATGTCAAAGCTGGAAGGGACTTCAGAGAACAGCTATATCAAGTGGGCTACTCAGGTTTATCAAGGGCAAAGTGACTTTCCTAAAGTCACAAGAGGCCGGGCATGGTGGCCCATGCCTGTAATCCCAGTACTTTGGGAGGCTGAAGAAGGCAGATCACTTGAGGTCAGGAGTTTGAGATTGGCCTGGCCAGCATGGTAAAACCCCCATCTCTATTAAAAATAGAAAAATTAGCTGGGTGTAGTGGTGGGCGCCTATAATCCCAGCTACTCAAGAGGCTGAGGCAGGAGAATCGCTTGAACCCGGGAGGCGGAGATTGCAGTGAGCTGGGATCATGCCACTGCACTCCAGCCTGGGCGACAGAGTGAGACTCTGTCTCAAAAAAAAAAGAAAAAGAAAAAAAAATTTTTTTAAAAATAAAGTCACAAGAGAGTCAGTGACTGAGCCAGGCTTAGAACCCAAGTCACCTAGATTAGTAGTCCTCCAGTAAAGGCGATTGTGCCCCCGGGGGACATTTGGCCATATCTGGAAACATTTTGGGTTATCACAACTGGGGGTAGCGTGGGCTACTGGCTTCTAGGGGGTAGAGGCCAGATATGCTGTATATATATCCTGTCGTGCCTAAGACAGCCATCACAGGGAAGAATTGTCTGGTCTAAAATGTCAGTAGTGCCAAAGTTAAGAAACACTGACCTGGATCCTCCTAGTATGTTTCTTTTAGCCAAAAGTACAAAGTTCCTAACTTGTCTCACTGGCAAGACATTTTGTTTGTTCGTTTTGTTTGTTTGTTTTTGTTTTTCATATCTTGCTGTTTCCATCACTGGCAGTTTTATTATAGAGGAAGCAGTTTGGGAACGTCGCTACTGAGAGGAGGTTGCTAAACCACCTGTGGGGAAGTGGACTTGTCTTTTTGCCTTTTGTTTGTTTGTTTTTGTTTTTCTCTTTACAAATATTATTTATGTTCATTGTAAAATATTTGAAAAGTACAAATAAGTGGAAAAAGTCATCCACAATCCATTATTATATTAAGGCTATTACCAATTTTCTGTCTTTTTTTTTTTTTTTGTGACGGAGTTTCACTCTTGTTGCACAGGCTGGAGTGCAGTGGTGTGATCTCGGCTCACCACAACCTCTGCCTCCCGGGTTCAAGTGATTCTCCTGCCTCAGCCTCCCAAGTAGCTGGGATTACAGGCATGCGCCACCATGCCTGGCTAATTTTGTATTTTTAGCAGAGATGGGGTTTCTCCATGTTAGCCAGGCTGGTCTCAAATTCTTGATCTCAGGTGATCCGCCCACCTCAGCCTCCCAAAATGCTGGGATTACAGGCATCAGCCAATGTGACCGGCCCAGCTTTCTGTCTTTTTCCTGTCTTTTCTCTGTTTTTACAAGCCTGAGATCATACTATATTTACACATTCATAACTTTTTCCTTTTAATTTCATAATCCCAGGAGAAATAGGTGGGTTTTTTTTTTTTGGCTTTAGCAAAAATAATTGATTTGTTATTAATAACAATGCTTTGTTAATATAATATCATTTGTTTGTTTTTTTTGGGTTTTTTTATTGTTGGTAACTTTTTTTTTTTTCGAGGCAGGGTCTCACTCTGTTGCCCAGGCTGGGATGCAGTGGTATGATCACAGCTCACTGCAGCCTCGACCACCCAGGCTCAGGTGAACCTCCTACCTCAGCCTCCCAGGTAGCTGGGACTACAGGCGCTTGCCACCATGCCTAGCTAATTTTTTTGTATTTTTTGTAGAGACAGAGTTTTGCCATGTTGCCCAAGGTGGTCTCAAACTCCTGGGCTCAAGCAATTTTCCTGCCTCGGCCTCCTGAAGTGTTGGGATTACAGACATGAGCCACTGCACCTGGCCAACATCATTTTTAATGGCTGTATCATACTCCATTATATATAAAATACTCCATAATATCATAACTTCTCCATTTATGAACATTTAGTTCTTTTCAGGTTTTTACCATTATAATTAACAAAGCAGTGAACATCTTCATTCAGAAGTCATAGACTGTATTTCAAATTATTTTCTTAGGGTTCCTGCCAAGAAATAAAAAGGCTAGGTAAAATACTGTGAACCTTTTCAAGGTTTTGATACATACTACCAAATTGCTCTCCAGAAAGATTTTTCCGGTTTATCCTCTCTCCAACTGTGTTTAACAGTGTTTCTTTCATTACTGACCAGCACTGAATTTATCAGTTTTAAACATTGCTAATTTGATAGGCAAAAAAACTTGTACATAGTTTAAATATGCATTTTGGGCCGGTGCGGTGGCTCACACCTGTAATCCCAGCACTTTGGGAGGCTGAGGTGTACAGATCACCTGAGGTCAGGAGTTCCAGAGCAGCCTGGCCAACATGGTGAAACCCTGTCACTACTAAAAATACAAAAATTAGCCAGGCATGGTGGTGCATGCCTGTAGTCCCAGCTGCTGAGGAGGGCGAGGCAGGAGGATCGCTTGAACCCTGGAGGCAGAGGTTGCAATGTGCCGAGATCATGCCACAGCCTGAGCAATGAGTGAGACTCTCTCTCAAAAAAGCATTTTTTGACCTGGACATTTTTCACATGTCAGCCAACTCTTGCTCAGTTCCCTCTATCAACAATATATTTGGGGTGTTGCCCACCTACTACATTTGTTGAGTATTGCCCGATAAAAAAATTAAAATTAAAAAAAAAAACTATTGTACAATAGTTGGTCAGAGTTCAGGAACTAGGACCAAATTTTCTTATATGTCAAGTATTTAAATTCCTTCAGCACATTTAGACAGTATGTTATCTTTTAATTTGATTTATTTGTTTGGGTATTTATTTCCTGTCTTCCCTCCTCTTCCATGCCCTCCCTCTGTGGAACATAAGCGCTTTGAAGGGAAGAGTTTGTTTATTGTTGAATACTCAGGGTACAGAACACTGTCCGAAATAAAGTAGACACGGCCGGGCATGGTGGCTCATGCCTATAATCCCAACACTTTGGGAGGACGAGGAGGGCGGATCAAAAGGTCAGGAGTTCCAGACCAGCCTGGCCAACATACTGAAAGCCCGTCTCTACTAAAAATACAAAAGAAAAAATTAGCTGGGCTTGGTGGCAGGTGCCTGTGGTCCCAGCTACTTGGGAGGCTGAGGCAGGAGAATCGCTTGAACCTGGGAGGTGGAGGTTGCAGTGAGCCGAGATCGCGCCACTGCACTCCAGCCTGGGTGACAGAGTGAGACACCGTCTCAAAAAAAAAAAAAAAAGAAGAAAGTGATAGAGTAGACACTTGGCAGACCATTTGGCTAATTGTGAAGCCAATTTGCTTGGAGGACTAGCAGTATAATATGGTGCTTAAGGGCACAGATGAGGGTCTCTGTTTTGCTATGCACTAACTATGACCTTGGACTAGTGATTTAACCTCTCTCTGCCTCTGTTTTCTGTCACATTGGATAGTAATAGTTTCTACCTTGTTAATTTGTCAAGGATTTAAATAAACTCAGTATCTGGCACATAATTAATGCTCAGTAATTGTTGTGGTAGTTGATGTAGTTAAGGTTTGGCAAAGGGAAATCAGTTCTGGAACCCTGGCCTTTTGATTTTCAACAATGGTATCCATTGAAATAAAATAAAGTGAGAATTTGGAAAGCTGTCAAAGAGGGTGATTTTATTTTATTTATTTATTTATTTATTTTTATTTTTGAGACAGTGTCTCACTGTGTTGCCAAGGCTGGAGTGCAGTGGCGCAATCTCAGCTCACTGCATCCTCCACCTCTTGGGTTCAAATGATTCTCCAGCCTCAGCCTCTCGAGTAGCTGGGATTACAGGCACATGCCACCATGCCCAGCTAATTTTTATATTAAAGAGGGTGATTTTCTATCATATCCCTTTTCTCTCCTAGAAAATATAATTTGACATCATGCCCAAGAAATATGAAATATGTACTTAGTTGCATTTGTTACCAAGGCAAGTCCCTCAAATGCTCAGGACTCCTTTGTGATTCTTTGTGCTGGTGTTTGAGTTGGCAGGAATACAGCCCTAGGGTCTTCTGGGCCTGGAGGTGACATGTATACCTTTCTAGCTCCCTCTAAGATCCAAAAGCTCTCCAACATCTGTAACTATAGAGACAGCTACATTTTGCTTTGGATATAGGCTGAGACTTTTTCAGTCTCCAGGTCCCCATTTGAGTCCCACACATATTACAGATGTTTCCTGTAGCATTTTATATATTGGATGTAGACCTTTTACAAAAGACAGAATTTCTTGGTGTGTTATGGTAGAGCAAGTGTGGGACTCTGATAGAACTGAGTTCAGGCCCGGCGCGGTAGCTCACGCCTGTAATCTCAGCACTTTGGGAGGCCGAGGCGGGCAGATCAGGAGGTCAGGAGCTCGAGACCATCCTGGCTAACACGGTGAAACTCCGTCTCTACTAAAAAAAAAAAAAATACAAAAAATTAGCCGGGCATGGTGGCGGATGCCTGTAGTCCCAGCTGCTCGGGAGGCTGAAGCAGGAGAATGGCGTGAACCCGGGAGGCGGAGCTTGCAAAGTGAGCCGAGATCGCGCCACTGCACTCTGGGCTGGGAGCCACAGCGAGACTCCGTCTCAAAAAAAAAAAAAAAAAAAAAAAAAAAGAACTGAGTTCAAACTCCTGCTCTGCTACGCACATATGCTATAACCTGCAGGAAAGGATTTAAATGTGCAGAGCTTCAGTTTCCTCATCTAAAAGTAGAGATACTTCCGCTCACTTCCCAAGCTTGAGTGAAGACACCAGGGATGGCAGTGCCCAGGGCAATGATGCTGCCCATTGAGGGTGCTCAATTAATGCATCTGCTTCTATAAAACCCAGGTTCATCCTTAAAAGAAATAAGCTTCTATACATCTATCTAGGTGGTGAAATTTTATTCTCCAGTCAGAGGAGTGGGAATTAGAAAGATCTTGGTGTTACTGAAAGAGTTTAAATTCCAACTCAGCCATTTCTTAGGCATGTCACTTTATCTGTCTCTCTCTCTCTCTCTTTCTCTCTCTCTTTCTTTGCCTTATTCTGTAACCCAGGCTGGAGTTGCAGTGGTGTGATCTTGACTCACTGCAACCTCAACCGCTGCAGGCTCAGTATATCCTCCCACCTAAGCTTCTCAGGTAGCTGGGACTATAGGCATACGCCACCACACCCGACTAATTTTTTTTTGTATTTTTTTGTAGAGACAGGGTTTTGCCATGTTGCCCAGGCTGGTCTCAAACTCCTGGGCTCAAGCAATCCACCTGCCCCAGCCTGCTAAAGTGTTGGGATTACAGGCATGAGCCACCGAGCCTGGCTAGCCATGTCTCTTTTAAAAAGTTACTTAATCCATCCCTACTTCAATTCTCTTACCTGTAAAATGCGGAAATTAATATTTGTTTAGCATTTACTGTTTAGTAGGGACTGTTATTACTGCTACTGAAATGTAATAGTATTGTCTTTTTTTTTTTTTCATTTCTTTCTTTCTTTTTTTTTTTTTTCAAGATATGGTCTTACTCTTTTACCCAGGCTAGAGTGCAATGGCACGATCATAGTTCATTGCAGCCTCAAACTCCTGGGCTCAAGCAATCCTCCTGCCTTGGCTTCCCAAAGTGCTAGGGTTACAGGCCTTACAGCCACTGTGCTCAGCCTAATTTTTTTTAATTTTTAATTTATTTTATTTTATTATTATTATTTTTTAAGATGAAGTCTCGCTTTGTCAACCAGGCTGGAGTGCAGTGGCATGATCTCAGCTCACTGCATCCTCCGCCTCCTGGTTCAAGTGATTCTCCTGTCTCAGCCTCCTGAGTAGCTGGGATTATAGGTCCCCACCACGACACCTGGCTTTATTTATTTATTTATTTATTTTTAGTAGAGATGGGATTTCACCATGTTGGCCAGGCTGGTCTAGAACTCCTACCCTCAAGTGATCCACCCACCTTGGTCTCCCAAAGTGCTGGGATTACAAGCGTGAGCCACTGCACCCCTGGCTGATTTTTTGTAGAGACAGGATATTGCTTTGTTTCCCAGTCTGGTCACAAACTCCTGGGCTCAAGCAATCCTCCTACCTCGATTTCCCAAACTGCTGAGGTTACAGGTGTTAGCTGCTGCACATGGCCTGCCTACTTTCTTTTATTGGCCACATTTTCTGGGAAATCTGGCACACCTGGACTCTGGCATCTAGTGGGAATGAATGTTAGCAGATGTTAGGGGGAGCGATAGTGAGCAAAGTAGAAGAGGGTTCAGAGAGGATATTTGAAGGCCTCCAAAACAAATTGACCTCTTTTTTTTCTTCTTTTTTTTTAATATGGAGCCTTGCTCTGTCACCCAGGCTGGAGTGCAGTGGTGCAATCTCAGCTCACTGCAACCTTCACCTCCTGGGTTCAAGCGATTCTCCTGCCTCAACCTCCTGAGGAGCTGGGATTACAGGTCCCCACCACCATACCCGGCTAATTTTTCAGATTTTTAGTAGAGATGGGGTTTTACCCCATGTTGGCCAGGCTGGTTTCGAACTCCTGACCTCAAGTGATCCGCCCGCCTTGGCCTCCCAAAGTGCTGGGATTACAGGCATGAGCCACACTGCACCCAGCCTGACTCCATTCTTGTGCTTACAGCTTTTAAATCTTGGGGATTTTGGACTGTCTTGGCAAATCCTAAGTATCATCTTCATTCTTCCTTGATGTTTGTGAGTATGAGATCCCTGCCCAAAACTATGCTGGCCCCCCTGGGGATTGGAGTTTGGAAACTGACTTCACTCAGCCCCAGAGTCAAGGTCAGAAGCCCCTCTACCTGGATATTTTAAGTGCCTGCATTCTCTCTGGCCCAGAAACCAGGACGTGGACCACGCCAGAAGTGACCAGCCCCCCACCATCCCCAAGAACATTCCACACATCATCGGCAGCCATTGGAAACCAGCTATATGTCTTTGGGGGCGGAGAGAGAGGTGCCCAGCCCGTGCAGGACACGAAGCTGCATGTGTTTGACGCAAGTATGGACTGGTGGGCACCTTGGGGCTGGTCAGGGCCATCCCAGTTTACACATTACCTAATATAGGAAGCAGAAGTTAGAAAAGGAAAGCCTGACTAAGTGTCTCACTTCTAGACTTCTTTGTTATATCTCTTAGCTGATATCTTTTTCCCACAGCAAAATTGGCATTTAAAAAGGGATAGTGAGGCCTGGCATGGTGGCTCACACCTGTAATCCCAGAGCTTTGGAAGGCTGAGGCAGGTGGACCGCTTAAGGTCAGGAGTTCGAGAACAGCCTGGCCAACATACCTTTTCTCTACTAAAAACACAAAAATTATCCGGGCATGATGGTATGCACCTGTAATCCCAGTTACTCAGGAGGCTGAGGCAGGAGAATCGCTTAAACCCAGGAGGAGGAAGTTTCAGTGAGCCAAGATTGGGCCACTGCACTCAGCCTGGGCAACAGAGCAATACTCCATCTCAAATAAATAAATAAATAAATAAATAAATAAATAAATAAATAAAACTAAAAAGGTAGGCCGGGAACGGTGGCTCACGTCTGTGATCCCAGCACTTTGTGACGCCCAGGTGGGAGGATCACCTGAGGTCAGGAGTTTGAAACCAGCCTGGCCATCATGGCAAAACCCCATCTCTACTAAAAATACAAAAATTGGCCGGGTGCAGCGGTGGGTGCCTGTAATCCCAGCTACTCGGGAGGCTGAGGCAGGAGAATCACTTGAACCCGGGAGGCGGAGGTGGCAATGAACCAAGATCGTGCCATTGCACTCCAGCCTTGGCAACAGAGCGAGACTCTCTCAAAAACTAAATAAAAAAATAAAAAGGTATAATGATCAAGTTAAAAAGTTTAAACCATACAATTTATAAAGTAAAAAAGTAAAAGAAAGAATAAGAAAGACAAAAAACAAACAGAAGTAAAAGATTCCCCTTCAGCCTTTCCTTTCCCCGCCTCAGGTACATGCCTGGGTGATTTTTTTTCTTTTTCTTTTTTTTTTTTTGAGATGGAGTCTCGCTCTGTTGCCCAGGCTGGAGTGCAGTTGCCCGATCTCGGCTCACTGCAACCTCCGCCTCCCGGGTTCAAGCGATTCTCCTGCCTCGGCCTCCCAACTAGCTGGGATTACCAGCATGCACCAACATGTCCATCTAATTTTTTGCGTTTTTAGTAGAGACAGGGTTTCACCATGTTGGCCAGGCTGGTCTTGAAGCCTGACCTCAGGTAATCTGCCCACTTCAGCCTCCCAAAGTGCTGGGATTACAGGCTTGAGCCACTGCACCCGGCCAGATTTTTGTATTTTTATTGTAGAGATGCAGTTTTGCCATGTTGCCCAGGCTGGTCTCAAACTCATGAGCTCAAGCAATCTGCCTGCCTCTGCCTGCCCACCTCTGCCACCACACTCAGCCAAAATTTTTACCTTGCAAAGTAAAATTGGGAAAATTAAGAGATAGCACATTCCCAAGCCAGAGTATTTGGGAAAAAAAAAAAAAAAGACACATCACAGTGTGACTTTTCTCTTTCCAGAAAGAATGGGCTTTGTGATTCTTTTAAAGCAGTTTTAAAAGTTTAAATAATATTGGTTTTGAATATATAAAACTATAAGGAACAAGAAAAAAAACATATGTATGTGTATATGTGTGTGTGTGTGTACATGTGTATGTACTATCACCCCAAAATTAAATTACTGTTAACATCTCAGTGTATTATCAATCTTTTTTTTTTAAGAACAGAGATAATTCAAACCAGATGTGGTGGCTCACGCCTGTAATGCCAGGACTTTGGGAGGCTGAGGAGGGCAGATTACTTGAGGTCAGGAGTTCAAGAGCAGCCTGACCAACATAGTGAAACCTCGTTGCTACTAAAAATACAAAAAATTAACTGGGCGTGGTGACGCACACCTGTAATCCCAGCTACTTGGGAGGCTGAGGCATGAGAATCACTTGAACCCCGGAGGCGGAGGTTGCAATGAGCCGAGATCTTGCCACTGCACTCCAGCCTGGGTGAGGGAGCAAGACTCTGTATCAAAAAAAAAAAAAAAAAAAAAAAAGGACAGAGATAATTCTATATGTTACATTTGCATCCTATATTTTTCACTTAAGCATTGTTCCATGCAATCAGAAAGTCTTCACCAGCATTTTGAAATGATGATTATTATATAAATATTAGAGTCAGGGTCTCACTGCATTGCCAAGGCTGGTCTCAAACTCCTAGCCTCAAGTGATCCTTCAGCTTTGGTCCCTCAAAGTGCTGGGATTACAGGCATTGAGCCACACCACCCGGCCTTCACCATCATTTTTAATAAGTGCTTAGGCCAGGCGCGGTGGCTCACGCCTGTAATCCCAGCACTTTGGGAGGCAGAGGCGGGTGGATCATGAGGTCAGGAGTTCGAGACCAGCCTGGCCAAGATGGTGAAACCCTGTCTCTACTAAAAATACAAAAATCAGCCAGGAATGGTGGCGGGCGCCTATAATCCCAGCTACTCAGGAGGCTGAGGCAGCAGAATTGCTTGAACCCAGGAGGCAGAGGTGGGTGGATTACCTGAGGTCAGGTAATCCTGGGCAACATGGTGAAACCCTGTCTCTACTAAAAATACAAAAAATTAGCTGGACGTGGTGGCAGGTGCCTGCCTGCCACCCTCTGCTGCAATCCCAGCTACTAGGGAGGCTGAGGCAGGAGAATCCCTTGAACCTGGGAGGTGGAGGTAGCAGTGAGCTAAGATCACGCCACTGCACTCTAGCCTGGGTGACAGAGCAAGGCTCTGTCTCAAAAAAATAAATAAATTTTTTAAAAAGTGTGTAATATTTCCTCATGGCTATACTAATAATTAAACCTGCTCATGGACACTTAGGCTATTTCCAATTTTTGTCTATTATAAACAATACTGTAATGAACAAGCCAGGTATGCTGACTCATGCCTATAATCCCATCGGCTCAGGAGGCTGGAGGACCGCTTGGGCCCAGGAGTTTGAGGATGTAGTGAGCCATAATTGCACCACTGCACTCCAGCCTTTGCAGTAGAGCGAGACCCTGACTCTAAAAAAAAAAAAAAAAAAAAAATGCTATAAGGAACATATTTATGCAGAAACCATTTCAGGTAATTTTAAATTAAATTCCTTGGGACACTGGGGACTCCTTGAACAACCAGCAGGCATACCATAAACAGTAATTCAAAGACAAATTGTTTGGCAGACCTTTGTTTCAAAGAGTTTTTGCAGGCTGGGCGCAGTGGCTCATGCCCGTAATCCTTTGGGAGGCCACTTTGGGACACCAAAGCAGGTGGATCCCTTGAGGTCAGGAGTTCAAAACTAGCCTTGACAACATGATGAAACCCTGTTTCAACTGAAAATACAAAAAATTATCCAGGCATGGCGGCAGGTGCCTATAATCCCAGCTACTCGGGAGGCTGAGGCAGGAGAATCGCTTCTCCTGGAGGAGGCAGAGGTTGCAGTGAGCCAAGATCGCACCACTGCACTCCAGCCTGGGCAACAGAGCAACACTCTATCTCAAAAAACAAAAACAAAACAAAAAAAAAAAACAACAGAGTTTTTGCAGTACTCCTTTAAGACTTTTCTGGTATATAGAAATGATTAATTTTCCAGAATTCTATATATGTACAGCTTTGAAGATAAGAAGGGTTGCCTGTAGTAAAACGTAATAATCATCATATTCATAACTCTCATGTATTGGGTACTTTTTTTTCCTTCATGCTTTATGTATATTATCTCATTTAATTCATACCTCAGCTCTTAAAAGTAGGTATTGTCTTTTTTTTTTTTTTTTGAGATGAAGTCACGCTCTGTTGCCCAGGCTGGAGTGCAATGACACAATCTTGGCTCACTGCAACCTCCACCTCCCGGGTTCAAGCAATTCTCCTGCCTCAGCCTCCCGAGTAGCTTGGACTGCAGGCACATGCCACCACGCCTGGCTAATTTTTAAAATATTCTTAGTAGAGATGGGGTTTTACTGTGTTAGTCAGGATGGTCTCGATCTCCTGACCTCGTGATCCGCCCATCTTGGCCTCCCAAAGTGCTGGGATTACAGTCATAAGCCACTGCGCCCGGCCAGTATTGTCTGTATCCTTATTTTACAGCCATAGAAACTGCAGCTTAGAGAAGTAATTGGTGAAAGGCCACATAGTTATATAGTGAGATAACCTGGTTTCAGCTCCAAATCCCATATTCTAACCATTATCCTATACTGCCACATCAGGAGTCCCTGCTAACTTTTATTTAAGACTAGTCTGTTTTTTTCCCCAACCCCTTCAGCAAATCAATTAAGTCTAGCAGGATGCAGTGGTGTGTGCCTATAGTCCCAGCTACTTGGGAGGCTGAGGTGGGAGGACCACTTGAGCCTAGGAGTTCCAGTCCAGCCTGGACAACATAGCAAGACCCCATCTCTAAAAATAATAATAAGACTGGGTGTGGTGGCTGACACCTGCAATCCCAGCACTTTGGGAGGCTGAGGTGGGTGGATCACTTGAGCCCAGGAGTTCAAGACCAGCCTGGGCAACATGGTCAATCCCTATCTCTACTAAAAATACAAAAATTAGCCAGGCATGATGGTGTGCACCTATAATCCCAGCTATTTGAAAGGCTGAGGCAGGAGAATTGCTTGAACCTGCGAGGCAGAGGTTGCAGTGAGAGCCAAGATCGTGCCATTGCACTCCAGCCTAGGCAACAAGAGCACAACTCCATCTCAAAAAAAAAAAAATGGCTGGATGCAGTGGCTCATGCCTGTAATCCCAGCACTTTGGGAGGCCCAGGGGGGTGGATCTCTTATGGTCAGGAGTTTGAGACTAGCCTAGCCAACATGGCAAAACCTCAGCTTTACTACAAATATGAAAAAATTTAGGATGGGCGCAGTGGCTCATGCCTATAATCCCAACACTTTGGGAGGCTGAGACAGGTGGATCATTTTAGGTCAAGAGTTTGAGACCAGGTTGGCCAACATGGTGAAACCCCGTCTCTACTAAAAATACAAAAATTAAGGGCCAGGAGTGGTGGCTAACGCCTGTAATCCCAGCACTTTGGGAGGCCGAGGCGGGCAGATCACGAGGTCAGGAGATCGAGACCATCCTGGCTAACACGGTGAAACCCCGTATCTACTAAAAAACATACAAAAAATTAGCCGGGCTTGGTGGTAGGCACCTGTAATCCCAGCTACTTGGGAGGCTGAGGCAGTTGACTCACTTGAACCTGGGAGGCGGAGGTTGCAGTGAGCTGAGATTGCACCATTACACTCCAGCCTGGGTGACAGAGGAAGACTCTGTTTCAAAAAAAAAAAAGAAAAAGAAAAAGAAAAAAAAAAAATTTAGCTGGGCGTGGTGGTGCACACTTGTAATCCCAGCTACTCAGGAGGCTGAGGCAGGAGAATCGCTTGAACCTGGAAGGCAGAGGTTGCAGCAAGCCAAGATCGCACCACTGCACTCCAGCCTGGGTAAGAGAGTAAGACTTTGTCTCAAAAAAAAAAAAAAAAAATTAGCTGGGTGTGGTTTTGGGTGCCTGTAATCCCACCTACTCAGGAGGCTGAGGCAGGAGAATCACTTGAACCTGGGAGGTGGAGGTTGCAGTGGGCGAAGATCGCACTTGTGCATCCTAGCCTGAGCAACAGAGCAAAACTCTGTCCCCCGACCCCCTGCAAAAAAAAAAAAAAAGTTGAGTGCCACTGACATAGACAAGTAACTTGTCCAAATATTAGTCATTAAGGGATGAAATTGTTATTGAAACATTACTTATAAAATAAATAAATAACAAGGCTGGGCACAGTGGCTCACACCTATATCCTAGCACTTTGGGATGCCGAGGTGGGCAGATTGCCTGAGCTCAGGAGTTTGAGACCAGTCTGGGCAACATGGTGAAACCCCGTCTCTATGAAAATACAAAATATTAGATGGGGCCGGGCACGGTGGCTCACGTCTGTAATCCCAGCACTTTGGGAGGCCAAGGTGGGCGAATCACGAGGTCAAGAGATCAAGACCAGTCTGGCCAACATGGTGATACCGCGTCTCAATTAAAAATAGAAAAATTAGCTGGGGGTGGTGGCATGTGGCTGTAGTCCCAGCTACTCGGGAGGCTGAGGCAGGAGAATTGCTTGAACCGGGGAGGCGGAGGTTACAGTAAGCCGAGATTGTGCCACTGCACTCCAGCCTGGGCGACAGAGCGAGACTCTGTCTGCAAAAAATAATAATAATAAATAGAAGCCAGGCGTGGTGACTCACGCCTGTAATCCCAGCACTTTGGGAGGCCAAGGTGGGCAGATCACCTAAAGTCAGGAGTTCGAGACCAGCCTGACCAACATGGAGAAACCCTGTCTCTACTAAAAATACAAAAATTAGCTGCATGTGGTGTTGCATGCCTGTAATCCCAGCTACTCTGGAGGCTGAGGCAGGAGAATCGCTTGAACCTGGGAGGCAGAGGTTGCAGTAAGCTGAGATCATGCCATTGCACTCCAGCCTGGGCGACAAGACCGAAACTTTGTCTCAAATAATAATAATAATAATGATAATAATAATACATTAAATAAATGAATAACAAGAAGATGACTCTGAAGGGCTGTCACAGAAACAGACTCATTCATTTTGACTTTGTGGCAGTTTTAGTTTGAAGCTAAAGAGGAGATCGTTTTTATTTCATAGCGAGAAATGGCTTCCGGGTGCTGAGTAGAAGGGGCAGGCATGTTTGGTAGTGGGCTCTCCAGCCCTAGAAGCATGCACGCAGAGCCTCTGTAGGACTTTTTTTTTTCTTTTTTTTAAGACAGAGTCTTGCTCTGTCGCCCAGGCTGGAATGCAATGGCGCAATCTCGGCTCACTTCAACCTCCACCTCTCGGGTTCAAGCAATTCTCCTGCCTCAGCCTCCCAAGTAGCTGGGATTACTAGGCACCTGCCACCACACCTGGCTAATTTTTTTTTTTTTGTATTTTTAGTAGAGACAGTGTTTCACCATGTTGGCCAGGCTGGCCTCGAACTCCTGACCTCAGGTGATCCACCTGTCTCGGCCTCCCAAAGTGCTGGGATTACAACTGTGAGCCACCGCAGCAGCCTATAGGATGTAAAAGGAGGGATGCCTGGATTGGCTGGGGGAGTTGGAGTGAATGACCCCAGGGTTGCTTCCTGCATGGGACAGCTCCGCTTGCTAGGAGGTGCTACAGAGGCTTGGGCCTGTTTCTCGTGTTCTTTTTTAATAGTTTTGCCATTTGATGTTATTGAATTTACTTTTCTAGACACTCTGACCTGGTCACAGCCAGAGACACTTGGAAATCCTCCATCTCCCCGGCATGGTCATGTGATGGTGGCAGCAGGGACAAAGCTCTTCATCCACGGAGGCTTGGCGGGGGACAGATTCTATGATGACCTCCACTGCATTGATATAAGTAAGCAGGGCATGGGGGCTTGTCTGTTTAAAATTGTTATTTTTATTTATTTATTTATTTTTAGACAGGATCTCTGTCTGTCACTCAGGCTGGAGTGCGGTGGCATGATCTCAGTAGCCTCAGCCTCCAGGACTCAAGTAATCCTCCTACCTCATCCTCCGCAGTAGCTGGAGCTACAGGTGTGTGCCACCATGCTTGGCTAATATAAAATTTTATTTTGGTAGAGATGGGGTCTCACCATGTTGCCCAGGCTGATCTCAAACTTCTGTGCTCAAGTGATTTTTTAGTGTGCTTTGAAAGAATATGGCCTTGCTTGGCCAGGTGCAATGGCTCATGCCTGTAATCTTAGCACCTTGGGAGGCTGAGGCAGGCATATCACCTGAGATCAGGAGTTTGAGACCAGCCTGGCCAACATGGTGAAACCCCGTGTCTACTAAAAATACAAAAATTAGCCTATTGTCATGGCACATGTGCCTGTAATCCCAGCTACGTTGGTGCCTGAGTCAGGAGAATCGCTTGAACCCAGGAGGTGGAGGTTGTGGTGAGCTAAGATTACGCCACTGCACTCCAGCCTGGGCCACAGAGCAAGACTCCATCTCCAAAAAAAAGAAAAAAAAAAAAAAGCCGGGCTTGGTGACTCACACCTGTAATCCCAGCACTTTGGGAGGCTGAGGCTGGGGGATCATGAGGTAAGGAGGTCGAGACCAGCCTGGCCAACATAGTGAAACCCCATCTCTACTAAAAATAAAAAAAATTAGCCAAGTGTGGTGGCACTCGCCTCTAGTCCTAGCTACTTGGGAGGCTGAGGCAGGAGAATTGCTTGAACCCGGGAGGCAGAGGTTGCAGTGAGCCGAGACCACACCATTGCACTCCAGCCTGGGTGACAGAGTGAGACTCCATCTCAGAAAAAAGAGCTGGGCACAGTGGCTCATGCCTGTAATCCCAGCACTTTGGGAGGCCAAGGCAGGTGGATCATCTGAGGTCAGGAGTTCGAGACCAGCCTGGCCAACATGGTGAAACCCCATCTCTACTAAAAATATAAAAATTAGCCAGGCGTGGTGGTGCATGCCTGTAATCCCAGCTACTCGGGAGGCTGAGGCAGGAGAATTGCTTGAGCCCAGGAGGCAGAGGTTGCAGTGATCCAAGATCATGCCACTGCACTTCATCCTGGGCGACACAGCAAGACTCCGTCTCCAAAAAAAAAAGAAAAAAAGAAAAAAAAAATCAGCCAGGCTTGGTGACAGGCACCTGTAGTCCTGGCTACGTGGGAGGCTGAGGCAGGAGAATCGCTGGAACCTGGGAGGTGGAGGTTGCCGTGAGCTGATTGCACCCCTGCACTCCAGCCTAGACGACAGAGTGAGACTCCGTCTCAAAGAAAAGAAAAAAGAAAAAGAAAATATAGCCTTGCTCTTATGTGTAGGTAACTTGACCAGCTGGCAGAATCTTCATCAGATTCTGTTACCTCTGGACAGAATACTAATAATAAAAAATCATAGCACTAAATAATCTCCTGAGTGCTTACTATGGACCCAGCCATTTATTGTCTCTTAACCTTCCAACAGTGCTCTCCTTTCATTACAACCCATTATGCTTTGTGTTGGCCTACTGGATTTCTTTCTGGTGTTAGCCATTAACCCATGAAGGATCTGGATAATGTGGATGTAGATGACTAGAGTTTCATGCTTTTCATGTTAAATGGTTGAAAACAGTGGGAAGAGGAAGGTTAGAGAGAACATGAGAAATATCCTTTAAGTATCTGAAGGGCTGATATGCTGTGGAGAGACCCTGGACTCATTCTGGGCAATTCCTTCAAGCTGTGAGGTCCATTATGGTAGGGAACTTGTCTATTTTGTTCTCCAGTACATTTCTAGCACTTAGCACAGTGTCTGGCAGATAGTGGGTGACAGGTACTTTCTTTTTTTTGAGATAGTGTCTCACTTGGTTGCCCAGGCTGGAATGCACTGATGCGATCTTAGCTCATGGCAGCCTCTGCCTCTCAGGTCAAGTGATTCTCCTGCCTCAGCCTCCCGGGTAGCTGGGACAACAGGCACGTGCTACAACACCCAGATAATTTTTTTATTTTCTGTAGAGATGAGGTTTCACCATGTTGCCCAGGCTGGTCTCCAACTCCAGGACTCAAGGGATCCACCCGCCTTGGCCTCTCAAAGTGCTGGGATTATAGGCGTGAACCACTGCTCCCGGCTCATACCTGTTATTGAGTGGAGGGATGAAGAAATGAACATGTTCTGCATTGCTCCAGACTACAAGAACTGGAACAATGGGCAGAAGGCATGGGAAGTCCTGTGTAGTGTATCGGGCTGACTTCCCAAGCCCTGAATTATCTGGCTCCATGACAGCTGAGGCCAGGGGACACTGGCTTTGTATTCTTGCATTGGCTAGAATTTTGGCCACACCGGGTGATTCTCCCTTCTTACTCTGAGATGCTGGGCCCCTGCCTTGCATTGACAGATGGAAACTATTTTTTTTTTTTTTTGAGATGGAGTCTCGCTCTGTTGCCCAGGCTGGAGTGCAGTGGTGCAATCTTGGCTCACTGCAAGCTCTGCCTCCCGGGTTCATGCCATTCTCCTGCCTCAGCCTCCTGAGTAGTTGGGACTACAGGTGTCCACCACCACGCCCGGCTAATTTTTTGTATTTTTAGTAGAGACAGGGTTTCACCGTGTTAGCCAGGATGGTCTCAATCTCCTGACCTTGTGATCCGCCCACCTCGGCCTCCCAAAGTGCTGGGATTACAGGTGTGAGCCACTGCGCCCGGCCGACAGATGGAAACTATTTACACAAAACCATTCCTTGCGGGCAGTCAGATGGGGTCTTAATGCTTATTTTTAAAAAGAGCCTTTTTCTGGTGTTAGGAACTACTTGTTGACTATTTTTCCTGCCTACCCAAGTAGTTCTCTAAATCTAAAATCCAGTGATAGCTTGCCTTATTTAAATGCTTGTTTTGGCTGGGAGCAGTGGCTCACCCCTGTAATCCCAGCACTTTGGGAGGCCGAGGTGGACGGATCACCTGAGGTCAGGAGTTTGAGACTAGCCTGGCCAACATGGTGAAACCCTGTCTCTACTAAAAATGCAAAAATTAGCCGGGTGTGGCGGCACGTGCCAGCTACTCTGGAGGCTGAGGCAGGAGCATCGCTTGAATCCGGGAGGTGGAGGTTGCAGTGAGCTGAGATCGCGCCACTGCACTCCAGCCTGGGTAACAGAGTGAGACTCTGTCTCAAAAGAAAAAAAAATGCTTGTTTGAAAAGATGCAAGTTTCCCTGCAAAAATAGGTGGGAAGTAGGCGCTAAGGCAGCACATTATCGTGTAGAGATTTTGGAGACACAGGCTTTGGAGCCACACCTAAGTGCAGTCTTGCTGTGCCACTTACAAGCTATAGGGTCTCGGACAAGTCTCTTTCCTTCTCTATTCTTGTTTGCTCATTTGTAAGAAGAAAGGGGAGGCCAGGCACCAGGCCATGGCTCCCGCCTGTAATCCCAGCACTCTGGGAGGCCGAGGTGGGTGGATCACGAGGTCAGGAGTTCAAGACCAGCCTGGCCAAGATGGTGAAACACCGTCTCTACTAAAAATACAAAAAATTAGCCAGACCCGGTGGCAGGTGCCTGTAATCCCAGCTACTCGGGAGGCTGAGGCAGAGAATTGCTTGAACCTGGGAGTCAAGATCAAGCCACTGCACTCCAGGCTGGGCAACAGAGCGGAAAAAAAAAGAATAAGAAAGGGGATAGGCAGAAGTAATAGAAATTTCATAGGGCTGTTATGAAAATTAAGTGAGCAAAATTTGTTGTTTAGCCAGCACTTACAAAATCGCTAAGGAACTGTATTTTTTTTTTTTTTTTTTTTTTGAGACGGAGCTTCGCTCTTGTTGCCCAGGCTGGAGTGCAATGGTGTGATCTCAGCTCAGCGCAACCTCCGCCTCCCAGGTTCAAGCGATTCTCATGCCTCAGCCTCCTGAGTAGCTGGGATTACAGGCATGCACCACCATGCCTGGCTAATTTTGTATTTTTAGTAGAGACGGGGTTTCTCCATGTTGGTCAGGCTGGTCTCGAACTCCCGACCTCAGGTGATCCGCCCGCCTCGGCCTCCCAAAGTGCTGGGATTACAGGCGTGAGCCACCGTGCCCGGCCCAGGAACTGTATTTAAAGTACACACACACACACACACACACACACACAGAGACAGAGAGAGAGAGAGAGAGAAACTGAGCTAATTCGAGGCAGTTAATAGTGAATGGTTGAAGGTGACTGTTATTATAAAGGTTGTATCACATTTCTGTGTGATCCAAAGACTGCCTACATCAGAATCGCCTGAGATTCTGGGAATCACTGAGCCCCTCCCTGCCTTCCTCCCTGGACTACCCAATCATAATGTCAGAGTTCCCCAAATAATTCTTATGTGCACTAAACCTCTCAGAGCTCTTGGTGAATGACTTTCAGTGATTGGTGTGCAAACTACAGTAGATAGATAAGTTTGAAAGCACATCTTAGCCCATGCTGCGCCAAAGCTCTTTCTTTCTCTTGGCAGGTGACATGAAATGGCAGAAGCTAAATCCCACTGGGGCTGCTCCAGCAGGCTGTGCTGCCCACTCAGCTGTGGCCATGGGAAAACATGTGTACATCTTTGGTGGAATGACTCCTGCAGGAGCACTGGACACAATGTACCAGTATCACACAGGTGAGCAGGTGTCCATGGGGGATCTTTAAACAAATCTAAACATTCTTTGAAACGTGATGCGGTGGCTCACGCCTGTAATCCCAGCACTTTGGGAGGCCGAGGCAGGCAGATCACGAGGTCAGGAGATCGAGACCATCCTGACCAACATGGTGAAACCCCATCTCTACTAAAATACAAAAAATTAGCCAGGCGTGGTGGCGGGCGCCTGTAGTCCCAGCTACTCGGGAGGCTGAGGCAGGGGAATTGCTTGAACCCAGGAGGCAGAGAGGTTGCAGTGAGCTGAGATCACACCACTGCACTCCAGCCTGGTGACAGAGCGAGACTCTGTCTCAAAAAAAAAAAAAAAAGAAAGAAAGAAAAAAGTGATGCAGTGCTTCCAATTTGGTTCCTCTATATCTAAATCCAAAAGAATGAAAACTCTGTAGGGGATGACATCAGGAAAGCAGCAATGCTGCCATAAGGTTTTTTTCCTTTTACTCCTGTTTGTTAGGACTCGGCTGCTACAGTAAATCACTGAGCATTTCTAGAAATTTCATTACTTTTTAAATTTTATTCAGATTTTGGCTTTCACTATCTGGAAATTGTTTTTTTTTTTTTTTTTTTTTTTGTCTGAGATGGAGTCTCACTCTGTCGCCCAGGCTGTAGTGCGGTGACGTGATCTTGGCTCACTGCAAGTTCCACCTCCTGGGTTCACGCCATTCTCCTGCCTCAGCCTCCCGAGTAGCTGGGACTACAGGTGCCCGCCACCATGCCCAGCTAATTTTTTTTTTGTATTTTTGGTAGAGACGGGGTTTCACCGTGTTAGCCAGGATGGTCTCCATCTCCTGACCTCGTGATCCACCCGCTTCGGCCTCCCAAAGTGCTGGGATTACAGGCGTGAGCCACCGTGCCCGGCCTATCTGGAAATTTCTTAACATGAAGCCTTTTCCCTCCCCAACATAGAAGAGCAGCATTGGACCTTGCTTAAATTTGATACTCTTCTACCCCCTGGACGATTGGACCATTCCATGTGTATCATTCCATGGCCAGTGACGTGTGCTTCTGAGAAAGAAGATTCCAACTCTCTCACTCTGAACCATGAAGCTGAGAAAGAGGATTCAGCTGACAAAGTAATGAGCCACAGTGGTGACTCACATGAGGAAAGCCAGACTGCTACACTGCTCTGTTTGGTGTTTGGTGGGATGAATACAGAAGGGGAAATCTATGACGATTGTATTGTGACTGTAGTGGACTAATAAAACCCACATTTTTATTACCTGTCAGTTACTTTCAGAATAGTTAAGTAAAACATTAGCTGTTTTATACCTCCAAAATATCTTCTGCATTATATATCTGTTTTTCTCCTACTTTGGTAGGTGAAGAAACTAATGCAAATAATTCTTATGTGCACTAAACCTTGCTATATTGCCTCTCAGAGCTCTTGGGAATGACTTTCAGTGACTGGTTTGCAAACTGTGGTAGATAGATAAGTTTTGCCCAATGCAAAAACCTCCACTGCATTAACATAAAAGGCTTTGGGCCAGGCTTGGTGGCTCACGCCTGTAATCCCAACACTTTGGGAGGCTGAGGAGGTGGATCACCTGAGGTCGGGAGTTCAAAACCAGCCTTACTACCATGAAGAAACTCCGTCTCTACTAAAAACACAAAATTAGCCGGGTGTGCTGGCCCATGCCTGTAATCCCAGATACTCAGGAGGCTGAGACAGGAGAATCGCTTGAACCCGGGAGGCGGAGGTTGCGGTGAGCTGAGATCACACCATTGCACTCCAGCCTGGGTGACAAGAACGAAACTCTGTCTCAAAAAAAAAAAAAATATATATATATATACATATATACACACATATATATGTATACATATATAGTATATTTATATGTATACATATATATGTATACATATTTATATATACATGTATTTATATATGTATACATAAACACATATATATGTATACATATATATATATATAAAAGGTTTTGCCAACAATACAAACCTAGGTAGGTGTGATTTGTGTATTAAATGCTAATCACAAAGTTGCAATATGGTTAGGGTTAAAAAAGAAGTTGCAGAATTATAATTGGTAAACAACAAACTATAGACATCAGACACATAGTTGAAGTCTATCTTTTTAATATTCAGTAACAGCTCCTCAGAAAGAGTTACAGACTAGGTGGTCCACGGTAGTGAGAGCCTTTGAGGTAAGGGAAGACTAGCCCTAGTTGCTAACTACCATTTAACCCTATTGCCCCAGGGTACACAGCACTGTAGGTCATCTTTAATGGCTGTATTGGGCTTGGCCTGAGACCAGTATTCTGCTCAGGGTCTGCCCAAATGCTTTTCGGGCAGTGCAGCTGAGGCCTAGGTCTAATTAAGAGTTTGGTGTTGGGATCCAGTTCTACTAGCCCTAGAGAATTAACCTTTCAGCCAGTTGCCCATCTATAAAATACCTATCCTTGGGCAGTATTGGATTCTTTTTTTTTTTTTTGAGGTGGAGTCTCACTCTTGTCGCCAGGCTGGAGTGCCGGGCTGGAGTACAGTGGTGTGATCTCGGCTCACTGCAACCTCTGCCTCCCGGGTTCGAGTGATTCTCCTGCCTCAGCCTTCAGCTTGCACTACCACGCCCAGCTAATTTTTGTATTTTCAGTAGAGATGGAGTTTCACCATGTTGGCAAAGATGGTCTCTATCTCTTGACCTTGTGATCCACCCGCCTTGGCCTCCCAAAGTGCTAGGATTACAATATTGGATTTTATGTTAGCACCAGCCTGTCCTTTATTGATCATACCATTTACCTGGACTCTTTTCTTCAGGAACACAATCTAAGTAATCCTAAACCAGTTTTGACACAAACCATTGCCTTTAACAACCCATTCATAGTGAGGGGATTTAGTGTAGTTTCAATGTCACCATCCAAGATCCCACCCCAGTACCACTAATGAGAAATTTCAGGGATGGAGATTCTGACACAGCTAGGGTTCACAATATACCTTTACATCCTAAAGTTACAAATGAAATCCAAGTGTATAAAGTTAATACCAGTGATCACTCACTCCCCATCATTTCTCAGAGAATCCAAGCAGCTATAAAAGCATCATTAGTAATAATTTTAAAAAAAGCCACCAGAAAGGCAGTTTTAGAAAGATAAGGGGAAATAGGAAACCAAGTATGTTCAAGAAAACCCCACTCTTGGGCACTGTGAAATGCCCCTTGCCTGAGTAAAGATGTGGATTAACTTCTCTCCCCTTTTCTTAGATTAATGCAAAAGCCGAGCATGGTGGTAACAAGCCTGTGGTCTCAATTAGCTGGGAGACTGAGGTGGAAGGATCACTTGGGCCCAGGAGGGTTAAAAAAAAAAAAAAAAATCCCTGGAAGCATTAAATAGAAGTGTTTCCTTATCCCAACATACCAAATACTCCCTCCCCTCACCCCACACACGAGTATCTAGTCTTAAATTTCCTAAAATAAGTAATTGATCTAATTAGAAGCTTCTCACAAACATTAGACCAGTGTAAATAACAAACATTTATTGGTGTCACTTATGGTAGAAAAAACTTCCTACACCAGATGCACATGACCCAGTTGTTAAATAGAACATTTTGAAGGTGAACACACACCCTAACCCAGGTTTTTTACCCGCTTTTTAAGATGGCCAATTCTTCTTCTCCCCCCCACCCAAAGACATGTGAGCAACTGCTAATGAAAAGCAGTAAACAGCCGCTTAGGCTATAGCAGTTTCAACTCCACTCTGAGGTGAAGATTCCAATTACATTCGAGACTTAAGTTCTTTCAATTTTTTCCTAACAAAAGTTCCTGAGTCCAGTATTTACAATATTACAGCACTAGCAGATCAGTGTCTACAACTCATCTTTTTCTGCTGTATCCTCTTCACCAGTTGGGGGAGGGCCTGCACTTCCATAGAGTTTGCTGATAATTGGTTGAACAATTTCTTCCAGTTCCTTCTTCTTAGCTTTGAAGTCTTCAATGTCAGCATCTTGGTGGCTTTCCAGCCATTCAATCTTTTCTTCTACAGCTTTTTCCATGGTCTCCTTATCTTCAGAGGAAAGTTTACCTCCCAGCTTTTCTTTATCTCCAATCTGATTCTTTAGAGAATAGGCATAGCTTTCCAACTCATTTCTAGTATCAATGCGCTCCTTGAGCTTTTTGTCTTCCTCAGCAAACTTCTCAGCATCATTAACCATCCTTTCGATTTCTTCAGGTGTCAGGCGATTCTGGTCATTGGTGATTGTGATCTTATTTTTGTTCCCTGTACCCTTGTCTTCAGCTGTCACTCGAAGAATACCATTCACATCTATCTCAAAGGTGACTTCAATCTGTGGGACCCCACGAGGAGCAGGAGGAATTCCAGTCAGATCAAATGTACCCAGAAGATGATTGTCTTTTGTCAGGGGTCTTTCACCTAGAAGTTACATACAGAAAAACTTGTTAGTTGTTACTGACAAGCATTAGCACATCTAGATCCCCGCATTTCAGTCTGAAGCATAAAGTGACACTTTTGGTTTTATCGAGCTAAAAGTAATTTCATATTGGTCTACAAGGAGCAGCAACTAGTACTAACAATGAGTTAGGTTACTAACTCAACTGAATTTTATCTATTTTAAAGTACTGTGAACTCCTTTTTCTTGTACTCTAGGAGCCAGCTCAGATGCTATTATTAGTGAGAATGCTAATCATTGGCTGGGTACAGTGGCTCACACCTGTAATAATCCCAGTACTTTGGGAGGCCGAGGTCGGTGGATCACCTGAGGTTAGGGGTTCAAGACCAGCCTGGCCAACATGGCGAAACTCCGCCTCTACTAAAAATACAAAACTTAGCCGGGCGTGATGGTGGGCACCTGTAATCCCAGCTATTCGGGAGGCAGAGGTTGCAAGTCATGCCACTGCACCCCAGCCTAGGCGACAGAGCAAGACTCCATTAAAAAAAAAAAAAAAAGAATGCTAAATATCTAATATCAACATTATTCAAATTAAGACCTCCATCTGAAAACAGCAGTTACTTAGTTCCCTAGCCATTTCAATAGGACATATTAAGTCATGTTCTTTTAAAATATGCCATGATAGATAGATCTGGCGTGGTGGCTCACGCCTATAATCCCAGCACTTTGGGAGGTGGAGGCAGGCAGATGACCTGAGGTCAGGAGTTGGAGACCAGCCTGGGAAACATGGTGAAACCCCATCTCTACTAAAAATACAGAAATTAGCCAGGTGTGGTGGTCCACGCCTGTAATCCCAGCTACTCTGGAGGCTGAGGCAGGAGAATCACTTGAACCCGGGAGACAGAATTTGCAGTGAGCCGAGATCGTGCCACTGCAGTCCAGCCTGGGCAACAGAGCAAGACTTCATCTCAAAAAAAAAGCCATGATATTAACAAACTTAAGTAATTACCTTCATAGACCTTGATTGTAACAGTTGGTTGATTATCAGAAGCTGTAGAAAAGATCTGAGACTTCTTGGTAGGCACCACTGTGTTCCTTGGAATCAGTTTGGTCATGACACCTCCCACAGTTTCAATACCAAGTGTAAGGGGACATACATCAAGCAGTACCAGGTCACCTGTAAGGATAAGTTATTTAACTTTTAATTCAAGTTCTCCCTATGAGCTATGTAAAGTTTATCTCTCTAACATTTGGTTAGGTTCTAACACACACATTTTAAAGGCAGTGAATTAAACAGTTGCTAATGATCTTGAGACTACCCCAGTCTTGTCTTCACTTATACCCTTTACTAGCTGTGTGACCTTGTTGCTCATATTCTGGTATTTTCTAAAGCAATAGCTAATGAGTCTTCCATCAAGCTACTGAATCACTAAGAAAGATGCTGCGATGATGACCTACCTGTATCTTGATCACCAGAGAGCACACCAGCCTGGACAGCAGCACCATACGCTACAGCTTCATCTGGGTTTATGCCACGGGATGGTTCCTTGCCATTGAAGAACTCTTTAACCAGTTGCTGAATCTTTGGAATTCGAGTCGAGCCACCAACAAGAACAATTTCATCAATATCAGACTTCTTCAAATCAGAATCTTCCAACACTTTCTGGACGGGCTTCATAGTAGACCGGAACAGATCCTAGAAAAAAGACATGGTTACTGTGATGTCTGTTATCTAAGTATCTAGATGCAATGTCCTGAATTCAGAGTCTAAGGAGATCTCATTAGCAAAGCAGAAAACAAGGAACATACCATGTTGAGCTCTTCAAATTTGGCCCGAGTCAGGGTCTCAGAAAAGTCTTCTCCTTCATAGAAGGACTCAATTTCAATTCTTGCTTGATGCTGAGAAGACAGGGCCCGTTTGGCCTTTTCTACCTCGCGCCGGAGTTTCTGCACAGCTCTATTGTCTTTCCTGACATCTTTGCCCGTCTTCTTTTTGTACAGTTTGATGAAGTGTTCCATGACACGCTGGTCAAAGTCTTCTCCACCCAGATGAGTATCTCCATTAGTGGCCACAACTTCGAAGACACCATTGTCAATGGTGAGAAGAGACACATCGAAGGTTCCGCCACCCAGGTCAAACACCAGGATGTTCTTCTCCCCCTCCCTCTTATCCAGGCCATAAGCAATAGCAGCTGCCGTACTATTAGATTGAAAAAGGGAAAAGTTTTGTCAGTACTTCACATTTCCACTATTTGGCAAATATGCCGTATCCCTGAATTTCATACTTACGGCTCGTTGATGATCCTCATAACATTTAGGCCAGCAATAGTTCCAGCGTCTTTGGTTGCTTGGCGTTGGGCATCATTAAAATAGGCTGGTACAGTAACAACTGCATGGGTAACCTAAAAGGATAAAAGATAATTAAGTGTATTGTCACATAGTTTAACCCTTATTTAAATTACAGTCTGGCCAGGCGGTGGCTTCTGCCTATAATCCCAGCACTTTGGGAGGCTGAGGCAGGAGGATCACCTGAGGGCAGGATTTCAAGACCAGCCTGGGCAATGTGGAGAAACCCTGTCTCTACTGAAAATTAAAAAAAAAAAAAAAAATTAGCCAGGTGTGGTGGTGTGCCTGTAGTTCCAGTTACTTGGGAGGCTGAGGCAGGAGAGCTGCTTGAACCCGGGAGGCAGAGGTTGCAGTGAGCTGAGATCGTGCCACTGCAGTCCAGCCTGGGCAACAGAGCAAGACTCCATCTCAAAAAAAAAAAATTACAGTCAAACCATCACTTTAGTTTTTAAGCCAACTTATTGATGAATACAACATATAAAATTTTATGTCCCTGGAATTGTAAGCATTAAATAATACATGAAAAGTCTATTTTGTTTGGCTTATAGTAAGGGACTCAATAATTAAACCTGACAAGCATGAATACCATTCTGATTAAAATTTTTGAAACCCTTCACGAAGGCTTCTATACATAACAGCCAACCGAGAATACTAATGATCAAAAAATACTTAACATTGTTCTAGAAATATTTACCTTCTTTCCCAAATAAGCCTCAGCGGTTTCTTTCATTTTAGTGAGAACCATGGCAGAAATTTCTTCAGGAGCAAATGTCTTTGTTTGCCCACCTCCAATATCAACTTGAATGTATGGTTTAGTTTTCTTTTCAACCACCTATTTTAAAGAATTATTGTTTTCAGACACAGATACAATGACATCTCAAAGTTTAAAAGACCCACTACCATCCCCACAATTTGGTTTATTTTGGTCCCTTGGGGCTGCAAATTGACTAGAAATACTTCAGGGAGTATAGGTGTCTTACAAAGTTCAGTTTTAATCGGTCTTTTATTCCTAAACTATCGTAGACAGTACGACAGCAACTGTCTTAAGTTTTGTAACATACTAATAGTATTAAAGTTATTACATACATCATGTCTATAACCTTCAACTGTTGTCTCAACACTTTTCCAGAGACTTATAACTCTAAATACTCCCACCACCCACCCGTTCTCTAACTGGATGAGAAAAACCCGGTCGAACCTTGAACGGCAAGAACTTGATGTCCTGCTGCACAGACGGGTCATTCCACGTGCGGCCGATGAGCCGCTTGGCGTCAAAGACCGTGTTCTCGGGGTTGGAGGTGAGCTGGTTCTTGGCGGCATCGCCAATCAGACGTTCCCCTTCAGGAGTGAAGGCGACATAGGACGGCGTGATGCGGTTGCCCTGATCGTTGGCGATGATCTCCACGCGGCCGTTCTTGAACACGCCGACGCTGGCAGAAAAACCCGACAGAGGGACATCAGCACCGCACTTCTCACGCCAGGCCAGGCGGCCACGCCCCGTCCCCCTGCATCCGCAACCCCACTTACCAGGAGTAGGTGGTCCCCAGGTCGATGCCGACCACCGTGCCCACGTCCTCCTTCTTGTCCTCCTCCTCGGCCCGCGCCGCGCTGAGCAGCAGCAGCATCGCGGCCACCAGGGAGAGCTTCATCTTGCCAGCCAGTTGGGCAGCAGCAGGCAGTCCAGCCACAGGCCGTAGCACAGGAGCACAGCGCAATTTCCGACTTGCAGGCGGCAGGGGCCCGGGGTCACAAGGCGCCACGAACCAGGCGAAGGGCAGGTCTAGAAATACAGGCCGCGGCGCTTCCCTCTCACACTCGCGAAACACCCCAATAGGTCAATCTGTCTGTGCTGTCTTGGCCGGCGTCGACCTCACCGTCGCCTACTCGGCTTATATACCCTCCCCCAGCCCCGTCGTGGAGGCCGCCGATTGGTGAAGGCCCTGCTCGTTGGAGGCCGTTCATTGGCCCAGGCCACCAAGCTGGCCGCCGCCGATTCGAAGCGGCCCCCTCCGCAATAAACGTCACTGCTCCGCCCCCCCCAGCTGATTCATTGGCTGCTATTCGTTTCTAACGTTCACCAATGGTAGATAACATCCGCCCCATCCGCTGGTCCCATTGGTTCAGCAGCTGTCTATCTCTCCTGCGACTTCTGACCCCGAGGCATTTCCGCTGGTAACCGCACAAGTCCCGCCTTCACTCCCGGCCCTAGGGGGTCGGAGTAGGTCCAGCAGGAGTGACCCCCCGGGGCTGTGGGATCTGAAACTTTTTCTTCTCTACTGCTTGTTCTCCCTTCCTCCATCCCTCACCCCGAAGCGGGAAGCAGCTTTCTCTTCCCAGCTTCCATCCAGTCTCTGAGTAGACCAGTCGCAGCTTAGATGCTGGGATCGCCTCAGAACACATTTCTTTGCCCTTCACGGCCACTACCGGTATTGGGGTATGCGAGTCTCAGGGCCGTTCGTTGCTCACAGGTCGAGCTGGTCTGGACTCTGTTCGACCACGAATCATGACTCCTTCCTGCCAGTTATGTCCCCTCCGCACCCTTGCCCAGCCATTTTACCAGGCCTCTCCACATTGCGCTGCCCCACGGTAAGTCGCAGGACAAGCCCGGCCAAAGGAATTGCCTCCAGCTCTGAGTCCCCTCCCTACTGTGGCAACCCACTCCAGTGCCAGCCCTCCCACACTGGATGTCTAATTTTTCTAGCTTGCCACCCTTTACTTTCCCCTCCGCTGCCCATCCTTTCCCTCTGGGGCAAAGGTTATCATTTACGGGGCTTTCTCCATCCTTTATTGTTGATACTTTTCTACCTTCATTCCAGGAAAAGGTCTGATGTACACGCAGACAACACATTTGATAGGCGAAAATCGTCTTGATAATGCCTTATTCTTATATAACATCCTGTTGCAAAAAATAATAGAGACCACTATTTGCTGAAAGCCTACCGTGGATTAAGCATTGTTCAGTGTGCTTTTCATGTGTCATTTAGTCTTGACAGTTCAATACTCGGTAGGCATTTCCCGTTTTCCAGATGAGGACATTGAAACTGAAAAAGATTAAATAACTAAACAAGTCACAGAGCTGGTGAGTGATGGAGTTAGGATTGATAACCAGGTGGAGTTCACTCTATTGCCAATACTTTTTTTTTTTTCAAGACGGAGTATCACTCTGTCACGCCCAGGCTGGAGTTCAGTAGTGCAATCTCAGCTCACTGCAACCTCCGCTTCCGGGGTTCAAGCGATTCTCCTGCCTCAGCCTCCTGAGTAGCTGGGATTACAGGCACGCACCACCATGCCTGGCTAATTTTTTTTTTTTTTTTTTTGTGGAGATGAGGTTTCACCATTTTAGCCAGGCTGGTTTCGAACTCCCAACCTCAAGCGATCTGCCCACCTCGGCCTCCCAAAGTGCTGGGATTACAGGTGTGAGACACTGTGCCTGATCTCTTAACTTTAAAACAAAAAATTCATCTGTGGCCGGGCGTGGTGGCTCACGCCTGTAATCCCAACACTTTGGGAGGCCGAGGTGGGCGGATCACGGGGTCAGGAGATCAAGACCATCCGGGGTAACACGATGAAACCCCATCTCTATAAAAATCCAAAAATTAGCTGGGCGTGGTGGTGCATGCCTGTAGTCCCAGCTACTCGGGAGGCTGAGGCAGGAGAATCGCTTGAACCCGGGAGGTGGAGGTTGCAGTGAGCCGAGATCACGTCACTACACTCCAGCCTGGGCAGCAGAGCTAGACTCCATCTCAAAAAAAAAAAAAAAATTCATTTGTTTGAGGAATGTTTTTGGAGGACCTACTATGGAAAGGGCAAAGCTCTGATATGAAATATTTGAGATTCATGGGTATACTGTGTCCAGATACCACTAAAACATCCTAAACACACTTTATTAAGATGTTGAGCCTGTGACTCAGTACTCAAGAATTTTCTTTTTCCTTAGTGCTTCTCAAAGGTTAGACTGGTGACTCAAGAGTTGACTCTGTTCACTACAGAGGTTGCATCATGCATCTCTTTCAGCAGGGCTTGTAATCCTGCGGCAACATTGACCCTTCTTTGGCTTGCATCAGTCCAGCATTAAGATAGAAATCATCATTTGACCACATTACAGCTTCTTTCATTTCAATCAAATGTTTTTATAGTGCAGTCCATTTCCATTAAAAAAAAAAACTCTCCATTTCAGCCTTATCCTTGATTAACAGAGTAACGTTTTGTAACTCTCCTTTTTGTAAAATTTAGAAAAGCGATACATGGCTAACTTCCAAAGGGAATTGAATATATTGTGGTTTCATCTTTTTAAAACCAGACATTTTACATACATTTTCTAGTATATTCCAAAGCACAGTCACTTACGAATAGGAAAGTACATGGTCAAAACTAGCTTGCTGAACATTAAATGCCAAAAATAATATCCAGGTCAAGTTATCAATACTTAACTGTTAGACACTGTGCTAAAGACGTACGTGCATTATCTCTTTTTATCTTTAAGAAAGCAGTTTTTTGTAATCCCAGTATTTTGGGAGGCCGAGGTGGGCGGATCACGAGGTCAAGAGATCGAGACCATCCCGGCCAACATGGTGCCCAGTCTCTACTAAAAATACAAAAATCAGTTGGGTGTAGTGGCGCGCGCCTATAGTCCCAGCTACTGCTACTCAGAGGATGAGGCAGGAAAATCGCTTGAACCTGGGAGGCGGAGGTTCAGTGAGCTGAGATCGCACCACTGCACTCCAGCCTGGCCACAGAACGAGACTCTGTCTCAAAACAAAAACAAAAACAAAAACAAAAAGAAACAAACAAAAAAGCATTTTTTTCTTACCCCTATTTTAGAGTGAAGGAATCTGAAGCCCCAAGAGGTAAAGAAACTTGCCCAGGAGATTGCACACCTAAGATAATGAGCCAGTATTTGAGCCTTGGCAGTTTGATTTTTAACCTCTATAGGTTGTCATCTTGAGCTTCAGATTTATAAGACTTAATTTTGGGTTTCGGCATGGTGGCTCAGATGTGTAATCCCAGCACTTTGGGAGGCCAAGGTGGGTGAATCACTTGAGGTCAGGAGTTCGAGACCAGCCTGGCCAACAGGGCAAAACTCCATCTCTAATAAAAATACAAAATTTGCTGGGCATGGTAGCACACGCCTGTAATCCCAGCTACTCGAGAGGCTGAGGCATGAGAACCACTCGAACCTGGGAGGCGAAAGTCACAGTGAGCCAAGATCGCACCACTGCACTCCAGCCTGGGCAACAGGGTGAGACTGTCTAAAAAGAAAAAAAAAAAACCTTACATTTTGTTTTAGGATATAGAGTAGTCACATATTTTGGGTTTTAAATTTAAAGTTTATAATTTTCATAGATATGGGGTCTAGCTACATTAACCAGGTTGGTCTCAAACTCCTGGCCTCAAGCAATCCTCCCACTTCAGCCTTCCAAAGTGTGGGAATTACAGGAATGAGCCACCACATCCAGCTCCAGTTACACATTTTGTAAATATTTTGATAACAGATGATATGCAAATATAAATTTTTATCCAGAAATTTAAACCAGCCCATTTCACTTGTGCTCCTATGGGTAAGAAAATTGCTTTCCAGGCTGGGCCTGGTGGCTCACACCTGTAATCCCAGCACTATGGGAGGCCGAGGCAGGCGGATAACCTGAGGTCGGGAGTTCGAGACCAGCCTGGTCAAAATGGAAAACCCCGTCTCTACTAAAAATACAAAATTAGCCCAGCGTGGTGGCTCATGCCTGTAATCCCAGCTACTCGAGAGGCTGAGGCAGGAGAATCACTTGAACCCGGGAGGCGGAGGTTGAGGTGAGCTGAGATCATGCCATTGCACTGCAGCCTGGGCAACAAGAGCGAAACTCTCTCTCAAAAAAAAAAAAAATTGCTTTCCATTTCCTACCTGATCTCAGAAAGCTAATTAAGCAGAGGTAAGACTTATTAGGATTGGATGTCATTTAGCTCTTAAATCTTCTTTTGTGGCCATGCGCGGTGGCTCACGCCTGTAATCCCAGCACTTTGGGAGGCCCAGGCGGGTGGATCACGAGATCAGGAGATCGAGACCATCCTGGCTAACACGGTGAAACCCCGTCTCTACTAAAAATACAAAAAATTAGCCGGGCACGGTGGCGGGCGCATGTAGTCCCAGCTACTCAGGAGGCTGAGGCAGGAGAATGGTGTGAACCCAGGAGGTGGAGCTTGCAGTGAGCTGAGATTGCGCCACTGCACTCTAGCCTGGGCGACAGAGCGAAACTCTGCCTCAAAAATAAAAAGTAAAAAATAAATCTTCCTTTGTGAAAGAGGACTAATAATAAATGACAAGCATCCAGCAGGAAGAAAAAGGAAAGGACCTATGTAATTTACAAGTTTAATATTAACATTTAGATCCTGATAATTGAGAATTTTCCACATGTTTTGTTAGAGAGAACATTCAACTAGGTGATAAGGCACATAACTTTGACAAAAACCAATTTCTCAGAGCCACAGTTTTTTTTTTTTTTTTTTTTTTTTTTTTTGAGACAGAGTCTTGCTCTGTTGCCCAGGCTGGAGTGCAGTGGCATGATCTTGGCTTACTGCAGCCTCTGCCTCCCCGGTTCCAGCGATTATCCTGTCTCAGCCTCCTGGTAGCTGGGATTACAGGGGTACACCATCATGCCCAGCTAATTTTTGTATTTTTAGTAGAGATGGGGTTTTGCCATGTTGGCCAGGATGGTCTTGAACTCCTGACCTCAGGTGATCTGCCCGCCTCGGCCTCCCAAAGTGCTGGGATTATAGGCGTGAGCCACCACGCCCAGCCAAGCTCAGATTCTTAATCTATTGAATGTCAGGAATTTCTGTCCTGCCTGTCTTACTGGACTGCTTCAAGGATCAAATGAGATATTGTATGTGAAAGTAGTGTGAAGGTTGTAGAACAGTGGTAATGCCATTGCTAATCATAGAAATATAACGTGAGAAGAAATTTTAGAAGTAAGGCCAAGTGCAGCGGCTCATGCCCATAGTCCCACCACTTTGGGAGGGCGAGGTGGAAGGAAACTTGAGGCCAGGTGTTTGAGACCAGCCTCGGCAAAACAGAGAGATCGCCTCCTTCTGTGAAAATATTTAAAAATTAGCCAGTCATTGTGGTGCGTGCCTGTAGTTCCAGATACTCAGAAAGCTGAGGTGGGAGGATCACTTGAGCCCAGGAGTTTGAAGCAGCAATGAGCAATGATTGTGCCACTGCACTCCAGCCTGGACAACAAAGGAAAACACCTCTCAAAAAATAAAAAATAAATGGTACATCTAATTAATCCTATATTGGTCACATAGATGTCTTTTTTTTTCTTTCGAGACAGAGTCTTGCTCTGTTGCCCAGGCTGGAGGGCAGTGGTGCAATCTCGGCTCATTGCAACCTCCGCCTCCTGGGTTCAAACAATTCTCCTGTCTCAGCCTCCCGAGTAGCTGGGATTACAGGCACACAGCACCACACCCAGCTAATTTTTGGATTTTTAGTAGAGACAGGGGTTTCACCATGTTGGCCAGGCTGGTCTCAAACTCCTGACCTCGTGATCTGCCCGCCTTGGCCTCCCAAAGTGCTGGGATTACAGTTGTGAGCCATCTGCATCCAGCCCACATAGATGTCTTTATTAAGGTGCTAAGAATAATTTATTCACCCTTCATCAAACAACTCTCGAATAAAACAAAAGTGTCACCTTAACACCTGAGCCAGAAGCAATAGTAGGTATAAATCATGTATTTTATTTTTTTTGGTACTTCTGAAAGTACAATGTGCTATGCAATTAATTTCCTTCCTTGTCTTCAGTTTCTAAAAGTAAATTTATAATAGAGAACTTTCCCTTCTCCACACATACATAGAAATAGTGCATTTTCTATCACATTTTGTGCGTGTGTGCCGAAGGCATTTAGGAGGGCACACTGTGTTAGATAACGTAAAAGAGAGGCAAGACCATAGGATTTGGAAGCGCTAAAACTATTTGAGTTCCAGTTGTGTTACTTACTGGCTGTGTAACTTATGGCAAGTCAATCTCTCTGAGGCTCTGTTTATGAGTGTGTAAAATGGATATAATTCTGCCACTTAACAAGGCTGGTTTTTGTTTGTTTGAGACAGTGTCTCACTTTGTCACCCAGGCTGGAGTGCAATGGTGCCATTATGGCTCACTGCAGCCACAACCTCCCAGGCTCAAGCCATCCTCTGGCCTCAGCCCCCCGAGTAGCTGGGACTACAAGCACACACCACCACAGCCTACTAATTTTTGTATATTTTGTAGAGACAGGGTTTCACCATGTTGTCCAGGCTGGTCTTGAACTCCTGGGCTCAAGTGATCTGCTTGACTTGGCCTCCCAAAGTGCTGGGATTATGTGAGCCACTGTGCCTGGCCAAGACTGTTGTCATGATCAAGTAAGGTAATATACGGTATTAGAGATGTCCATGTAAACTTAAAAAGAAAAATAAGAACAACAGAAAAGAAATAAGGTAATATAAGTAAAAGTGAAGCTGGGTGTGATGGCACCCCCTGTAGTCCTAGCTACTCCAGAGGCTGAGGTAGGAGGATTGCTTGAGCCTAGGAGTTTGAGGCTACCCTGGGAGAAATAGGAAGACTGTCTCAAAAAGTGTTTAACTGGAAAGCACTTAATTTTATATAAAAAAATGCTACTTTTATTTTTTAAATTTCTTTCTTTTATCTTGAGACAGGGTCTCCTTCTATTGCCCAGGCTGGTCTTGAATTGCTGGCCTCAAGCAATCCTCCTGCCTCAGCCTCCCAAAGTGCTAGGATTACAGGCATGAGCTACCACACGCGGCCAAAATACTACTTTTAATTTTTCTTCCTTCTGTCTTATAGTTTCCTTTGAAGTAAAATAAGCTGCAAAATATGAAGAGCTGGCCGGGCGCGGTGGCTCACACCTGTAACCCCAGCACTTTGGGAGGCCAAGGCGGGCGGATCACGAGGTCAGGAGATCGAGACCATCCTGGATAACACGGTGAAACCCCGTCTCTACTAAAATACAAAAAATCAGCCGGGCGTGGTGGCGGACACCTGTAGTCCCAGCTACTCAGGAGGCTGAGGCAGGAGAATGGCGTGAACCTGGGAGGTGGAGCTTGCAGTGAGCCAAGATCATGCCACTGCACTCCAGCCTGGGTGACAGAGCGAGACTCCATCTCAAAAAAAAAAAAAAAAAAATGACGAGCTACCTGTATAGAATTTGATAATATTTGATATATCTTAAATTTAAATTGTTTTTCTTTTCTCATTTCTTTCCTTCCTCTTTTTTTTTTTTTTTTTTTTTAGAGATAGGGTTTTACTATGTTGTCCAGGCTGGTCTCCAACTCCTGGGCTCAAGCAATCTGCTTGCCACAGCCTCCCAAAGTGCTGGGATTGCAAGCATGAGCCATTGCACCTGGCCTTAAATTTAAAATTTTTAAAATAGTAAATGTATATACAAGGCATAAAATTCAAAGGGTCCAATAAGTCTCCCTGCCACTCAGTCCTCAGCCCTGTTCCCCTACACTGATAGAGGGAACCACTGTAACCACTTTCTTGTGGAGCCTTCTAGAAATGTTTTACTTTTTAATTGATTATTTTTTTCGAGACAGATCTCACTCTGTTGCCCAGGCTGGAAAGCAGTGGCTCAATCACAGTTCACTGCAGCCCCCATCTCCCAGACTCAAGCAATCCTCTGTCTCAGCCTTCTGGGTAGCTGGGCCTACAGGTGTCTGCCACCACACAGCACTAATATTTTTTTTTTTTTTTTGAGATGGAGTCTTGCTCTGTCGCCTAGGCTAGAGTGCAATGGCACAATCTTGGCTCACTGCAACCTCCGTCTCCCGGGTTCAAGCGATTCTCCTACCTCAGCCGGATCCCAACCTGTAGCTGGGATTACAGGTGCCTGCCATCGCATCCGGCTAATTTTTGTATTTTTAGTAGAGATGGGGTTTCACCATCTTGTCCAGGCTGATCTCGAACTCCTGACCTTGTGAACCACCCACCTCAGCCTCCCAAAGTGCTGGGATTACAGGCGTGAGCCACCATGCCCGGCAATTTATTTTTTGTAGTGACAGGGTATAGCTATGTTGCCCAAGCTGGTCTTGAACTCCTGGCCTTAAACAGTCCCCCTGCTTCACCCTCCCAAAGTGCTGGGATTATAGGCATAAGCTGCTGTGGCCAGCTTAGAAATGTTTTATTCACACACAATACGTGTGTGTGTGTGTGTTTTCCTGTTTTATTTATTTTATTTATTTATTTATTTTTATTTTTTGAGACAGAGTTTCACTTTTGTTGCCCAGGCTGGAGTGCAGTGGCTCTATCTCGGCTCACCACAACCTCTGCCTCCCGGGTTCAAGCGATTCTCCTGCCTCAGCCTCCTGAGTAGCTGGGACTACAGGCGCCCACCACCATGCCCAGCTAATTTTTGTATTTTTAGTAGAGAAGGGGTTTCACCATATTGGCCAGGCTGGTCTCGAACTTTTGACCTTGTGATCTGCCCACCTTGGCCTCCCGAAGTGCTGGGATTACAGGCATGAGCCACCACACCTGGCCTATCTATTTTATTTTTTGAGATGGAGTGCACTGGAATGATCACGGCTCACTGAAGCCTTGACCTCTTAGGCTCAAGTGATCCTCCTGCCTCAGCCTCCTGAGTAGCTGGGACCACAGGTGTGCACTACCATGGCCAGATAATTTTTAAATTTTATTTATTTAGAGACAACATCTCACTCTGTTGCTCAGGCTTGAGTGCAGTGGCCAGATCATGGCTTACTGCAGCCTCAATCTCCTGGGCCCAAATGATCCTCCCAAGTAGCTGGGACTACAGGCATGCGCCATCACCCCCAGCTAATTTTTTTTATTTTTTGTAGAGATAGGGTTTCACCGTGTTGTCCAGGCTGGTCTTGAACTCCTAGGCTGAAGCAGTTCGCATGCTTCGGCCTCCCAAAGTGCTGGGATTATAGGCATGAGGCTCTGTGCCTGGCCATAATTTTTTCATTTTTTGTAGAAATGCTTTACTATGTTGCCCAGGCTAATCACGAACTCCCAGGCTCAAGCAATCCTCCTGCCTCAGCCTTCTAATGTGCTGGGATTACAGGTGTGAACCACCCTACTCGGCCTAGAAATGTTTTATTCATACAAAAAATGTAGGCCAGGCGCCATGGCTCATGCCTGTAATCCCAGCACTTTGGGAGGCCAAGGTGGGCGGATCACCCGAGGTCAGGAGTTCCAGACCAGCCTGGCCAAGATGGTGAAACCCTGTCTCTACTAAAAATACAAAAATTAGCCAGACATGGTTGCATGCGCCTGTAATCCCAGCTACTCAGGAGGCTGAGACAGGAGAATTGTTTGAACCTCAGAGTCAGAGGTTGCAGTGAGTCAAGATCACACCACTGCACTCCAGTCTGGGCAACAGAGCAAGACTCTGTCTCAAAAAAAAAAAATTATATATGTATATCTACACACACACACACACACACACACACACGTGTGTGTGTGTGTGTCTGAGTATACCCATGTTTTAATTTTTTTTAATTAATTTTTTTTTGTGATGGAGTTTCACACTTGTCTCCCAGGCTGTAGTGCAGTAGCACAATCTTGGCTCATTGCAACCTCCACCTCCTGAGTTTGAGTGATTCTCCTGCCTCAGCCTCCCAAGTAGCTGGGATAACAAGCATGCACCACTACACACAGCTAATTTTGTATTTTTAGTAGAGATGGGGTTTCACCATGCTGGCCAGGCTGGTCTTGAACTTCTGACCTCAGGTGATCCACCTGCCTCGGCCTCCCAAAGTGCTGGGATTACAGGTGGGCCCACGCGCCCGGCCATATCCATGTTTTAAAACCAGTGATGGAGCACTGAAGCATAGTGCATATATGGTTCTGTGTCTTTATTCAATTAACTGCATTTCTTGGAGATTGTCACAAATCAGTACCTGTGGAGCTGCCTTTTTTTTTTTTTTTTGAGATGGAGTTTTGCTCTGTTGCCCAGGCTGGAGTGCAATGGTGTGATCTCGGCTCACTGCAACCTCTGCCTCCTGGGTTCAAGCAATTCTCCTGCCTCGGCCTCCTATGTAGCTGAGATTACAGGTATGCACCACCAAGCCCGACTAATTTTTGTATTTTTAGTAGAGATCGGTGGCGGGGGGGGGGGGGTCTCACTGTGTTGGCCAGGCTGGTCTTGAACTCCTGACCTCAAGCAATCCACCCGCGTAGGCCTTTCAAAGGGCTGAGATTACAGGTGTGCACCACTGCGTCCAGCTGGAGCTGCCTTTTGTTGATATGTAAAGAGTAGCTACCCTTTATGTATGATGTGCCGGATGTTTTATTTTTTAATTTTATTTTATTATATATATTTTTGAGACGGAATCTCGCTCTATTGCCCAGGCTGGAGTGCAGTGGTATGACCTCAGCTCAATGCAATCTCTGTCTCCTGGGTTCAAGTGATTCTCCTGCCTCAGCCTCCCGAGTAGCTGGTATTACAGACGCCCGCCACCACGCCCGGTTATTTTATTTTATTTTTTTTTTGTATTTTTAGTAGAGACGGGGTTGGTTTCACCATGTTGGCCAGGTTGGTTTTGAACTCCTGACCTCAAGTGATCTAGCCACCTCAGCCTCCCAAAGTGTTAGGATAACAGGCATGAGCCACCGTGCCTGGCCACGCTGGATGTTTTAATTTTTTTTTTTTTTTTTTTTTGAGATGGAGTCTTGCTCTGTCACCAGACTGGAGTGCAGTAGCATGACCTCGGCTCACTGCAACCTCTGTCTCCTGGGTTCAAACAATTTTTGTGCCTTAGCCAGCTGGGACTACAGGCACGTGCCACCACACCCAGCTAATTTTTGTATTTTTAGTAGAGATGGGTTTCACCGTGTTGGCCAGGATGGTCTCAATATCCTGACCTCGCGATCCACGCGCCTTGGCCTCCCAAAGTGCTGGGATTACAGGTGTGAGCCACTGGGCCCGGCCTTTTTTTTTTGAGACAGGATCAGAGCACAGTGGTGTAATCTCAGCTTACTGCAGCCTTCTCCTCCTGGGTTCAAGTGATCTCCTGCCTCAGCTTCCCAAGTAGTTTTCTTTTCTCAAAAAAAGAAAAAAAAAGATATTCTTTTTTTTGAGACAGAGTCTCACTCTGTCACCCAGGCTGGAGTGCAATGGCGCAATCTCAGCTCACTGCAACCCCCGCCTCCCAGGTTCAAGCGGTTCTCCTGCCTCAGCCTCCCGAATAGCTGGGACTACAGGTGTGTGCCACTACACCCGGCTAATTTTTTTGTATTTTTGTTAGAGATGAGATTTCACCATGTTGGTCAGGCTAGTCTCGAACTCCTGACCTCATGTGATCTGCCCACATTGGCCTCCCAAAGTGCTGGGATTACAGGACTTTGTAATCAGGACCATGCCCAGCCAAACTTTGTCTCACTATAGCTTTCTGATGTATTTATTTATTTACTTACTTATTTTTTAAATCTGTATACTCAGAGTGCTTTATGATGTCTTGATATCGTTTAGAACAAGTGCTTCCACATTGCTCTTCTTCTTCAGGAATGTTTCTGACTATTCTTGGCGTTTTGTATTTCCATGTAAGTTTTAGAATCAGTCTATCAAGTTCACAAACCAAACCTGTTACATATTGTTAAGTTAGAAAAAAAAAAAAAGCAGGGCCTGGCGCAGTGGCTCATGCCTGTAATCCCAGCACTTTGGGAGGCCGAGGCGGGCAGATCACGAGGTCAGGAGATCAAGACCACCCTGGCTAACACGGTGAAACCCCTATCTCTACTAAAAATACAAAGTATTAGCCAGGCATGGTGGCAGGCACCTGTAGTCCCAGCTATTCAGGAGGCTGAGGCAGAAGAGTCACTTGAACCCAGGAGGCGGAGGTTGGAGTGAGCCAAGATCTTGCCGTGAGCCAAGATCTTGTCACTGCACTCCAGCCTGGGCAACAGAACGAGACTCCGTCTCAAAAAAAAGAAAAAAATATTGTAGGCTGGGCAAGGTGTGTTCCCAGTGCTTTATGATGCCAAGGTGTGAGGATCACTTGGGGCCAGGAGTTTGAGAGCAGCCTGGGCAAATAGCGAGACGCCATCTCTACAAAAATATAAAAATAAAATAATAATAATAATAGAATTAACCAAGCACAGTGGTGCACACCAGTAGTCCCAGCTAGTAGACTGAGGCGGGAGTATCAGTTGAGCTCAGCAGTTTGAGGCTGCAATGAGCTACAATCACACCACTGCACTTCAGCCTGGGTGGAAGACGAAAACCCTGTCTCAAAAAAAAATAAATAAATAATAAATGGTATAGTACTATCATACTTTTGAGTAATCTGCTTTATTATTTTTTCCTTTTTTTTCTTTTTTTGAGACGGAGTTTCACTCTTGTTGCCCAGGCTGGAGTGCAATGGCATGATCTCAGCTCACCACAACCTCAGCCTCCTGGGTTCAAGCGATTCTCCTGCCTCAGCCTCCCAAGTAGCTGGAATTACAGGCATGCACCACCACATCCGGCTGATTTTTTTGTATTTTTAGTAGAGATGGAGTTTTGTCATCAGAAATAAAAAATTTCCATTTTGAAGTGAAAAATTAGGATACTTCAGTATGGCTGGGCGCAGTGGCTCATGCCTGTAATGCTGGCAATTTGGGAGGCCGAGGCAGGCAGATCACTTGAGGTCAGGAGTTCAATACCAGTGTGGCCAATATGGTGAAACCCTGTCTCTACTAAAACTACAAAAATTGGCCAGGCATGGTGGTGCGTGCCTGAAATCCCAGGTACTCGGGGGGCTGAGGCAGGAGAATCACTTTAACCTGGGAGGCAGAGGTTGCAGTGAGCCAAGATCACTCCATTGCACTCCAGCCTGGGCAACAGAGAGATACTCTGTCTAAACCAAAAATAAATAAATAAAAAAATAAAAAAGAAGGATACATCAGTACATCAGTATGATAAAATATTCAGGAACCATTAAAATTGCTGATTTTTGGATAGGAGGGGATGGAGGAAAAAATTGCTGATTTTTATGTTTTTCAAAAAGTAAATTATGTCCACTCCACTGCTTCACTTGAATAGCCTTAAAAAAAAAAAGTAAATTGTTAGTTTTTTCATCTACATCTTCTTTTTATTTAAACATCTGTTTATCTATTAGGACCTTATCAAGCTTGAAGATCTTTAAAAAGAAAAGTAAAAGTAATGCAAGAGAACAAAAAGATTGTCAGTGAAAGATATATAATTGCATTAAGGTAAGACTTTTTTTTTCCTTTCCTTTTTTTTTTTGAGACAGAGTCTCTCTCTTTCACCCAGGCTGGAGTGCAGTGGCACCATCTCAGCTCACTGAAATCTCCGTCTCCCAGGTTCAAGCGATTCTCCTGCCTCAGCCTCCTGAGTAGCTGGGATTACAGGTGCCCACCACCATGCCCGGCTAATTTTTGTATTTTTAGTAGAGACAGAGTTTCACCATGTTGGCCAGGCTGTTCTTGAACTCCTGACCTCAAGTGATCTGTCTGCCTTGGCCTCCCAAATTGCTGGGATTACAGGCGTGAGCCACTGTACCCGGCCAAGGTAAGATATTTCATATGTTATAATGAACGATGGGTTAAATTCAAATACAAGTAATATACCACTTTTTTTTTTTTTTTTGAGACGGAGTCTTGCTCTATCGACCAGGCTGGAGTTCAGTGGCGCGATCTCGGCTCATTGCAAACTCCGCCTCCCGGGTTCACGCCATTCTCTCGCCTCAGCCTCCCGAGTAGCTGGGACTACAGGCGCCCGCCACCGCGCCCAGCTGATTTTTTGTATTTTTAGTAGAGACGGGGTTTCACCGTGTTAGCCAGGATGGTCTTGATCTCCTGACCTCGTGATCCGCCCGCCTCGGCCTCCCAAAGTGCTGGGATTACAGGTGTGAGCCGCCGCGCCCGGCTGTAATATACCACTTTTATGTTGCATTAACATTACAGCTCCTGGGCCAGACATGGTGGTTCATACCTGTAATCCCAGCAGTGTGGAGTGTGAGCCATCAGTATTGCTGGAGCCCAGGAGTTCAAGACCAGCCTGGGCAACATAGCAACACCCTGTCTCTACAAAAAGTTAAAAAATTAGCCACGTGTATGGAGAGTGCCTCTAGTTCCAGCTACTTGGGAGCATGAGGCAGGAAGATCACTGGAGCCCAGGAGTTTGAGGTTGCAGTTAGCTATGATTGTGCCACTGCACTCCAGCCTGGGTGACACAGTGAGACCCTCTCTCTAAAAAACAACAAAGAATTACAGCTCCTATCAGTTTGGATGTCCCTGGTACTTGTAGAAAAATAAGGATTACAGTAGACTTCATTTGGCTGAAGTCTTTGAGTTGCAGGATTCATAAGCCTGTTCTATAGGAGCCACTTTCCTCATTTTCAGTTTTCTCAGGTTTTTTTTAAAATTTTTTTATTTAGAAATTTTTTTAGAGACTAAGTCTTGCTCTTTTGCCCAGGATGGAGTGCAGTGGTAAAATCATAGCTCACTGTAGCTTCAAGCTCCTGGGCTCAAGCAATTCTCCTGAGTCAGCATCTTGAATAGCTGGGATTACAGGTGAGAACCAGTGCACTCGGCCAGCTGATAATTTTAACTCCTTGCTAAATGTTGCAAAGCCATATGACTGTGAATACATTGCTAGGATCTTTGAAGAGTCTCCAGGCAAGTGAGGGGCCCTAAATCATAAGCTCCATCAGCTTCATGGATCTCAGTATTATTATTTCTGAGCCTGCCAGTGGGGGCCAGTGTAGGACCACCAATGACCCAGAACATGGACTGTGGCTATGACGGGAACAAATTAATTGCTCCAAAGTGAAAAGTATTTTTTTAAGGAATACTTTCTACCACCTGGGTCTTACTGGATTTTTTTGCTTGCAGGATTCCTAGAGCTCTAACCTGGGAAACACAGCAAAACCTCATCTCTACAAAAAATAAAAAAGTTAGCCAGGCATGGTGGTGCGTGCATATGATCCCAGGTACTCAGGAGGCTGAGGCAGGAGGATTGCTTGAGCCCTGCCCAGAAAGTAGAGGTTGCAGTGGGCTGTGATTACATCACTGCACTCTAGCCTGGGTGACAGAGAGAGACCCTGTCTCAGAATTAAAAAAAAAAAAAAAAAGCTGGGTGTGGTGGTTCCTGCCTGTAATCCCAGCACTTTAGGAGGACGAGGCAGGAAGATTACTTGAGTCCAGGAGTTTGAGACCAGCCTGGGCAACACAGTGAGATCTTGTCTGTATAAAAAATAAAAAAATTAGCCAGGCACAGTGAAGGGACTTCGCATGTGTGAAGTTCCAGGTACTCTGGAGGCTGAAGTGGGAGGATGGCTTGAGCCAGGGAGGTTGAGGCTGCAGTAAGCAGTGATGGTGTCACTGAGCTTTAGCCTGGGTGAAAGAGCGAGATCCTGTCTCAAAAAGTAAATAAACGATGAAAACTATTTTAGAGTTTTTTAATGGTAAAATTATGATTTCTATTCATGTTATTGCTGTATTTACTTACTGCCTAGTTTATAATTTGCTTGACTCTTCCAGATGTGGCCCTAATCTTTCCACAGTCAAGCGTGTACTACTATTTCACAGCATTTTCCTTTCCAAACTGTGTGCCAAATAAATCGGGGTCTCCAACCCCAGAGCCGTGAACTGGTACCCGTCTGTGGCTTGTTAGGAATGGAGCAGCACAGGATGAAGTGAGTGGTGGGTAAGTGAGCATTACCACCTGAGCTCTGCCTCCTGTCAGATCAGCAATGGCATTAGATTATCATAGGAGTGCGAACCCTATTGTGAACTGCGTATGCAAGGGGTCTAGGTTGTCCACTCCTTATGGGAATCTAATGCCTAATTATCTGAGGTGTAACAATTTCATCCCGAAACCATCCCCCCGACCTCCTCCACCCCCTACCACCATTTCCTGGAAAAACTGTCTTCCACAAAACCAGTCCCTGGTGCCAAAAAGGTTAGGGACTGCTGAAATAAAATCATGTCATAGGTGAAGTCCTTGTTTCTTCCCTTTTGTCTTCCTCTTTCTCTGTAATCTTTATTTCTTATGGCCTGTTTTTCTTTCTGGTATGGTTTGGTCTCACTTAACTCTCATATTTCTTTCTTAAGTGTAGATGTATTGTAACTTAAACAATGTTACTTTTTGGTCTTGATGGATGGCTCACACCTGTAATTCCAGCACTTTGGGAGGCTGAGGTGGGCAGATCACCTGAGGTTGGGAGTTCGAGACCAGCCTGACCAACATGGAGAAACCCCGTCTCTACTAAAAATACAAAATTTGCTGGCGCAGTAGCTCACACCTGTAATCCCAGCACTTTGGGAGGCCGAGGCGGGCAGATCACGAGGTCAGGAGTTCAAGACCAGCCTGGCCAACATAGTGAAACCCTGTCTGAACTAAAAATACAAAAATTAGCCAGGGATGGTGGCGTGCGCTTGTAGTCTCAGCTACTCTGGAGGTTGAGGCAGGAGAATCACTTGAACCTGGGAGGCGGAGGTTATGGTGAGCTGATATCGCGCCATGGCACTCCAGCCTGGGCAACAAGAGCGAAACTCCATAAAAAAAAAAAAAAAAATTAGCCGGGCATGGTGGCCCGAACTGTAATCCCAGCTGTTCGGGAGGCTGAGGCATGAGAATTGCTTGAACCTGGGAGGCGGAGGTTGTGGTAAGCCGAGATCGTGCCATTGTACTCCAGCCTGGGCAATAAGAGCGAAACTCTGTCTCAAAAAAGAAAAAGAAAAAGAAAAATTAGCCAGGCATGGTGGCGTGCACCTGTAATCCCAGCTGAGGATTAGGCATGAGAACTGCTTGATCCCAGGAGGTGGAGGTTGCAGTGAGTTGAGATCATTCCACTGCACTCCAGCCTGGGCAACAGAGTGAGACTCCATCTCAAACAAAACAAAACAAAACAAAACAAAAAACAAACAGGCGAGCCCAGCACAGCGGTGCAAGCCTGTGGTCCCAGGTACTCAGGAAGCTGAGGCATGAGGATCCCTTGAGCCCTCACGATAGCACCTGTGAATAGTTACTGCATTCTAGCCTGGGCAACATAGCAAGACCTATTTCTAAAATAAAAATGTAGACAAATTATTACATTCTAGGCAGTACGCCCAGTGGTGAATAAGATGGAGTCTGCGCCCTCAGGGACTATGTGTTGGTTTAAATTTTCACCTCAAGTTAACATTTGTGATTCAATATAAGTGATGAAGTTTGGGGGCCTTTGAGGGACCTGGGGATAAAGTGTTTTTTTGTCCAGAAATACTTGCCAGAGGCCCCTTAAATCACTTGGCCATAGCATCTGCTTTCTTGGCTTACTTCTAAGACTGGCTGTGTACACATAGAAGGAAAAAGAACATTAAAAAAAATGTTTTGCGATTCTAAGGCAGAGTAGTTTAATAGAGTATGGAGTTGGGAGGCTGAAGAACTAAACTCTACACAAGGTCCAGTATGAATTTTGTGACCATGAACAAGTAACTTCATATCCTTCTATGTCAGGGAAGACTGAGTTGTGTATGGAAAGAAAGGGGCTTTGGACAGAGTTTACTGTGTATTCATCCATTCATTTAAAAAACAAAAAACAAACATTACATTCTAGGCAGTATGCCAGGTTCTAGGGAGACAGTGATCTGCCCTCAGTGAGTACTACTTATTGATTTTGAGCAAATTTTCACCTCTTGAGTTTACTTTCCCATTTGTAAAAGGGATGAAAATAATACCTATTCCATATTTCCCAAGAATCACTGTTGTAGTGATCCATAGTTCTAGCAGGAGATTTGAATTCCTTGAGTGTGCTGACTGGAAAAAAAAAAGAAAATTGCTTGTTAGTTCAAGTTCTTCATTTGTAGGTGACAGAACAGGGCTCAGAAGATTAACTGACCATTCTAGTTCCTTTTTTACTTCTCACATGCAATGCAGCTTCCCTGAAGATTCTTTTGCAACTTTTGGGGCCTCTCCTTCCCTTCCTCCCTGGCCTGGGTGCTCCAGCCTACCCAGACGCAGTGTTCCAGAGCCCACTGTGAATGTGGTTTTGCTAAGGCTGAGTTCTTCCTTAGCAGTCCACGAATGCCATCTCTTGTCTTGAAATCCAGCCATCCAGTAACTCCTAACTGTCACCTCTTCCATAAGGTCATGAACCCTCAACTTGAAAAGGCCATTCTCTCTGAGAATCTCAGAATGCTTTGTACCTTGGCTTATTATGATGATCCTTAATCTGTGGCAGTTTCATCCTACCCTAGATTGTAAATTGTATCCTCTTGCTTATTTCTTTTCTTTTTTTTTTTTTCTTGAGACAGAGTCTCGCTCTGTCGCCCAGGCTGGAGTGCAGTGGCACGATCTCCACTCACTGCAAGCTCCGTCTCCCGGGTTCACGCCATTCTCCTGCCTCAGCCTCCCGTGTAGCTGGGACTACAGGCGCCTGCCACCATGCCCGGCTAATTTTTTGTATTTTTAGTAGAGACAGGTTTCTACCGTGTTAGCCAGGATGGTCTCGATCTCCTGACCTCATGATCCGCCCACCTCGGCCTCCCAAAGTGCTGGGATTACAGGCGTGAGCCACTGCGCCCGGCCTCCTCTTGCTTATTTCATGCCAGCGGTGCATTGAGTAATGTCTTGTAACAGAGCTGATTGAATTCCTGAATGAGTTGAATGGCAGCACGATAGCAATAACATCTGACCAGCCTACCATAGGTGGTTCTATTACTACCTATGTAGTCATAAAACAAGGCAATAAATATGAAGCAATTCTGTCAATGTTGTTGTTGCTGTTTTGTTTTGAGACAGGTTTCACTCTGCTGCCCAGGATGGAGTTCAGTGGCATGATCACAGCTCACTGCAGCCTTGACCTTTTTGGGCTTGGTGATCCTCCCACTTCAGCCTCCCTAGTAGCTGGGACTACAGGTGCAAGCCACCATGCCTCGCTGATTTTTGTATTTTTTGTAGAGTTGGGGTTTCACTATGTTGCTCAGGCTGGTCTTGAACTTCTGGGCTCAAGCAATCCTCCTGCCTTGGCCTCGCAAAGTGCTAGGATTATAGGCATATGCCACCATGCCCCTAAAGGTGACATCAAGAGAGGTGAGTAGATAGAAAGCAGTTTGGGAGTTGATTGACATTTGAAATAGCTGGGGAAATGATTATTACTTTTTTCCTTTTTTTGCCTGGAGACTCCCAGTATTGGAGGATATAATCATTGTTCTCAATTTTTTGAAGATCTGTCAAGTGGAAGACATTCTGTATTGCTCCAGGCAGCCTAACTACCAGCAATGGAAGGAAATAAAGGGAAACAGATTTCAGCTCAGCAGGAGGCAGAACTTTCTAACATTTAGAGCTGTCCAACAGTGGAGCAGGCTGCATTACTTGAGGGAGTGAGCTCCCTGAAATTTGAACTGTTGAACAGGAAGATGACCATCTGGCTGAATGTACAGGAGGGAATTCCTGCCTGGGCAACAGTTGCACTAGTGACCTTTAAGCAGGTATCTTCCAATTTTAAGGTTTCTAGACTGTTCAACTCAGCTAACTTGACCTCTGAATATATGAGTTATGGTGTTACAAAAATTATTAGACAGTTCATTTATTGACTTACCTAAAATAACTGCATGGTGAAGTTTATGATAAGCAAGATTTTAGAAACTGAGAAGTGGGAAGGCAGGTTTTACACTGAAAATCCAGATACCATCCAAACCAATTAATGGCACTTAGAACAAAAGGGAAGGGAGGGGCCGGCAGCGGTGGCTCACGCCTGTAATCCCAGCACTTTGGGAGGCCGAGGCGGGCGGATCACGAGGTCAGGAGATCGAGACCATCCTGGCTAACACGGTGAAACCTCGTCTCTACTAAAAATCAAAAAATTAGCCGGGCGTGGTGGCGGGCGCTTGTAGTTCCAGCTACTTGGGAGGCTGAGGCGGGAGAATGGCGTGAACCCGGGAGGCGGAGCTTGCAGTGAGCCGAGATTGAGCCACTGCACTCCAGCCTGGGCGACAGAGCCAGACTCCGTCTCGAAAAAAAAAAAAAAAGGGAAGGGAGGTTTGTAAGTAGTGTGTGCGTACGTGTGAGAGAGAAACAGAGAAGAGAGAGAGTCATTCATGCGAATAATGTGTCCTGGGCAACTGAGCGTTGTCACAGAAAGCATAAAACGCTCTACATTTTTGCTTTACACATACTTGCTCAGTCGGATTCTTCACGTCCAGCATTACTGCAGGCGGAAACCAGGGCCCAGGCCTGGTGAACAGCCTTCCGGAAGACGATTCCGGACCCGGACACCCACGACAGCCTCAGGGGGCAGCTGACCTAGGGCTGCCTAAGGCGGAAGTGGGAGCCCCTAGCCGCCCGGGCGGAACTACAGCTCCCAGAGGCCCCCGCGGCGCTGCGCACGCGCGCTGGCGTGGCGGCAGCGCCGCTGCAGGACGCAGGGAAGCCAACAGGCGAGTGGCGAAGGTGGCGGCAGCGGCGGCGGGGGCAGTCACCGGCTAGGGCGACGGCTCCGAGGCCGAGTGGCGGTCCGACAGAGTCCTCCGTGTCCTCCCCCGCATGACCCCCTTGGTGAGTACGCGTCCCGATTTAGTCCGCGGGCTGTGAGCGGCTCCCTGCCTCGCGGCCGGGTTGCTCCGGCCTAGGGCCGCAGCCTGTCTCTGACTGCCCGGCCGTCAGGTCCAACTGACCCCGGGGTCCTGGGCTCTTCCCGTCAGTGTCGGGCGAGGTGGGGGTCGGGGGACACTGGGTTAGACCCAGGGGAGAGATGTGGCGGCGCGCAGGAGCCAGGGCGGCCTGGGGCTGAGGAGAGGGAGAGACGCGTGGGGGATGGGATGGGAAGGGACAGGAGGACCGCGGGGCGGCCTCGGGTGGGGGCCAGAGACGAGAGGCCCGGCAGGTAGGGAACTGAGTATAGGAGGCGAGAACGAAATGGAATGTCTTCTGAGTGTCGCTGATAAAGATATCGTGCTGCAGGGAAGCTTGACAAGCTGGACACACGGGTCTGGGGGCAGCCCACCTAACACAGACACTCACTGTACTTGGCATCTTTCCACTTGCTGTCGGAGGTCTGAAAGTGAGGGAGCTGTTGGTTGTTTCCATCCCTTTTCTTTTAACTTCACCTTTTATTGACTGGCAAAATTGTAGTGAGTGCTGGCTAGGCAAACCACAGAAGTACACCCAGGGTTCTGTGTATAAATGTGCATAAAAACAGGGAGACATAGTGATAGGTTCAGATGAGAACTAGGTCAAAGGAGGAATCAGTGTTTTTATTTTTAAATTTATGACGAAAATCAGTTCTGAGCAGGACTTTGAACTAGAGAGGGGTTTTAAACTGGAGTTCATTGATGGATAGAATTAGAAGGGTCCTTTCACTAGAAGGAGGATAAAATGACATCATTATTTTTATTGACTGCTAACTGAAACTTATTATTTCCTTCAGTTACGAATGTGGACAACAAGCCAGAGTAGCATTAGCAGCGCCTATGACTTTGTGATCAATAAAAATTACGGATATTTTTGCATCATGTTTACAGTTGCAGATAGCTCAGAATATCATTTATGGTTAACACTTCTTTGAATTTCTGGTGTTACTAGACCCGCCGTTAGACATTGTTATTTAATGTGATAATAAGGCTGTACATATATTATGACCATATTAGTTTGTTGTTTTGCTAATATTTCCATATAATTGGTTTCCCTTGTAATCACATGTATTTAATTATGCACTTAAAAGAAATCTGAGAAAGGGACCATAGGCTTCACCAAACTGCCAATGAGGTCCGTGCACAAAAAGATTAAGAACTCCTGAAATAATTTGGGAGGCCGAGGCGGGCGGATCATTGAGGTCAAGAGATCGAGACCATCCTGGCCAACATGGTGAAACCCCATCTCTACTAAAAATACAAAAATTAGTTGGGTGTGGTGGCCCATGCCTGTAATCCCAGCTACTTGGGAGGCTGAGGCAAGAGAATCACTTGAGCCCGGGAGGTGGATATTGCAGTGAGCCAAGATCACGCCACTGCACTCCAGCCTGGCAACAGAGCGAGACTCCGTCTCAAAAAACAAAACAAAACAAAAAAACTCCTGAAATAGAAATAAGGTTTTTTGGATTTATAAGTCTACTTAGAAGAACTGTTGTTTTTTTTTTTTTGGTTGTAAGTTTATTCAATGCAAAAGAATCCTCTCCAATTTTACTGAGGTGGCTGACCACGTCCACGACCAAATCCGTCTCAACTGGAATTTGGCTGCTGACCCAGCCCCAGCCTCAGCTTTCTTGTCGGCACTAAGTGGCACAGCACTCCATCTGTAGGTATGTCTGTCAGCACTCCATCTGTAGGTATGTCTGTCAGCTTCCCCTCTTGTGAGTCTCGCAGGTCACTCACCCTCCAGACCTTTAGGCTGAGGCCTGCCGGTCTCTGGACAGCTATGGCGTAGGGTAGCAGGTACAGTCTCCGGGGGGCAGATGAAGGTAATCCCGGAGATACTGGATACCCTCATTGGTAAGGTACCAGTAGAAATGTCTCCAGGCAAACTGTTCCTTCATGTAGCCTTGAGACTTGAGAGACTGCATGGCCTTCATGACATGAAGGTTGGGCACGTTCTTGTCTGCCAGCTCTGGGTGCTTAGGCATGTGGACATCCTTCTTGGCCACCATGACTCCCTCCTTAAAAAGGAGTTCATAAATGGCAATCTGGTTCTTTAGAAGAACATTTGAATCATTGAAGGCAGACAGGATGACAGTGTAGACGAAAGAGAATTTCATAATCAGGGAGATAAAAAATTTGGATGGGATCAGGGTAGTCTTTTGTTTTGTTTTGTTTTGAGACGGAGTCTGGCTCTGTTGCCTAGGCTGGAGTGCAGTGGCATGATCTCCGCTCACTGCGACCTCAGCTTCCTGGGTTCAAGCGATTCTTGTGCCTCAGCTTCCTGAGTAGCTGGGACTACAGACACCAGCCACCACGCCTGGATAATTTTTATATTTTTAGTAGAGGCAAGGTTTCACCATGTTGGTCAGGCTGGTCTCAAAGTCCTGACCTCAGGTGATCTGCCTGCCTCGGACTCCCAAAGTGCTGGGATTACTGATGTGAGCCACCGCGTCCTGCCCAGAGTAGTCATTTTGAAAGAATAGACCATAGATATTTCATTCAGGGTAATGGGGAATGAACAAAATAATCGGAAGAAGAAAGAAAAGTGAATATGTTGGCCTTTAAATTTTTGTATTAAGGCACCTCCCCACTTCCAAGGGATTGCAGCTCTGTAAGCTCTAATGTAAGCCTGAGAAAAGAAATTTTACTGTTTGCTGGTTTTCTTTAAATCATGGAGGTGGATTTTTTTTTTTTTTTTCTGAGATGGAGTCTCAGGCTGTCGCCCAGGCTGGAGTGCAGTGGCGCGATCTCAGCTCACTGCAAGCTCTGCCTACCGGGTTCATGCCATTCTCCTGCCTCAGCCTCCCAGGTAGCTGGGACTACAGGTGCTGCCACCATGCCTGGCTAATTTTTGTATTTTTAGTAGAAACGGGGTTTCACCATGTTGGTCAGGCTGGCCTCGAACCTCCTGACCTTAAGTGATCTGCCCGCCTTGGCCCCCCAGAGTGCTAGGATTATTGGCGTGAGCCACCGCGCCTGGCCATCTTACATTTTTTAAAAGACAAAAAATTATTTCCCAGCACTATGTTGTGCTTTTGTGAGCATTTGGTTTCATATGGGGACTAATCATTCTTAGTACATGCTGCCATATAGGTTTGATTATTCATCATTTTGTATGAGGTAATAAAAGGGAAAGTCTGTAAGTGAAGTTCTTGTTTTGCTGAGGTTCTTTTACCTTTTACTGTGTGATCCTAGGTTGTTTTATTTCTCTTCATTCTTCTTCCTTCTTTCTTCTTCCTTCTTTTTTTTTGAAACAAGGTCTTGCTGCATTGCCCAGGCTGGACTTGAACTCCTGGACTTGAGTGATCCTCCTGCCTCAGCCTTACCAAGTAGCTAGGACTATAGGTCGGCACCACCACACCTGGCATTGTTTCTTTTTCTGTTCTTCTTTCTGAGAGGGAGTCTTACTTGTCTCCCAGGCTGGAGTGCAGTGGTGTAATCTTGGCTCACTGAAACCTCTGCCTCCCGGGTTCCAGCGATTCTCCTGCCTCAGTCTCCCTCCTGGGCTGGGACTACAGGCGGGTGCCACGATGGCTGGCTAATTTTTGTATTTTTTTGTAGAGACGGGGTTTCACCATATTGGCCAGGCTGGTCTTGAACTCCTGACCTCGTGATCTGCCCACCTCGGCCTCCCATAGTGCTGGGATTACAAGTGTGAGCCACCGCGCCCGGCCAAAAAAAAAATTTCATGTCTGACGATATCAAATGTTGGTGAAGATGTGGCAAAAATGGTAATTTTGAAACTACTGGCCAGGCGTGGTAGCTCATGCCTATAATTTTAGCACTTTTGGAGTTTGAGGGCCACTTGAGTCCTTGAACCCGGGAGTTCAAGACCAGCCTGGGCCTCAAAGTGAGACCCCTGTCTCTATTAAAAAAGAAAAAATTTATAAAAAAAAAAAAAAAAAGAAACTGCTACCGGTTACTGTTAGGAGGAGGAAAAAAAAACTGTTGGTTGAGTGTAAACTGGTATAGCTGCTTTTGAAGACAGTATTTGCAGCCCTTAGTAAAGTTGAAGATAGGCGTACTCTATAATTTCACGTCTATAAGGGATTATGAATGGGAGGTAGTGGCAAAGGGGATGATATCTATAATTTTTTTTTTTTTTTTGAGGTGGAGTTTTGCTCTTGTTGCCCAGGCTGGAGTGCAAATGCGCGATCTCGGCTCACTGCAATCTCCGTCTCCCGGGTTCCAGCATTTCTCCTGCCTCAGCTTCCCGAGCAGCTGGGATTATAGGCATGCACCACTATGCCCGGCTAATTTTTATTTTATTTTATTTTATTTTATTTTTTTTTTTTTAGACGGAGTCTCGCTCTGTCGCCCAGGCTGGAGTGCAGTGGCGTGATCTTGGCTCACTGCAAGCTCTGCCTCCCGAGTTCACGCCATTCTCCTGCCTCAGCCTCCCAAGTAGCTGGGACTACAGGCGCCCGCCACCATGCCCAGCTAATTTTTTGTATTTTCAGTAGAGACGGGGTTTCACCATGTTATCCAGGATGGTCTTGATCTCCTGACCTTGTGATCCACCTGCCTCGGCCTCCCAAAGTGCTGGGATTACAGGCGTGAGCCACCGCGCGCAGCCCGTTATCTATAATTTCTTTTGAGGATATCTATACTTTTTTTTTGAGACTAGACACTACTGTGACAACAGCTAATTCTGGGAGGCAGAATATACGTGCTAAATTATTATTTGTATCTTTCCCTATTTTCTGCTGTTCGTTTTGTTTTTTTCTTTTTGTTTGTTTTTTGAGACAGAGTCTTGCTCTGTGGTCCAGGCTGGAGTGCAGTGGCGCCATCTCAAGTCACTGCAACTTCCCCCTCCTGGGTTCAAGAGATTCTCCTGCCTCAGCCTCCTGAGTAACTGGTACTATGGGCACGTGCCACCACACCTGGCTAATTTTTTGTATTTTTAGTGGAGATGGGGTTTCACCATGTTGGCAAGCCTGGTCTTGAACTCCTGTGATCCGCCTGCCTCGGCCTCCCCAAAGGGCTGGGATTACAGGCATGAGCCACTGTACCCGGCAGGCTTTGTTTTTTTGTAATCCATAACTTCTAAATATTGTTTTTGCAACTCTTTGAAAAATTGTAAGCCTACAGAAGGGTTGTTCAGTAAACATTCATATACCCTTCACCTAGATTTGCTGTTAACATTTTGCCATGTTTACTTTACACATAGAAGATGCACATTTTACTTTGGGAATCCGAGACGGTCAGATTACTTGAGCCTAGGAATTTGAATTTTGAGGCAAGGTCTTGCTCTGTTGTCTAGGTTGGAGTTCAGTTGCGCTATCAGGGATCATTGCAGTCTCGACCTCCTGGGCTCAAGCTGTCCTCCCACTTCAGTCTCCTGAGTAGGTTGGGATGTGCTACCACACCCGGTTAATTAATTTTAGTTTTTTATTTTTTGAGATGGAGTTTCACTCTTGTTGCCCAGGCTGGAGTACAATGGCACAATCTCAGCTCATCGCAGTTTCTGCCTTCTGATTCTCCTGCCTCAGCCTCGCGAGTAGCTGGGATTACAGGCATGTGCCACCATGCCCAGCTAATTTTGTATTTTTAGTAGAGACGGGGTTTCACCATGTTGATCAGGCTGGTCTTGAACTCCTGACCTCAGGTGAACTGCCCGCTTCGGCCTCCCAAAGTGCTGGGATTACAGGGGTGAGCTACCATGCCTGACCAATTAAAAAAAGAATTTTTTTTTTATTGGGAAGACAGGATCTCCCTATGTTCCTCAGGCTGGTCTCAAACTCCTGGGCTCAAGCAATCCTCCCACCTTGACCTCCCAAAGCTTTGGGATTACAGGCGTGAGCCACTATGCCTAGCTGCTAGAATTTAAAATAAACTTTATTCGGCCAGGCACAGTGGCTCACACCTGTGATCCCTGCATTTTGGGAGACCGAGGCGGGTGGATCACCTGAGGTCAGGAGTTTGAGACCAGCCTGGCCGACATGATGAAATCCCATCTCTACTAAAAATACAAAAAATTAGCTGGGCGTGGTGGCTCGCGCCTGTAATCCCAGCTACTCAGGAGGCTGAGGCAGGAGAATCGCTTGAACCCAGGAGGCTGGGGTTGTAGTGAGCCGAGATCACGCCACTGCACTCCAGCTTGAGCAACAAGAACAAAACTCTGTCTCAAAAAAAAACAACAACAAACAAACAAACAACCCCCCCCCCCAAAAAAAAACCAAGAACTTTATTCTACTGGTGCTTTCTTAGCCACCGTCACAATGTTGTCACTTCTCACTTTACGCAGCTGGCTCCACTGAGGGTTTGTGAGCTGGTCTCCAGTGATGGCACATAGTTCTTATTACCTTACATGGTAACACTACCTGATCATGGCGTTCTGGAAATTGTGACAATATGTACTGATCTTTTGTTGGTGCAACTAACAATACAAAAGTTGCTGCTCTGTAAATGTATGCTTCAGTTTCATTAGTTTATTTGGAATAATTACCCCTAACATTGTTTTTTTTTTTTTTTTTTTTTCGAGACAAGGTCTTGGTCTGTCATGCAGGCTGGAGTGCAGTAACGCTATCACAGCTCACTGCAGCCTCCACCTCCCTGTCTCAAGAGATTCCCCTGCCTCAGCCTTCTGAGTAGCTGGGACCACAGGCACATGACACCATGCTTGGCTAACTTGTATTTTGTATTTTATTTTTGTTTGACCAGACGAGTTTTAAATACAAGTTTTGTAGTTTTTGTAGAGGTGCCCACACTGGTCTCAAACTCCTGAGTTCAAGTAGTTCATCTGCCTCGGCCTCCCAAAGTACTGGGATTACAGGCATGAACCACTGCGCCCAGCTACTTGTAATGTTTGTAGGTAGTTTAATAGCGAAAGTAGGTACATTCCAGTGATAAGACATTCAGTTTATTATTTTTTCCTTTTTCCTTTTTTTTTTCTTTAGGGGTAAGTGTACTGGAGAGAGTTGGTTATACATTCTAGGAATCTCAAAGGTAAAGTATGATTTAAAAATATTTTTTTAAAATAATTTTTTTAAGTTTGCCTACAGCTACAAATTTTTAAGTTTTATGTAAGTGGAATCCTTTTTTTTTGAGACATATTCTCACTCTGTCATCAGAGTGCAGTGGTGCCATCATAGCTCACTGAAGCCTCAAACTCCTGGCCTGAACAGGGCGATCCTCCTGCCTCAGCCTCCTGAGTAGCTGGGAATACAGGAGCATGCTACTTTGCCCAGCTGAGTCCTTCTTATTTGCTTTGGACAGACTAGTACTTGAAAAAATAATTTTCAAATGTTTAGTTGAGTGTTTTTTTTTCCTTCAACTTTTGGGAGGCTGTTTTTTTGTCATACATATTTCCTTCTCTGGAGTTAATTTTCTGTTAAGCAAGAAGGATTTCAGTTATGTATTTTTTACACTTGAACTACCTAAACTTGTGCTTGCATAGAATTATTTTCAACTTTAACTCCTTAAGTAATCGTTTTCAGGATATTTTAGTTTTTGTTCTTGTTTTTTTTTTGAGTTGGAGTCTCGTTCTGTCGCCCAGGCTGGAGTGCAGCCTCCCGAGTAGCTGGGATTACAGGTGCTACCATGCCCTGCTCATTTTTTATATTTTTAGTAGAGACAAGGTTTCACCATGTTGGCTAGGCTGGTCTTGAACTCGTGACCTCTGGTGATCCACCCGCTGTGCTGGGATTACAGGCATGAGCTACCATGCCTGGCTTTTTTTTTTTTTTTTTTTTTTTTGGAGGCAGAGTCTCACTCTGTTGCCCAGGCTGGAGTACAGTGGCATGATCTCTGCTTACTGCAACCTCTGCCTTCCAGGTTCAAGTGATTCTCCTGCCTCAGCCTCCCTGGTAGCTGGGATTACAGGTGGCTGCCACCATGTCCAGCTAATTTTTTTTATTTTTAGTAGAGACGGGGTTTTACCATGTTGGCCAGGCTGGTCTTGAACTCCTACTCTCAAGTGATCTGCCCGCCTTGGCCTCTGGAAGTGCTGGGATAGGTGCAAGCCACCATGCTTGGGCAGATGTTTTAATTTGTAAAGGAACTAGGACCAATAATTTTTTTTACTGTATACACATTTTAGAATAAGTTTTAGGCACCTAGCTGTTTGATTTCTGGTAACTAAGATTATAGTCAGTTAAACTTTACTGCTGGCCAGGCATGGTGGCTCATGCCTGTAATCCTAGCACTTTGGGAGGCCGAGGTGGGCGAATCACTTGAGGTCAGGAGTTTGAGTCCAGCCTGGCCAACATGGAGAAACCCCGTCTCTACTAAAAATACAAAAATTAGCTGGGTGTGGTGGCGCACACCTGTAGTCCCAGCTACTTGGGAGGCTGAGGCAGGAGAATTGCTTGAACCTGGGAGGCAGAGTTTGCAGTGAGCTGAGATTGTGCCCCTGCACTCCAGCCTGGGTGACAGAGCTAGAGTCTGTCTCAAAAAAACAAAAACAAAAGAATCTTTCCTTCTTTATGCTTACCTATATTTTCTAACTTTTCTGGATATGTTTCAATATGTATTATGATTTTGTAAAAAATTTCAGAAGGGTGGTTATTTTTTGTTTCAAAGCTGAAACCCAGTTTAAAACTCTAATACAGTGGTCAGAGGAAGTGGTGAATATCTTGATACTTCAGTTTCTAATATTTAATATATATATAAGTGAATGGTTGAGGCCGGGCGCAGTGGCTCACGCCTGTAATCCCAGCACTTTGGGAGGCTGAGGCGGGTGGATCACCTGAGGTCAGGAGTTTGAGACCAGCGTGACCAACATGGAGAAACCCCGTTTCTGGTAAAAGTACAAAATTAGCCAGGTGTAGTGGCACATGCCTGTAATCCCAGCTACTCAGGAGGCTGAGGCAGGAGAATCGCTTGAACCTGGGAGTGGGAGGCAGAGGTTGCGATGAGCCGAGATCGTGCCATTGCACTCCAGCCTGGGCAACAAGAGCGAAACTCCATCTCAAAAAATAAAAAAGAATGGTTGAGTGAAGGACTTAACAGACTACATAGGGGTTTCTATAAATTTTTTTTTTTGAGTTTGAAGATGAACCAGATACCTGATAAATGCTTGTGTCTGAAAGAAAAGTATAAAAGTATAATTTAATTCTAATACTCTTTGTGTGTGTGTGTGGCCAAAATTATGTTTTTGTATACCTTTTTTTGTAAGCCATTTAAAAAATACAGGCTTTAAACATACTCTTGGAAGTGTATAAACAGATACTGTGTCTGCTTGTTAATCTAAGATGTCTGTCCGAAAAGGTGCTTGCTTGGTCTTGCTCCCTTATAATGCCGGTACACCCACGCTGGAGACTAGTAGAAAGCATGTTGTCAGACGTGTTTAGTTCTTTTTTTTTTCCTTACCAACTTATGTGTTGTTATTTATTTTCTGTGAATCTTTGGAAGGATTAAACCCACGTGGTTTTTCTATCAGAAAAAAGACAAAACAAAATTAGTCAAGGCATATTAGTCTTTTTCCTTTTTCCTAGGATCAGAGTGTAGTAATATCCTGCCAATCTTAATTTTAACAAATACTTATATTTTTCGGACTTAGATTAACTTATTTTTTTATTTTTTATTTTTTGAGACAGACTCTTGCTCTCTTGCCCAGGCTGGAGTCCAGTGACCTGATCTTGGCTCACTGCAACCTCTGCCTCCCGGGTTCAAGCGATTCTCCTGCCTCAGCCTCCCGAGTAGCTGGGATTACAGGCACCCACCACCACACCTGGCTAATTTTTGTATTTTTAGTAGAGACGTTGTTTCACCGTGTTAGCCGTGCTAGTCTTGAACTCCTGACCTCAAGTGATCCACCTGCCTCGAGTGCTGGGCTTACCCACCGCACCTGGCCCTCCTTTCACTTTCTAATGCAGAATTCTAATCTATCCCTTTGTTTTACTTGTGTTATTTATATTTACTTACTTCCATTATCTTGGCTACTTTACAAAAATGCATTAGGTCTAAAAGTTATAACATTTAAGGCTGAATTGCCAAATGTTTAAAAATATAGATTTCTGTACCAGAAAAACTTTGGAAAAACTACATTAATTCTTTTTTTTTGAGATGGAGTTTCACTCTGTCTCCCAGGCTGAAGTGCAGTGGCATGATCTCGGCTCACTTCAACCTCTGCTGCCTGAGTTCAAGCGATTCTCCTGCCTCAGCCACCTGAGTAGCTGGGATTACAGGCGCCTGCCACCCTGCCTGGCTAATTTCTGTATTTTTAATAGAGAAGGGGTTTCACCATCTTGGCCAGGCTGGTCTTGAACTCCTGACCTCGTGATCCACCCGCCTCGGCCTCCCAAAGTGCTGGGATTACAGGCGTGAACCTCCGCGCCCAGCCAAAAATACATTAATTCTTTATGCAGAGATGATTTCATCTTTACTAACTCCTTTGGAACCCGAGGAATCTAACTTTGATTCCTCTAAAACAAAGTCCTTTTAATATCTAACTATTGCAGGTTGTGATAGGCCAACTTGGATTCTGACAAAGTAACTTCTTATTAAGGCCTCTCTATGAATAAGTTTCTGTTCCTTAGTTTGAAAACATTACCATGATAATAGTAATGGTAATAGCTGACATTTATTGGATTCGTTCTCTTTTTCTTAGGCATTATGCACATTATTTGAAATTATGAATTCCATAATTCTATAGAGACATCTTAATGATTGATTTCTTTTTGAAAACCTATTTTAACAAACTGGATAATATTGTTGACTAGGAGGTTTCTTTTGGGTAGAACCACAGTAATGATGGTAACGCTGTTTGGAGTTTGATAATGAATATGTATACTTTTTATGAAACACCACTCTGGTAAATGTGATGAAATGTACATGACAGCCCTCTGTTTACATTCTTTAATTTTGAGGGTGGACTCTTGGATCTTGAAACAGGCTTTACCAGTATTACAGCTCAGCAAAAATGCAGCTGAGGCTCAAAGTTCTCTTTCTGCTCCTTCATTCGGTTGTTTTGTGTACCCGCTGTATTTATGGAAGCAGCTTAGTTTATCCAGGGAACCAAAGCTTCCTCAAAGCATGGGGGTTGTGAAAACTTCCTCTAAGTTTACAGTGTTCTAAGGATTTCAGATTGTTCTTAGTTACTTGGTTTATCTTGATCTCCAGATTTATATATATCTTACTGAGTTGTCATTAGAGATTGTTAAATTAGATTTGGTGGTATTTAATTTCACACTCATACAATTAATGGAGGTTTATCTAATTGTGAAAGTTCCAGATAGGCACCCATTTCTAGATTGGTTGGATACTTCTATGTTATTTGCTTCCTCTGGGAAATAATGGGGTATAATTTTAATGCCATTGCAGTTCTGCTTATTAGTGTGCAGCTTGTTATTGTTGAACTATGTCTTATTTTGAAGTTTAGTACTATGCCCTTTTTGTGGCACTTAAAAATTTTCTCATTTTTACAGAATTTGTCTTGTCTTGAGTGTTTCAGTAATTGCACTAGTAGGTCTTCAGCAGGGAAGAGCTTGGTGCCAAATTTTTATTGTTTTTCTTTTCTTTTTTTTTTTTTTTAATTCTTCAGCTAAGACTGCAGAAGAGGTGATTTATTGTATGGATGTTATACTTGGCCACAAGGAAACACAGAAATAGTGCAGAATGTCACAGGTCCAGGGCAGAGGACCAACATGGGCAGTTTTTGTTATGAGCGAGGTGGGTCTCAGGTGATCGGTGATCAGAGGGCGATGAAGTTCTAGATCCATTGAGACAAGCTCTAGACAGTAGCATGCAGTCCCACAACTTGTACCAGCATCCCCAGCATCTGGCATTCCATGTTTCTGCTCCTGTGGCCTCCACGGTGCAACAAGCTAGTGGTTTTCTTGGACCTCTGCCTTATCTTTCTTCTTTTGCGTATTCACTTCTTCCTCCACTTGGCTGTCATGGCACAGAGGTTTCCAAGAAAATGGCGCTAAGGCTGAGAGCTCTTTTCTTTTTTTTAAAAAAAAATTACTAAAGTAATAAATATTCTTTGTTTTTTATTTTTATTTTTATTTATTTATTATTATTATTATCTTGAGATGGAGTAGTGCTCCGTCACTTGAGCTCAGGAGCCTGCACTTGGCCAGGCTGGAGTGCAGTGGCGCAATCTTGGCTCACTGCAACCTCTGCCTCCCCGGTTCAAGCGATTTTCCTGCCTCAGCCTCCCAAGTAGCTGTGATTACAGGCTAACGCCACCACGTCCAGCTAATTTTTGTATTTTTAGTAGAGACGGGGTTTCACCATGTTGGCGAGCCTGGTCTTGAACTCCTGACCTAAAGTGATCTGCCGGCCTCGGCCTCTCAAAGTGTTGGGATTACAGGTGTGAGCCACTATCCTGGGCCTGTTCTTTGTTTTTTTAAAAAAAACTAAAAACAATGGAAAAAAAATGAAGGGTTTTCTTTCTCACATATGCATGCACTTACCATTTGATTTGAATTATTTTCCCCCAAAATTATAGTTAACATTATATATAATAAGCGCTTTGTACTTTTTTTTTTTTTTTTTGAGTTGGAGTTTCACTCTTGTTGCCCAGGCTGGAGTGCAATGGTGCAATCTCGGCTCACTGCAACCTCTGCCTCCCGGGTTCAAGCGATTCTCCTGCCTCAGCCTCCCGAGTAGCTGGGATTACAGGCATGCACCACCACGCCTGGCTAATTTTGTATTTTTAGTAGAGACGGGTTTCTCTGTGTTGGTCAGGCTGGTCTTGAACCCCCAACCTAAGGTAATCCACCCACCTTGGCCTCCCAAAGTGCTGGGATTATAGGCGTGAGCCACTGTGCCTGGCCGCTTTATTCATTTTAATTCATTTAACTTTCAAAAGCCTGTGAACATACCCTATGAAGTAGGTTCTGGTGTATGTGTTTGCAGATGAAGAAACTGAGTCATAGAGAAGTAAAGTAACTAGCCAAAGATTGCACAGCTAGGGAGTGGCAAACCTGAGACTTGAGCCCAGGTACTCTTGCTCCAGCGTTTAACTCCTAGACTGCCTCCGGGATCTTAGGCATATTGTTCTGCAGTTTGCTCTTTTCGCTTAATGATGTCTGATGGACATCTTTCTTTTTTGTTGTTGTTGCTGTTTTTCGTTTTAATTTTTTTCAATTTTTAAATTAAAAAAAATTTTTCTTTGAGACATCTTGTCACCCAGGCTGGAGTGTAATAGTGTGATCTCGGCTCACTGCAACCTCTGCCTCCTGGCTTCAAGTGATTCTTCTGCCTCAGCCTCCCAAGTACCTTGGATTACAGGCGCCTGCCACCATGCCCGGATAATTTTTATATTTTTAGTAGAGACGGGGTTTCACTATGTTGGCCAGGCTGGTCTTGAACTCCTGACCTCAGGTGATCCACCCACCTGGGCCTCCCAAAATGCTGGGATTACAGGCGTAAGCCACCACACCCAACCTAAATTGTTTATTTTTTTGATGGACATCTTTCTACATGGTTTGAGTGTACCATTACTTATTTAACTTAATGCCTTTCAAACTTAATCTTGTTGCCAGGCATGGTGACTCAGGCCTATAGTCCCAGCACTTTGGGAGACCAAGGTGGGTGGATTGCTTGAGCCCAGGAGTTTGAGGCCAGCCTGGCCAACATGGCAAAACCCTGTTTCTGCAAAAAATACAAGAGTTAGTTGGGCATGGTGGCACATACGTGTAGTCCCAGCTGCTCGGTGGGAGGCTGAGGAGGTAGGACGATCACCTGAACCCGAGGAGGTTGAGGTTGCAGTAAGCTGTGATCTAGCCACTGCACTCTAGCCTGGGGGACAGAGCGAGACTCTTTCTCAAAAGAAAAAATAAAAAGACAATCTTGTTTAACATTGCCAATTTCATTAGTAATGATTTCAAGTTATATAAAAAGTCAAGGTTTTTGAATTGGAATAGTCATGGAACATTAGTATTTCCTAAGTAATGCATATTAGCTATTCATGTGTATTGATATTGTCTCAGTTGAGTTGTATAATAAAATCCGAGCTTAACCCACAAACCATTTATTACGAATGAGTTTAATTATTTTTGTAGTTATTCTGTCTTCTTTAGCTCTGGAAAATTAGTGTATTGAGGGTAAAATCAATAATCTGTTTGGATTTCGTTTACTTTTGACATCTTCCAGAATTCTGTTGTCGTCACAAGAAGTCTGTTGTGTTGATTTGAACTGTGAATACTATCTGACATTATATTACCTGTATTTTCAAAGTAATTTGCCTTTCAATTCCTTGTACTTGTGCCAGGCAGCGTTAGTTGGTAGTAAGCCCATTCTTTTTTCTACAATGTTTCACTCTTGCTTCAAATATACCAACTATTCTGTAGGCCAGAGTTCAAAACAAAACAAAACATACGAAAAACCAAATAATACTGACTAAAGATACTAAAATGTCACTTGTTTCAAATTTTTTCTCATTTAATATTTACTGCCTAATTTTGAAGAAATATCTTTCCAGTCTTTAATAAAAATGTTACACCTGTAATCCCAGCACTTTGGGATTACACAGGCGGATCACTTGAGCTCAGGAGTTTGAGACCAGCCTGAGCAACATGGTGAAACCCCATCTCTACAAAAAATACAAAAATTAGCTGAGCGTGATGGTGTACGCCTGTAGTCCCAGCTACTCAGTACGCTGAGGCAGGAGGATTGCTTGAGCCTGGGAGGCGGAGGTTGCAGTGAGCCGAGAGTGCACCATTGCACTCTAGCCTGGAGAACAGAGTGAGACCCTGTCTCAAAACACACAAAGAAATTTCAGATATGCTCATTGGAATGTGAGAAGATATTTTCAACTAAATTTAGTTGCAGGTTTTTTTGTTTTGTTTTGAGACAGGGCCTCGCTCTTGCCTGAGATGAAGAGCAGTGGGACCATCATAGCTCACAGCAGCCTCAAACTCATGGGCTCAAGCAGTGTTCTCATATCAGCCTCCTGAGAACCTAGGACTACAGGTGCATGCCACCACGCCTAGCTAATTTTCTAAATTTTTTTTTCGTAAATATGGAGTCTCCCTATGTTGTCCAGGCTGGTCTTTTGAATTCCTGGCCTCAGGCGATCCTCCCACTTTGGCCTCCCAAAGTGCTGTGATTATAGGTGTGAGCTACCATGCCCAGCCTTAATTACAGTTTTCTAATAATGTTTTCTAATAATTTTGGAACTAAGTAGCAGCTTGACTGATTCCTAATTGGAGCATTGCTCTTTATCAGTCAGTCATTTTTAAAATTAATTATAAATTCAAACATTCATTCAGCACCTGCTAAATGCCAGTCACTGTGCTAAGTAATGGGGATACCGGCATGACAATGTCCTTACTTCAGGGAACTTGGAGTTTTGTTGTAAAAACAACATTTTGTTGCAGACAATGTAAAGTGCTGTGGGAGAGATGAACCCAAATGAGGAAATATCTGAGTCAAGGGACTGTACTTGGTTTGAGCTACACCCTGATACCTAAGTGTGATTTAACTGGCCAATGAAAGGAGTGGACACAGGGCTCTAAAAACAGAATGTATAGAAGTGTAGTTTGTGAAAACTAGTAGAAATTGTCACTGGAAAGTCATGTATCCCTAATATATTGTGTATCCTTCAGTATCCCTAAGGTAATATGCCCTCCATCAAGATCAGACCTTGCCTGTCTTGTTCATCAGTGCTTAGCACATAGGAGGTATTTAATAATTAACATCTGTTGAATGAATGAGTGAAGGAAGTGTGTTAAGTAAAGCATACTATGCTTGTCTGTTTTTTTTTTTTTTTTGAGACAGGGTCTTGCTTTGTCTCCTAGGCTGGAGTACAGCTTACTGCAGCCTTGACCTCCCAGGCTCAAGCAGTCCTCCTACCTCAGCCTCCCAAGTACCTGGGACTTCAGGTGCATGCCACACCCAGCTAATTTTTAAATTTTTTTATAGAAACAGAGTCTCACTATGTTGCCCAGGCTGGTCTTGAACTACTGTACTCAAGTGATCCTCCTGCCTCAGCCTCCCGAAGTGTTGGGATTATAAGCGTGAGCCACTGTACCTGAACTTGTCAATTTTTTGGAACGAGAATGAACCCATTATTTTAGTATATTATTAATGCCTGACAATTTTTAGATCATGTAATTTCACAAAACATAAAATGAGCAAGAAACTGCTCCTGCACTGAAGGGAGTAAGTTCTGTAAGGAGAAGTAAATGTAAATAAATCGTCGTGATTCAACATGATATTTGTAAAAAATATTTGCAAGAGACACTCATCTATTGTATGGATTGGTTAAGTCCCTGAAAAGTGGTGGATAATTTAAAATGCTCACATTAGGCTGGGTGCGGTGGCTTATGGCTGTAATCCCAGCACTTTGGGAGGCCTAGTCCGGCGGATCACCTGAGGCCAGGAGTTGGAGACCAGTCTGGCCAACATGGTGAAACCCTGTCTCTACTAAAAATACAAAAATTAGCCGGACGTGGTAGTGGGTGCTGGTAATCCCAGGTACTCGGGAGGCTGAGGCAGGAGAATCACTTGAACCTGGGAGGCGGAGGTTGCAGTGAGCCAAGATCATGCCACTACCCTCCAGCCTGGGCGACAGAGCGAGACTCCATCTCAAAACAAATAAATAAGTAAAATGTTCACATTAGGCCAGGCAAGGTGGTTCATGCCTGTAATCCCAGCACTTTGGGAGGCCGAGGCAGAAAGATTGCTTGAGCTCAGGAGTTCGAGACCAGTCTGGGCAATGTGGTGAAACCTCATCTCTACACAAAATACAAACATTAGCTGGATGCGGTAGTACATGCTTGTAGTCCCAGCTGCTTGGGAGGCTGAAGTGGGAAGATTGCTTGAGCTTGGGACATCAAGGCTGCAGTGAGCCATTATCATGCCACAGTACTCCAGCCTGGGTGACAGAGCAAGATGCTGTCTGGAAAAAAAAAAACAACAAAACTCACATTAAAATTATTTGATTGATAAAATGCAAGGGATAACATTATAGCAGGTCATTTTAAAAATGGCAGTCATGGCTGGGCACAGTGACTCATGCCTGTAATCCTAGCACTTTGGGAGGCCCAGGAGGGCAGATCATCTGAGGTCAGGAGTTTGAGACCAGCCTGGCCAATATGGTGAAACCCCGTATCTACTGAAAATACAGAAATTAGCCAGGTGTGGTGGTGGGTGCCTGTAATCCCAGCTACTCAAGAGGCTGAAGCAGGGTAATCACTGGAACCTGGGAGGCAGAGGCTGCAGTGAGCCGAGATCACACCACTGCACTCGTCTGGGAGACAGAACAAGACTCCATCTTAAAAAAAAAAAAAAAAGACAGTCATGTACTCTTTTGCCCTATTACATTAATGTGAATATTACATAAATACTATGAGGAAGGCCGGCCGCAATGGCTCACGCCTGTAATCGCAGCACCTTGGGAAGCTGAGGCAGGTGGATCACTTGAGGTCAGGAGTTTGAGAACAGCCTGGCCAAATGGTGAAACCCTGTCTCTACAAAAATACAAAAAAATTATCTGGGTGTGGTGGCACACGCCTGTAATCCCAGCTACTATGGAGGCTGAGACAGGAGAATCACTTGAACCCAGGAGGCGGAGGTTGCAGTGAGCCGAGATCGTGCCATTGTACTCCAGCCTAGGCGACAGAGTGAGACTTCATCTCAAAAAAAAAAAAAAAAATTAAAAATCAAAAATAAAAAAAAAACACTGAGGAAAAGTATGTGCACAATAAAAAAAAATAGTTCTGCCAAAGTGTAGGCATCGGTATATAAAAATCTTTCCCATACATAATCTTCAGATAACATCATGGTTTTTCCCAAATGTGCTTACTATTTGAACTATTATTTATTCAGTGACTTTTTTTTTTTTTTGATACGGAGTCTTGGTGCGATGTTCAGGCTGGAGTACAATGGCGAGATCTTGGCTCCCTGCAACCTATGCTTCCTGAGTTCAAGCGATTCTTCTGCCTCAGCCTCCTGAGTAGTTGGGATTACAGGTACGCACCACCATGCCTGGCTCATTTTTGTATTTTTAGTAGAGATGGGGGTTTCACCATGTTGGCCAGGCTGGTCTTGAACTCCCGACGTCAGGTGATCCACTCAACCTCGGCCTCCCAAAGTGCTGGGATTACAGGCGTGAGCCGCTGCGCTGGCCAAAACATAGTTATTACAACTATTTCAGGAATGTTATATAGAATAAATGAGAAGAGCCGGGCACAGTGGCTCACGCCTGTAATCCCAGCACTTTGGGACTCCAAGGCGGGTGGCTCACCTGAGGTCAGGAGTTCAAGACCAGCCTGACCAACATGGAGAAACCCCGTCTCCACTAAAAATACAAAATCAGTCAGGCATGGTGGTGCATGCCTGTAATCCCAGCTACTTGGGAGGCTGAGGCAGGAGAATCGCTTGAACCCAGGAGGCGGAGGTTGTGGTGAGCCGAGATTGCGCCATTGCGCTCCAGCTTGGGCAACAAGAGCAAAAGTCCATCTCAAAAAAAAAAAAAAAAAAAAAAAAGAATAAATGAGACCATCCATGAAAAGCCCGTAGTTGGTGTCTAGCACCTGGCAGGCCTGAAATGTGTGGTAGTTATTACTGTTTTTATTTCCTAAGCACCCTTATTCTTTACTGCTGATCAGTTAAAACTCTTCAAGCTCAACTGTTACTACTACTTTTTTTTTTTTTTTTTTGAGTCAGAGTCTCACTGTGTTGTCCAGACTGGAGTGCAGTGGCGCAATCTTGGCTCACTGCAAACTCCGCCTCCTGGGTTCACGCCATTCTCCCACCTCAGCCTCTCGAGTGACTGGGATTACATGCGCCTGCCACCACGCCCAGCTAATTTTTTGTATTTTTAGTAGAGATGGGGTTTCACTGTGTTAGCCAGGATGGTGTCAATCTCCTGACCTTGTGATCCGCCTGTCTCGGCCTTCCAAAGTGCTGGGATTACAGGCGTGAGTCAACGTGCCCAGCCAACTGTTACTACTTCTAATAACCTAAAAAAAGATTTGCTATTAGGTGGAAGTCAATATAAAAAGTAGCTTTTCTTAAACTATTCTGGCTGGAAAATATATTTCCTTTGCTTCGATTGATCAGAAATTAGTGCAAATGTAATATAGCTATGGAAATTTTGTTTCATGAAGTTTCTGTGTTTCATTTGTGATCACAGTGAACTGAAAGAAAAAATATTTTTAGTGTGATAAACACCATAATGTGTTAACAGATGTTAATGGGTTCTGGAATGTCATATGGGAGCCGTTCCCTTTTCTAGGCCGTGGTGGTTAGAGATTGTGATAATTACAGTGTTCGAATACTGCTCTCAAGTTTGTATAATTTTTTTTACTGAAAAAAGTTGCTAACTCAGATACTTGAATTTAGAAGTATATTATTTGTTTAATTTAAAAGGTAGACTTAAATTTTTTTTATTTTTGTAGAGAACAGTCTTGCTATATTGTTCAGGCTGGTTATGAACTCCTGACCTCAAGCAGTCCTCCTGCCTCAGCCTCCCAAAGTGCTGGGATCACAGGTGGGAGCCACTGTGCCCAACCTAGAGTTTATTTTTTAGATCAATTTTAGCTTTACAGAAAAATTGAGATGATGGTACAGAGACAGCATCAAGATCAATTCTTCATATTATTAACATCTTATATTAGCATAGTACATTTGTTTCAATTATGACAGTTTGTTACAATATTGTGAACTAATATTGATACATTATCATTAAATAAGGTTCATACTTTGTTCCAATTTCCTCAGTTTTTACCTAGTGTCCTTTTTCTGTTCAGGATCCCATTCAGCATACTATATTACATTTAGATGTTATTGTGTAATTTTTAATTAGATTGTCTTGAATTAGATACATTAATGTATGTGTGTGGATGAAGCACACTATATTACTCATAATGCTCTTAAAGATAATTGGCTTTTTTTTTTTGATGGAGTCTCGCTCTGTCACCCAGGCTGGAATACAGTGGTGGGATCTGGGCTCACTGCAATCTCTGCCTCCTCGCTGGTTCAAGCGATTCTTCTGCCTCAGCCTCCCAAGTAGCTGGGATTACAATAGGCACCTGCCGCTACACCTGGCTAATTTTTAAAAAATTTTAATTTTAGTGGCTCATGCCTGTAATCCCAACACTTTGGAACGCCAAGGTGGGCGGATCACAAGATCAAGAGATTGAGACCATCCTGGCCAACGTGGTGAAACCCCGTCTCTACCAAAAATACAAAAATTAGCTGGGCATAGTGGCGTATGCCTGTAGTCCCAGCTACTCGGGAGGCTGAGGCAGGAGAATCACTTGAACCCAGGAGGCGGAGGTTGCAGTGAGCTGAGATCACGCCACTGCACTCCAGCCTGGCAACAGAGCGAGACTCCGTCTCAAAAAATAAAATAAATAAAAAGTTTTAATTTTTATTTTTAGTAAAAACGGGGTTTCACCATGTTGGTCAGGCTGGTCTTGAACTCCTGGCCTCAAGCAATCCACCTGCCTTGGCGTCCCAAAGTGGTGGGATTACAAGCATGAGCCACCACTCCTGGCCTGATAGTCGGCTTTTACTTTTACTTTTAGTTAAGTCTTTTACACATGTAGGTTTCATAATGTTAGCAGGTAGTCTGTTTTACCTCTTTAGTTACGACTTTGATATTTCCCACTTACTTTGATGAAAAGGTCATTTTGGTCAATTTTGTTATGTGATGGATATGGCGTCTTGTCTCATTGCCCCTAGGAAATGATAAAAAGTTACCCTACCTTTTAATTGATAAGAATAATGATATCCTACACTCTGCAGCAATTTATACTTTAGTTATCTTACAGTATACCATCTGAGATAGATAAGGGCATCATCCCAATTTTGAAGATGAGGAAATAAACTTTGGTGAAGTGCCTAGCCACAAGTCACGTTGCCAATAGGTGTCAGAGTTCAGTCTTAAATTCATCAGATCTTCTGATTCCAGTTTTAGTATTCTTTCGCCTATGTTAATTAAAATAGTCTTTGTAGAAATTAAGAAAGTAGGAAATGGTCTTTTTTTAATGACTTTCTAACAACATTATTTCTGAAATTATTGGGTTAATAAAGAGGTGATTCATTTGTTTACCTGAATTCTAGCTGTTACTTAAAGTTTATTTTTATTTTTATTTATTTATTTATTTATTTATTTATTTATTTATTTATTTATGTTTGAGAGGGAGTTTTGCTCTGTCGCCCAGGCTGGAGTGCAATGGCGTGATCTTGGCTCACCACAGCCTCCGCCTCCCAGGTTCAAGCAATTCTCCTGCCTCAGCCTTCTGAGTAGCTGGGATTACAGGCATGCACCACCACACCCAGCTAATTTTGTATTTTTAGTCGAGACTGGGTTTCACCATGTTGGTCAGGCTGGTCTCGAACTCCTGACCTCAGATGATCCATCCACCTCGGCCTCCCAAAGTGCTGGGATTACAGGTGTGAGCCACCGCACCCAGCTTATTATTTTTATTTTTTAGACAGGGTCGTGCTGTGTTGCCCAGGCTGAAGTGCAGTGTGGCGCAGTCTTGGCTCACTGCAGCCTTGACATCCCCGGCTCAAGTGATCCTCTGCCTTCAGCCTCTGGAATAGCTGACACCACAGGCGTACATCCCTCCACCTGGCTATTTATTATTATTATTATTTGTAGAGATGGGGTCTCCCTGTATTGACCAGGCTGGTCCCAAACTCCTGGGCTCAAGTGGTCCTCTCACCTTGGCCTCCTGAAGTGTTGGGATTATAGGTCTGAGACACCACACCTGGCCTTACTTTGAGTTTTGAATTGCTAGATACATATCATTAATTTGGGATACCATTAATTAGAAATTCTCAATAGCAAAAACTTGAAATGTGATTCTTATCCCATAAAAAGTTGGAAATATTTTTTTTCCTACCTTAGAGACCTTCTCTTTAGTCAGAGGAGTTCATTTAGATATAGTTGTTAACATTTGTAATATATGTATTTTCCTTGAAACTTTTTTTTTTCTTTTTTTGATATGGAGTCTCGCTCTGTCACCCAGGCTGGAGTGCAGTGGCATGATCTCAGCTCACTGCAGCCTCTGCCTCCCGGGTTCAAGTGATTCTCCTGCGTCAGGCTTCCCAAGTAGCCAGGACTACAGGTACGTGCCACCATGCCTGGCTAATTTTTTTGAATTTTTAGTAGAGATGGGGTTTTGCCATGTTGGCCAGGCTGGTCTTGAACTCCTGACCTCAAGTGATCCACCCGCCTTGGCCTCCCAAAGTGCTGGGATTACAGGCGTGAGTCACTGAGCCCCGCCAGAACTTTTTTTTTTTTTTTTTTTTTGAGATGGAGACTCACTCTTGACACCCAGGCCGAAGTGCAGTGGTGCGATCTCAGCTTGCTGGAACTTCCACCTCCCAGGTTCAAGCAGTTCTCCTGCCTTAACCTCCTGAGTAGCTGGTGGTGCACACCACCATGCCCAGCTAATTTTTTGTATTTTTAGTAGAGATGGGATTTCACCATGCTGGCCAGGGTGGTCTCGATCTCCTGACCTCATGATCCGCTCACCTCGGCTTCCCAAAGTGCTGGGATTACAGGCGTGAGCCACCGCGCCTGGCAACTTTTTTTTTTTTTAAAGAGACAGGGTCTCGTTATGTTGCCCAGGCTGTTCTCGAACTCCTGGCCTCAAGTGATCCTCCCTCCTCAGCCTCCCAAAGCACTGACTGACAGGCTTGAGACACCACACCTCTGGCCTCCTTCAGAATTTTAATGTGCAGTCATGGGTCCTTAATGAGAGGGATACATTCTGAGAAATGTGTCATTAGGCAGTGTCATTGTGTAAACATTATAGAGTGTGTTTACACAAACTTAGGTGGCATAGTCCCCTACTCTCCTAAGCTATATGGCATAGCCTATTTTCTTCTGGGCTACAAACCTGTATAGCATGTTACTGTACTGAATACTCTAGGCAATTATAACATAATAGTAAGTGTTTGTGTATCTAAACAAGAAAAATAGTACAGTAAGAATATTGTATAAAAGCTCCATTATAATCTCATGGGCCCACTGGAGTTTCACCATGGTTGACTGAAAGGTCTTTATGTGGCGCATGACTGTATTTTGTAATTCATAAATTTCACCTTATCGGACAGTGCCTCCTCTCTGTGCTTTGCGTTAGAGTAGATATGCTTGCTTATCAGGGGTTGGCAGAGTTTTTCTGTGAAGGGCTAGATAGCAGATATTTTGGACTTGTGGGCCACATGGACTGTGGAGGACTCTGGCAACTATTCAGCTCTGCCATTGTGGCATGAAACCAGCCATAGATAATATATAAACAAGTGAGTATGGCTTCATTCCAATACAACTTTTATTTATACAAACAGGCAGCAGGCTAAATATGACCTGAAAGTCATATTTTGCTGGCCCCTCCTCTATACCATTATGGAAAGATATAGAAATCCAGTGTGCTTCACTCTTGCCACTAAAATCTCCTTACTGTGCTCTCAGTGATAAGTGTTAAAACATGAGTTGAAAAACTTGAACTTCTCAAAATCTGATTAATATGCATGGGCATAATCTATTTCTTTTTTCTTTGTTTTTTTTTTTTTTTTTTTTTTGAGGTAGAGTCTTCCTCTGTTGTCCAAGCTGGAGTGTAGTGGCCCGATCTCGGGTTCAAGTGATTCTCCTGCCTTCTGGGTTCAAGTGGTTCTCTTGCCTCAGCCTCCCGAATAGCTGGGATTACAGGCATCCGCCACCACACCCGGCTAATTTTTCTATTTTTGGTTAGAGATGGTGTTTTGCCATGTTGGCCAGGCTGGTCTCAAACTCCTGACCTCAGGTGATCCACCTGCCTCGGCCTCCCAAAGTGCTGGGATTACAGGTGTGAGCCACTGCACCTGGCCCATCTGTTTCGTTTTTATAGAAAATATGGTAATGCTGTTGAACTTATTTTATTTTATTTATTTTTTGAGACAGGGTCTCATTCTGTTGGTCAGGCTGGAGTGCAGTGGCTCAGTCTTGGCTTACTGCAGCATTGACCTCCCTGCTCAAGTGATCCTCCTACTTCAGCCTCCTGAGTAGCTGAGACTACAGGCATGCGCGATCACACTCAGATAATTTTCGTGTTCTCTGTAGAGACAGGGTTTTGCCATGTTTCCCAGGCTGGTCTCAAAATCCTGGGCTCAAGTGATCCACCTGCTTTGGCCTGCCAAAGTGCCGGGTCCATAGATGTGAGCCACTTCACCTGGCCATATATATATTAATATACGTGTTTTGAGATGGACCTTGCTCTGTCACCCAGGCTGGAGTGCAGTGGCGCAATTATAGCTCACTGCAACGTCTGCCTCCTGGGCTCAATCAATCCTTCCACTTCAGCCTCCCAAGCAGCTGAGATAACAGCTGTGCGCCACCATGCCCAGCAAATTTTTTTATTGTTGTTGTTTTCTTTGTTTTTTATTTATTTTTTGATAGAGATGGAGTTTTGCCATGTTGCCTAGGCTGATCTTAAACTCTTGGGCTTAAGCAATCTGCCTGCCTTGGCTTCCCAAAGTGCTGGAATTACAGGCATGAACCACCACTCCTGGCCAGCTCTTGACCTTACAGGTTTTCAAAGTCTAGTTTTTTTTTTTTACTACAGAGAAACTAACTTAGAAACTGCTCGTGAATTTCAGGAAAAAATTATATTTGTTATTTTAGGTATGCCTAATGTTAATTTAAAAATTCTTTGATTTTACTTATGTTCTTATTCATAGAGCAACTGGTGACAATGCAAATATTAGCAAAGATAAAATATTGAGAGCTGCTTATGTTTGGCCATGGTTTGGGGGCTGGGGATACATAGGCCTAAGAGATGCCCTATGCCTTTGAGGACACGGAAAGACAGGATATAGACATTAAAGATGAAAGTACAAAAAATGGTTTCAAATTGGTGGTATCAAAAGTTTCACCGGGCTCGGTGGCTCACGCCTGTAATCCTAGCACTTTGGGAGGCTGAGGTGGGTGAATCACCTGAGGTCATGAGTTTGAGACCAGCCTGGCCAACGTGGCAAAACCCCGTCTCTACTAAAAATACAAAAATTAGCTGGACGTGGTCGGGGGTGCCTGTAATCCTAGCTACTCGGGAGGCTGAGGCAGGACAATCGCTTGAACCCAGGAGGCAGAAGTTGCAGTGAGCTGAGATTGTGCCATTGCACTCCAGTCTGGGCAACAAAAGTGAAACTCCATTTCAAAAAAAAAATCAGTGTGTCAGGAGTTCAGAGTTGAGATTTATTGCCATGTGCATACTGTATGGTTGGAAAGGAAGGTTTTATTGAGTCTGGTCTTGGAAATTGGAACATCTGCATGAGAGGGGGCCAGATATAAATATAGAAACATGACGATGAACTCAAAGTAAAAATGGGCCGGGCGCAGTGGCTCATGCCTGTAATCCTAGCATTTTGGGAGGCAAAGGCAGGTGGATCACTTGAGCTCAGGAGTTTGAGACCAGCTTCTACAACATGGCTAAACTTTGTCTCTACAAAAAATGCAAAAATTAGCTGGGCATGGTGGTGCATGCCTGTAGAGGGAGGATTGCTTGAGCTGGGGAGGCACAGAGCCATGATGGTGCCGCTGCACTCCAGCCAGCCTGGCGACAGAGCAAGACCTTGTCTCAAAAATAAAAAATAAAAGAAAAATGGGAAGGCCAGTTTGGCAGGAGCAGGAAAGTTTATGTAGGGAAATAGCATAAATTAGGATTGGAGGGGTGGATTGAAGCAAGATTGTGCTTTGAATATTAAACCAAGGAGTTTGGAAATTATCTCTGAGGGGTAAAGAATAACTGAAAATTGTGAGCAACTTTGTACCTTTATTCCTACTTTAAGTCACTTATTTATTTACTTATTTTATTTTATTTTATATCTTTTGAGATGGAGTCTTGCTCTGTCACCTAGGCTGGAGTGCATTGGTGTGATCACGGCTCACTGCAACCTCTGCCTCCCAGGTTCAAACAATTCTCCTGCCTCAGCCTCTTGAGTAGCTGGGATTACAGGTATGTGCCACCATGTCCAGCTAGTTTTTGTATTTTTAGTAGAGACGGGTTTCACCATGTTGACGAGGCTGGTCTCGAACTCCTGACCTCAAGTGATCCGCCTGTCTTGGCCTCCCAAAATGCTGGAATTACATGTGTGAGCCACCGTTTCTGGCCTACTTTAAGTCTTATATGAAACTTCCAGATGTTGTTTTTAATGTTTTTGGTGCAGTGTGTTTATTTTAGTTAATTTTTTTTTTTTTTTTTGAGACGGAGTCTCACTCTGTCGCCCAGGCTGGAGTGCAGTGGCGCGATCTCGGCTCACTGCAACCTCCTCTTCCTGGGTTCAAGCGATTCTCCTGCCTCAGCCTCCTGAGTAACTGGATTTATAGGCGCGCACCACCACACCTGGCTCATTTTTGTATTGTTAGTAGAGATGGGGTTTCACAATGCTGGTCAGGCTGGTCTCAAACTCCTGACTTCATGATCCACCCGCCTCAGCCTCCCAAAGTGCTGGGATTACAGGCTTGAGCCACTGCACCCGGCCTTGTTAATATTTAATGACAATTTATATTGTTCACATCTTCTTTTCCCATCCACCAAAGGACTACATCCTTGTTCTGTGTTATTTCTACCTTTTGTTTTGAAGCCTCTAATAAGAATATGTCATTGAAATACCTCCTTTTCATTTTTTTAAGAGACAGAGGTCTCACTATGTTCCCCAGGGTGGTCTTGAATTCTTGGGCTCACATGATCCTCCCGCCTCAACTTCCCAAAGTGCTGGGATTACAAGCGTGAGCCACCAGGCCCGGCCCATTCTTACATTCATTTAGCAAGTACATACTGAAGTCTTGTGATGTGCCAGGCTCTCTTATGGTCAGTGATGACTGCAAGGGAACCAATTAGGCAAAAATCTCTTTTCTTATGGAGTTCAGATTTTCTTACAGAGATGGTCAATACATGAGATAAATAAGTAAAATGTATAGTATGCTCAGTGCTAAGGAGAAAAAACAATGCAGGGAAAGTGTGTGGCATAGTAGAGGCTGAAATCTTACATAGGGTGGCCAAACTCACTGAAGAACATGATACTTTGGTAAAGACCTAAAGGAAGTAAGAGGTCTGGGATGGTGAGCAAGTGCAAAGGTACTAAGGTAGAAGTGTGTCTGGCACGTCTGACAATACGGCTGGAGCAGAATGAATGAGGGAGAGAGTAATAGAGTGACTATATGTTCTTGTTTATGTCTGTTGTCTTGAAATTATTGATACTGCCTACTTTTACTCCCAATAGAGTCCAGATATTGAGTGATGAATTATATGGTCTCCTGGTAATAGGAGGTGAGGTAGGAGAGGTAAGGTGGTGAGGAGCAGATAATGGAGAGCTGAGATGAACATTTGCAGGATTTTGAACACGGGAGCCCTATGATTTGACTCATGCTTTACAGGCTTACTCTGGCTGCTGTGTTCATAGTAGACTAGGAGCAAAGACTGAAGCATAGTTAGTTAGGAAACTATTGCAGTAATCCAGGTGAGATATGTGGTGCTTTGGGACAGGATGGTAGCAGTAAAAGTGTTGAGAAGTAGATAGATTCTGGATGTGTTTTGAAGATACACATCAGGATTTGATATGGATTGGGTATAGGATTTACGAGAAAGAAGGGAGTCAAGAATGATAGAGTTTTTGGCCTGAGCAGTTGGAAGGATGGAATTGCCATTGATTGAGATGGGAAAGGCCGTCTTTTTGTGGGGAGGGAAGCAGGTGTTTTTTAGGGGAAGATGAGGTCAGTTTTGGACATGTTTTAATTTTGAGATGCGTATTAGACAACCCAAGGGAGATGTTGACTAGGCAGTTGCATATATGGATTTGGCATTCAGGGGAAAGGGACAGACTGGAGATATTAATTTGGGAACTGTTATCACTTTGATGGTACTTAAAAATGATTGAGACTGAATGAGATTGCCTAGGAAGTGAGTTTAGTTAGAAAAGAAAAAGGTCTGAAGATTGAGCCTTGGGGTAATTTATCCAGTGTTTCAAAATCAGGGAGATAAGGGAACTAACAAAGGAGATAGACTGAGTGGAGAAGGACAGGAGCAAACCCATGAGAATGTGGGTGTCCTAGAAGTCAAAGAAAGTTTCTTAAAGAGGAGAGAGGTCAACCATCTCAAATGCTTCTGTTAGGTCAGGAAGAGGAGGAATGATATTTACCATGGATTTAGTAGCATGTTTATTGTTGAACACTAGTAGTTTTGAGTAGTGGAGCAAAACTGATGAGTGCGGGTTTAGGAGTGGATGAGAGGCAAGACACCTCTTTGAAAGAGTTTTGTTGTAAAGGGAAGGAGAAAAAATGGTATGGAAGCTGAGAGGGGAAAGTGAAGTAGAGAGATTTCTTTTTGTATAAGATGAAAAATGACAGCAAGTCTATATGTTGGTGAAAATGATCCAGTAGAGAGAAAAATATGAACGTGGGGAAAGGGTGGCTGGATTTCTTTAGCATTGCTTTTAAGTAAATATGAAGGGAGGAAGCCAGTGTTCAAGTGAGGATTGGCAATGACCAGTAGAAAAGCAGTTCATTCAAAGTAAAAGCAAGTAGAAAGAGCATAGATGTAGATAAGTCAATGTAAGTATGATACTGTGAGCTTGTGGAAAGTCTCTTTCTCATTGCTTCATTTTTCTCAATGAAGACAAAAGCGCGGAGCCGAATAAGGATAAGGGAAGAGGTGTTGGAAGTTTGAGAAGAGGAAATGATATGAATTAGCTGCCTTGGAGAGTGGGACAGTGGGGGATGGATTGGGAAAATACAGTGTGCATGTGTCACAACAGTAAGCGTCCATCTAGGGTTTGTGATAATGGGGTTAAAGTGATAATAGCCAGACATGGTGGCTCACACTTGTAATCCCAGCCAAAGCCAGGAATATCACTTGAGCCCAGGAGTTTGAGACCAGCCTAGGTAACACAATCAGACCCCATCTCTACAAAATAAAAATTTAGCTGGATGTGGTGGTGCATGCCTGTGGTCCCAGCCTCTGGATGCTGAGGTAGAAGGATTGCTTGAGCTGGGGAGGTCAAGGCTGCATTGAGCCGTGATCACATTACTACACTCCAGCCTGGGCAACAGCAAGACCCTGTCTCAAAGTAAAAAAAAAAAAAAAAAAGACTGGGCATAATGGCTTCATCCCAGAACTTTGGGAGGCCAAGGCAAGAGGCTCACTTGAGCCCAGGAGTTTGGGACCAGCCTAGGCAACATAGGGAGACCTCATCTCTCAAGAAAAATAGAAGAAGATAGCTGGGTGTGATGGCACACACCTGTAGTCCCAGCTACTCAGGAGGCTGAGGAGGGAGGATTGCTTGAGCCTGGGAGGTTGTGGCTACAGTGCTGTGATCATGCCACTGCACTCCAGTGTGGGCATCAGAGAAAGACCTTATCTAAGGGAAGAAAAAAAAGGATACTAGCGTTGTCATGTGTGTGTGTTTCCCCAGCTACATGTGTGGATGAGGCAGAACATTTGATTTAACTGGGATTGCGGTTTAGTCTAGTGAGGAGGGCAGGTTGAGGGTGCATTCAAGGAAGTGATTATAATGATTGGCCATGGGATTTACACTAGCTAGGTAAGGAGGGAAGCAAAAACAGGAAGCAGGTGAAGGTTAGTTAAAAAGGTGGTAAGATCAATGGCTTGAAAGTCTTGTTGTGGGGTCATATGATTGTTGGAGTTGTGTGGTGTTGGAGAAGTAAGAAAAGACTGTAGTATGTGCCTGCAAGAGAGGGAGGATGATAGGTGGTATGGTTTAATGAAATGAGATTCAAAGCTGGGGTTTTTAATGGTGGAGGGAGGAAGAGTGGTGTGAAAGTGGACCCATAGTGTGAAGGATATGGGAGAGAAAACAGCCTTACCTAAGAGGTCTATAGAGGAAGCCATGTTCCCATGGGAAAGCCAGATTTTAGTTAAGGCAGGAAGGTAAAGAGAACCTCTCCAGAAAAGGTTCAAGTTACAGATTTTCTGATAATTGAACTTGTGTTCCAGGAGCCACTGTGAAAAGGATTGAAGAGGTAAGGAGGAGCAGGAGGTGAGATAGGAAGAGGTGATGTACAAAGCTATCCAGGTGCCAGGCACGGTGACTCACACCTGTTATCCCAGCACTTTAGGAGGCTGAGGTGGGAGGATTGCTTGAGCCCAAGAGTTTGAGACCTGAGCAACATGGTGAGACTCTGTCTCCACAAAAAGCAAATTTTAAAAATTAGCTGGCTGTAGTGTCATATAACTACAGCTACTCGGGAGGCGGAGGTGAGAGGATTGCTTGAGTCTGGGAGATAGAGGCTGCAGTGAGCCATGATACCGCCACTGCACTCCGCTTGGATGACAGCAAGACCCTGTCTCAGCAAACAAAACAAAACCATAAGACAACAACAACAAAAGAAACACAAAGCTGTTTAGAGATTTGGTTTTGCAGGATAAAGGATGACCTGGAAGTTCTGACTTTATTATGATTGACATGAACAGAAATAAAGGGCAGACTAAACTAAGACTTGGTGGTCCAGGGTAGATTTTTTTTTTTTTAGACACTCTTGCCCTGTCACCCAGGCTGGAGTGCAGTGTTGTGATCTCAGCTCACTGCAACCTCTGCCTCTCGGGTTCAAGTGATTTTCTTGCCTCAGCCTCCTGAGTAGCTGGGATTACAGGTGTGCACCACCAAGCCCGGCTAATTTTTGTATTTTTACTAGAGGGATTTCACCATGTTGGCCAGGCAGGTCTTGAACTCCTGACCTCAAGTGATCTGCCTGCCTTGGCCTCCCAAAGTGCTAGGATTACAGGCGTGAACCACCACGCCCGGCTGGTCCAGGGTAGATTTTGATGGGGTTGGCAGTAAGGGCTGAGGGAATGGAGAGGAGAAGATCTTCTTGCCAAATACATGCAGGATTTTCTGGGGCTTCCATTTGGCTTCTGATACTGGAAGTATGGAGTATTAATTAAGGGGAGTCTTAATTGAGCACACAGGCTCTCCTGACTTCTGCAGATGTTTTAATATATTCTGGCACTATTGGGAAATCATTAATGGCTTTCAAAAGGAATTCTGGAGGGATTGGGAAGGATTATATTAACTGTTGCTTTGGAAATACCAATCTGACAGTGTAGGGTAGGTTGGAGAGAGAAGAAACTTGAAGTATAGGAACATGTTAGGAAATTTTTCCAGTTGTCATGGATTTATGATATGGAATTTGGTTATTTGCAGAACAATTCAAAAGGAAAGGACCAATGTGAGAGTAGAACTTGGTGACAGACCTTGCTGAGGAGAGGATGGTTCCTGAGTTTGGAGTCTAGGAACCTGTTTGTGCCATGACAGAAATAGAAAAGTCTGAAAGAGTTGCTGGTTTTAGAAGGGAGATTGCTATGCTCTAGGATATGTTTGAATCTTGGGTGATTGGACTCTTAGGTCTCCTTTCATCATACCTGTAGTGACTTGTAATTTCCTTGTTCTTAGCTTCACAGTTGACTAAGCTTTATGAGGACAGAGATTGTGTCTGTTTTGTTCTGTATTGTCAGTGCCTGGCACAGTGAATACATTTCAGAAATAATTGCTGAATTAAAGTAGAGAAATGGCTTTTTTTTTTTTTGAGATAGAGTTTTGCTTGTTGGCCAGGCTGGAGTGCATTGGTGTGATCTCAGTTGACTCTAACCTCTGCCACCCGGGTTCAAGCGATTCTTCTGCTTCAGCCTCCCGAGTAGCTGGGATGACAGGCAGCTGCCACCATGCCCAGCTAATTTTATATATATTATATATATATAATATAAAAATATATATATTATATATATAATATAAAAATATATATATTATATATTTATATTAAATATATATTTTTATATTTTATATAAATATATATTTTATGTTTTTATAAAATATATACATTTTTATATTATATATAATATAAAATAAAATATATAAAAATTTTTATATTTATATATGAAATATAAAAAAATATATATATAAAAATATATTTTATATATATATATATATATATATATATATATATATATATATATATATATATAAGTTTTTGTTTCTGTTTTTGTTTTTTTGAGATGGCGTCTCACTCTGTTGCCAGTCTGGAGTGCAGTGGTACAGTCTCAGCTCACTGCAACCTCCGCCTCCTGGCTTCAAGCGATTCTTCTGCCCTAGCCTCCCTAGTAGCTGGGACTACGGGTGTGCACCACCATGCCCAGCTAATTTTTGTGTTTTTAAGTGGAGATAGGGTTTCACCATGTTGGTGATCTCAATCTCTTGACCTCGTGATCCGCCCACCTCGGCCTCTGAAAGTGCTGGGATTACAGGCGTGAGCCACTGTGCCTGGCCAATTTTTATATTTTTAGTAGAGACAGGGTTTCACAGTGTTGGTCAGGCTGGTCTCGAACTCCTGATCTCAAGTGATCCACCCGCCTCCACCTCCCAAAGTGCTGGGATTACAGGCATGAGCCACTGCGCCCGGCCAAAATGGCTTTTTTTTTTTTTTTTTGAGACGGAATCTCGCTCTGTCGCCCAGGCTGGAGTGCAGCGCGTGATCTCGGCTCACTGCAACCTTCACCTCTTGGGTTTGAGCAATTCTTCTGCCTCAGCCTCCTGAGTAGCTGGGACTACAGGCGCGTGTCACCATGCCCGGCTAATTTTTGAATTTTTTAGTAGAGACGGGGTTTCACCATGTTGGTCAGGCTGGTCTCAAACTCCAGACGTTGTGATCCACCTGCCTCAGCCTCCCAAAATGCTGGGATTACAGGCGTGAGCCACCGTACCCAGCTAAAATGGTTTTTTTTTTTTTTTTTCAAACTTTCCTATGGTGCTGAGAGAAATGGCTTTTAATAAACTTTTCAATTCTGAAATTCTGTCTTGATATTCAGATGTTTTGCAGGTAGAGGAAATAAAGAATTTAAGCTCAGTCAAGAGATAAGGGCTGGAGACACTATGTTTTGTGTGGTATTTGGGTGTAAACTCAAATGAAGTAGATGTCATCAGAAGCCAAATAAAGTTCTATAAAAACCAATAGGTAACAGGAACTTTAAGGAGTAAATTTTTAACAGAACTAGAAATTAAAGTAGATGTTACTGACAAAATGTTTAGATTAGTTGATTGAGAGCAAGTGCTTCTTTCGAGTCAGACAGAACTGAGTTTGTTTGAATCTTGACTTAGCTACATACTAGATATGTCAATACTTTTCTCAACTGTCAAATGAGGATAATGAGAGTACACCTGTCACAGGGTTGTAAGAGTTCAATTAGGAAAAAGAATAGCAGAGTACTTGGCATAACTCCTAAATAAATGCTAGTTTGATATTAATATTATTATTGTTAGTTTGATGGTCATGTTATTGTTACTTTTCAGGAAACAAACTGATTTATTTCCTAATGTCTGTACTTTTCTGTTGTCTTCAGTATTGTAAAAATTTTCCTACTTTTAGTTATTCATGTCTAAATTTTATTTAAGCTATTCCTGGTGACCCTGAACTCCTCTGATATTATAGTGGTGTCTTAGAAAAGCAGAACAAATTGGTATACTTTTTAAATTATCAAACCCTTTTCCTCAATCTTTTTTTTTTTTTTTTTTTTTGGGACAGGGTCTGGCTCTGTCACCCAGGCTGGAGTGCAGTGACACGATCTCAGCTCACTGTAACCTCCGCCTCCCGGGTTCAAGCGATCCTCCCATCTGACCCTCCCAAGTAGCTGGCATTCAGGTATGCGCCACCACACCCGGCTAGTTTTTGTATTTTTAGTAGAGACGGGGTTTCACCATGTTGGCCAGACTGATCTTGAACTCCTGAGCTCAAGTGATCCGCCCACATTAGCCTCCCAAAGTGCTGGGATTACAGGTATGAGCCACCATGCCCAGCCTCATGTGTTAATTTTTTAACGTAAAGTTGTGTTTGAAGACTTTAATTTCTAAATTGCATGAATTGGCTCATATTTTGCTGTGTCATTGAAAACATTTTATGTTCTCTTTCTATCTTGAACAATATTTCAATTGTAATTAGGTTGTGAGCTCCTTGAGATTAGGCGATTTGGCTAGGCTCCAGCGAAACTCAGTCATATATTTGTTCAATTACATTGAATTAAGCAGCAAGAAAGGCACAGTTTGAGAATTTCTAAAGTATTTTACCCCATTTTTTAATTATGAAAAATTTCTAACATACAAAAACCATTGAAAGATAGCACAGCGATCATTATATACCTACCACCTCAGTTCAACAGTTTATATTTAGCTATATTTAAAAAAATTCTCTTAATGTTTTTGCTGAACCATGTACAAGTTGCAGACATCCTAACACTTTCTTTCTTTCTTCCTTTTTTTTTTTTTTTGAGAGAGAGTCTTGCTTTGTTGCCCAGGCTGGAGTGCAGTGGCACAATCTCGGCCCACTGCAACCTCCACCTCCCGGGTTCAAGCAATTCTCTGCCTCAGCCTCCCAAAGTGCTGGGATTACAGGTGTGAGCCACCACACCCGGCCACATATAGTTCTTAGGTTTTTTTTTTTTTTTGAGATGGAGTCTTACTCTGTCACCAGACTGGAGTGCAGTGGCGCGATCTCAGCTCACTGCAACCTCTGCCTCCTGGGTTCAAGCAATGCTCTTGCCTCAGTCTCCTGAGTAACTGGGATTACAGGCATGTGCCACCATGCCCGGCTAATTTTGTGTTTTTGGTAGAGACCAGGTTTCTCCATGATGGTCAGGCTGGTCTTGAACTCCTGATCTCAGGTGATCCCCTTGCCTTGGCCTCCCAAAGTGCTGGGATTACAGGTGTGAGCCACTGTGCCTGGCCTTTTTTTTTTTTTTCTCCTATTTTTTTGGAGACAGTCTCGTTCTGTTGCCCATGCTGGAGTGCAGTGGTGCGATTTCAGCTCACTGCAACCTCTGCCTCCTGGGTTCAAGTTTCTCCTGTCTCAGCCTCCTGAGTAGCTGGGATTGCAGCCACCTGCCACCACGCCTGGTGAATTTTTGTATTTTTAGTAGAGACAGGGTCTCACCATGTTGGCCAGGCTGGTCTCAAACTCCTGACCTCAAGTGAGCCACCTGCCTTGGCCTCCCAGAGTGCTAGGATTACAGGTGTGAGCCACCGTGCCCAACCCAAGAAATTTTTTGCTAACTTGATGACTGTCTGCTGCCCAGACACACAATATTATGTTTTGTTATCTGTGCCACAGGTATTTCTGTTGTTGATTTAACATTTGTGATCTGGCACAAATTCTAGATTCAAGGGCATAGCTTAAATAATAATGCTTTAAAATATGTGTGCTATTTGTATCAGTTTGTTTAGCTGCTAGATAAATAAGAGTAGTGAGATTTCATTTATTCCTTTGGCAAATATTTATTCAACTCCTGCTGTGAACTAGGCCGTCTCCTAGTCCCTGAAATTACAGCTGTGAATGAACAAAGCAAACAAGGCTTGGCCCTGCTGTCACTTACCTTCTAGTGGGGAAGCCTCACAATAAGCACGATTAACATGCAGGTAGATATCTGTAATATAATGCTAGATAGGGGCAGTGCTTTTTTAAAAGGCCAGAAGAGGGATTAGGAAGTTATATTTTCTATTTTAGAAGGAGTTGTCTGAGAAGGCCTTTCTAAATACACGTTTGAGTGGAGAGATCTGAATGGAATGAAGATACTGGATAACCTTCCAGACAGAGAGGTCAGCAAATGTGGACACTTTGAGAGAGGGACATGCTTGGCCTGTTCAAGGAACAGCAAGAAGGCAGATGTTCTGGAGCTGTGTGAACTAGGGTGGGATTGTAGGAGAGGAAATTGGAGAAGTAGCCAGGGGTAGATCATATAGGACCTTCAGATTTCATTCTATCATGAAATAAAGCCTGTGGATGGTTTCCAGTAGGGGAATGAAGTGATCTGACTTAAGTTTTGTTTTGTTTTGTTTTTTGAGATAGAGTCTCACTCTATTGCCCAGGCTGGAGTGCAGTGGCATGATCTCACCTCACTGCAACCTCCGCCTACCAGGTTCAAACAATTCTCCTGCCTCAGCCTCCCGAGTAGCTAGGACTACAGGTGTACACCACCACACCCAACTAATTTTTGTATTTTTAGTAGAAACGGGGTTTCATCATGTTAACCAGGCTGGTCTCGAACTCCTGACCTCAGGTGATCCACCTGCCTTGGCCTCCCAAAGTGCTGGGATTACATGCGTGAGCCACCGCGCCCGGCTGTGATCTGACTTTTTAATTCACTATGCTATGTAGAGAACAGACTCTAGAAGTACAAGAAAGGAAGCAGCGAGATCACTTAGGATGTGGTGATTATGCACCTCCTAGTGAGAATTGATGTGATTAGCAATGGAGGGGGGAATAAGTAGTCAGATTTTAAATATATTTTGAAGATAGAATCAACAGGATATTTTGATTGTGATTAGAAAGAGCACAGTCAAGGATAACTCTGGGGTTAACAAATAGACATTGTATTTGAGGATATACACAGGGTTTACAGCACCTGTCTCTAAGCGGTGGCCTTAGCAGTGAGCTTTTTTTTCTTTTTGCTTATCTGTATTTACCAATTTTTCTATGCTGAACCTGTAATACTTCTGTAATAAAAAGATAGAGATTATTTGAAAATTAGAGTTAAAAGTGGCATCAAATGTAACCTAATTTTTTTTTTTTTTTTTTTTTTTTTTGAGAACGATTCTTGCTCTGTTATCAGGCTGGGGTGCAGTGATGCAATCTCAGCTCACTGCAACCTCTGTCTCCCGGGTTCAAGGAATCCCCCTGCCTCAGCCTTCTGAGTAGCCGGGACTACAGGCGCGCCCCACCGCACCTGGCTAATTTTTTGTGTTTTAGTAGAGACAGGGGTTTCACCATGTTGGCCAGGGTGGTCTCGATCTCTTGATCTTGTAATCCGCCCGCCTTGGCCTCCCAAAGTGCTGGGATTATAGGCATGAGCCACCGCGCCTGCCCAAATGTAACTGAATTCTTAAAGTATTCTCCTGTCCCTTTTGATTTTAGAAAAGAACTTAAGTGACATACATAAACTTTAAATCTTTATCTTTTTACTCTTAGTGATCAGCCTTTGAGCCTTTCCCACATTGAAGATGGTGAAACTAGATATTCATACTCTGGCTCATCACCTCAAGCAGGAACGCTTATATGTAAACTCTGAGAAACAGCTCATTCAGAGGCTCAATGCAGATGTACTTAAGACAGCTGAAAAGTTGTATCGTACAGCATGGATTGCGAAGCAACAGAGAATCAATTTGGATCGGCTTATCATAACCAGGTAAAGAGATGATTTTCAGGTTTTAAGTTTTGTGAACCACTATGATTCTGTAAATAAATTAGTAACTATAAATAAATGAATCTGTTTCCAACAAAGTGCATTATTTAAGATAATTTACATCAATGTTAAGGTGAGTCTTTGCTTATAATACAGTTTATTTGGATTATTAAGTAACTTAGGCACTTTTATAGAAAATTGTAACTTAAGCATTGACATTTTATATCACACCAATTGGTTTTGTGTCTTTGTCTATATAAAATGTTATTGTTGGCTGGGCGTGGTGGCTCACACCTATAATCCCAGCACTTTGGGAGGCCAAGGCGGGTGGATCATGAGGGCAGGAGTTTAAGACCAGCCTGGCCAAGATGGTGAAACTCCGTCTCTACTAAAAATACAACAATTATCTGGGCATTGTGGTAGGCGCCTGTAATCCCAGCTACTCGGGAGGCTGAGGCAGAGAATTGCTTGAACCCGGGAGGTGGAGGTTGCAGTGGGCCGAGATTGTGCCACTGCACTCCAGCCTGGGCCATAGAGCGAGACTCTGTCTCCTCAAAAGAAAAAAAAAATGTTGTTGTAGAGAGTAAATTATCTGTTCTGCTTTTCTCCTAATATTATTTAATATATAGGTTTCCAGCTGGGTGTGGTGGCTGACACCTGTAATCCTAGCACTTTGGGAGGCCGAGGTGGGTGGATCACGAGGTCAGGAGTTCAAGACCAGCCAGGCCAAGATGATGAAACCCCATCTCTACTAAAAATACAAAAATTAGCGGGGCATGGTGGCATACGCCTGTAATCCCAGCTACTCGGGAGGCTGAGGCAGGAGAATGGCTTGAACCCGGGAGGTGGAGGTTGCAGTGAGCCAAAATCGCACCACTGCACTCTAGCCTGGGTGACAGAGTGAGACTCTGTCTCAAAAGAAAAAAAAAAAAAAAATATATATATATATATATATATATATATATATATATATATATATATATATATATATGTATTTCCATGTTTTGATATTGTATAGCTATTTTTCGGGTTTAGAAACCACATTTTATTGTCTTAATACCTACGAAGAACATTTATTTTATTTTTTTTTTTTTTTGAGTTGGAGTCTCGCTCTGTCCCCCAGGCTGGAGTGCAGTGGCACAATCTCAGCTCACTGCAACCTCTGCCTCCTGGGTTCAAGAGATTCTCCTGCCTCAGCCTCCTGAGTAGCTGGGATTACAGACTTGTGCCACCATGCCTGGCTAATTTTTGTATTTTTAGTAGAGACGGGGTTTCACCATGTTGGTCAGACTGGTCTTGAACTTCTGACCTCGCAGTCTGCCCCCTCGGCCTCCCAAAGTGCTGGGATTATAGGTATGAGCCACCCTGCCTGGCCAAGAACAGTTTTTAACTCTAAGAATATCAGTGCTGTTGAGAATATAAGCCAGATGCAAAAGAATACATACTGTATGATTCTATTTGTATGAAGTTCAAAAAGAGACAGGACTGATCTTTGATGACAGAAATCAGAATAATGGTTACTTTTTGGGCTTGAGAGGGTGGTATTGACTGGGAAAGGGCACGTGAAAGCGTTCTTGGGTTTTTAAAATGTTCCATGTCTTAATCTGAGTGGTGATTACTGGGTGCATGTATGTGTAAAAATTGTTCAAGCTGAACACTTGACATTTGTGCACTTTACTGTATTTTACCTCAATAAAAATGAGTTTAAAAAAAAAAAAGAACAGTGCTGTTGTGGGCATTGTGGTTTTTTCCCCACATCTTTTAGGCTTATTTTATTTGGATTTGTTTCCAGAAGCAAAAAGCCTAGTTAAAGGATGTGATTCTGCAGGTCATTACATACTGGCATGTTGCTGTTGAGAATGGTTGAGCAATATGCTGATATCGACTTCATTTTTATTATTTTTTAGTACTTGAGTATTTGTAAACTTTCTTATGTCCATAAATAAGCATAAGCAGTTTAACTGTAGCTGATTTTTTTTTTTTTCAGACAGGATCTGGCTGTGTCGCCCAGGCTGAAATGCAGTGGTATGATCTTGAGTCACTGCTGTCTCAAGCTCCTGAGCTCAAGCGATTTTCCCACCTCAGCCTCCTGAGTGCTGGGCCTACAGGCACACGCCACCACATCTAGCTAATTTTCATATTTTTTTGTAGAGATGGGGTTTCACCATATTTTCCAGGCTGGTCTTGAACTCCTGGGCTCAAGTGATCCTCCCACCTTGGCCTCCCAAAGTCTGGGATTACAGGTGTGAGCCACTGTGTCCTTCCTGTAGCTAATTTTAATTTAATCCATAAGAGGGCAGCTCTGGACAGTTTTTAGGATCTACAAACTGATAATTTTCTTTCTTTCTTTCTTTTTTTTTTTCCAGACAGAGTCTTGCTTTGTTGGCCAGGGTGGAGTGCGGTGGCATGATTGCAGCTCACTGCAACCTCTACCTTCTGGGTTCAAGTGATTCTCCTGCCTCAATTTTCCAAGTAGCTGGGATTATAGGTGCCTGCCACCATGCCTGGCTAATTTTTGTATTTTTAGAAGAAATGGGAGTTTCGCCGTGTTGGCCAGGCTGGTCTCGACCTCCTGGCCTCAAGTGATTTGCCCGCCTCGGCCTCACAAAGTGCTGGGATTACAGGTCTGAGCCACCGCACCCAGCCCCAATACTTTTCATTGATTCTGATTTGATAAGAGGAAATTGTCCTTTGTACTTTTTAGTTTTGTTGTCCTTTACTCATTGAGTTGCTGTTAGTTTAAAAAATTTTAGCAATTCAGAGTGACCTCATTGTTGGGACCATAATCAACTCACATATCCATGTTTGGATATAGTATATGTGTTATTATTATTAATACTATTATTTTGCTTGTTTGCTCTTTTTTTTTTTTTTTTTAGTGCTGAAGCTTCCCCTGCTGAATGTTGCCAACATGCCAAAATTTTGGAAGATACACAATTTGTTGATGGGTATAAGCAATTGGGATTTCAGGAGACTGCTTATGGAGAATTCTTGAGTCGATTGAGGGAAAATCCTCGTCTTATTGCCTCCTCTTTGGTTGCTGGAGAGAAACTTAATCAGGAGAACACACAAAGTGTTATTTACACAGTTTTTACCTCCCTGTATGGCAATTGCATCATGCAAGAAGATGAAAGCTACCTCCTTCAGGTTTTGCGATACTTGATTGAATTTGAACTTAAAGAAAGTGACAACCCTAGGCGACTTTTGAGGAGAGGAACTTGTGCCTTCAGCATCTTATTTAAACTTTTTTCTGAAGGACTGTTTTCTGCCAAACTTTTCCTCACAGCCACTTTACATGAGCCAATTATGCAACTGCTTGTTGAAGATGAAGATCACCTGGAAACAGATCCAAACAAGCTAATTGAGAGGTTCTCTCCATCTCAGCAGGAAAAACTCTTTGGAGAGAAGGGCTCAGATAGATTCAGGCAAAAAGTTCAAGAAATGGTGGAGTCCAATGAAGCAAAGCTAGTGGCTTTGGTGAACAAATTTATTGGTTATCTCAAACAGAACACATATTGTTTTCCACATAGTTTAAGGTGGATCGTGTCTCAGATGTACAAAACCCTCTCCTGTGTAGATAGGCTGGAAGTTGGGGAGGTCAGGGCAATGTGTACTGATCTCCTGTTGGCCTGCTTCATTTGTCCTGCAGTTGTCAATCCAGAACAATATGGAATAATTTCCGATGCTCCTATTAATGAAGTAGCACGATTTAATCTGATGCAGGTATGCTTTTGCTATTATTATTAACGTGGCATTTAGTTTAAAATTCAGTTGATTGGGCTGTGGGGGTGGGAACAAATAATACGATGACAGTATTTGTATATTCTTACAACTTTTTCTCAACCAGTCCTAAGTATTTGCATCTTATTAAATAAAAGCAGTAATACTGGGATTTAAAATTATTGCGGTCACAAAACATTTTGTCTTTGTCTGTTTTTTGAGACAGGGTCTCACTCTGTTGCCCAGGCTGGAGTGCAGTGGCGCAATCTCAGCTCACTGCAACCTCCGCCTCCCGGGTTCAAGCAATTCTCCTGCTTCAGCCTCCTGAGTAGCTGGGATTACAGGCGCACACCACCGCCCTGGCTAATTTTTGTATTTTTAGCCATGGGGTTAAAATTTAGGTCAGGCTGGTCTTAAACTCCTGACCTCAGATGATCCGCCCACCTCGGCTTCCCAAAGTGCTGGGATTACAGGCGTGAGCCACCACTCCTGGCCTTGGGTGATTGTTAAAAAATGATTAGCTCAAGCTGGGTGTGGTGGCTCTCACCTGTAATCCCAGCACTTTGGGAGGCCAAGGTGGGTAGATCGTTTGACATCAGGAATTTGAGACCAGCCTCAGCAACATAGTGAGACCCCCAACTGCCCCATATCTATTAAAAAAAAAAAAAATTGGCCGGGTGCGGTGGCTTACGCCTGTAATCCCAGCACTTTGGGAGGCCGAGGCGGGCGGATCACCTGATGTCCAGAGTTTGAGACCAACCTGACCAACATGGAGAAACCCCATCTCTACTAAAAATACAAAATTAGCCAGGTGTGGTGTCACATGCCTGTAATCCCAGTTACTTGGGAGGCTGAGGCAGGAGAATTGCTTGAACCCGGGAGACAGAGGTTGCGATGAGCTGAGATTGCACCGTTGCACTCCAGCCTGGGCAACAAGAGCGAAACTCCGTCTCAAAAAAAAAAAAAAAATCAGAAAAAATGATTAGCTGTTTTTAATGATCAGTTATATCACCTTGGGATGTTTAGCAATTCACTGTATAGAAATGCCTGAAATAAAATTTTTAACTTTTTTTAATGTTTATAAATTTAAAAAAATTATAATATGGAACACTTCACAAATTTGTGTGTCATCCTTGCACAGGTGCCATGCTAATCTTCTCTGTAGAGTTCCAATTTTAGTATATGTGCTTCTGAAGCGAGCACAAAATTTTTGACATGAAACAGTAGGTTTTTTTTTGTTTGTCTGTTTGTTTTGAGATAGTCTCACTCTGTCACCCAGGCTGGAGTACAGTGGTGCCATCTTAGCTCTCTGTAGCCTTTGAACTCCTGAGCTCAAGTGACCCTTCTGCCTCACCCTCCTGAGTAGCTGGGACTACAGGTGTGTACCAGCACACCTCGCTCATTTAAAAAATGTTTTTGTAGAGACAGGGTCTTGCTTTGTTGTCCAGGCTGGTCTTGAACTCCTGGCCTCAGGTAATCCTCCTATTTTGGCCTCTCAAAGTGCTGGGATCATAGGCGTAAGCTACTGTGCCTGGCCCATGAAACACTTAAATTTATTCTTATGGTAGATAATGTATTTGTAGTTTTTTTTGTTTGTTTTTTTTGTCATTCCAGTAGAGATCAAATTACATATTTTCAGAATCAGTAAAAAGGGGGCTTGTCCCAGATATTAAGAAGAGGATGTTGTAATAACTTTCATCATTAGCCTTTAAAAAGAGTGCAGTAACAAATTTTGCCAGTAAGGTACTTGTTCTATGAATTAGTATTTACTTTATCAAACCAGCTTATGTTAGGAATCATTTGCTTTTAAATCTAGGGAAAAAATTATACCTTGATTGCTTTGTGAACGCTATAAGGTAATGTTCTTAATATTAACTTAAGGCAATTTAATGAATGAGTCAGCTTTTACAAATTAATTTAAAAAGCTCTAAACAAATGAAAAGTACAATGTCAGAAACAAATGTATTGTGCTTTTTTTCCCTAATGTTGATATCTTATGTGTTAAAGAGAAATTAAAGCAAAAATTTATACTTTCTCTAACTCTTAATCTAAAAATAGTAAAAGCTGACATAAGGTACACATTTTTTGGGGGATACTATTTCATATGCCTGGTCAGGTGATATGAATAGTATTATGAAACAGATTTTTAGAACAGAATAGACGTGCTTGCTTTCATAGAGACGTATTTGTGAGTATCTGTCTGTAGCTTATGTCTCCCTACCACTGCTTTGGGTTGCAGGTAGGCCGCCTTTTGCAGCAGTTAGCAATGACTGGCTCTGAAGAGGGAGATCCCCGAACAAAGAGCAGCCTTGGAAAGTTTGACAAAGTAAGAATAAATATGATTTATAGAAAATTCTGAAGTATTAGTGAGCCTAACTGTTCTCTTTATTAAATCTTGTCCTTAGGTGATATCTAAATTAAATGTTCTTTTAATTAGCTACAGTATTGGATCAGCAGCATTTAAAGATGATTAATTCCCACAGATGTATTGAGGAGATGCCGTCGTAAGAGAATCAAAGAGCTGTTAAGATTATTTTATTTTAAAAAGTTTTTTTTTTTTTTTTTTTTGAGATGGAGTCTCGCTCCGTCGCCCAGGCGGAGTGCAGTGGCATGATCTTGGCTCACTGCAACCTCTGCCTCCGGGTTCAAGCAACTCTCTGCCTCAGCCTCCCCAGTAACTGGGATCACAGGTGCCTGCCACTACACCCGGCTAATTTTTGTATTTTTAGTAGAGACGGGGTTTCACCTTCTTGGCCAGGCTGGTCTTGAACTCATGGCCTCGTGATCCACCTGCCTCGGCCTCCCAAAGTGCTAGGATTACAGGCGTGAGCCACCGCGCCTGGCCAACTTTTAAATTTTCGAGTCAGTGTCTCACTCTGTTGCCCAGGCTGGAGTGCAGTGGTGTGATCATGGCTCAAACTCCTGGGCTCATGCAGTCCTTGCACCTTAGCCTCCCAAGTACCTGGGCTATAGGGGCACACCACCATGCCCGGCTAAGTGTTTTTATTGTTATAGAGACGAGGTCTTGTTATGTTGCCCAGACTGGTCTTGACTCCTGGCCTCAAGTGATCCTCCTGCCTCAGCATTCCAGCGTGCTAGGATTACAGATGTCAGCCACCATGCCTGGTCGATAATTGTTTAATTTTAAGTGTAGTTTATAAGTTAACATCTATGACATTGTTCAATTAATATAGTTAAATAAAATTTTAATCAGTCTTACTTTGATTAAGCTGTACATTCAACCAATGAAAATTCAAGGATATTTGAGTAAAATTTCCCTTCCACGTCTCATCTCTAGTCTTCATTCCCTGCCCCCACAAAACATTCTTTTTTTTTTTGAGACAGAGTTTCCTTCTTGTCACAGAGGTTCGCTGTTGTCACCCAGGCTGGAGTGCAGTGGCGTGATCTCGGCTCACTGTTAACTCTGCCTCCCAGGTTCAAGCAATTCTCCTGCCTCAGCCTCCGAGTAGCTGGGATTATAGGCGTGAGCCACCACGCCTGGCCCCCAAAAGATTCTTGATGTTATTAGGTTGTTTTTCCTTCTAGAGGTCCATATGTTTACAGGCAAATTCCTACGTACACTATATACTTCCAACCATCCCTTCCTTTCCCTTTCAGAAATAGTAGCACAATGTGTATACTGTTCTGTGTTGTGTTATGTTTGTCTCCAACATCTTATTGTTATTTTCTTTTTTTTTTGAGACAGGGTCTCACTTTGTCACCCAGTGATGCCATCTCAGCTCACTGCAGCCTCGACCTCCCTGGCGCAAGCAGTCCTCCCACCTCAGCTTCCCAAGTAGCTGGGACTGCAGGTGCGCGCCACCACACCTGGCTAATTTTGGTATTTTTCATAGAGACAAGGTTTTGCCCTGTTGCCCCAAGTGGTTTTGAACTTCCGAGCTCAAGCAGTCCACCCACCTTGGCCTCCCAAAGTGCTGGGATTGCAGGCATGCACTACCACACCCAGCTCCAAGATCTTAGACTATATCAGTACAAAAAGAGTTTAATTTTTTTAGGTTGGGTGCAGTGGCTCATGCTGGTAATCCTAGTGCTGAGCGCACTTTGGGAAGCTGAGGTGGACGGATCACTTGAACTCAGAAGTTTGAGACCAGTCTGGGCAACATGGTGAAACCCCATCTCTACAAAAAATACAAAAATTAGGTCAGGCGGGGTGGCTCACATTTGTATTTTTGGCACTTTGGGAGGCCGAGGCGGGTGGATCACCTGAGGTCAGGAGTTCAAGACCAGCCTGTCCAACATGGCAAAACCCCATCTCTACTAAATATACAAAAATTAGCCGGGCATGGTCGTGGCACCTATAATCCCAGCTACTCGGGAGGCTGAGGCAGGAGAATCACAGTGGGGGAGGAGGTGTGCAGAGGTTGCAGTGAGCTGAGATGGTGCTATTTCATTCCAGCCTGGGTAAAAGAGTGAAACTTTGTCTCAAAAAAAAAAAAAAAAATTCAACATCTTAAAAAAATATGATTTTTAAGATGTTTAAATTTTTTCATGCTTGTCCACCTTAATGAGAAATTTCGTTCCAGTATTTTAAAGGGAAATGTTTCACTGTTTTTTTCCTGTTTTAACAGAGCTGTGTTGCCGCTTTCCTTGATGTTGTGATTGGGGGCCGTGCAGTGGAGACCCCTCCATTGTCTTCCGTCAATCTTCTGGAAGGATTGAGCAGAACTGTGGTTTATATAACCTACAGTCAGCTTATTACTCTGGTAATGGCTTCATTGTTTAAGAGAATTTCTCGAAAGTCTTTTAGCTAAGCGTGAGCAAAAACATACATGAGTACATTGTGTGGGAAATACATATTGTATTTGAAAAAGTGATTTCATTAGCTAATGTTCTTTGCTTTTGCCAGGTGAATTTTATGAAGAGTGTGATGTCTGGAGATCAACTGAGAGAAGATAGAATGGCTCTTGACAATTTATTGGCAAACCTACCCCCGGCCAAGCCAGGAAAAAGTAGCAGTTTAGAAATGACTCCCTACAATACACCTCAGCTATCTCCAGCAACCACTCCAGCAAATAAAAAGAATCGATTACCTATAGGTAAAGAGAATTTCTCGTATTGGAGCTTTCTCTTAAATCTAATATTTCATTAGCCTTTGTTATTGCTGAGTGTTTTGGAACATATGTTTAAGTACTTGGGAAAGTCTTTCTCTTCATGTTTACTGATGGTATTTCAGTTTTTAGAAATCGTATCAGATTAGTTAAGGTTTATCAGTAGTCTTTAGCTTTGCCTACATACTTTTCATAATTAATTGAAGTCATGCTATCCACAGTATACTTTCTTTAAATTTTATTGTCTTTTCTTGAAAAAATTTTGGAAATGTTATAAGTAGTCATCTTTAAAACTATGTAGCCCTCAGCCTGGTGTGGTGGCACGTGCCTGTGGTCCCTGCTACTTGGGAGGCTGAGATGGGGAGATTGCTTGAGCCTGGGAGGTCGAGGCTGCAGTGAACCATGATTGTGCCACTGCACTTCAGCCTGGGTGACCCTGAGTGAGACCCTATCTCAAAAAAAAAAAAAATTATGTAGCCCCCTCCTTTCTACAAAGTTCTAAATAATATAATAAACAATATTATTTTAGAAGTTTCCATCAATAAAGTGGAAAATAATAGTATTTTCTATTATTTTCATTAACAATCAGTCTTTTATCAACTGAGCTAAGATATCTTAATATTACAAAATGAAGCAAAAGTTTCATTTTATTTTTTCAAGTTTGTTTATTTAAGAATTCTATTTAATTAAGCCTTATTTGCTTGGTTAACATTTGCTATCTATCTGTCTATAAAAAAATTAATTGAGCATATACCATGTTCCATACTGTGGGTAGGCACTTTATAAATGTTGTTTCATTTAATCCCCACAGAAGTCCTGTGAGAGTGGATGTGTCTTGCACATGAGGCACTGTGATAGACACTGGATACAAAGACCATTAGGACCTGCCCTTACTGTCAAGTTGGCTGTTGATAGTTTAGTTAGGGAGAGCAAGAAGAGACTAGTACCCTTCAGCATACTAAGCGTTCTGAGGAGATAAATATGAGGGTTATGGTGACACCTAACTTAGCCAAAATGGTAGTGGTATCAGGAGAAGATCTTGGAGCAGGTGAAGTCTGTTTGCACTTTGTGATGAATGGGAGTTAGACAAAGTAAACAAGATGAGGAAAAAGTGTTTAAGCCAGGGGAACAGGAGTATTTTAGTGCCTGCCTATTTATAACGAGGAACTCAGCAACACTTAGTGAACATAGTTCTTTTTAATTTATGCATTTTGAAGAGAGGGATTTTACTTTTAAACTTCTGTGAGCTAATTTTTTAAGAACTGCCAGTTTCTTAAAATTAATCTACCTTATATTTAACGTAATGTGGAATTGTATCAACAGGAGTGTGGCATCATACTCTTCAAGTCTTTGTCTTATTGTATCACCCCAAAATGTCAGTTTTCAAAATAAAAAATAGAAAAAGCGATTTTACACTTATTGGTGTTTTTTTTTGTTTGTTTGTTTTTTGTTTTTTTTTGAGATGGAGTCCCCCTCTTGTTGCCCAGGCTGGAGTGCAGTGGCACAATCTTGGCTCACTGCAACCTCTGCCTTCCAGGTTCAAGCGATTCTTCTGCCTCAGCCTCCCCAGTAGCTGGGATTATAGATGCCCACCACCACGCCCGGCTAATTTTTATATTTTTGGTAGAGACAGGGTTTTGCCATGTTGGCCAGGCTGGTCTTGAACTCCTGACCTCAGGTGATCCACCTGCCTCGGCCTCCCAAAGGGCTGGGATTACAGGTGTGAGCCACCGTGCCCGGGCACTTAATGGTTTTTTGTGGGCTATTTGCACTCTGTTCACATGATGAAGTAAATGATTTTTAGTAAATCAGAGATTTTTTCTCCATTGTTGACTGCTATACATTAGTTTTTTCATTTCCCGTTATCCAAAAGTGTCATTAAATATGAGTCTGATGGAAAGTGAATTTCAAATGTATGCCCAATATTATTTTGTATAGTCTTGTTACCTGGCTATTGCATTTATTTCGTATCTTAACAAATCTGTCCATTGTTCAGAGGGTTGATTTTCTTTCTATTTAATGCTTTTGCAACCCAGGACAACAGTTAGCAGCCATCACTGCCTGGGATTCCTCAGCTACCAATATTACCTCTCATATTACAGTAGTAACCCCGTTTGGTGGGTAATAGGCTGTTCTTCCTCTTCTTTTATAATTTTATTTAAGAAATAGTTTATAAAAGTATGCTCCATGTGCATGTTGCTTTTACTTTATGTAAATTGCTACATAAAATTTGATTGCTTGCATTTTTATAAATTATAGTTACAGAGTTTGTTATGATTCATAGATCTGTTTATGAACTTGAATTTAAATTTGCAATTCAGTAAAAGATAGGGTGAGCAAATAAAGGTATGAGTAGGCCTATTTTAGACTTGGAAATTGATGTGTGCTCTGAATTTTCAGATTAAAAGTGATTAATGAACATTAATCAGCATTGTAAAGAAAGGTGATTGTTTATATTTCTGCCTCTGTCTTCAAGTGGGTCAGCTTTCATACAATGTGAAGTTGACTTTTGCTGCTACTATAGTTGTTTTTGCTTTATGTCTGTATTTTTTATTATTTTGTACCAAAACATAATTTCTATTTAGTATTCTGGTTGTACTGAATTTTATTGTCTTCTGAAAGAAAATAGAAACTTTTTTTCTTGATTTTTTTTTTTTTTTTTTTGAGGCGGAGTCTAGCTCTTGTTGCCCAGGCTGGAGTGCAATGGCGTGATCTCGGCTCACCGCAACCTCTGCCTCCTGGGTTCAAGCCATTCTCCTGCCTCAGCCTCCCAAGTAGATGGGATCACAGGCGTGTGCCACCACGCCAGCTAATTTTGTATTTTTAGTAGAGATGGGTTTTCTCCATGTTGGTCAGGCTGGACTTGAACTCCCGGCCTCAGGAGATCCACCCACCTCAGCCTCCCAAAGTGCTGAGATTACAGGCGTGAGCCACCGCGCCCAGCCTTCTTCTTTTTTTTTTTTTTAGACGGAGTTTCGCTTTTATCGCGCAGGCTGGAGTGCAATACTGCGATCTCGGCTCACTGCAACCTCCGCCTCCCGGGTTCAAGTGATTCTCCTACCTCAGCCTCCCAAGTAGTTGGGATTACAGGTGCCTGCCACCATGCCCGGCTAATTTTTTGTATTTTTAGTAGAGACGGGGTTTCACCATGTTGGCCAGGCTGGTCTCAAACTCCCGACCTCAGGTGATCCACCTGCCTCAGCCTCCCAGAGTGCTAGGATTACAGGTGTGAGCCACTACACCCAGCAATTATTTTAGAAAAAAATATTTTTCATCTGCTTATACACAGGGGAAAGAAACAAAAATAATTGAAGCCTTTATTAATTTATACTGTTTCCAAAGCAGAAAGGACCTCTTCTCCAAACATAAATAAATTTTCTCTCTTTTATCTTTGAAAAGACATTAATGCATTTCAGGGGGGGAAGGTACATTTAAAAACTGATTCTGGGCTGGGCACGGTGGCTCATGCCTGTAATCCCAGCACTTGGGGAAGCCAAGGTGCGTGGATCACCTGAGATCAGGAGTTCAAGACCAGCCTGAGCAACATGGCAAAACCCCGTCTCTACTAAAAGTACAAAATTCACCAAGTGTGGTGGTGTCTGCCTGTAATCCCAGCTACTTGGGAGGCTGAGGCAGGAGAATTGCTTGAACCCAGGAGGCGGTGATCGCAATGAGCCGAGACTGCGCCATTGCACTGTAGCCTGGGCAACAAGAGTGAAACTCCGTCTCAAAAAAACCAACACTGATTCTGGTTTTGTTAACAGTTGCCTAACTTAAAGTATCCTATTTATGTGGCTATTAGGTTTTCATATAAAATTTTCTTTATTGTTTCTTTTTTTTTTTTTGAGATGGAGTCTCACTCTGATGCCCAGGCTGGAGTGCAGTGGTGCAAACTTGGCCCACTTCAGTCTCCGTCTGCCTGGTTCAAGTGATTCTCCTGTCTCAGCCCCCCGAGTAGCTGGGATTACAGGTGCATGTCACCATGCCTGGCTAATTTTTTGTATTTTAGTAGAGATGGGGTTTCACCGTGTTGCCCTGGCTGGTCTCGAACTCCTGAATTCAGGCAATCCACCTGCCTCAGCCTCCCAAAGTGCTAGGATTACAGGAGTAATCCCTCATATGAAATTTTCTAATGCTTGTAAGCTCAGTTATTGGTATGGGAGACCTGTAGCAGTTACATCAATTTATAGGAAAAATAGTGAAGGTATCTTAAAAAGATAAGAAATGAGGTAATGCTTTTCTTGTCACTCCAAGTCTTAAATTTATTGTGACATGTTTGCTGTTCTGCAGATGTGATCATCTGTGTGGCACTTCCTGTCAGATGCACTTGGATCATTGTTCTTGATTATCAGTTTTGAAGGAGAATCTTTATTAGTCAGTAGAGTAACTGGGAGGATCTGGTTTGTTTTGTTTTGTTTTGTTTTTTCTTATTTATATTTTTTACCACTCTTGTGCATGTGCAAATGTTCTGCACTAATAGAAAATATATTCATATTTAGCATACCATTTTCTTCATTTGTCTATTTCTCTAAATTATTTTATTTGAAATTTTTTATTAGCAACTCGGAGCAGAAGCCGCACCAATATGCTAATGGACCTACATATGGACCATGAAGGATCATCTCAAGAAACCATTCAGGAGGTGCAACCAGAAGAGGTGTTGGTCATTTCCTTAGGTACAGGTCCCCAGCTTACTCCAGGGATGATGTCAGAAAATGAGGTATGAATCAGTTGCTTCTATAAATCAATATTCATGTCTTAGTCCATACAGGCTGCTGTAACAAAACACCAGAGGTTGGGTGGCTTATAAACAACAGATATTTATTTCTCACATTTGTAGAGGCCAGGAAGTCTATAGTCAAGGCAGATTCAGTGTCTTGTAAGGATCTGTTTACTGGTTCATAGATGATGTATTCTTGCTGTGTCTTTGGGCTTATTTTTTTTTGAGATGGAGTGTCACTCTTGTTGCCCAGGCTGGAGTGCAATAGCACGATCTCAGCTCACTGCAACCTCCCAATCCCGGGTTCAAGCAATTCTCCTGCCTCAGCCTCCTGAGTAGCTGGGATTACAGGCATGCATCACCATGCCCAGCTAATTTTGTATTTTTAGTAGAGACAGGGTTTCTACATGTTGGTCAGGCTGGTCTCAAACTCCCCAACTGAGGTGATCCGCCTGCCTTTGCCTCCCAAAGTGCTGAGATTACAGGTGTGAGCCACCGCGCCTGGCTGGTTGGGCTATTTTATAAGGGCACTTATTCCATTTGTGAGGGCCCTGCCTTCATGACCTAATCACCTCTCCAAAGGCCCGATCTCCAAATACCATCACCTTGGGGGTTAGAATTTCAACATACAGATTTTGGGGGAGCACAAACATTCAGATCCTAGCAATGAATTTTTTTTTTTCTTTTTCTTTTTCTTTTTTTTTTTTTTGAGACAGAGTCTCACTCTGTCACCTAGGCTGGAGTGCAGTGGCACGATCTCAGCTCACTGCAAGCTCTGCCTCCCGGATTCACACTGTTCTCCTGCCTTAGCCTCCCAAGTAGCTGGGACTACAGGTGCCCGCCACCACGCTCGGCTAATTTTTTGTATTTTCAGTAGAGAAGGGGTTCCACCGTGTTAGCCAGGATGGTCTCGATCTCCTGACCTCGTGATCCACCTGCCTCGGCCTTCCAAAGTGTTGGGATTACAGGCGTGAGCCACCGTGCCCAGCCATTTTTTTCTTTTTTTTTGACATGGAGTGTCACTCTGTTGCACAGCTGGAGTGCAATGGTGCGATCTTTGCTCACCACAGCCTCTGCCTCCTGGGTTCAAGCAATTCTCCTGCCTCAGCCTCCTGAGTTGCTGGTCTTACAGGCATGTGCCACCACACCCGGCTAACTTTGTATTTTTAGTAGAGACGGGGTTTTGCCATGTTGGCCAGACTGGTCTCGAACTTCTGACCTCCAGTGATCCACCCACCTTGGCCTCCCAAAGTGCTGGGATTACAGGTGTGAATCACTGCACCCAGCCAATGAATTTAATGCTTAATTCTTTGTTATCTTCAGTGGTCCCACCATGACACACCATCACATGCTAAGCTCCCTGTGAACAGTTGTGAGGCCCTTCACATTAATACATCTGTGGCACTGAGGTTGGTGAATAGGTCCAAGCATAAGGAATTTTCCAGGCAGTAGCAGAAGAGAGATGAAGCCAGGAGATTGTGGTATGGAAATTAAAGAGACTTTTCCAGTGACTTGTAGGAAATGTTTTGTGTTCATTTTCTTTCTAGTGGTATACTAGTAGTATTCCTGCATTATAGAGCCAAAAATATGTTGAGATGTATTTTGAGATACATGTTGTATTCTTTGGCTGGTCAGGAAAAAATGGAAGAAATAATGGAAAACTAAGAAAATAAATTTTTTTAAGAAATGGAGTTTGAGGCTTGGGAATCATTTTTAATATATTTGTAACAAAAAGCTTGGCTTAAAGGTGAATGAAAAGAAGGTCAGGCCTGGTGGCTCACACCTATAATCCCAGCACTTTGGGAGGCCGAGGTGGGTGGATCCCCCGAGGTCAGGAGTTCGAGACCAGCCTGACCAACATAGTAAAACCCCATCTTTACTAAAAATAAAAATTAGCTGGGTGTGGTGGCGCATGCCTGTAATCCCAGCTACTTGGGAGGCTGAGACAGGAGAATCGCTTGAACCCGGGACGTGGAGGTTGCAGTGAGCTGAGATCGCCCCATTGCACTCCAGCCTGGGCAACAAGAGTGAAACTCTGTCTCAAAACAAAACAAAACAAAACAAAAAACAGAAAAAAGAAACAAAAAGACAAGAAGAAGAAATCTTGACTCCCTAAAGATAGGAGTCTCTTCTCATAGAATTGTGAAATTGTGACCTCCTGAAAAAGTAGCAGCTTCTTTTTTTTTTTTTTTTGAGACGGAGTCTCACTCTGTCACCCAGGCTGGAGTGCAGTGGTGCGATCTCGGCTCACTGCGAGGTCCACCTCCCGGGTTCACGCCATTCTCCTGTCTCAGCCTCCCTAGCAGCTGGGACTACAGGCGCCCGCCACCACGCCCGGCTATTTTTTTGTATTTTTAGTAGAGACAGGGTTTCACCATGTTAGCCAGGATAGTCTCGATCTCCTGACCTCGTGATCCGCCCACCTCGGCCTCCCAAAGTGCTGGGATTACAGGTGTGAGCCATCGTGCCCTGCCAGTAGCAGCTTCTTATATTCAACAGTGATTGCTTGTTATTCAAGAAAATGGGCTAGAAAGAAGAGGCCAGTTTTAGTGATTGATAAAGTGATGGTGGTTGGTAAAGCTGTGTTTGGGACTATGACATGATACCCCATAGGGAAGAAGACCAACAATCTTCGAAACTCCATCCTCCACACACACACACAAATAAGCTGGCAAAAACTGTCAGAATCAACTTATTTGGAACTCTGGAATCTAATAAAAAACTTTTAACAACAAAGGAATGCTTAATGAAGAAAAAGACTGCTGAATTTTGTTAAGAGAGCTCTGTGATCCTACCCTGTTACCATCTTCAACCCCCAGCCCAGTGGCTGCTTTGAAGACAGCTTATATTACTGTGCAGTGTGCTGGTACTTGAGGGAGGAATGTGGACCTTATTCTGAAAGCAGCATGGTTGTGTATTTTGATCTGTCTGGTAGGTCCTGAAAGATCGTCTCAAAGGCTTGGCTTTGTTTTGCCTGCCTCTGATCTTTCCCAGGGCCGAGGCAGCTACACAGGTGGCATTTGTCAAAAGTATTGAAAAGCAGATATATTAGTTGCTTCTGCTTGCATTAAGGGATAACAGTCAGGGCAATCCGCATACAGATCCAAATGCTTATGAAGGAAGAGGCTTGGGAAGGAGACACCAGGGGGCACAAAGGCTTTGAAAAGCTCCCACGTGTTCTGGGGAATCTACCAGGTTGTACACATACCCAGGGCTGGTCATGTGCTCAGGAAAGACCCTAGAAGATCCAAGCTCTCACTGCTGGGTAACCTTCAGGCTGAACCCAAGTAGGAAGTGAAGGCTAAGGTACAGTTGCAAACTGCCTGGCTAAGTGTTGAAGTTCCCCAAAACAGAGCCAATCTTCAAAGACTTGGAAATGTTTTGTTTTGTTATTCCAGGTGTTAAATCTGCCAAATCACGTGCTCACCACTAAGCTAACAGAACAGAAACTTCAGAGGCCACACATGACAGAAAATTTAGAGAGATCATTAAATAGTCACTACAACAAGCAGCAACAACCAACTAGGGGTTAAGGGTATATAATCTGATTTCCAGAATTGCCACTTTGTAACATTTATTTGTTTATTTTTTATTTTAATTTTTTTATTATACTATAAGTTCTGGGATACATGTGCAGAACGTGCAGGTTTGTTACATAGGTATACATGTGCCATAGATCTACATTAGATATTTCTCCTAATGATATCCCTCCCCTAACCCCCTACCCCTGCGACAGGCCCCAGTGTATGATGTTCCCCTCCCTGTGTCCATGTATTCTCATTGTTCAACTCCCACTTATGAGGGAGAACATGCGGTGTTTGGTTTTCTGTTCCTGCATTAGTTTGCTGAGAATGATGGTTTCCAGCTTCATCTGTATCCCTGCAAAGGACATGAACTAATCCTTTTTTATTGCTGCAAACCACTATGGCACATGTATCCCTGCAAAGGACATGAACTAATCCTTTTTTATGGCTGCATAGTATTCCATGGTGTATATGTGCCACGTTTTCATTATCCAGTCTATTGTTGATGGGCATTTGGGTTGGTTCCAAGTCTTTGCTATTGTGAATAGTGCTTCAATAAACGTATGTGTGCATGTGTCTTTATAGTAGAATGATTTATAATCCTTTGGGTATATACACCCAGTAATGGGATTGCTGGGTCAGATGGTATTTCTGGTTCTAGATCCTTGAGGAATTGCCACACTGTCTTCCATAACAGTTGAACTAATTTACACTCCCACCAACAGTGTGAAAGTGTTCCTGTTTCTCCACATTCTCTCCAGCATCTGTTGTTTCCTGACTTTTTAATGATCACTTTATAATATTTAAAATGTCTGCTTTTCAGCAAAACTTATGAGGCATATAAAGAAACAAAAATATGGCCCTTTCACAGGAAAAAAGTTAATAGAAAATGTCCTTGATGGGCCAGGCGCAGTGGTTCATGGCCGTAATCCCAGCACTTTGGGAGGCGAAGGTGGGCTGTTCATGAGGTCAGGAGTTCGAGACCAGCCTGACCAACATGGTGAAACCCCGTCTCGACTAAAAATACAAAAATTAGCCAGGCGTGGTGGTGTGCACCTGTAATATCAGCTACTCAGGAGGCTGAGGCAGGAGAATCGCTTGAACCTGGGAGGCGGAGGTTGCAGTGAGCCAAGATTGCGCCATTGCACTCTAGCCTGGGCAATACAGCGAGACTCTGTCTCAAAAAAAAAAAAAGAAAACGTCCTTGATGGCCGGGCGGTGGCTCACGCCTGTAATCCCAGCACTCTGGGAGGCTGAGGTGGGTGGATCACCTGAAGTTGGGAGTTTGAGACCAGCCTGAGCAACATGGAGAAACCCTGTCTCTACTAAAAATACAAAATTAGCCAGGCCTGGTGGCACATGCCTGTAATCCCAGTTACTCGGGAGGCTGAGGTAGGAGAATCGCTTGAACTTGGGATGTAGAGGTTATGGTGAGCTGAGATTGTGCTGTTGTACTCCAGCCAGGGCAACAAGAGCGAAACTCTGTCTCAAAAAAAAAAAAAAAAAGAAAAGAAAGAAAAGAAAGAAAATGGCCTTGATGAAGCACAGACATTGGACTTACTCAAGACTTTAAATCAATTTTTTTTTTAATATACTTAAAGAGCTATGGAAACCACGGACAAAGAACTAAAGAAAACCAAGAGAACAAGGTCTCACCAAATAGAAGATATCAATAAAGGGGTAGAAATTACAGAAGGAACCATATAGAAATTCTGGAGTTGAAAAGTATAATAACTGGAATGAAAAATACACTAGAGGGGTTCAACAGCAGATTTGTACAGGCAGAAAAATCAGTGAACTTGAAGATGGATCAATTGAGATTATCTAGTCTCAGGAGCAGAAAGATTACAAAAGACAAAGACATTATATGTTGATAAATAGTCATTAAGAAGATACACCCAGCACTTTGGGAGGCCGCTCTCACTGCAGCCTCCGCCTCCCCTGTTCAAGTGATTCTCCTGCCTCAGCTTCCCTAGTAGCTGGGACCACAGGCATATGCCACTATGCCCAGCTAATTTTTGTATTTTTAGTAGAGACAGGGTTTCACTTTATGTTGGCCAGGTTGCTCTCAAACTCCTGACCTCAGGTGATCTGCCCACCTCAGCCTCCCAAAGTGTTGGGATTAGAGGCGTGAGCCACTGTGGCCAGCTAAAGTTTTTTTAGCACTCAGATTCTGTGGTTTTAGTTTAATCCAGAGTTTGCAGATGCTCTGATTTAGAAGCATGAAATTAGATTTTCGTATTTTATACTCCAGTGTGTATTTTGTATTTTATACTCCAGTGTGACTGACTTTGTACAGTGGCTTTCTGTATGGCGTCTCAAAATTGCTTGCCTTTGGATATGATTTGGAAAAAATATCTTCATTGTGTTATATAATCCCTTTTCTGTTAATTCACGTGAATCTCCAGACCTTGAAATGATTTTTCTCCTGATGTTTTAGTTTCACATCACTCACTATGGTGAATAGTTTAAGTTATCTAATTTAAAATATTTATGTTGGCCAGTTATGGTGGCTCATGCCTGTAATCCCAGTATTTTGGGAGGCTGAGGTGAGAGGATTGCTTGAAACCAGAAGTTCAAGACCAGCCTGGGCAACATAGTAAGACCTTGTCTCTACAAAAATAAAAAAATTTCCAGGGATGGTGGCTCACACCTGTAATCCCAGCGCTTTGGGAGGCTGAGGCAGAAGGATCCTTGGGTCCAGGACTTCAAGACCAGCCTGGGCAACTTGGCGAGACCCTGTCTTAATAATAAATAGGCCAGGCGCAGTGGCTCACACCTGTAATCCCAGAACTTTGGGAGGCCGAAGCAGGCAGATCACTTGAGGTCAGGAGTTTGAGACCAGCCTGGCCAACATGGTGAAACCCCATCTTTACTAAAAATACAAAAATTAGCCGGGTGTGGTGGCACATGCCTGTAATCCCAGCTACTTGGGAGGCTGAGACAGGAGAATCGCTTGAAACTGGGAGGTGGAGGTGGCAGTGAGTCAAGATCATGCCATTGCACTCCAGCCTAGGTGAAAGATTGAGACTCTGTCTCAAAAATATAATAATAATAATAATAATACGAAGAACTAAAATGAAAAAAATTAGCTGGGCTTGGTGGTGTGTACCTGTAGTCCCAGCTACTCAGGAGGCTAAAACAGGAGGATTGCCTGTGCCTAGGGGTTCAAGGCTGTGGTGAGCCATCATTGCACCACTGCACTCCAGCCTGGGCGACAGAATGAGTTCCATCTTAAAAAAATTTTTTTTAATAAAAATTTTATGTGTATTTAATTTTTTTTTTTGAGATGGAATCTCCCTCTGTCACCCAGGCTGGAGTGCAGTGGTGCAATCACAGCTCACTGCAACCTCCACTTCCCAGGTTCAAGTGATTCTCCAGCCTCCTGAGCAGCTGGGATTACAGGTGTGTGCCACGACGCCTGGCCTATGTCTATTAATTTCAAGCAAATAGGGAAAAAAAAACTTTTTTTTTTTTTTTTTTGAGATGCAGTCTTGCTCTGTCACCCAGGCTGGAGTGCAGTGGTGCAATCTCAGCTCATTGCAACCTCCACCTCCCGGGTTCAAGCGATTCTCCTGTCTCAGCCTCCCAAGTAGCTGGAATTACAGGCGTACACCACCACACCTGGTTGATTTTGTATTTTTAGTAGAGATGGGATTTTGCCACGTTGCCCAGGTTGAACTCCTGACCTCAGGTGATCCACCGGCCTTGACCTCCCAGAGTGCTGGGGTTACAGGCATGAGCCGCCACCGCTCCCAGCCAAAAAACCTGTATTTAAAGGCATCATGTGTAAATGTATAAAACCATTTCAAAACCTTTAATTTACTCAGAGCCAAAACAGCAACCAAGAATTTTTTTTTTCTTTCTGTTTAAAAATCATTTATCTTTTAGCTGACAAAATTGTATCTATTTATGGTATACATGTTTTGATATACATTGTGGAATGGCTGAATCAAGCTAAATAACCTGTATCGCCTCACATATTTTTCATTTTTTGTGGTAAGTTTTTTTCTTTGTAAGTGAGGGTACTATTCTTCCTTCATATTTCAGCAACAGCCAAGGGAGCCAAGGCCTCTGAGTTCAAGTCCAAGGTGTACCTAAAACATGCTATGTGACTTTCAACAAAGCACTTAATTCTTCATTAAGGTGGAGATATACACACAAAGCTGAGTTGTGAGGCTTGTAGGGAGTAGTGAGATGTAGTTATGTTATTTGGAAGTCATCTGGCAAATGGAAAGCATATAAAAAGGCCATCAGTCTAAGCTGGAGATGTCTGTGAAGTCATACTTTAGTTTCTGGTGTGGACTTTTGTGGCCCTGTATGTATGTTGTGATCAAGTGGACGTTCAGACTAGATGGATTAAATCTTGATGCCTACAAAATAACATGATTACACGTTTTCTTCTAGTTGAATTTATTTACTTTTATTTACTTTAAATTTTATTTAAATTTTGCAAATTTAGTATGTTTAAAAATTTTATTTATTGATTTTTTATTTTTATTTTTTTGAGATGGAGTCTCACTGTATCGCCCAGGCTAGAGTGCAGTGGCGCGATCTCGGCTCACTGCAAGCTCCGCCTCCCAGGTTCACGCCATTCTTCTGCCTCAGCCTCCCGAGTAGCTGGGACTACAGGCACCCACCACCAAGCCCGGCTAATTTTTTTTGTAGTTTAGTAGAGATGGGGTTTCACCATGTTAGCCAGCATGGTCTCGATCTCCTGACCTCGTGATCTGCCTGCCCTGGCCTCCCAAAGTGCTGAGATTACAGGCGTGATCCTCTGCGCCCAGCCTTGTTGATTTACTTTCTTTAAATTTTGCAAATTTAATACGTGACATGACAACTGTTTTATGTGCATCTTTTTACTTAATTCTCAACAATTACATGGCATACATACTGTTACTGTCACCATTTTATAGATGAAGAAACTGAGGCTTAGAGAATTTCAATAACTTGCCTATCCAAGGTTACATAGTTGACACATGACAGAATTAGAAGGACCAGCGTGCTGACACCAAAGACTTCTGATTTGTATAATTCTCACCACTACTCATCTGGTAGTCTGGTTGCCTGTTCTATCTGTAACACTCGTAGGGTAATGGAAAGGCATGGCTTCAGCTGCTTTAATTTATATACTTTTATTCCACAGGTATTTAAAAGCTTGACAGACCTTCTAAATAGGTTTGTAGTTAAAAATTGATAATTTAAGATTAAGGAGTTAAATATGCATTTGCTGTGGTTTGTTTCCTTATCAGTAATCTTTCCATTGATAAACCAAAATTGACATTTTATTTTTTAGGTCCTAAACATGCAGCTTTCGGATGGAGGACAAGGAGATGTCCCTGTTGATGAAAACAAACTCCATGGTAAACCTGATAAAACCTTGCGCTTTTCCCTCTGCAGTGATAATCTGGAAGGAATATCTGAAGGTGAAGGGTTACTTCATTCAAGGAGTTGTGTGGTTCAATTAATAGTTTGTTTTGTGTTTTTTAAAGGAGCTTATAAATTATAATTATACCATCTGTGCTTCTCACTGAGGAGACTAATGAAGATTTCCTCTAATGAGCCTGAACAGTTGGCTGTAAAGATTGTTTCCTGAATAAAATTAAAATTGCAAGATGCCTTTGGTCATATAAAATGGAGAAGATATGTCTTTATTCAGACTTAAATAGAATAACAGCAAGTTCTGTTTCTGCAGTATTAATATATACCAAAGCTTATAGAGCTCCTTTAGAAGGATATCATGCATGTCGAAACGGGAAAAAATGGACTTACTAGTATTTCAATATGTTGCACATACTCTTAAATGTTCTGTATTCCTTTACTCACACTCACACATACCTTTATGAAGCAGAAGACAATGGAAATAGGTATTAAAAAGAAAATTCAAAGCCAAGATTGTGAAATGAGAATATGTCATTTTGCCTACTAGTACCAATTTTTTTTTTTTGAGACAGAGTCTCGTTCGTTGCCCAGGCTGGAGTGCAGTGTCGCAATCTCGGCTCACTGCAAGCTCCGCCTCCCGGGTTCACGCCATTCTCCTGCCTCAGCCTCCTGCATAGTTGGGACTACAGGCACCCGCCACCACGCCTGGCTAATTTTTTGTATTTTTAGTAGAGACGGGGTTTCACCGTGTTAGCCAGGATGGTCTCGATCTCCTGACCTCGTGATCCGCCCACCTCAGCCTCCCAAAGTGCTGGGATTACAGGCGTGAGCCACCGCGCCTGGCCCCGGGTTTTTTTTTATTTAAAGACAATAGTTCAAATTTACTGACATTTAAAAAGAAACCTAAAATATAATAACTTCATATTTTAATCTGACTTTTCCAAAAAAATGACATGTAATGTATGTTCATTCTACAAAACAGAGAAATAGAATCACCTATAATCTCAAAATTTTGTTGATAGCAGTTGACGTTTTAGATTATTCACAGCAAAATTAGGTTTATCCTGTTTTGTAACCTTTTGTAATTTAATAATATGGCATTAACATTTCCCTTTGTAATTTAACATTCTTAAATAACATGGTTTTTATGGCTGTTTTCCTTAACCTCACATGGCATATCATAATTTTTTTCAACTTTCTTCTGTGATTAAATCTATAGATTTCTTCCACTTTTTGGACATAATAACTTCTGGGCTGGGCGAAGTGGCTCATGCCTCTAATCCCAGCACTTTGGGATGCCGAGGTGGGTGGATTCACTGAGCTCAGGAGTTTGAGACCAGCCTGGGCAACACGGTGAAACCCCATCTCTACTAAAATACAACAAATTAGCTGGGTGTGGCAGCGTGTGCCTGTAGTCCCAGCTACTCGGGAGACTGAGGCAGGAGAATTGCTTGAACCAGGGAGGCGGAGGTTGCAGTGAGCCAAGATGGTGCCACTGCATTCCAGCTTGGACGATAGAGCGAGACTCTCTCTAAAAAAAAAAAAAAAAAAGAAGAAAAAGCTCTATAACAAGCAACTTTAGATTAATTATTATTATTATTTTTTGAGATGGAGTCTCACTTTTGTTGCCCAGGCTGGAGTGCAATGATGCGATCTCAGCTCACTGCAACCTTTGCCTCCCGGGTTCAAGCAATTCCCCTGCCTCAGCCTCCTAAGTAGCTGAGATTACAGGCATGTGCCATCAGGCCGGCTAATTTTTATATTTTTTGTTTTGTTTTGTTGTGTTGTGTTTTGTTTTGTTTTTTGAGATGGAGTCTCGCTCTGTCGCCCAGGCTGGAGTGCAGTGGCGCGATCTCGGCCCACTGCAAGCTCTGCCTCCCGGGTTCACGCCATTCTCCTGCCTCAGCCTCCTGAGTAGCTGGTACTACAGGTGCCCGCCACCACGCCTGGCTAAATTTTTATATTTTTAGTAGAGGCTGGGTTTCACCATGTTAGCCAGGATGGTCTCGATCTCCTGACCTCATGATCCACCCACCTCAGCCTCCCAAAGTACTGGGATTACAGGCATGAGGCATTGCACCCAGCAGATTAATTTGTTATTAGCACCTTAGGATAAATTCCTAGAAGCAGAATTTCTCAAAGGGCATGTGTTTTTTTAAGGTATAAAAAGTATTAAAAACACTTTAATCAGTTGTTAGTCTTTTATCAAGGCATGAAAAATTGTGTGGTGGCTCATGACTGTTTTAAAAAGATTGCTCACACTATAAACATTTCTCTAGGTCCTTCAAATCGCTCCAATTCAGTGTCCTCCCTAGACCTAGAAGGAGAGTCTGTGTCAGAACTTGGAGCAGGACCTTCTGGCAGTAATGGAGTTGAAGCTCTACAGCTGTTAGAACATGAGCAAGGTAAAGTGAAGTTGAACACAGTTGCCTAAGTAGCAAAGAATTTACCTGATTGCAAGATGAGCAGTGTGTTTTCATTAAGTTGGCTTGGTTCAGTAAGAGATTAAATCACCATTAAACTTAACATTTATTCATCATTCCTTCAGTTCTTCAAAATCTATTTAGTTGGTAAGTGGATTGTTTAGGCTTAATAAATTAATATAAATTACTTGAAATTCAGTAATATTTGATATTTTAATTATGTAATATTTTAGGGATACAATGTAAATACTCAAGGCTCAAGGAACTTAGAATAGGGAAAGAATAGTACACAATTGATTTAAAGTATCATGAAAGTATTTGGCAGTTCTGAGTGAGAGATACATATGGTTGAAAGTATAGGGAAAGCTGCTGGGCCCGGTGGCTCACACCTGTAATCCCAGCACTTTGGGTGGCTGAGGCGGGTGGATCACCTGAGGTCGGGAGTTCAAGACCAGCCTGACCAACATGGAGAAAGCCCGTCTCTACTGAAAATACAAAATTAGCCAGGGTGGTGGCACATGCCTGTAATCCCAGCTACTCGGGAGGCTGAGGCAGGAGAATCGCTTGAACCCAGGAGGCGGAGGTTGCGGTGAGCCAAGATCGTGGCATTGCACAACAGGCTGGGCAAAAAGAGTAAAACTCCGTCTCAAAAAAAAGAAAGTATAGGGAAAGTTTATTGGAAGAAAATATTAGCCTTGAGGGCTGGCTGGCATTGCCTTGGCAGAAGTTGGAGATAGGTCATTCTAGGTGAAGGACAAGCATAAGCAAGTCAAAGAGGTGGGAAGCCATAGTACTTTTTCAGGTATCAGTTAGGGAAATGGAGTGAGGTAAGGATTAAAAAGTAGGTGGATCCCTGTTGTGGAAAGAAGGATATCAGTATTTTAGTAGTAAGCTGGAAGCCACTGAAGGCTTTTGGTTCAGTGAAGATGAGGAAGTGAGGTGCCTTAGGAAGATTAAGTTGAAAGAGTTTTTTGGATTTGTTCATTTAAGATGATGCCCTTGGCCAGGTACAGTGGCTCGTGCCTGTAATCCCAGCACTTTGGGAGGCTGAGGCAGGTAGATCATTTGAGGTCAGGAATTTGAGACCAGTCTGGCCAACATAGTGAAACCCCATCTCTACTAAAAATACAAAAATTAGCCAGGTGAGGTGGTGAGCACCTGTAATCCCAGCTACTCAGAAGGCTGAGGCACGAGAATCGCTTGAACCTGGGAGGCAGGGGTTGCAGTGAGCTGAGATCGCACCACTGCACTCTAGCCTGGGCGACAGAGTGAGACTCTGATTGAAAAAAAAAAAGATGGGCCGGGTGCGGTGGCTCATACCTGTAATCCCTAGCACTTTGGGAGGCCAAGACAGGCGGATCATGAGGTCAGGAGATCAAGACCATCCTGGCTGACACGGTGAAACCCTGTCTCTACTAAAAATACAAAAAATTAGCTGGGCATGGTGGCAGGCGCTTGTAGTCCCAGCTACTCGGGAGGCTGAGGCAGGAGAATGGCCTGAACCCGGGAGGCAGAGCTTAGTGAGCAGAGATCACACCACTGCACTCCAGCCTGGGCGACAGAGCGAGACTCCATCTCAAAAAAAAAAAAAAAAAAAAGATGATGCCCTCAACTAGGTTTGACACAGTGATTTTAGCATGCATAAGAATTACCTGGTTAGCTTTTTAAAAATTCCATTTCCCAAGTCTTACTTCTAAAAAAGAAGTCAGTTTTTAGAAAGAAAAAGAGTATTGTCATTGGAGTGTGTGTGGCTTGAAAAAAGTAATGCTGTATTTTACTGGATTTGTTTATCAGTGTATTAATTAGGATTAAGTTTGTTGCAAGCAGCAGAGAAAACTCAAGTAATAAAGTAGTACCTCCTTATCCATGGTTTCACCTTCCATGGCTTCAGTTACCCATGGGCAAACTTGGTGCAAAAATATTAAATGGAAAATTTCAGAAATAATTCATAAGCTTTAAATTCTGTGCCATTCTGAATAATGTGATGAAATCTCACACAGTCTCACTCTATCACATCCAGGACATGAATCATTCCTTAGTTCAGTGTATCCACATATACACTACCTGCCTATTAGTCACTGCTTATCAGATGAAAACAGCATGGAATATATAGGATTTGGTACGATCCGAAGCTTCAGTTATCCACTGGAGGCCATTGCATAAGTGGAGGAGGAACTTTCATATGAGCTTATGAAAGAAGTTGAACAAATGTCACCTCTTTAGCAAACTTCCTGGGAGATTCTGAGATAGGTGGTTGGCATATGCAAAATGCTAGATTAAGAAGTGAATTGATAGGCCAGGCACAGTGGCTCACGCCTGTAATCCCAGCACTTTGGGAGGCCGAGGCGGGCGGATCACCTGAGATTGGGAGTTCGAGACCAGCCTGACCAACATGGAGATAAAATTCTTTAAAGTTGATTAAAAAGTCATAGCTGTGCTACTATTTTAAAAGTGCTTAATTTTGTTTTTGATAGCTACAACACAGGATAACCTTGATGATAAGCTAAGGAAGTTTGAAATTCGTGACATGATGGGATTAACAGATGATAGGGACATATCAGAAACAGTGAGTGAGACCTGGAGTACAGACGTCTTGGGAAGTGACTTTGACCCTAATATTGATGAAGATCGCTTGCAAGAAATTGCAGGTAACTGCCATTTAATGTCTCTGAAATATCACGGTTTAGTTATTCAAATCCACCAACCTTTCATGGGAGGGAGCACCAGTGCCCTGACAAACATTGTGTGTGTTAGCACCATCTGGGAAACTGTTATAACTGTATGGAACAAGGCATTTGGGTACTTTTTTCTTTACTTAAATATAACTAGTGTTTTTCCTTTCTACATTTAATCCCACCCCTTACCCATCCTCCTCCCAGCTGCCCAAAAAAAAAAAAGAAAGAAAGAAAAACCAGTGTTTTGAATTAGCTTCTGGTCAAGTGTTGTTTGCAGGGCATAGTATAAGTTCTTAGTCTGTCTCTAATTAGTATATTCTCTGTTTGAAGCCAAACACCTAACCTTAAGATGAAAATTCTTATAGATTATAGCCATAAAATCTTTCACAACAATATGATACTGCTGTTCTCTAAAAAAATGAATTCACTTCTGGAAGAGTTAATTCAGTTCCTAAGGGTAACCAGGTTTTTCTTTTTCTTCTTCTTACATTTTTATTTATTTTCAAATAGAGACAGGATTTCGCTTTGTTGCTCAGGCTGGTCTTGAACTAATGAGCTCAAGTGATCCTCCTGCCTTCTTTTTTTTTAATGTGAAGTTTATTCAGGTGCTATGTATATACACTAAAATTCGCTCCTTTTTGGATACTGTTTTATGAGTTCTGAAAGATATATAGTCTTGTAACCCTCATCTTCATTTTGTTTTTAAATCATGGAAAATTTATTGATATGTTTATTTTTCTTCAACTTTTATTTTAGGTTCAGGGGGTACATGTGCAGATTTGTTACATGGGAAATTGTTAGAGCAAATTGTATGTTGCTGGGGTTTGGTGTACAGATGATTTTGCCACCCAGGTAGTGAGCATAGTAACCAATAGGTTTTTTTTTGTTTTTGTTTTTTTAATTTAAGATAGAGTCTTACTCTGTCGCCCAGGCTGGAGTTGCAGTGGTGCGATCTCAGCTCACTGCAACCTCTGCCTCCCTGGTTTAAGTGATTCTCCTGCCTCAGCCTCCCGAGTAGCTGGGACTGCAGGTGCCCACCACCACACCCAGATAATTTTTGTATTTTTAGTAGAGACGGGGTTTCACCATATTGGCCAGGCTGGTCTCGAACTCCTGACCTCAAGTGATCCATCCGCCTCGGCCTCCCAAAGTGCTGGGATTACAGTCATGAGCCATTGCTCCCGGCCTAAATCATGGAACATTTTAAACAAATACAAGAGATGGTGGTATCATGAACCCAGTGTACCCATCACTCAGTTTCAGGAGTTAGACCCACATGGCCAGCTTTCTTTCATCTGTTCTCCTATCCACTACCCTCTTCTCTCCCCTCATTATGTTTAGGCAAGTTCCAGACATTATTTTATTTCTAATTATTTTATGATATAGCTTTAAAAGGTAACTTTTATTAGTAACTTTTTTTCTAATTTTTTTTCATGCCCTGAAGTAGAATTATTCTTTTATTAGGTTTAATCCAAAGTAGTGAAGCCTTTTGAACTTCAGTGTTTTTAACACAGACGTATAATAATGTTTAATACTTTCGATTTGTATTTTTAAGTAGTGCAAATAGATTTCTTTTTTTTTTTTTTTTTAAATTTATTTTTTTATTGATAATTCTTGGGTGTTTCTCACAGAGGGGGATTTGGCAGGGTCATGGGACAATAGTGGAGGGAAGGTCAGCAGATAAACAAGTGAACAAAGGTCTCTGGTTTTCCTAGGCAGAGGACCCTGCGGCCTTCCGCAGTGTTTGTGTCCCTGATTACTTGAGATTAGGGAGTGGTGATGACTCTTAAGGAGCATGCTGCCTTCAAGCATCTGTTTAACAAAGCACATCTTGCACTGCCCTTAATCCATTTAACCCTGAGTGGACACAGCACATGTTTCAGAGAGCACAGGGTTGGGGGTAAGGTCACAGATCAACAGGATCCCAAGGCAGAAGAATTTTTCTTAGTGCAGAACAAAATGAAAAGTCTCCCATGTCTACTTCTTTCTACACAGACAGGGCAACCATCCGATTTCTCAATCTTTTCCCCACCTTTCCCGCCTTTCTATTCCACAAAGCCGCCATTGTCATCCTGGCCCGTTCTCAATGAGCTGTTGGGCACACCTCCCAGACGGGGTGGTGGCCGGGCAGAGGGGCTCCTCACTTCCCAGTAGGGGCGGCCGGGCAGAGGCGCCCCTCACCTCCCGGACGAGGCGGCTGGCCGGGCAGGGGGCTGACCCCCCCCCCACCTCCCTCCCGGACGGGGCGGCTGGCCGGGCAGGGGGGCTCACCTCGGGAGGCCGAGGCTGGCGGATCACTCGCGGTTAGGGGCTGGAGACCGCCCGGCCAACACAGTGAAACCCCGTCTCCACCAAAACCAGTCAGGCGTGGCGGCGCGTGCCTGCAGTCGCAGGCACTCGGCAGGCTGAGGCAGGAGAATCAGGCAGGGAGGTTGCAGTGAGCCAAGATGGCAGCAGTACAGTCCAGCTTCGGCTCCGCATGAGAGGGAGACCGTGGGGAGAGGGAGAGGGAGAGGGAGAGGTGTAAATAGATTTCTTAATTGGTTTTACATTACTTTGTTCCAGATGCCAAAGTGGTATTGTTCTTGGCAGTTAGCTGTATTTGCGCAATAAGCTGTATTTGCAGTTGAGTGAGTGCTATGAAGATGTGTATTTTCCTGTGAATGTATCTTATTGCCCTGAATAGTGACTAATATGCTGGAAGAAAAAATATTTGGCCAGCATAACATTCTGTGGTTAAACTCTCAGTGTTTTTAATCTTTGTAGGGCTATAAATTTTAGAACGATATTAAGGACCCCTGTAAAATTTGCTGAGAAATCAAAGCTAAAGCTGTTGAAATTACTTGACTTAATGATGTGTGTTTTCTCTATGGAGAGTCAAAGGTGAACTGGAGGAAACTGGTGAAAAGGGTATTGTGCCATTGTGACCAAAGTAGGAACTTGTGTTTTTAGTGGTGTGCTTGATTGAAGTTATTCTTACTTTGGCCTCTTTCTTGTAGGTAGAGAGGAATTTGGTGGTTTTTTTTTTTTTTTTGAGACAAAGTCCCAAAATGACACGGCCATTTTTATTTTTGAGACAGGGTCTCACTCACATTGACCAGGTTGGAGGGCAATGGCATGACCTCGGCTCACTGCAGTCTCTGCACCCCCTGCAACCTCTGCCTCCCGGGTTCTTGTGCCTCAGCTTCCCAAGTAGCTGAGACTACCGGTGCACGCCACCATACCTGGCTAATTTTTGTATTTTCAGTAGAGACGGGGTTTCGCCATGTTGGCCAGGCTGGTGTTGAACTCCTGGCCTCAAGTGATCTGCCTGCCTCAGCCTCCCAAAGTGCTGGGATTACAGGTGTGAGCCACCGCGCCCAGCCAGGAGATTTTGTTAGCTAGTGTTTGGCTTTTCTCCACTATCACTGCACTTTCCTCCAGGATCTTTGTTAACCCTTTGCTTCCCACTGGTTATACAGGTGCTGCAGCAGAGAACATGTTAGGCAGTTTGCTGTGCCTCCCAGGTTCAGGGTCAGTGCTTCTTGACCCCTGCACTGGTTCTACCATATCAGAGACAACAAGTGAAGCTTGGAGTGTAGAGGTATTGCCAAGTGACTCAGGTTAGTATGCTGTCATTGTTTGCTTTTTCATTTATACAGAAGTTTTAATTAAATGCAAGGTATCCCAACTCTGTATTATGTATATTTTGTCAAATACACTTTTTTTTTTTTTTTAATGGAGATGGAGTCTTGCTCTTTTACCCAGGCTGGAGTGCTGTGGCGCGATCCCAACTTACTGCAACCTCTGCCTCCTGGGTTCAAGCAGTCTTCTCGCCTCAGCCTCCTGAGTAGCTGGGATTACAGACATGCCCCACCATGCCGGGTAATTTTTGTATTTTTAGAGAAACAGGGTTTCACCATGTTGGCCAGGCTGGTCTTGAACTACTGACCTCAGGTGATCTGCCCACCTTGGCCTCCCGAAGTGCTGGAATTACAGGCATGAGCCATCATGCCCAGCCAGTTATACATTTGACAAAGATGAGGTGATCACATTGCTAAGAATGTCAAATGGAAAATTAGTTTAGGGCATTTTCTGTCCATTAAGGGAAAATGCTCTGTTAGATAGCATAGACTGTGATGGCAGGTGCTTTCAGACTCTGTGTTGAGTTATTTTGAAAGCAATTTTCTGTGATTATCAGAGTCCGTGTGAATCATTGAATTTAGTATCTTCCACAAACTCATGACAGGATAAGAGTAGCAACACAGTTCAAACTGAGTGCTTGCTTGGTAAACACATTTAGATTTATCACAGGGGAGAACTTGACTCTCTAAAACATGCTTAATGTGTTTTTGAAATACGTTGAAATTGAGATTCTGTAATCCTGAGGATTTTTTTTTTGTGCAGGTTATTATAAATGTATATAAAGTGTTTTGTACTTTGTCTTTTCATATGCATTGCATTTTTTTCTGATTATGAAGACGCATCTTTGCTTTCAACTAAATGTCAACTACCAGAATGTAAATATAAGTAACTGTGTATCTGCATTACATTCTGTTGATTTACTTGGTTCAAGAATTATTAAGTGATCCTGATATGTGTTTTATAATTTTTTTTTTTTTTGAGATGGAGTCTCACTCTGTCACCCAGGCTGGAGTGCAGTGGTGCAATCACGGCTCAGTGCAATCTCTGCCTCCTGGGTTCAAGTGATTCTTTTGCCTCAGCCTCCCAAGTAGCTGGGATTACAGGCACCTGCCACCACGCCTAGCTAGTTTTTGTATTTTTAGTAGAGATGGGATTTCACCGTGTTGGGCATGCTGGTCTCGAACTCCTGACCTCAGGTGATCTGCCGGCCTCGACCTCCCAAAGTGCTGGGATTACAGGTGTGAGCTACCACGGCTGGCCTGTTTTATAATGTTAAAGCATTCAGATATGCTAGCCTTGTTTGAAGACCAGTTGGGGACAATAGGATTAGCTTACCAGCTGTTGAGTATTCATAGGAGTTACTTTTTAGGAAGTGGTTGATTTAATACCAGGCTATTCCATACTCTCTTGTCCAGTTCACATGTTAATCAATAGCATACTCTGTGACATTAGTGATCTAGAACCACGTTTTCATCTGTGCACAGTGAACTGGCTTATATTGGGATGAAAATCACAACTTTGACTTAACACTTAATCTAACTAGCATTAACTAGTCCAGACTTACACATGTATTTGCACTGATTTTATTCATGCCCTGGTAGCTTTGTTTATCTGGGTCACAAAAGCTGAAATTGTGGTGTGCTAAGAGAATCACAAATGTAACATACCTCTTATCTTCTATTTAGAGGCCCCAGACCTAAAGCAGGAGGAGCGTCTGCAAGAACTGGAGAGCTGTTCTGGACTGGGTAGCACATCTGATGATACGGATGTCAGGGAGGTCAGTTCCCGCCCCAGCACACCAGGCCTCAGTGTTGTGTCCGGTATGTCTGTCTTGTTTTAAGGAGTAGGGATTTGAAGGTGTTCACCCCCTACCCCCTCCTATTTATAAAGTTGATACAAAAAGATATGTTATATTTAAGAGCTGAGTAATTTCCAGAAAACAAACTTATTTCCATTGCACCTGAAATCTTTGAGAACTTAATGTGTGGCCTTATGGAGCCTGTTGAAGTAATTGGCAAACAGTCTCTCTACAACTGTTTCTGTTCTTAGTAGCCTGTCCTACTTTAGAATTGTACGATTCTGATTATGTTGTGTAAAGCAAGGTAAGTATATTTAAGCAGTAGTACCATAAAGGATATAATACTAAACTCACATGTATAGAACTGGGACACAAAATTCGAGAATGTTTCAGTTTCTCCAAATTTCATATACTTTTTGTGTGGATATTTTGTTCTTCTTCCTGTTTATTTTTTACTATTGTTTTTTAAAGGCATAAGTGCAACCTCTGAGGATATTCCCAATAAGATTGAAGACCTGAGATCTGAGTGCAGCTCTGATTTTGGGGGTAAAGATTCTGTCACTAGTCCAGACATGGATGAAATAACTCACGGTAAGAGGGGGAAATGAGGATGACTTAAAAAATGACCACATCCGTGGTTGAAACTGGCACTGTGACACATTGCTGGTGACAGCATCTGTTGGTATAGCACTTTGGGACATACTTTGTCAGTATCTATTTAAGGTCTTAAATGTTCACATTCTAAATTTAGTCAGGTTAGTTCCACTTCTAGGTGTCAGTCATAATGAAAAAATTCCATGTGTAGAGAAAGTCCTTAGCACGAAGATGTTCTTTATAATGTTTTGTATTGGCAGAAAACTAGAAATAACTTAAAAAATTGAAAAGTGGAATGGCTAAATAATTTTGATGTAACTGCTTATTGGAATTTATGTAGCTATTTTAAAATGCATTAAGGAATATGAAATGACTTAGAGAAAAAACTAGAACATACTACATGGAATTTATTTTGTAGAACTTTACACACAAAATAATAAAACTTCTGTTTTTTTTTTGAGACGGAGTCTTGTGCTGTCACCCAGGCTGGAGTGCTGTGGCACGATCTTGGCTCACTGCACTTCCGCCTCCTGGGTCTGCTGGGTTCAAGCCATTCTCCTGCCTCAGCCTCCCCAGTAGCTTGGATTACAGGCACCCACCACCACGCCCAGCTAATTTTTCTATTTTTAGTAGATACGGGGGTTTCATCACATTGGCCAGGCTGGTCTCGAACTCCTGACCTCGTGATCCACCTGCCTCGGCCTCCCAAAGTGCTGGGAGTACAGGTGTGAGCCACCGCACCCGGCCAGTAAAACATTTTTTAAAAACCTATGCAAGAAGTAAGTACTGGAAATACCAAAATGCTAGCAGTGGTTTTATATATTGGGTGTTAGGTTTTGAGGTACCTTTTGTCTTTTTTTTTTTTTTTTTTTTGAGACAGAGTTTTGCTCTTGTTGCCCAGGCTGGAGTGCAATGGCGCAATCTCGGCTCACCACAACCTCTGTCTCCCAGGTTCAAATGATTCTCCTGCCTCAGCCTCCCAAGTAGCTGGGATTACAGGCATGTGCCACCACGCCCAGCTAATTTTGTATTTTTAGTAGAGACAGGGTTTCTCCATGTTGGTCAGGCTGGTCTGGAACCCCCAACCTCAGGTGATCTGCCCGCCTCGGCCTCCCAAAGTGCTGGGATTACAGGCATGAGCCACCGCGCTCTGCGAGGTACTTTTTCTATTTTTACAATTTTTTTTTGTTCTAAACCAGGGTTTTTTAACCTTAACACCATTGACATTTTGGGCTGGGAAATTCTTTGTTGTGGGGGCCTGTCCTGTGCATTTTAGGAGGTTTAAGCAGCTCTGGCCCCTACCAGTAGTATATGCCCTTTACCCCCTGGGGTTGTGACAACGAAAAATGTCTCTAGACATTGCCAAATGCTCTCTTGGGGGACAAAATAGCCACCAATCAAGAACCACTGTTCTAAACCAGCAGTCTCAAAGCATGGTCTCCATGGACCACTGAGGTCCTAAGACCCTTTGAGGGAGGAGTGTAGATGAAGTCACAACTGTTTTCATAAAAATCAAAGTTAACTGTCCATTTTCACCGTGTCGACATTTGTACTTACGGTGCATAGGCAAAGTGGATAAAATTTGCTGGGGCCCTAGCAGGATGCAAGGGCACCACACTGTATTCTTCACTCACAGTTAAAAAAAAAAAAAAAAAAAAAAGTTTTACTTAGGAATGTCTTTGATGAAGGAATAAAAATTACTTAATCACATCTCAACCCTTGAGTATACACCTTTTTAATATTCTGTGTGAAGAAATAGGAAGCACCCATATTGCGTTTTCACCGCATTCTGAGATATGATGAGATGTCTCAAGAAGCACTTATGGATTATTTGAGTTGTTAGCTGAACTAGCCAATGTTTCTCCTTATTTTTATTTGGTTTTTCATGAAATATTATTTTTACTTGGAAGAATGACAGATAAACTGTATTTCTTATGAATACGTAATTGGGTATTTGGCAGACATCTCAAAAATTAACAAAGTGTGGCCAGGTGCGTTGGCTCACACCTGTGATCCCAGCACTTCGAGAGGCTGAGGCTGGAGGAGTCCTTGAGCCCAGGAGTTCGACATCATCCTGGGCAACATGGTGAGACCTCGTCTCTACAAAAATAAAAAAATAAAAAAATTAGCCAGGTGTGGTGGCGCATGCCTGTGGTCCCATCTTTAAAAAAAAAAAAATTAACAAAATGATCCTGTTTCTTAGAGAAGCAACTAATAGAGTGGAGTTTGTTGCCAGTGATGAAATTCAAACTTTTGGACAAAAATTAGAATTTTGGAAACGTGTGTCTACCTGCATGAGCTTGACAGCTTTCTGTTGTTTAAAGACTTTTCTGGTGAGATTGGTGGTGATATGAAAAATGTGAATTTAGCAGAGGACAAAAAGTTCATTGATTTGGTTTCAAATTCTACCTTGTAGCTATCCTTTAAAAAACTATACTTCTCAAGATGTGGTAGAGTATCAAAGAATAATATCCACAATTTTCTGAAAAGGCTACTAACATATTGTTCCTTTTCCAACTACATGTCCGTGTGAGGCCAGATTTTCTTTATATACTTCAGCCAAAACAACATTTTCAACACATTGAAGCAGAAGCAGACATGAGAATCCAGCTGTCTTCTAGTAAGCTGTACATTAAAAATACTTGCAAAAAATGTGTCATTCTCTTCATTTTTTATTTTGGAAAATAATAGTTATTTATTTATTTATTTTTAATGCTTTTTTGTGTTACCATTAAAATTTTTTCTTTTTTTTTTTAAAAATGGGGCTGGGCGCGGTGGCTCACGCCCATAATCCCAGCACTTTGGGAGGCCGAGGCAGGCGGATTACGAGGTCAGGAGATCGAGACCATCCTGGCCAACATGGTGAAACCCCATCTCTACTAAAAATACAAAAAATTAGCTGGGTGTGGTGGCGTGTGCCTGTAATGCCAGCTACTCGGGAGGCTGAGGCAGGAGAATCGCTTGAACCCAGGAGGTGGAGGTTGCAGTGAGCTGAGATCACACCACTGCACTCCACCCTGGTGACAGAGTGAGACTCTGTCTCAAAAAAGCAAAAAATGGACAGCCTCCCAAACCAGAGTAGGTTCAGAGAGACTCTTGTATTACCATTTAATGGGTATATTTAAATGAATTAATAAATATTTAAACTTCAGTTTTCTAATATAGAATATCAATAGATATAACCACCATAAACAAAAGCTATTAGGGTCAGTAATTTTTTAAGTTGTAAAGATATCTTGGCCAGGCATGGTAGCTCATGCCTGTAATCCCAGCACTTTGAGAGGCAGAGGCAGGAGGAGTGCTTGAGCCTAGGAGTTCAAGACCAGCCTGGGCAACATGGTGAGACCCTGTCTCTACAAAAAATAACATAAAAATTAGCTGGGTGTGGTGTGCTCACAGCTATTTGGGAGGCTAAGGCAGGAGGATCACTCGAGCCCAAGAGATTGAGGCTGCAGTGAGCTATGTTTGCACCACTGCACTCCAGCCAGGGTGACAGAGCAAGACTTTGTCTCCAAAAAAAAAAAAAAAAGCCTGAGACCAAAATTTGAGAACTGCTGTTTTAGTCCATCTTTTATAATGATCTAACTATAGAACAAAAGTAAAAATCAAAAGGCATAATAGTACTCTCATTCATTATCAAAAGATATAGCTTGAGACCAAAAAAAAAAAAAAACAAAAAACAAAAAATAGCTTCAGACTAAAAACATTTAGATTAATAATTTTTTTATGTTTGAAATTTCCATCCTCTGCATACTTATCTATTTTAAAGTTATTTGCTGAGAGCAGTGTTAGAACTTCAAGATTTACAGCCTTTTATTTGTACGCTGTCTGTACAGAGTATTGCCCCTATGTTTATAATTTATTTATTTTTTAATTTTTAGTTCTTGTAAATTTTTGTAGAGACCAGGTCTCACCATCTTGCCCAGACTGGTCTTGAACTCCTGGGCTCAAGCGGTCCTCCCTCCTTGGCCTCCCAAAGCACTGGGATTAAAGGCATGAGCCCCTACACCTGGCCTGCCCCCTATATTTTCAGGTGAGGGGAAGGCGAGGCTCAGGGAAGCTGTGACATTCTCAAAACATTGATGGTTTAGGTCTTCCGGCTTTGTTCTCTTTGCATGAACCATACTAGCATTTGGCCATTAGAAGTAACAGGCATGTAGATGCCAGACCACTTAAATGTAAAGAAAATCTGTGTATGAAGATACTCATAAAAACAGAAAATGAATTGGAAGTAATCATAATTTGATTTTTTTTTTCTGGTATGCCTCTCAAGTTCTAATGGATCAAAAAAGGAACCGTCAAAGAATACTTAAAACCCTTTAAACTGTGTTGAGACCGTCTGTCCTGCGTCCTGGCTTGGTCTCACAGTTTCCCTCCTGTTTTAGGTGCCCACCAGCTGACCTCTCCTCCTTCTCAGTCAGAGTCTCTGCTGGCCATGTTTGATCCACTGTCTTCACATGAAGGTAAACCAGTGAAATGAACTTTTTCACTTATGTCACAGACAGGAGGAGGAAACCAAATCCCCTTGTTAATGCCTTTGTTAGATATGTTGTGTCTCAGTTACAAAACTTTTTTTCCTGTGTTGCAGGGGCTTCTGCTGTGGTAAGGCCAAAGGTTCACTATGCTAGGCCATCGCATCCACCACCAGATCCCCCAATCCTGGAAGGAGCTGTGGGAGGAAATGAGGCCAGGTTGCCAAACTTTGGTTCCCATGTTTTAACTCCAGCTGAAATGGAGGCATTCAAGCAAAGGCATTCTTACCCTGAGAGACTAGTTCGAAGCAGGAGCTCTGATATAGTATCTTCTGTCCGGAGACCCATGAGTGACCCCAGCTGGAACCGGCGTCCAGGAAATGAAGAGCGAGAACTCCCTCCAGCTGCAGCCATTGGTGCTACTTCTTTGGTGGCTGCACCTCATTCATCATCTTCATCCCCGAGTAAGGACTCCTCAAGAGGAGAGGTATGGGACATAGGCCGTGAAAAAGAATTATGTTCTGCCTGCCTAGTTCTCTTGATATCTGAAATTAACATGGAATATATAAATCTAGGATTACAGATAGAGAGTAGTCATGATTAAAGATGATTTGTCAATCTATGGGCCCACAACCATAACCGCAGGAAACCTGTACAACTTTGGTTTTGTAGTGATACTATCTTGCATTTTTATGACACTTTTAGTTTCTCTAAGCAATTTTGTATCTGATTTTATTTAAACCTTACAATATCTTTCTGAGATGTTAGATGAGTTGTTTTTTGTTTTTTGAGATGGAGTCACACTCTGTTGCCCAGGCTAGAGTACAGTGGTGCAATCTTGGCTTACTGCTACCTCCGCCTCCCAGGTTCAAGCGATTCCTCTGCCTCAGCCTCCTGAGTAGGTGGGACTACAGGCATGCGCCACCACACCCGGCTAATTTTTTGCATTTTATTAGAGACGGGGTTTCACCATGTTGGCCAGGATGGTTTTGATCTCCTGACCTTGTGATCCGCCTGCCTTGGCCTCCCAGAGTTGCTGGGATTACAGGCATGAGCCACCGCACCTGGCCCCATGAGTATTTTTTATTTTAAACAATTTTAAAGTTACAAACAAGTTGGAAGTACAATAAAAGAACACTCCCTCCCCATTTGTGAGCAAGTTGCCAACCTGATGCTCCAGTACCCCTAAACACTTCAGTGTAAGTTTCCTACAAACAAGCAGATTCTCCTACACCTCATGGTACAGCCATCAGCTTCAGCAGATGAACATTGATACATTACTACCAGTTACTTATCACACCCCATTCATGTGTCCCAGTTGTCCCTGTAACATTTTTTATAGTAAAAAGGTTCTATTCAGAATCACAGACTGCTTTTAGTTGTCATGCCTTTTTAGTCTCCTTCAGTCTAGAACAGTTCCTCAGTTTTTTCTTGACTCATATGACCTGGACGCTCTTGAAATTTACAGGCCATTTGTTTTCTCGAATGTTCCTCAGGTTAGGTTGTTTGATGTTTTCTTGTGATTAGACTGAGGTTATTCATCTTTGGCAGGAATATCACTGAAATGACACTTTTTTTCATTGCACTTTGTCAGGTAGCACAGTTTTAATTTGTCCCATTTCTACAGTGTTCATTTGGATAATTTGAGGAAATGTTGTCTTCCAGGCTTTGCCACTGTAAAGTTACTCTTTTACCTTTATAATTAATAAGTATTTAGGGGGAGAGGGTACTTTAAAAATATGTAACTATCTGTTCTCCATCAAATTTTTAACTTACCTACTTATTATATCTGTGGTCTCATGGTTTTCTGTCTTTTAAAAAAATTTGTGTGTGTGTGTGTGTGTGTGTGTGTGTATATATATTTTTTGTTGTTGTTGTGGTTTGTTTGTTTGTTTTAGATAGGGTCTTGTTTTATCACCCATGCTGGAGTGCAGTGGTGCCAACACTGCTCATTGCAGCCTTAACCTCCCAGGCTCAGGCAATCCTCCCGCTTTGGCCTCCCAAGTAGTTGGGAGTATAGGCATGCACCACATGCCTGGCTAATTTTTTCGTTTGTTTGTTTTTGTAGAGATGGGGACTCACTGTGTTGCCCAGGTGCTTATCTTGAACTCTTGGGCTCAAACAGTCCTCCCACCCCAGCCTCCCAAGTGTTGGGATTACAGGCGTGAGCCACCCACAGTGCCTGGCCCAGTTTTCTGTCTTGGTTAGGGTTTGTCACTATTACTTATTTTGAAGCCCAGTTGTCCCTAATTGGGCCAATGAGAGCCCCTTCAGGCTGGCTCCTGAGTTCTTTTGATGCACTGCTACTATTCTTTGAGCATATCTTTACTTTCTGGCAAAAGATGTTATAGGCGGATACTGTACTTTGTCCTAGTTAGCTCTTTCTCGAAGTACCCTTATTTCTTTTAATGAAAAATGCTTTTTTGGAAATTGAGATCTGGATACAGTGTTTATTTGCTGTAGGAGTGTTGCTGCTCCCAGGACTACTCAGTGAATAGAGCTAGGGAGTGTGTGTGTTACACACACATTTACCTGTATATTTCATTTATCTACCTTTCTCCATAAATAAGACCATGAACTTACACTGACACATTCAATTCTAGTCCAAACACAACAGAGTTTGTTTCGTCTTTCTTCCTTTCCAAATTTGTAACTCATTTCTCCAACAGTGAGAAATCTACTTTCACTATTCTTCATGGGCATATTTATTCCATCAGTTCTCCTGTATGTATTCAATTTCTCATCCCCACTGTTAAGTTAACTCTTCCCTGGCACAGATGCCCTCATCTCTCTGCTAGGGTTCTGATAATTCTTTATCCCAGGTATGTAGATGAAAATGGAAATTAAGTGATTTGTCCATGGTCACATGATAGGCTATTAAAGGAATTACAGTCCCTGTCCTTTGGCCTGTTTTTTGTTTGTTTGTTTGTTTTTGAGATGGAGTCTCACTCTGTCGCCCAGGCTGGAGTGCAGTGGTGCGATCTCGGGTCACCGCAACCTCCACCTCCCGGGTTCAAGTGATTCTCCTGCCTCAGCCTCCCAAGTTGCTGGGATTATAGGCGAGCACCACCACGCCCGGCCAATTTTTGTATTTTTAGTAGAGATGAGGTTTCACCTTGTTGGCCGGGCTGTTCTTGAGCTCCTGACTTCAGGTGATCCACCCACCTCGGCCTTCCAAAGTGCTGGGATTACAGGCGTGAGCCACTGCATCCAGCTTCTTTGTCATGTGTTAATGATAACTTAATATAATTGGTGATCAAAACATGAACTTTAAAGTTGCTTAGGTCTAGGTTTGAGTCCTCAGCTGTGCCACATATAGGCTGTGTAACTTTGAGGAAGAGGGGGAGGTAACCTTTCTTTAGTCTCATATTTTTTATCGATAAAAAAGGCCGAATATAGGACCTATCTCTGAGGTTACTGTAAAGATTAAATGAGATTATACATATCCTTACTATGCTCAGCATTTGGCACATAGTACACATTTGGTTTTATTATTATTAATACTACTGCTACCATCTCTACTGCCCTTCTGGAGTTTATTTGTACTGCATTTACTTTTTTCATAAGTATTTATTGAGTGCCTAGTCTATACCAGGCTCTGTATTAAGGCTTCAGTTTATTAACAGTAATGAGATAGTGCCTGCCCTCAAGCAGATGACAGTGGTGCTGAAAAGGTAAACTACCGTGCTCCAAAAGTCACCTACGTGGCAATAAGAGTTGTGCCTTAAGGCAAACAAGACTGACTTTCTTATTTCACAAACTTACTTAAATCCTTTTTAGCCTGAGCAACATAGTAAGACCCTGTCCCTACAAAATAAAAATAAAAAATTAGCTGGGCATGGTGGTGTGTACACCTGTGGTCCTAGCTACTTGGGAGGCTGATACGGGGAGGATCGCTTGAGCCAGGGAAGTCGAGGCTGCAGTGAGCTGTGATTGTGCTACTGCACTCCAGCCTGGGCAACAGAATGAGATCCTATCTCAAAACAAAACAAAAACAAACAAAAAGAAATCCTTTTCTTAGTAATTTATCCTGCTATCCAACTCCAAATAAAGCCTCCAACTTTTTCTACAGACTGAAGAACGCAAAGATAGCGATGATGAGAAATCAGACAGGAACAGACCTTGGTGGAGAAAACGTTTTGTTTCAGCCATGCCTAAAGGTAATTTTATAAAATATTAGAACGCTGTATTAGCAATAAGAAGCAAAGCCCCAGAATCTCTTTCAGAGAGCCAATGTCTCAACTCCTCTGTAAGACTTGCTGGGCTTAAGTTTCTAGCTACTTTGAGGGTGTAGAAAGTGGTTCCACTCAGATGAATGCTAAGGCAGAGCTTTAGAAATGTTCTTGTTCTTTGCAGGAAGTGATAGTGGTTTCATAAATGGAAGTCATGCCTGTCACTATTGTTTAAATATCATATACCATTGAAGTTAAACATATAGAGGACTTCTGACATATATATTGCTATTAATTATTGCAGGAAAATGGGACGTTATTGGTAATTAAACATTGAAAACTCATCCTTTACATTCCTGGAATAAGTTGAAGCTTTTTATGTCTATGTTCATTGAGAATGTTTATACTGTAAATATCAGTGAGTGTTTATTTTGGAAGGTAGCTGTATAAAATTGTTTACTTTTTTGGTGAACAGCCTGGCATCATTTGAGTTGGCAAAAGCATCTCTTCCTGAAAGAAGAGAGCATCCAGGAGTAAAGCTAGAAACTTATTCCAAAGGCCTCTTCTCAGCACGGTGGCACTCAGGAACTCTGGGGAGAGCTGCTTTCACGCCATACTCAAGCGCTTGATGAGGAGGAGAGAATGAAGCTAGGAGTTTTGAATGTGTTTTTGAGCAGAGGTTAAGAGTCAGTGGTTTTGATTTTAGTCCCAATGGATTCCTGTTAAATTATTCTTCCTATGACAGATGACTCCGAAGCAGGTTCTGAAAGTTCCTTTAAAAACCTTCATTACTATTTTAAGGACAATTATCAGTCAACACTTGGAATTTCTTAGCTTTTAAACTTTTCAGCCTCCTTTCACTTAGAAATGTTGGCACACCAGTTAACTTCCGAGTAGTGCAGTATGTTATATGTCACACTACTGACTTTATTTAATTTCCAGCTCCTATACCATTTAGAAAGAAAGAAAAACAAGAAAAAGACAAAGATGATCTGGGGCCTGACAGATTCTCAACACTCACAGGTTTGTAGACCCATGGACTTCCTGGCTCCTTCATTCCCAGAGCACATATTTCATAACACTTTTTCTTGGGTGCCATAAGCGTTGCCTTTCTAGAAGAGTGTGTCTGTGTGTACAGTGGGGAGTATGTTCTTCATAGCTCTGTGGTTTCCAGTTGGTGGCCACAGTAAACCTGTGTGCTCTTCCTGCAGACTGCCACCACCATCATCATCCTCATTATCATAACTCCGTTTATGATGAGGCCCCTGATCCTGAGCCTCTAGGCATACCCTACAACTCAACATCTAGTGGGATGATGACACACAGTGCCTTTTAGGAAAGTGTGGTGACAGTTTTGGTGCTGTGCATGCTGTATCTTTGGATCATTGATTGAATAGTTTTCTCTAACATTGATCGTAGAATTCTACATTTATTTTCATCTACAGTTTGTTCTTGATTATTCAGGATCACAGTGAAATTCTGTTTTACCTAATCGTTTCCTTTTTTGTGATAAAGTGTTTGTTCAAACAGTATCATAAATGCCAACCATTATAATGAAAGTTTTAAAAACTTTACTAATTTTTTACAGCTTGAACCATTTTAACATTGCCATCTGACCCAAGGAAAATACAGCTGGGGGTTGGGTTTTTACCTGATTAAGCGTTTGTATTTCTGCAGCTGCTTTTTGGCACATTATGAATGAGCACCCTAAAAGGACAGTTTGAGAGTAGTGTTAATGACCCAGTCTTGGGTTTGATAGCTGTGTATTGTTTCCAGTGGCTATTATAGAGCATCTTGAGCAAGTTTGTTCAACCCACGGACCGCAGACCACAGGCAGCCCAAGACAGCAGGACAGCTTCGAATGCAGCCCAACACAAGTTCATAAACTTAAAACAGTATGAGATTTATGCAGGAACCCTTTTTTTTTTTTTTTAAGCTCATCAGCTATCATTAGTGTTAGTGTATTTTATGTGTGGCCCAAGACAATTCTTCTTCTTCCAGTGTGGCCCAGGGAAGCTAAAAGATTGAACACCCCTGGTCTAGAGGAAAGTTCATTTCTCACCTCTTTTTTTTGATTTTGAATTGTTTTCCTACTAAGTTAAAGTGAAAATTTTTTTCATTAAACAATTTTATTTAAAAATGGGATAGATAATAGGATAAGAACATCCTCATCAAAGAGTTCAGCATTACAGGTAGAATCCCATTTTAATGCCTATTATTCTAATGGTTGGTTCCATATATTTATATGTATTTCCATATCCTAGCATATAAGTCCTTGCTTTATTTGAAATGGTGATTTCCCCAGAATAAAGGGTTTTGAACAGCAGGAGATGTGCTTACAGGCCACAGTTCCCTGCTGAGAGCAGCTAAGCCTGTCCTATTCAATCAGTAAATACTTGTTGACCATGTGACTCATGCCAGGCACTGTGCTAAGTGTTGTGGGTATTAAGTCAAATCACACATGACTCTTCAGGACCTTCCAGTCTGATTGGGAAGAGCTGGAAAGACATTGTCCTTTTGGCAAAGTATTTCTGTATCCTTACGACATGTTCCTAATGTTAGAAGAACACTAGCGTTTACAAAGTGAATTACTCTTAATGACATCTCATGTTTTTAAAATGTTGAATCAACAATTCTGAAGAAGTTATAAATTATTATTATGGTTTGTTTGTTTGAAGGAGTTATATTTTACTTATCCTCTTTAGGCAATATATTTTTCTTGGTTCTTGATACTGGAACTAGAAGCTAAGTAGAGTAGAATAAGTCTTTTTCATAAAGTAATTTATTTTCTTTGGCTGTGATTCAAGCAGATTAGCTTCCTTACTGGTCCAGAAATTTCTACCCAGTCCTTATTAATGACTCATTGAAAGTTTTCATTAAACCAATTTAAAAATGTTATAGGAGGAAATTTCCTAGCAGTCTGTTCATAATTCTGTGACCCTAACTACTGTTCTTTTCCTGTTATCTCCTAATCTTTTTCCATATTTGTACGTGGCTTTTTCTTGACTGAATTAGATTATGCATGTGACTTTGTATTCTTCTTTTACCAAGTTATTTTATAAAACCTCCCCCAATTTTTAGACATAGTTGGGTTTTATATCATTTTTATTAGCTATAAAATAATCTGTCATGGTTTTACTGCAGTGTAAACGTTCTCTTACTAATGGCTATTTAAATTGTTCCCAATTTTTTATTATGAAAATATTACAGATTTATATAAATTGCATTTTTTGTTTAATTATTCTCTGGGGGTAAAATTTTTAAGAACAGTGTTAATAGAAATAAAGATTATAAGCAACATTGTGGCTCTCACTGTGTTTGGCCATAATGTATTGTATTGTCCCTTTTTCAGACCTCTCAACAGCACTGAAAAGTAATAACCAACTGAGTGAGGTGGAGCATGCCTATTATCCCAGCTCTTTTTGGGAGGCCAAAGTGAGAGGATTGCTGGAGGCCAAGAGTTTGGGGTTACATTAAGCTATGTGCCACTGCACTCCAGCCTGGGTGACAGAGCAAGACCTTGTTTCTATTAAAAAAAAAAAAAAAGGCAGTAGCCACAACGTACTTCCCCTTCAAAACAAGATTCTGTAATGATAAATGCTTTATCAGTTTACATTTGGAGACAGATCAGATTTTATTAAGAATCTCTTATGAATTCAAATACTGTTATAGCAAAAATACTAAATTACTTTGGGAATCCTGTCTATATACAATTGTCCTTCAGCATACTCAGGGAATTGGTTCCAGGACTCTTGCCCCCCCACTTCATACCCTAATCCGTGCATACTGGAGTCCTGCAGTTGGCCCTGTGGAAACTGTGTATGTGAAAAGTTGGCCTTCCCTATATGCTTGTTTCACAGCTCTGTGTGAAATGTAGTGTTTTCTTTTTCTTTTCTCTCTCTCTTTTTTTTTTTTTTCTTTTGAGACAGTATCTTGCCCTGCTGCCCAGGATGGAGTGCAGTGGCGCGATCTCAGCTCACTGCAATCTCTATCTCCTGGGTTCAAGTGATTCTTCTGCCTCAGCCTCCCGAGTAGCTGGGATTATAGGCATGCGCCACCATGTCCAGCTAATTTTTGTATTTTTAGTAGAGTTGGGGTTTCGCCATGTTGGCCAGGCTGGTCTCGAACTCCTGACCGTGGGTGATCTGCCCGCATCGGCCTCCAAAGTGCTAGGATTACAGGCGTGAGCCACCGTGCCCAGCCTAATACAGTATCTTCAATCTGCATTTGATTGCAAAAAACTGTGTATAAATGGACCTGTGCAGTTCAAACCCATGTTGTTCAAGGGTCAACTGCAGTTTACTACAATTTCACGGAGACATGAATACCATGTGTTTGTTTCATGAGAACAAAAGAAGAGCCGATGAGCATGCTACTTAAGCTGTCTATGTCTTGATTTCGTCTTCTGTAAAATGAGGATGATAACAACGTTTCTCTGTAAGGTTGTTTGATCAGTAGTTGAGATAATCTCTGTAAGGTACTTAGCACAGTTCCTGGCATGTGGTAAGTGCTCAATAAATGTTAGCTGCTATTAGCTGCTGGAAACACAACACACACACACAAAATACGTATATGTATATATACACATAAGTGTGTGTGTGTGTGTGTATATATATATATAAAATCTAGTGATTTCGATGTGTTTGTATAATTTTTAGAAAATGGGATTCTACCAGAATGTGAACATTTATGGTCACCTGCCTGGCCTAGGACTAACCCAGGAGTTTGTGTTTCACTATGGAACTTTGTCCTGTAGATCTATAGCAATCCCTTGCTTTAACAACCCAGTTGACTACTATTTTAGATTCCAGGATAATATTTTTGATGTGCTGATTTTGACAGAGTAATGGTCCTGTCAGTAAACAGTGCTGCATTTGTGATTGTGGTACGTTTTTTCTCTATGCATCTCAGGTACAATTCCAGCACTCCCCAAGAATGTCTAGATTCTCTAGGAGTGCCTCTGACATCATTGCATGCACAAAAGTGCTCTATTCCAGCAGCAGCACTGTCATGGTGAGATCTAGTGAGATAGAATATGAATATTGTTAGTTTTCAAATGCGTGGAGAGAGATTCATAAAGGAAGAATGGAAAAAGACATTTGTTATTATTTAAAGGGGTTTAAGTCTAAATTTGAATAGTTTTTTTTCCTCCTTCAGCATAGAGATGTCTGAATAAATGAAGTCTGCATGTAAAAATGCACTGTTGGAAGTTCTGTTAGCATGAATTGCTGATAACAGTGATTTGAGTGCAAACACTTTAGAAATCCGTCATCCATTCAGTCTGCCCTGAACTTTGACACTGTCATTCTGGTGATGATGAGAAGGTGGAGCTACTCTTCCCAATTTCCTGCTTTGGCAAGGCTCTCAGACCTAGAAATGGGATGAGTAGGCAGCTGCATGGTGCCTCTTAACATTGAGATATGTGCTCTTTTTAAGTCTTACCTCCTAATCTGCCTTTGGGATTATGCTACTGGTGTCATACTAACATCAGAGGTGGTACAAACCCAAGGGGCTAATTCTCTCACTCTCCTTTCCCTTGCAGATGATCCCAGCCCTAGACTCAGTGCACAAGCTCAGGTGGCTGAGGATATTCTGGACAAATACAGGAATGCCATTAAACGGACCAGCCCCAGTGATGGAGCAATGGCAAACTATGAAAGTACAGGTGATAATCATGACAGAGATTTGAGTAGTAAACTTTTATATCATAGTGATAAAGGTAATCTGAATTTAAGTGGCCTTTAAAAGAAAGAATAGCTAAGGGAGTCAGTTTACTACCTCAAAATTACAGACTGCCTAAACAAATGTTTAAATTGATGTCCTTCTCTGGATTCTCCCACTAGCCCTGGGTACCCCTGAATGTTCAAATGCCTTAGAGTTGTCCTCCTTTGCATCTGGGGTGACTGGCCCACAGAGAGTTGGGGCATATTTTAATGGGAGGAGGTTCTTTTTCAATGTCTACAGCTTTGTAATTTTATCCAGTTATGCACTCTCAATATAGCTGTGGGAGCAACTTGTCCCAAAAGGGACAAGTTATCCATTGTCACCTGGTACTTATTTTAAAGGATTCTGTTTTCCTCATAATAGAATACTGAATAGCTTTCAGAAAAATGAGATATAGTCCCCAAGATAAATGAAGAGAAAAAGTGTATAAAAGTATAAATAGGGGCTGAGCACGGTGGCTCACACCTGTAATCCCAGCACTTTGGGGGGCCGAGGTGGGCAGATCACTTGAGGCCAGGAGTTTGAGACCAGCCTGGCCAATGTGGCAAAACCCCATCTCTACCAAAGATACAAAAAATTAGCTGCAAGTGGTGGCAGATGCCTGTAATCCTCAGATGGTTGAGGCATAAGAATTGCTTGATCCCAGGAGGCGGAGGTTGCAGTGAGCTGAGATGACGCTTACTGCACTCCAGTCTGGGCAAAAGAGCAAGACCCTGTCTCAAAAAAAAAAAAACAAACATAAATAGTATACTGCATAAATATGTGTTTATGCTTATATGCACGTAGAGTATCTCCTGGAAGAATCTCCCAACAAACTGGTCACATGAGTTGGCTCTGAGGAAGACTCCTAGGAAGCCTCAGAGGGAGAGTGGGCAGAAAGGAGAACTTCCTGTATTTTTTTATTTTGAATAGTTTCCAAATAGCAGAAGAATTGAAAGAATAATACAATGAAGGTTCATCTACCCTCTATCTAGACTTATCAATTCTTGACATTTTGCCACGTTCCGCCATATATAGAGAGTGTGTGTGTGTGTATATATATATGTTTTGTTTTTGTTTTTGTTTTTTTGTGAGACAGTCTCACTATGTCACCCAGGCTGGAGTGCAGTGGCACAATCATGGTTTACTGCTGCAGCCTCAACCTTCCCAGGCTAAAGTGATCCTCCCATCTCAGCTTCCTGAGTAGCTGGGACCACAAGCACGTTCCACTGTGCCCAGCTAACTTTTGTATATTTTTGTAGAGATGGGGCTTCGCCATGTTGCCCAGGCTGGTCTCTCCCTATATTTTTTCCTGAAGCATTTGAAATTATTTCCGAAGAATAAGGATATTTTCATATATGAACACAATATATTTATTATATTTATATATTTTTTTGTAGAGGTGAGGTCTCACTATGTTGCCCAGGCTGGTCTTGAAATCCTGAGCTCAAGCGATCTTCCTGCCTCATGCCTGTCCAAACTTTTTATTCGTTTTGATTGTATACATGTATGTGTTGTATTATATGTTCTTTTGTGTGTGTGGTTTTTTTCGAGATGGAGTCTTACTTTGTTGCCCAGGTTGGAGTACAGTGGTGCAATCTTGGCTCACTGCAACCTCCACCTCCCGAGTTTAAGCAACTCTCCTGCCTCGACCTCCCGAGTAGCTGGACCACAGGTGTGTGCCACCATACGTGGCTGATTTTTGTATTTTTCATAGAGACAGGGTTTCACCATGTTTTTCAGGCTGGTCTTGAACTCCTGACCTCATGTGATCCACCCACCAAAGCCTCCCAAAGTGCTGGGATTACAGGTGTGAGGCACCGCACCCAGCCGTGTATTCTTGATTAAGACATAAAACCAACTTTGGAAACCACAGATCTGACTTTGTTGCATGTGTGATTTGGTCCCTTGACTCACTCTTGGGTGTAGCAGGAAGACCTCCAGTAGAGAGAATCAGGAGACCTTAACCCATAGTCAACCTTGGCCATTGGCCAACCAAGAAATTTAGAGCAAGCCATTTTCTGACTGGGCAGGAGTCCATGTCTATAAAATGAGGGTATAAAATGATTTTTGAAGCCTCTTTTAGTTCTCTGGTTCAGTGATTCTAAGATGTTAACTTTATTAAGTTAATGTGAACTTTCATTATTTTGCATTAGTTCATTGTTTTGCATTAGTATTGGGATAAGAAGTAAAACCACTCTCTTCTCAGCAACTAGTCTCTTGATACATAATTGTTGCTATTGATAATTCAGTTAAGTATTTGAAGTTTGTTTTTTCTTTCTTTTTTTTCCAGAGAACTCTTATTATTAGTCAATGGTAATTTATTCTTGAGTTGCTCTGAATACCTACTAGTGCCATAATATTCCAAATGAACCTGGGTATCCGTTTCTTGGGGGTGGGTTTTGTTTAGAGGTTATGGGTGATGGTGAAAGTGCACATGATTCTCCCCGTGACGAAGCACTGCAGAACATCTCGGCTGATGATCTCCCAGACTCTGCAAGCCAAGCAGCCCACCCGCAGGATTCAGCTTTCTCTTACAGGTATTTCTTTTATAGGATTTGGGACTTTAGGGTTTGGACTTTTCAGCACCATTGCAGTCACGTCAAGTCAAGTGATGTTTTGAGTCAATAAATGTATAAAGCAGGGAGAGAAAAATGAAATGCTGTTTACTAAGAAGACTTTGTTTCAGTTGTAGATGTTATGTATCAAAGGTGTTAATTCAAGGATTTAAAAAACTCGCTGGGCGTGGTGGCTCACGCCTGTAATCCCAGCACTTTAGGAGGCCAAGACAGGTGGATCGCTGGAGCCCAGGAGTTGGAGACCAGCTTGGGCAACATAGCAAAATCCCATCTCTATAAAAAAGAAAAAGGAAAAAAAAAAAAAGAAGAAAGGGTTTCTTGTCAGGTAGTGAGCTTATTTTGTGGCGTCATCAGCGTTTCTAAAGAGATGTGCCAGAAGGCATTCCAAATCTGGGTGTTGGGAGCTTCTGACTTCCGTGGTCCCTCCCACTCTGCCATAATATGCTTTTCCGATTCTTATAGCACCCGTCATGGAACTCAGTGTATGAAAAAAGGTCAGAAAGGATTTGTTGTTTGATTCTGGTGCTTTAAAGAATGGTCCTTGCCCCGAGCACACCTGGCTCCTTGGGTAATTAGAAAGCCTGTTCTTTTAAGTGGAGTGTCAGTTAAGAATCATCTTCTTTAAAATGTTTGAAACATTTGAGTCCTAAGGTAACATTAATTTATATAGTAAATATTTGTAAAATGTGACCATATCTGGATAAAGAAATTAATGTATTTTCTACTCATTTTTCAGAGATGCAAAAAAGAAACTGAGGCTTGCTCTTTGCTCTGCGGACTCTGTTGCCTTCCCAGTGCTGACCCATTCAACAAGGAATGGTTTACCAGACCACACAGACCCAGAAGGTAAATTGCTGCAGGATCGTTTAATTTTTCCTATGTTTATGGGTTGCACCATATGAAATTGCCAGTATTCAGCTGTTGAAGCTGTACAGCAATTCCATATGGTTCAACTTAATATGTTTACATTAGTATCACTTAAGGGCACTTTGATTACTGATGATTTATTAAAGTATTTTCTAATTGGGAGTGGCAATACAGCTTAGTTCTAATGATACGTGACAAAGCAGAATTGACGTCCCAAATGCTGAATTAGCTTATTTAAGCACATGGAAATTCTCAAGAATAACAGAATTCTTGTATCTTTTATTTAGACAATGAAATTGTATGCTTCTTAAAAGTTCAAATAGCTGAAGCAATTAATTTACAAGATAAGAATCTAATGGCTCAACTTCAAGAAACAATGCGCTGTGTGTGCCGTTTTGATAATAGGACTTGTAGGAAACTGCTGGCTTCGATTGCTGAGGACTACAGGTAATATACCCCACCTGTTCAGCTTTTAAACCTAGTTGTTAGCTGCAAGTGTTTTCTTTTTTATCCTTATTTCAGAAATGAATCTAGGCTTCCTACAAAGTGCTTGGCTGTATTTTCCTGGATGTAGATTTCTGTGTTAGTCTGTTCTCACGCTGCTGATAAAGATATACCCGAGACTAGCCAATTTACCAAAGAAGAGGTTTATTGGACTTACAGTTCCATGTGGCTGGGAGGCCTCACAATCATGGCGGAAGGTGAAAGGCACATCTCACATGGCAGCAGACAAGAGAAGAGAACTTGTTCAGGGAAACCCCCCTTTTTCAAAACCATCAGATCTTGTGAGACTTATTCACTATCACGAGAACAGCACAGGAAAGACCTGTCCCCATTGATTCAATTACCTCCCACTGGGTCCCTCCCACAACACATGGGAATTCAAGATGAGATTCGGGTGGGGACACAGCCAAACCATATCTTTCTGCCCCTTGCTTCTCCCAACTCATGTTCTCACATTTCAAAACCAATCATGCCTTCCCAACAGTTGCCCAAAGTCTTAACTCATTTTAGCATTAACTCAAAAGTCCACAGTCAAAAATTTCATCTGAGACAAGGCAAGTCCTTTCTGCCTATGAACCTGTAAAATCAAAATCAAGTTAGTTACTTCCTAGATACAATGGAGGTGCAGGCATTGGGTAAATACAGCCATTCCAAATGAGAAAAATTGGCAGAAACAAAGGGGCTACAGGCCCCATCCAAGTCTGAAATCCAGCAGGGCAGTCAAATCTTAAAGCTTCAAAATGAACTCCTTTGACTCCGTGGCTCACATCCAGGTCACGCTGATGCAAGAGGTGGGTTCCCATGGTCTTTCTTTTTTTTTTTTCCCCCGAGATGGAATTTCGCTCTTGTTGCCCAGGCTGGAGTGCAATGGTGCGATCTTGGCTCACTGCAACCTCTGCCTCCTGGGTTCAAGCAGTTCCCCTGCCTCAGCCTCCCAAGTAGCTGGGATTACAGGCATGCGCCACCACGCCTGGCTAATTTTGTATTTTTTAGTAGAGATGGGATGTCACCATATTAGCCAGGCTGGTCTTGAACTCCTGACCTCAAGTGATCCACCTAACTCAGCCTCCCAAAGTGCTGGGATTACAGGTGTCAGCCACCACACCCAGCCAGGGTTCCCATGGTCTTAGGCAGCTCCGCTCCTGTGGCTTTGCAGGGTATAGCCACTTTTCTGGCTGCTTTCATGGGCTGGTGTGGAGTTGCTGGCTTTTCTAGGTGCACGGTGCAAACTGTCAGTGGATCTGCCATTCTGAATTCTGGAAGACAGTGGCTCTCTTCTCACAGCTCTACTAGGCAGTGCCCCAGTAGGGACTCTTTGTGGGGGCTCCGATCCCACATTTCCTTTCCGCACTGCCCTTGCAGAGGTTCCCCATGAGGACCCTGCCCCTGCGGCAAACTTCTGCCTGGGCATCCAGGCGTTTCTATACATCTTTTGAAATCTAGGTGGAGGTTCCCAAACCCCATTCTTGACTTCTGTGCACCCACAGGCTCAACACCTCATGGAATCTGCCGAGGCTTGGGGCTTGCACTCTCTGAAGCCACAGCCTGAGCTCTGTGTTGGCCCCTTTCAGCCATGGCTAGAGCGGCCGGAGGGCAGGGCACCAAGTCCCTAGGCTGCACACAGCATGGGGACCCTGGGCCTGGCCCATGAAACCATTTTTCCTCCTAGGCCTCTGGGCCTGTGATGAGAGGGTCTGCCATGGAGACCTCTGACATGCCCTGGAGACATTTTCCCCATTGTCTTGGGAATTAATATTCAGCTCCTCATTACTTATGCAAATTTCTATAGCCAGCGTGAATTTCTTCTCAGAAAATGGGATTTTGTTTTCTATCGCATTGTCAGGCTGCAAAGTTTCTGAACGTTTATGCTCTGTTTCCCTTATAAAACTGTATGCTGGCCAGCATGGTAGCTCATGCCTGTAATCCTAGCACTTTGGGAGGCCAAGGCAGGTGGATCACCCGAGGTCAGGAGTTCAAGACCAGCCTGGCTGACATGGTGAAACTCTGTCTCTCCTAAAAATACAAAAAATTAGCTAGGTATGGTGGTGGGTTCCTGTAATCCTAGCTACTTGGGAGGCTGAGACAGGAGAATCGCTTGAACCTGGAAGCGGAGGTTACAGTGAGCTGAGATCACGCCACTGCACTCCAGGCTGGGCAACAAGAGTGAAACTCTGTCTCAAGAAAAAAAAAAAAATGAATACCTTTAATAGCACCCAAGTCACCTCTTGAATGCTTTGCTGCTTAGAAATTTCTTCTGCCAGATACTCTAAATCATCTTTCTCAAGTTCAAAGTTCCACAAATCTCTAGGGCAAGGGCAAAATGCCACCAGTGTCTTTGCTAAAACATAACAAGAGTCACCTTTGCACCAGTTCCCAACAAGTTCCTCATCTCCACCTCAGCCTGGACCTTATCGTTCATATCACTGTCAGCATTTTCGTCAAAGCCATTCAACAAATCTCTAGGAAGTTCCATACTTTCCCACATTTTCCTGTCTTCTTCTGAGCCCTCCAAACTGTTCCATCCTCTGCCTGTTACCCAGTTCCAAAGCTGCTTTCACATTTTCGGGTGTCTTTTTAGCAGTACCCCACTCTCGGTACCAATTTACTGTATTTGTCTGTTATTATGCTGCTGATAAAGACATACCTGAGACTGGGCAATTTAACAAAAGAAAGAGGTTTAATTGGACTTAACAGTTCCATGTGGCTGGGGAGGCCTCAAAATTATGGCGGAAAGTGAAAGGCACATTTCACATGGCAGCAGACAAGAGAAGAGAGCTTGTGCAGGGAAATTCCGTTTTTTAAAACAATCAGATCTCTTGAGACTTAGTATCACGAGAACAGCACAGGAAAGACATGCCTCCATGATTCAATTCCCTCCCACAACACATGGAAATTCAAGATGAGATGTGGGTGGGGAATACAGCCAAATCATATCAATTTCTAAGCAACATATTTGGATATTTACTCTGGAAATGTAGTTACAAATGAGCAGTTCCAAATAGAAGAGTGCAATTTACTTCAGCTTTGCACAAAAGCAGGTAAAGAGGTATGCCTATATTTTGAGGCTAGAACAACTAGAATATCATATTTCTTTTCTTAGTGGTGATAGGAAAGCCTACTTTCCTGGACCAGAGAAGCAGATGTAAGTAGCCTTAGGAATTGCTGTGCTTTTTCTGCTGCCAGTCCCCTGCTCATGATTATGGAGAAAAATGTAACTGAGATGCTTAGGTAGTGAGGAGGCTTCAAGGCTTAGGGAATGGGCACTCTAGTAAATGTGACATTTAGACTATAAGCAAGTAATTGGTGGGGGATGTTTGTGACCTAGTGACATATAACCTGTATTTGTTGTTATTGTTGGTCATCTGTAGCTGTCAATTTCCTATTAAGTATGAGGTCCTATAGCTCCAGTATAAAATACACCAAGTATGCAGAGGGGCTTAGTAACATTTAGTGAATTAGGTAACTAAGTCTTCAGCCCCATAGATCCTCCCAAACAAAATGCAAAATGGGTGTCTGTTCTGCAGCTGGCACCATGATCAGTCTCTACCATGTCTGCAGCCTGACATGCTACTTTGTATATGTGCTACTGAAGAGAGCACAGACATGCTACTTTGTAAAACCAGTCTGTGCAGTAATTTTTCTAAAGAAAAGTTAGGACCCTTATTCTTCAAAGAGAGTATGCACTGAATATATCTGATGTCATGCAAAGTATTTTTCCTTTTAGAAAAAGAGCCCCATATATTGCTTATCTCACTCGTTGTCGACAAGGACTACAGACCACACAGGCTCACCTGGAAAGGCTATTGCAAAGAGTTTTGCGGGACAAAGAAGTGGCCAATCGATACTTTACCACTGTCTGTGTGAGATTACTGCTTGAGAGCAAAGAAAAGAAGATCAGGGAATTCATTCAAGGTAACTCAATACCTTTAGTTTAAGCATCTCTTCACCTGTAATACTGTTGGGAAGATTTAGAAATACTGTTTTGTTTTGCTAGTTTGTTCAAGTATCTGCATGCCTTAAATACCCAATTATTTTATGGAATCTTAATAAATTAAACTTTGATGTCAAACCAATAAATTGCATTTTTCTCCTGGATTGAATATCTGTAGCTTACTTTTTAAATTGGGGACATTGGTAAATTTTTGGATCTATACAAATTTTCTCATTTTTTTTAAAAAGCCAAACATATTTTTTTTAGAAACTTTTGAGACGGAGTCTTGCTCTGTCGCCAGGCTGGAGTACAGTGGCGTGATCTCGGCTCACTGCAACCTCTGTCTCCCTGGTAGCTGCCTCAGCCTCCCAAGTAGCTGGGATTATAGGCACGTGCCACCACGCCCAGCTAATTTTCATATCTTTAGTAGAGATGGGGTTTCACCATGTTGGCCAGAATGGTCTCAATCTCCTGACCTCGTGATCCGCCCACCTCGGCTTCCCAAAGTGCTGGGATTACAGGCGTGAGCCACTGTGCCTGGCCTAGAAACATATTTTTATAACAAATTCCTTGCACTTAAACTTTCACATATTTCTTGCTTTTTCTCCTGATTTAATTATATGGCTACATATTGTCCTAAAATAAACTACACTGAAACACTTTTGGCTTTAAGATCATGGTGTCTGCATAGCTAGTGATTAAAATTATTTCTATGATTTCCTTTTTAAAATTATTTAGATAGTTTTTATTAAACTATTTAAAAATTATTATTTTGCTTTGGAGACTTTCAGAAACTCACCGCAGCTGACGATAAAACTGCTCAGGTAGAAGATTTTCTGCAGTTTCTTTATGGTGCAATGGCCCAGGATGTCATATGGCAAAACGCGAGTGAAGAACAGCTTCAAGATGCACAGCTGGCCATTGAGCGAAGCGTGATGAACCGGATTTTCAAGCTCGCCTTCTACCCTAATCAAGATGGGGACATACTTCGCGACCAGTAAGTACTTCTATGTTGAGTGCCTATGTGGAACTACATAGGGATCTACCAGGTAGCCCATATTTTAGGCAAGCTATACGTGTAACTTAGTGTCTGATTGTAAAAGGAAATTCATTGGTTACCATTTTTCACCTGTCAGAGTTACATGATCACAAAGAATAATACCCAGTTTTCAGGGATGTGGGCAGTCAAGCTGGAAGGAGTAGAAATTGGTATAGCCTCTTTGGAAAGCACTGCTGTTTACTCTGCCTTAACTAATCTTCCCTTCCTTCTCGTGATTAAGTCTTACTTATGCTTCAGGTCTTGACTTAAGTATCGTTTCCCTGATGAAGCCTGTCCTGACTAGGTTACATCCTGTTAGGGCTCTCTCAGGCCTCGGTGCCTTTCTTTAGTACTTGCCACAGTTGCCATTTGACATCTGTTTGAGTCATGGTTTCTGAACCCAGCCCTACTAACATTTGGGGCCAGATTGTTGATGATGTGGGAGGCTGTCCTGTGCATTATAGGATCTTTAGGAGCATCCCTGACCTCTACACACAAGATGCCAGTAATACCCCACCAGTTGTGACAACCACATGTCTTCAGACATTCCCAAATGTCCCTTGTGGGGGCAAAATTCTCCCCTGTTCTTTTTTTCTTTTTCTTTTCTTTTGAGACAGGGTCTTGCCATGTCACCCAGGCTGGAGTGCAGTGGCATGATCACAGCTCACTGAAGCCTCAACCTCCCAGGCTTATGTGACAAGTGATCCTCCTACCTTGGCCTCCTCCCAAATTGCTGGTACTATAGGTGCACACCATGACACCTGGCTGATTTTGTTTTTATTTATTTATTTAGACAGAGTGTCACTCTGCTGCCTAGGCTGGAGTGCAGTGGCGTGATCTCAGCTCACTGCAGCCTCTGCCTCCTGGGCTTAAGCGATTCTCCTGCCTCAGCCTCCCAAGCAGCTGAGACTACAGGCATGTGCCACCATGCCCTGCTAATTTTTTTTGTATTTTTAGTAGAGATGGGGTTTCACCATGTTGGCCAGGCTGGTGTCGAACTTCTGACCTCAGATGATCCGCTCGTCTTGGCCTCCCAAAGTGCTGAGATGACAGGCATGAGCTGTTGCGCTCAGCCTTGTTTATTTTTTGTAGAGACGAGGTCTTGCTGTGTTTCCGAGGTTGGTCTCAAACTGCTAGACACAAGCGATCCTTCTGCTTCAGCCTCCCAAAGTGCTGGGATAAGAGCTAGGATAACAGGGCATGAGCCACCATGCCTGGCCTCTCCCCTGTTCTTAATCACTGGTTTGTGTGATCCTTTGATGAATGTTCTCTCCACACTGCCTTATTCCCTCTGCGAGACCAGGAAATAATGCTTTTATTAACCATTCTAACAGCACCAGGCACAGTGGTTGGCTTCTAATATATGCTCATTATATATTTATTAAGAATGAACAGTTGGTCGGGCTTCATGGCTCACACTTGTAATCGCAGCACTTTGGGAGGCCAAGGCAGGTGGATCACCTGAGGTCAGGAGTTCGAGACCAGCCTGGCCAGCATGGTGAAAACCCATCTCTACTAAAAATACAAAAATTAGCTGGGTGTGGTGGCATGCGTGTATAGTCCCAGCTGCTCAGGAGGCTGAATAGGGAGGATCACTTGAACACAAGAGGCAGAGGTTGCAGTGAGCTGAGATCGCGCCACTGCACTCCAGCCTAGGCAACAGAGTGAGACTCTGTCTAAAAAAAATGAGAGAGAGAGAATGAACAGTTAAGTATTTGAATACCAGAAAATGCTTGGAATTGTATGGCTTGTGAGTTATATCTCAATAAAGCTGTTTAAAAATATTAATCCTGGCTGGGCGCAGTGGCGTATGCCTGTAATCCCATCACTTTGGGAGGCCGAGGCAGGTGGATCACCTGAGGTTCAGGAGTTGGTGACCAGCCTGGCCAACATGGTGAAACTGTGTCTGTACTAAAAATACAAAAATTAGCCAGGCATGATGGCTCACACCTGTCATGCCAGCTACTTGGGAGACTGAAGCAGGAGGATTGCTTGAACCCAGGAGGCAGAGGTTGCAGAGAGCCAAGATCACACCACTGCACTCCAACCTGGACAACAGAGCGAAGCTCTGTCTTTAAAAAAAAAAAACACACACACACACACACACAAAACAATTAATCTTGGGAAAAATTAACCTGGAATAGTAATAGCGATTATTTTTGGGTAAAGAGACTAGGGAAGATTTTGCAGTTTTATTTTTCCTCCTCTGTATTTTCTCCTTTTTTTGAGATAGTCTCACTCTGTCACCCAGGCTGGAGTGCAATGGCGCAATCTTGGCTCACTGCAACCTCCACCTCCCAAGTTCAAGTGGTTCTCCTGCCTCAGCCTCCTGAGTAGCTGGGATTACAGGCACATGGCACCATGCCCAGCTAATTTTTGTATTTTTAGTAGAGATGGGTTTTCACCATGTTGCTCAGGCTGGCCTCGAACTCCTGACCTCAAGTGATCCACCCACCTTGGCCTCCTGAAGTACTGGGTTTACAGGCATGAGCCACCCCGCCCGGCCTTCTGTATTTTCTTGAGCACTGCTTCATAACCCTGTTTCTGACCTCAACCATGTTAAAGTTGTTACCATGCTTCTTAACAGTGACAGTGGCTTACTGTGCCTGACTCCCAGGGGTCCGTGTAATAGGATCCTCGGGGTGTGGGTTATGTTTGTATGAAATATTTTTCATGGAGATTTTCAGATGTTGCATAGATATTTGAGAGAATTCACTTTCCTGTGAAGTGGGTTAGGATCCTTCCAATCTGCCTTCCTCATTTGTTTATGGTCTCACAGTGTTTGGCCCACCCCAGACTTCTGTGCTTAATATGCCAGATGGGGCCTGTTTTCTCTCCAGAGCACTAGTTTTTGCCTTTAGGCATAGGATAAGGAATGGGGACATTCAAACCATATAGACTACAAACAGCAACTTTGAAGGAGATTATTTTTCCCCACCCTCCGTGGCATTTCTGTGGGGTTTATAGAGGGTGGAAAGCCAAAAGAGGAATTGGAAGGAACACGAGCAGCCAGGAAGCTGGGTTCAGCCCCTGTTACTGACACCTGTGTAGCTTAGGCAAGCCTTTTCCCTTTTTAAGCCTACTTCTCTTCATCTACAAAGTGAAAGGTTGGGTGAATGGTGGAGGCCCTTCTCCATGTAATTAATATCTTTGGTTTCTGGCTTTTGATCCTTCTACTTCCTCTCACTTTTTCCCCCCCTCTCCTTTTCCTCTACCTTACAAAATAATGTGTCCAAGCAGCTCCTACCAAGGGCTCCTCTCCTTTCTTCCTTGCAGTGCTGTCTGGTCCAGAGAGGAAAGACTCCCTCCCCTCCCTGCATCCCCTTGGCTCACTCAGCATTTCTGAGCAGATTAGAAAGAATACTTATCTAAGAGGCTCAACTCTAACTGTAATCCATATCTAGCTGTAATCCATATCTAGTCAACATGTTTCACGTGTTTTGTAAAAATCAATGATGACTGTTTGTGTACCATATTTTCTGAAATGAATGTTTACATGTGTATTTTGGGGGGTTTTCAGGGTTCTTCATGAACATATCCAGAGATTGTCTAAAGTAGTGACTGCAAATCACAGAGCTCTTCAGATACCAGAGGTAATACAGGTTTATATAGCATGGGTAATGTTAACTAAATGCTGCGTGTTATTATACCATATAATGTTACCACGTGTTCAAGGAACTGAAATGTGATAAAATATAAAACATCATTTTCACTCTATGTAATTCAGTCTAACTGCGAAGTTCCTGAAGATGCTTTCAGGGATTAAAATTCCCTGGTATGAAATAGTAGAAAGCCAGTTGTGAGGAGCCCTTCCTTGATGCCACTTCTCAAGTCAGCCCTGCTCTCAGGGGCAGTACCTCTCCATCAGTGCTTTTATAGTCAGGTTTCTACAGAAATGTTTTGAAGAAGTGGGAGGCTGATAGCACTCCAAAGAGTGAGATATGCTGTCTCAGGAGAGGTCATTGAGTCTGCATGTGATCTCAGATTACCTTTTAGTCATTGATATTAGCATTTTTACCTGTCCTACATCTCTTAGAAAATAAGAAAACATGAAAATTTCAGGTATTTGAGCTTTCTGTTTGTTTTTGTTACAACCCCCACTAATGAGACATGAATTAGCATAAAATTTTAAATTATCTTTAGTTTTTTGAATCTGTTATTTCTGGAATTACTGCAACAATGGTACATATTTTTAAATTAACCTCTTTTATCACATGTGATAAATCTAGTTCCTGTGTAGAGCCAGTTTAAGCTAGTTTTAAGGAAAAGTCCTCTTTTAGTAGTTTGTACTTCTGGAATCAGCTACTAAATGTAGAGAAGTTCCATTCTAGCTATTTAAGAAAGAGAATGGTTTGAAATTTTGTGAATTCTAGCTTCTGTGCTGTTGAATGCCCTTTTTCTATTAATGGATATCTGGTTTGCTGTATTTTAAAATTCAGAGCAACTTATTTAAAAGTTCTAAAGTTACAATCTTTAGTGAAGGGGAAAGGGGCCTGCAATATGGTTTTACCAAAGAGAGGAAAAAGCAACCACATTATCCTCTGCCTCCTGACACGGAGGTTGCAGTAGTCACTGCGCAGGGTTGCCACTGGATTCAGAATCTGTATATTGTCTATGGTCTCACTTAGGTTTATCTTCGAGAAGCACCATGGCCATCTGCACAATCAGAAATCAGGACAATAAGTGCTTATAAAACCCCCCGGGACAAAGTGCAGTGCATCCTGAGAATGTGCTCTACGATTATGAACCTCCTGAGCCTGGCCAATGAGGACTCTGTCCCTGGAGCGGATGACTTTGTTCCTGTGTTGGTGTTTGTGTTGATAAAGGTGGGCCCCTTACTACTATCAGTTAAGGAGTTATGTGGCATTCTGAGCAGGTGGCACAGGGCTTCACACAACCATAGATATCTTGGCTCTTTTCCAAGTCACAAGCTCTGGGTTACTCAGAAAGAAAGTGCCTAATGTCAAGATTTGTTCTTTTGAGACAGAATCTCACTCTGTCACCCAGGCTGGAGTGCAGTAGTGTGATCTCAGCCCACTGCAACCTCCATCTCCTGGGTTCAAGCAATTCTCATGCCTCAGCCACCCAAATAGCTGGGATTACAGGCGTGCGTCACCATGCCCAGCGAATTTTTTTTCATTTTTGCTAGAGACAGGGTTTCGCCATGTTGGCCAAGCTGGTCTCGTGGTCTCCAGCTGGCCTCAAGTGATTCGCCCGCCTCAGCCTCCTGAAGTGTTGGGATCATAGACATGAGCCACCGCGCCCAGCCAAGATTTGTTCTTACCTTAGGATTTTCGAAAGAAAGGATGGGAGGACTAGATTCCTAGATGAACATTTTCAGCTAAAAAGCAGTGCCTAGGTTGGGCGCGGTGGCTCACGCTTGTAATCCCAGCACTTTGGGAGGCCGAGGAGGGTGGATCACGAGGTCAGGAATTCAAGACTAGCTTGGCCAAGATGGTGAAACCTCATCTCTACTAAAAATACAAAAATTACAGGCTCCTGTAATCGCAGCTACTTGGAAGGTTGAGGCAGGAGAATCACTTGAACCTGGGCAGCAGAGCTTGTAGTGAGCCGAGATCACACTGCTGCACTCCAGCCTGGGCAACAGAGTGAGACTCCATCTTAAAAAAAAAAAAAGCAGTGCCTGAAGTTCTTAGTTGGGGCTCAGTATATAATTATTGGATGAATGGATGAGGGCAGGTTCTTTATATTATACTTTTACCATCTTCTTTAATATGGAATTCCTTGCAGTACTTGTCATATAGGCTACCAAACTTACCAATCTCCTTCCTCTTTTAGCTTCTTATTTTGTAATTGTAGTATAAAAGTACTGACATCTCTAGTTCTTGTTGACTTTAAAATTAAAGTTTCATCATTTAAATGGTTTATTTTGAACATTTTGAGGGTGACCATGTAGTTTGGGTGCACACAGCCACTAAGTGATCGTATCACTTGTGTGTTGCAGTCAGCTCAGCCCAGCTGTTGCTGTCTAAAGTGTGTGTGACATATGTCTTACTATTTCTTAGTGTTGTGATATTTCTACAACCTGAACACTTAGCTTGGAGGGAGAAACCCATGGGGTTGGTCGTCACAGCTCCTCCTGTTGGCCATCGCTCTTCTGGCTTCCACATGTGATAAATCTAGTTCCTGTGTAGAGCCAGTTTAAGCTAGTTTTAAGGAAAAGGCCCTAGCTCTTCCTCTTAACCATTTAACAGCCTGTGCCCTTTCTCACCACATGAAAAAGGTAAAAAAAATTCAGGAGATGTCCTCTGTTACCTCTGGCAACAGAGGGCATGTCATCTTTTTTAGTTTTTTCTTTCTCAGCTTATTCTCCCTGGACTTACCAGATATAACTCAATTTGCCTACAGCATTTATTTTGTTATCTAACATTCTGAAATCCGGGGATGTTGAGTAAGACCACAGAGATTAGTTCAGCCTTCTTAGAAATCAGTGAGGTTAAGGACTTGCAAGGATAGAAACCTCTAGATAGATTAGCTGAGATTAGAACCTGGGTTGCCTTTCCAGCATATTATTGCTACTCATGGAAACTAGGGTTCACAGATTACTTCCAAAAAATAACTTTGGGGTTGTTTTCAAAAGGATTGGTATGTCTTTCATAGAAGAACATTCGAAGAACACTTAAATGATTTTGGCAGAGCTATGACATCTGAGTAATTGATTCTTTTTTATTTTTCACTTCTCTAGGCAAATCCACCCTGTTTGCTGTCTACTGTGCAGTATATCAGTAGCTTTTATGCTAGCTGTCTGTCTGGAGAGGAGTCCTATTGGTGGATGCAGTTCACAGCAGCAGTAGAATTCATTAAAACCATCGATGACCGAAAGTGACCAAGACCAAGGCCCACCAAGGCAGCAGACTGTTAATCAGACAAACAGATCTCTGAGAAGGTGCATCAGCTGCTTTGAAGGCTGAAGATTGTTTTGTATGATACTGCACAGCATCAGGCATTTTAAAGCAGATCTTTACTAAACAGGTTAATGAGCTAACAAGCAGGTTCTCTCGTCTTTGGGCTCTTTCCTTTCTGAGTTGCATATTCTATTTTCTTGTCCCCAAGTAGAGACTAGTACTACAAAAAGGGACCACATTTTTCAAGTATTTCTAAGTATAAAAAACAAAACAAAAATCTCTTAGGAAATGTCTAGACCTCCATTCTTGGATTCCCTTTCTTTCCTTTTATTTTAAAAAAGAACAGTACCCCTCTTTTAAGATGCTGTCTTACATTAATGAGCATCTAATGGAAAGAAGGTATGAGTTGCACTGAGGATTAGAATAGTGGTGCGTTAGTGGCATTATCTATAAATACACTCACCTAAATTGAAAGCTAAGAAGGAAATGTAAATATAATATATATTTATATTTGATGTAATATGGACATCTGCAGATTCTAATAAACAAGGACTATTGCTGATAGTAGGCTGTGACATACTGTCTTGTGAAATGGTTTCCTTGACAAAATTTAAGCTGAGCTTAAAAGCAAAAAACAAAAAGTACACAGAAATATTTATTAAAATGTAATACAGTTTATTGAACTTTCTAGGTATGGAGTTTGATGGACAGGGCTGCCTTTAATGAGTGTGAAGGTCACTAAGTCACTTAGACATCTCACCGTGGAAGTTTGTGAGCCTGCATTAGGAGATAGACTGATTACCATACATGACATAAAAAGGAACAGTGGATAGCTCATACTTTATGGTGGTTCTTCTCCTCCGAAATAATATACTGCAGAAATCCCAGACAGAGCTCCTTACAAACCTTTAATTGTAATATATTTTTGATGATTATTCACATTGAATGCACAGACCAAGAATTCAGTGAATGTCATTTTTTAAAAAACTAATTTGTATTGTCTGCTCTAGTGATACAAGTTTTACTAGTGATAAACTATTTTAATCAACCATACTATTCTTATGGAAAAAAATATCTATTTTGGCAGGTTTCTGTGCCTTTATTTCCCTCTTCTGAAAAAAAGTCTGTGTTTTCATAGTTTGGTTTGCATTGTATATCAATAATTAATCAGGAATGGGTTTTGGTGCCTGAAAAATTGGCCATGGAGGCACACCAAAGCTTCAAGCACAAGTCTTGTACATGGGCCATCACTGTCTGGTTTCACTTCGTGTGTTTCCTAAACACATTTAGCTGCTTTTTTAACAAACTCAGCCCCATACTTGAGTCCCTTGTTGTTGGGAGCATTTCCAGGCATCTTTTAAGGGAACTGTGACAAACAGCCTCGGGCAGATGAACACGGAGGCTCTCTGTTGTCTGTCTCTGAGATCTTTGTGTCTGGGAATGCCTAAAGATTTTATTTTTTTTTCTTTGTTTTTATTTTATTTTATTTTATTTTTTTGAGACAGAGTCTCACCCTGTTGCCCAGGCTGGAGTGCAATGGTGCGATCTTGGCTCACTGCAACCTCCACCTCCCAGTTCAAGTGATTCCCCTGCCTCAGCCTCGCGAGTAGCTAGGACTACAGGCGCATGTCACCAAGCCCGGCTAATTTTTGTATTTTTAGTAGAAACGGGGTTTCACCATGTTGGCCAGGATGATCCTCAATCTCCTGACCTCGTGATCCACCCGCCTTGGCCTCCCAAAGTGCGGGATTACAAGCGTGAACCACCCTGCCCAGCCAGAAACTAGATTTTCTTTATGCCTCCACCCCTTCTTATTCATTTACTTTACAATACCAAAATAACAAATTGCATAGGAGTGTGGGATGTGGTTTCTGCCTTCTAGAGAGAGATCAGAATTAAACTAGTACTATGAAATGTCCTTTTGAATGTTAGGTCAAGAAATCCATGTACAGAGTCGTGCACTTCATTGGCTGTAACTGTCAAACTTGCCTTGTATTAGAAGTTAAATCCCATCGTAAATACATCACGAGGCCAGCTGTGTGATTTCTGAGACCTAGATGAGAGTCCATTTACTTCAGCCTTTGATTCAGTAAATGTTAAGCAGCAGAAGACTTCGAATGGTTGAAATTCATTGTTACAGGATTTAACTCATAAACCAATGAGAGATTTTTTTTTTCTCTGCAATGGTTGCTAAGTCTATTCCATGTTAACACTGTGGAAATAAATATGAAGATGTGGACATTGCATCGGGGCTCTTTTCTGTGGAAGAGAAGGTGGTGGGATTGGGGTGAAGGGCTACACTGGAGGCAGGAGATAGGGCTGTGCTGTGTTGGAGCCGGGGCTGAGGGTAGACCCCCCAGAGATTTGACATCTGTGACACCTGTGAAATGGGTTCGGGTGCTCATGACTCCATAGCTGGCGGAGGAGCACAGCACAGCTGTTGCAGGGGCAGCTAAGGTTTCCTCTGAAAATCTGTCAGGAGCAAGGACTACTTTGGCATTAACCATCACTGTTTGATTTCTTGACAGGTATGTGAGATGGGGAGTGATTTGATTTTTTTTTTTTTTTTTAATAGAAAAGAGGAATAGTTGTTCCCCAAATGTTTCTTCCTCCACTGCCTTCCAGTACTTTCTTTACATGAAAGATTAGTGTAAAAGTACAAAATCAGCCCAGGAAACATTCAGCAGCCACTAGTTACTACATAGAATTTATAAAGTGGATGTTAAATGGAGAGAGAGTTGGCTCAGGTCCCCTGAAATCTTGTAGGATTAACTTCTCTGAGGAAAAGAAAAATCAGGTTTGCATTTTGTATTAATATTCTGCTTTTAGAAGTAATAGAAATACAAGTTGAAGATTGTCTTTACTTACAAAATTATATTTTAATTTTTTTTGAGACATAGTCTTGCTCTGTCACCCAGTCTGGAGTGCAGTGCTGTGATCTCGGCTCACTGTAACCACCATCTCCCAGTCTCTAGTGATTCTCATGGCTCAGCCTCCCTGGTTGCTCAGATTACAAGTGTATGCCACCACACCCAGCTAATTTTTGTATTTTTTGTAGAGACAGGGTTTCGCCATGTTGGCCAGGCTGGTCTCGAACTCCTGGCCTCAAGTGATCCGCCTACCTCGGCTTCCCAAAGTGCTGGGATTATAGGCGTGAGCCACCGTGCCCAACCACAAAATTATATGTATATATATTTAAACGTGTCAAACATTTTGCTTTCTTTCTCCATTTTAGGTAAAATCTCAGCCACAGTAATTGCTTTCTTCTGCTTTTTCTTTATAAAAACCTGCTTATGAAGGCCTTCTGATACAGATAGTTAAATCGCTGTAGTAGGAGGCTCAGGTTTTCTAAGGGATTGCAAATGTGCTGCATGGTTTTTCTATTCCTATGTCCTGGAAGCCTTTGTTTAAAGTGGGCTTTACAAATGTGTCCCTGAGGTGCGTGAGCAAGAGAACAATCTCAGCCCCAATACGGGGGCTGTGTTCTTGCCGTAAGAATCTGTAGCTGACTGGTGTGCTGAACCCGGGCACTCTTTTTCCTATTGTTTGCCATGGAAATTTCCACTTTGGACCGAGTAAGGTCAACTAGGTGTTTTAAAATTGTTTTTCTCCTATGTGATTGGGTGTGAAGAGGGAAAGTAGGAATACACTCAGAATTATTACTGGATTGCATAAAAGTGATAGAAGTGTAGTGGGGTTCACTTCCTCAATTGGTGCTTCCTAGATTTTTCTCTCCCATCTCTTCCTGCTTTGTTTCTTTAAAGAAAAGGCTGTTGTCTCTCTTTTTAAATATTTAAGTCTAGTGAGTTTATTTTGTACGCAATTGCTTTAATTTTAAGGGAAGTAAATCTGAAACTATCTTGAAGCCCAAAGGATTTTTAGTAAGTGGATTAACAGTGATGAGGTATTTGCGATTACTTTAAATGCCAAAATGCTTGAGAACTTTGCCAGGTTAAAAATTACTTAATATATTTTAGAATGTAGGTTAGAAAGTAGTAGGACAAGGAATAGCTTTATTACTCTTGAGAACACTTGGATAAATGAAAATATAGTTTGCTTCCGTGTTAAGTTGTGGTTGAGCTATGGAGTGACCCTGGAGCTGCCGCATCCCACAGGCCTGAGCTCAGCAAGGGTTCAATTCAAGAGAGATGACGTCTCCACTTGGATAATGGCAGACAGTGTGGGTAGCGGCCATGCACTAGGGGAATTCACCTCTGTCAAATTAATACTCTCCTGTCTACTGGATTCTTCTTGTGCTTCACCTGGATTAAAAAGCTGTACTGCCTCTTTTGAAACAGATAAAACCTTTCTATAAGTCTCAATTAATGAGCTTGCACAATCTTGTATATGTACAGGAAACCCCTCCTGTCTCCTAATGTGATTAGTACTGTAAAATATTCTATAAAACTGATTAAAAGGGGAGAGCAGTTTGATTCACAGGGTTTTATGTTTCTGTCATCTATTTTATATTCAGAAGCATTTCTGAAAACGTATTTGACTTCCGAATGTTCTGATGTTCTCCGTGAATTCACACACATCTTTTTTATCTGAACAATAAGGGTGTTTGCTAAGTATGGCACAAGAAGGAACTAGAATGACCTGGCAGTAACTAACACAATGGTGAACATCTAAGGGTTTTTTTTTTTTTTTTTTTGAGACAGGGCCTGGCTCTGTCGCCCAGGCTGGAGTGCAGAGGCAGGATCTAGGGTCACTGCAAACTCTGCCTCCTGTTCTCAAAGATCCTCCAGCCTCAGCCTTCCCAGTAGCTGGGACAACAGGCATACGCTACCACACCTGACTAATATTTGTATTGTTTGTAGAGGCAGGGTTTTGCCATGTTGCCCAGTCTCCTGAGCTCAAGCGATCTGCCCGCCTCAACCTCCCAAAGTGCTGGGATTACAGGCGTGAGCCACTGCACCCAGACCTTCATCTATGGATTTAACAGTTTCTGCCTAATGCCTATATTTGGTAGCTATTTATCATTTTTCATTTTGAAAGCAAAAGTGTTGCCATCTAATCACAATATTCATTTAGGCCTTTATTAATCTTTCCAGCCAAGGGAAGTTACTTTTGACAAGGAGTACTAACTCATTCTTCAGGCTTCCCTTGCTGGTGAGAAGGCGCTTTTCTTATATTGATTGCACTTCATTTAGAAGGAAATAGTTAAAAACTTGCTTACGGCCCATTTCCATTTGCTCTGTTCAGTATTTTTTTTTTTTTTTTTGAGGCAGAGTTTTGCTCTTGTTACCCAGGCTGGAGTGCAATGGCTCGATTTTGGCTCACTGCAACCTTCGCTTCCCAGGTTCAAGCAGTTCTGCCTCAGCCTCCTGAGTAGCTGGAATACAGGCATGCGCCACCACGCCCAGCTGATTTTGTATTTTTAGTAGAGACGGGGTTTCGCCATATTGGTCAGGCTGGTCTCGAACCCCTGACCTCAGGTGATCCACCTGCCTCGGCCTCCCAAAGTGCTGAGATTACAGGTGTAAGCCACCGCACCCGGCCCACTCTTCAATATTAAAACGAGTGGTATGACGCCTAGAACCAAAAATAGCATTCAGCTTTTCTTGCCAACTTGGAATTTACCTGTGTCGCTTGGACTGCTGTTACGCTTGTACCCACTCAACCCTTTCCGCAAGTACAGGGCTCCGTAGCTTTTCCTCACAGGATGCTGAGCTACTGACACTAGCTTCACGAGCCTGCCTGCCATACTGCTGCAAAATGGGTGGTGATCCTGTAGAGAGAAACCAGGGCTGAAGCTCCTCTTGGCCATAAATGTGTCCTCCACCTAAGGATTGAAGTATTCAGCGAAGAGCTTTTGCTTCACTTATTTCATTCCAGAAGAATCCTTTCCATCCACTTAGGGTAGTAAAATATAGCCCATAGATTTAAAAAAAAAAAAAAAAAAAAAAAAGACCCATGCCCAGAGAAAGTGTTTTAGCTCATGCCTGTAATCCCAGCACTTTGGGAAACGAAGGCGGGAGGATCACTTGAGCTCAGGAATTTGAGGCCAGCCTGGGAAACAATGAGACCTGGTCTGTACAAAAAAAAAAAAAAAAAAAATTTAAATAAGCCAGGCATGGTGGCACATCCCTGTAGTCCCAGCTACTTGGGAGGCTGAGGTGGGAGGATGGCTTGAGCCCAGGAGTTCCAGGCTGCAGATTGGGCCACTGCATTCCAGTCTGGGTTACAGGGCGAGATCTTGTCTCTAAAAAAAGAAAAAATATATATGACCAAAGAACCATATAGGCTATTGTGGAGATCCAGAACACCGTCCACATTTTATGCTAAAGCGGAAACAGCTCTCAGTTCCAAGTCCTTGGACCTGTTGTAAACAATGAATGTGAAAACCATGGTAATCTTATTTCTGTTAGCTGTTTAGGAATTCAGCGTATTGCTGGTCGAAATATATGCTGTGACCCACCCTGACCAACTAGATCATCTTTGGGGATGGGGCCCAGGATTTGGTGCTCTAGGGAGTTATACTATATAAACTGTTTCCCAAACTTCCCTGTTGAGAATCACCTGGTATTCTTGTTGGTATATAAGAGTCCATAGGGGAGGGAACCAGGAATCTTTGAACAAGTCCTCCCAGTGACTTTTATTTTCCAGAGAGTTTTTGTTTTTGAGACAGGGTGTCACCCTGTCACCCAGGCTGGAGTGCAGTGGCATGATCCTAGCTCACTGTGGTCTCAAACTCCTGGGCTCAAGTGATCTTCCTGCCTCAGCCTCCTGAGTAGCTGGGACCACAGGTGCATGCCACAACACCTGGCTAATTTCAAAAAAGTTTTTCAGAGATGGGGTCTTGCTTGCTATGTTGCCCTCTCTGGTCTTGAACTCCCAGGCTCAAGCGATCCTCCTGTCTCAGCTTCCCAAAGTACTGGGATTACAGGTGTGAACTGCCATGCCCAGCCTCTCCAAGAGAGTTTGAGAAGCACCAGGAGAGCTTGCACTTGATGAAGAATGAACCAGTGGCCCGCCTACCCTCATCGCCCACCTGGGGAGGTTCATAAAACCACAGACTCATGATCCCACCCCATACCCATTGAATCAATTTCTGGGGAAGATGCCAGGAATCTGCATTTCTAGCAAGCTCCCCATCTCACTGAAACTCATGAAAATGTATGATCCACTGTGAAAGTGGTTAACTCCTAAACACTTGGCTTCATAGCTCACAAGGGTAATAAGCATGAATGGGGAAGCCCCTTTAAAAGAATGAGAATTGTTAGCCTACAGCCAATCCAATGATTCCTTTAAGGATAGCTCTTTTTATATGCTTAGAATGAAGCATTTTCTTTACTCATAACTGCCTGTTATGTAACGCTGTTTCCTTAGCCTCAAATTGCTAAACATTTCCAGAGAATCATGGTGTTCAATGACATACCCAAATTTATGTATGAAAAATTCTTAGAGTCTAATCTTTCTGTGTTTAAGCTTTTAAAATGTTTTTTTGTTTGTTTGTTTGTTTTGTTTTTGGGTTTTTTGTTTGAGATGGAGTCTCACTCTGTCACCCAGGCTGGAGTGCAGTGGTGCGATTTCGGCTCACTGCACGCTCTGCCTCCTGGGTTCAAGTGATTCTCCCACCTCAGCCTCCCGAGTAGCTGGGATTACAGGCATGTGCTACCATGCCTGGCTAATTTTTGTATTTTTAGTAGAGACTGGGGTTTCACCATGTTGGCCAAGCTGGTCTCAAACTCCTGACCTCAAGTCATCTCCTGCCTTGGCCTCCCAAAGTGCTGGGATTACAGGCGTGAGCCACCGCGCCCAGCCAGTTGTTTCATTTTGATTGTTTTGTGACCATTCATAACTGGTGTCCCATGTAAAATAACTGCATTGGTTCCCACAGCCCTTGACCTCTGACTTCACTTTTGTTTCCCCAGTGCTGCCTCTGCTGAAAGTAAAAGAATTTCTCCTCTTCTACTTCTCCTCCCACATTTGATGTGTGGACTTCCATGCCTGGGTTCCCTCCCCTAGGTCCCTTTACATTTTGATCACTGGCGACCCTATTTTCCTTTTCGTGTGGCTGTGGCGGTGACAGCAGAGGCTGCATCTGCTGCTGCTGCTTTGGGGCAGCATGCTGTGAGGAGAAGAGTGCAATGGAAGGGGACAGATGACAGGAAGTGCTCAGGGCCATCCGATTGTCGCAGCGTCCTCAGGGATGCCCCTGCCACAAGCCCCTCCACAGCTAAGTGGGCCATACCAATGAGCCTGAACTAGTCCTTTCCCTCCCTGGGCCACTCCCGCCATTACTGAAAAGCCACAGGTTCCCAGCGGTGTTTGGTTATGTTGCTAGGCTCAGGAACTGGAAGATGGATCTAATCTGAGCTCTGTCTCTAACCAGACCTAAGGCAAGTGGCAACTCCTTTGAAGGCGTTTCCTGATTTGGGCTTTATTACCTCACGGATCCCCTGCAGTTTTACCATCTACATAAAATCTTGAACTATTTCTCCTGTACTGGCCTTTAATGGAGGGGGTGGTTAAAGTGCAGGGACACAGTGGAGGCTGCCAGGAGCACGGGGGTGTCCGGAACCCTTGATCAGGAAGGCTGCCCACTGAGCTGACTCAAGAGGGGACTTGATAGTCTTGCCACTGAACACAAGTTCAGGCCCCAAGCTGCTTTTTGTTTTTTGAGACGGAGTTTCGCTCTGTTGCCCAGGCTGGAGTGCTATGGCGCGATTTTGGCTCACTGCAACCTCCACTTCCCAGGTTCAAGCAATTCTCCTGCCTCAGACTCCCAAGTAGCTGGGATTACAGGCACATGCCACCATGCCCGTCTAATTTTTGTATTTTTAGTAGAGATGGGGGTTTCACCATGTTGGCCAGGCTGGTCTCGAACTCCTGACCTCAGGTGATCTGCCCGCCTTGGCCTCCCAAAGTGCTAGGATTACAGGCATGAGCCATTGTGCCTGGCCCAAGCTTCTTTTTAACCTGGTATATTGTGGGTGAGGAGACAGGCCAGGGAATCCTGGAAAGGTGCCTCCTCTGACACCGGTCAGCAGGGCAGTTGCCAGGGAGGGCCTGCGCTGGACTTGCCAGGAGCACAAGGACCACCTGTGCACAGGGCAGACACTCAGAGCCCTTTTTGGTGGTTGTTACTATTTATCTTTTTTTTTTTTTTTTTTAGACAGGGTCTTGCTCTATCACCCAGGCTGGAGTGCAGTGGTAAGATCATGGCTCACTGCAGCCTCGACCTCCCAGGCTCAAGTGATCCTCCCACCCCAGCCTCCTGAGTAGCTGGGACTACAGGTGCATGCCGCCACGCCTGGCTAATTTTTTTGTATTTTTTATAGGTGGGGTCTCGCTATATTGCCTAAGCTGGTCTTCAACTCCTGGGCTTAAGCTATCCTCCTGCCTCAGCCTCCAAAAGTGCTGAGATTACCGGTGTGAGCTACCGCGCCTGGACATTATTAATCTTTTATTGTTATAATAGCTTAATGGGAGAAGAAAAGATTGTGGTCTATGCATGTATGAAAATTAAGAAGATCATGTTGTAGATTGATTTGCAGGATTTTTTAAAGGCGCCCTGCCTTTTTTCCTCAGCGGGGTTCTTGAGCATCCATCGGTGATCGGTGGTCGCTTCTCGCAAATCTTCTGTTTCATTTATTTTGGTTGCTAAGTAGGGAGATCCACCTTTATCTGGGTGATTCAAAATCACGATTCTCCTGTGAGCTGCTCTAATCTTAGCCTTGCCAGCAGGTGAACTTACACCTAAAATAACACTAGCTTTTCTCCTACTCATTTTCTGTTCAAATCCTCCTTTGTAATAGGATGACAGGCTAGGAGTTCAAAGGTTCTCTACTGCTTCTGTGATCCTTGTTCTAGAGGTTTCCAGGACTGCGACGCACAGCGACCTGCAAAGGCAAGAGCAGCAGCACCCAGCCCTGCAGCTGTCACAGTTCTTGCCAGTCCCTGCTGGTTGGTATCTGCGTCTGACTGAGGCATTTGGCCAAGGGCGGCAAGTACTCAGTGGGGTGCAGCCCCTTGATGGCAGGGGTGATGCCACCATGGACAGCCAAGAGAACCCATTTTTTTATTTTATTCTAGATTCAGGAGGTACCTGTGCTTGTTTGTTACATGGGTATTACATGCATAATGATGGGGTTGGGTTCCTAGCCTACCCATCACCCAAATATTGGACACTGTACCCAGGAGGCAGTTTATCAACTAACAGGCTGGGTTGTGAGCTCAAGTCCCTTTCCACTGTGGTCATAAACAGTAACCACAGTGGAGTGATTCCTGACACATGATGCCTTTCTGGGTCCAGATACTTTCATCCCTATGTGCCCCACCCTACACGCCTCTTTGTCACTCATGCCTGCCGCTGCCCAGCCTTCTTCCCTGGCCCAGGCTCTGGATTGCCCAAACCTCCTGAGGGGCCCTTGGCAAATGTCTCTTTTGTGTTGTGCGTGTGTGTGTGGCAGGGTCTCACTTTGTCGCCCAGGCTGGAGTGCAGTGGCACAATCTCGGCTCACTGCAACCTCTGCCTCTTGGGTTCAAGCGATTCTCCTGCCTCAGCCTCCTGAGAAGCTGGGACTACAGGTACACGCCACCATGCCTGGCTAATTTTTGTGCTTTTGGTAGAGACAGTGTTTCACCATGTTGGCCAGGCTGGTCTCGAACTCCTGACCTCAAGTGATCTACCCGCCTTGGCTTCCCAAAGTGCTGGGATTACAGGTGTGAGCCACCGCGCCTGGCTGGGAAATGTCTCTTAAACCTGTCCCCCGCTGCCACAGCCAGTTTTTCCACCTCCACAATCACGACTGACTCCTAGTCTCCCTGCCTCCCTCTCACCCCTTCTCCTAGGTGCCCTTAGAATTCATCAAGTCTGGCCAGGCACGGTAGCTCACACCTGTAATCCCAGAAATTTGGGAAGCCGAGGTGGGTGGATCACCTGAGGTCAGGAATTCGAGACCAGCCTGACCAACATGGAGAAACCCCGTATCTACTAAAAATACAAAATTAGCTGGGCGTGTTGGTGAATGCCTATAATCCCAGCTACTCGAGAGGCTGAGGCAGGAGAATCACTTGAACCCGGGAGGCGTAGGTTGCAGTGAGCCAAGATCACGCCATTGCACTCCAGCCCGGGCAACAAGAGCAAAACTCCACCTCAAAAACAAACAAACAAAAAAATTCATCAAGTCTGAGCAGATTCCTCTTCTGCCTAAAATCTTCTCTTTTCTACCTGGGTTCTGTCCTGCCTTTTCAGCCACATGCCTCTGGTCCTTCTCCTTCCCCTCCAGCCAGCCCCACTCCAGCCACTGAGAACTATCACCTTTCCCAAAGTGCTGCCCTTTGCCGGCCTCTAAGCCTTTGCTGATGCCCAGATCTGACTGCCTCCCCCACAGTCCTTCCTCCTGCCTCAGATGGCCCTTCTGGAGGAAAACCCCAGGTGCCCCCTCCTGCCTCCCTCCTCAGTGAGGCCTCACCCCCATCCCTCCCTCTCCAGAGCAGTGTCTCCCTGGAGCCTGTGCTCCTAGGGGAGGGCATGCCTCCAAATGGCAGGTGTCCCTAATGTTTGCAGATGGGGATGGATGAGAGGCAGAAAGTAGCCCTTCAGGGCGGGGATTCCACCATCTTTTCCTTCCAAATTCAGGCCCTGCTGGGACAGGAACTATCCCTGTCGTGGTCCAGGGCCAGGTAGTTCTTCACGTCCTCTGGGAAGACAGAGTGCCCCAAAGCCCTTGATCTCCAGTGGGTAGAATTAGGTGGGGCAGAGGCTGTGCCACACCAGGTCACACCTCTCCTGTGTCTGCTCCCACCCCACCAAGCACAGGGCCGGGATGAGGATGCCTGGAGCCCAGCTCAGTGCCTGCCTGGGTTGCAGCCCTGATCACACCAAAGTGTCTTGTCTGTTTGCAGCCCTTTATCTGGCTAGCAGGGTTTAATTTTACTCTGGGAAGGTGGGATTTTTGTCCCTATTTACTTATTATTTTCGAATTTATTATCTTTAGGTGGCATCTACAAATCGGCGTCCTCTGAGGGCAACAGCGCCCCGTTCTGCTAGAAATCCCGAGATTTGCAGCCACTGCAGCACGCTGCCTCTGCGGCTTCTCCGCACCATCCCCGACCCCTTCCCCCGCGAGTCTGCCGTCGGCCAGTTTCCTCCCAGGCCCCGGCTTTGCTGTTCCTTGGGTGACATCTTGTGGCCAAGGACAGGTACAAACCATTGGCTGAAAAGGAGGAGCAAAGGCAGCCCTCAGCCCTCTCTGGAGGAGCCTTGGGGCGCCTTCGAGGATGCCCAGGAGGGCAGGGGGCTCCTGAACAGGGAATCGGCTCTCAGACCCCGAATGGGCTTGCACCAAGCCCTTCATGAGACAGCTGTGGCTGGAGCCCAGAATTCACCCAGGCCCCCCGAGGCAGACACACCAGGTTCCTCTCTGCCCACCCTGCGTTGTGGCAAATAATCATTATTCCCGATATAAAGCTTTTCTCTAGCAGCCCAACGACAAGGTTATTATTCCAATCTTACAGATGCAGCAACAGCCCTGAGCCACAGCCAGTGACCTGAGCCCAGCCCACAGGTGCCAACACTGTAAGATCTCACTGGACACAGTCCTGAGAACTGTGGGAGCCACCTGTCCCATTCTCTGGGAAGGTGCTCTGGGGAGGCGCCTGTGTTGTTAGTCATGGCCATGCCTCGAGTTCCAAAACCTTCTTCATGGCCTGGCATGGTGGCTCACGCCTGTAATCCCAGCACTTCGGGAGGCCAAGGCGGGCGGATCACTTGAGGTCAGGAGTTGAGATCAGCCTGGCCAACATGGTGAAACCCTGTCTCTACTAGAAACACAGAAGTTAGGCCGGGTGGTGGTTCACACCTGTAATTTCAGCACTTCGGGAGGCTGAGGCGGGCAGATCACCTGAGGTCAGGAGTTCAAGACCAGCCTGGCCAACATGGTGAAACCCCATCTCTACTAAAAATACAAAATTAGCTGGGCATGGTGGCGCGTGCCTGTAAACCCAGCTACTTGGGAGGCTGAGGCAAGAGAATCACTTGAACCCGGGGGGTGAAGGTTGCAGTGAGCCGAGATCTCGCCATTGCACTCCAGCCTCGGCAACAACAGTGAAACTCCATCTCCAGAAAAAAAAAAAAAAAAAAAAAGAAACACAAAAGTTAGCCTTGGTGTGGTGGCGTGCACCTATAATCTCAGCTACCTGGGGGGCTGAGGCAGGAGAATCGCTTGAACCTGGGGGGTGGAGGTTGCAGTGAGCCGAGATTGCACCACCACACTCCAGCCTGGGTGACAGCGAGACTCCGTGTGCAGGCCCGGGGCTGACGCTTCCCACATGACGTCACAGAGCCTTCACCTGGTAGTGGGCATTGTAAGGGCTGCACTTCACAGATGAGGAAGCCGAGGCTCAGACATGCAAAGGGGTTTATTCAAAGCCACATAGAAAATGCATGGCAGAGCCAGGATCCAAATCCAGGTCTAGAGGATGCCCAAATCTGTACTTTTAGCTACTGAGGGATCCTGTCTGCCCTCTGCAAAACCAGCCCCACAGCATTGTGAGGGCTCATGTGAACTGGGGAGCAAACTGTAGAGGATGGTGCCCACAGCAGGTCCTTATTATCCTGATCCTGGTGTTTACTTCCCATGTGCACTCGAGTCCGTCAAGGGCAGGGCCAGACACCCGGGCATCTGTAGTGCCAGCATGAAGCCTGGTGCCCAGCCGGCATCAGCAGATCAGATTGAATTTGAGCTGCCAGAGCAGGGAAGACCTGCTTTTCCACACGGGGCCCAGGGCCACTTCCCAGTGTCAAGGTCATGGTAAGGACAGACCGACAGTCTCCACCTCCTGATTCAGGAGGAGAAGGGGTGGGTGACCCACGCCTCCTCTTTGCAGCAGGCTGGCACCTGGGCTCGCAGGCAGGGCCCAGAGGGAGGAGGCCTGGCGCTGAGGATCCGCCGCAGGCCCGGGAGGAAGCAGCAGGGCAGGCGGAATATAAATGCGGCTGTGAAGGCAGAGGAACAGATGAGGGAAAGCCTCCAGGTGATTGGGTGGAGAGGCCCCGCCAGGGCGGATGCCTCCTCTCTGTGCACAGACTGAGCCCATGATGAAGATGAATGGAAACCCCTTTGCTGGAAAACATGTGGGTAATCAAGAAGGCTACCGGTGCCGAGGGGCCCTCCCACCTGCCCGGAGCAGGGGAATATTAGGATTTGGAATTTCAGCAGCAGCCACATAGTTAGCACGGAAACTAGGCAAAACTGATATGCAGCCACCATTACAGGATAAATGGTGCAGGGCGCCTGGTAGCTTGGCAGGAGTTAGTGGACTCCAACTGCAGCTGTGGGAATCAGGCAGCTGCTTTCACAAAAGAAAGGCAGCCCGGGTTGGTGAAGACCCAGGGCCCAGCTTCCCACCCCTCCGTAGGGTGGCGTTAGCCACCAGACTTTCCTGCTGGTGGTTGTGGGATTCTCTTCAAGGCTGGTTCAGGGAGGGGATGGGAGATTGTTCTGGGGGTTTCTTAGCATTTGCCAACAAAAACTGAGCTTGCAGCGTTCAGCTCCCACCTGGGAGGCAGGACTGATGAAGACACTGTGTCTCCATCTTTCCAGACCAACAAAATCCCAATTTTTCTCAATATGTCCACGGCAGAGCGATACGTGATTATTTGGTCGCATGCACGGTGGACCAGGAAGAGAGGTTTGCTGAGTCAATGAATACTGTCGACAAGTTTGCAGGGGGCATGTTTAACTCACTTCAGGTGCTCTGGAAGCATTCGCACGATGGCTAAGCTAATTACAAATCACGCCTATTTATTCATTAAACAGGGCTTGGGGGAAATTCAAAGAGGCAACACTGCCTTAACATCATTCAATTTGCAGTCTGTGATTAAACGGAACACAGCTGCAAGACTCCAGAAATGTTGCTAATTTCTGCCTTTTCCCTGGTTCGGACTGACTTGTTCTCTGGGGGCTACACCTGTCCTTAAGTGGGGTCTTGTCATCCTTCAGCCCCTCAGCGGCTCACTGGCTGCTTGTGATGCTGGGCAAGTGCCTTCACTAGCCTGTGTCTCAGTTTCCTCATCTGTAAAGCGGGCTCACGAGCTCCTGGCTGCCAGGATTCCTGCAAGGAATAAGGGACACGTTGGATGTTCAGTGTTCCTTCTGGAACCCTGCTAATAGCTGTGTGCTGAAGTGTCCTTCTATGTCTTCCTCCTTGGCCCTTGTACACACATAGGCTGTCACAAAGACAGAGGCCCCAGGGTTCCCCAGACAGCCCATGACAAGCAAAGGCTGTAGCTGCTGCTCCCTTAGGGCTCCAGCATGGAGCCTGGCAGGCAGAGGCTCCTTGCCCAGCGCTGGCTGGAACCGGCCTGCTGCCTCCATTCTAGGTTGGGTCTTGAATAATCCCACATCCAAGGTAACCCCTCAATCCTGAGCAAACTGAGATGGTTGGTCACCTTACCCAAGAGGGAAGGCTAGATTCTCAGGGTCCTGGACAGTCCCAGGCAAACCAGGACCATTGGTCACCCTGCTCTTGGTGCCCTTGAAACTCCTCTTATCGGAGTTCCTAAAAATAGAGCTAACTTTACCTTCAATCCCTGGAAACATCTGGGAGGCCCAAGGGTTATTCATTATCATCAATAAATTATAAGAGCCAAACAGCCAACGTTTGCTTAGCATTTTCCGATTCATGAAGTGCTTTCAGTGTGTGGGATGTTTCGGATCTTCCTTTCCACGTGCTGAGTACCCACTGCTGGTGTGGGACATGTGAGTTCAGCAGCTGTGGGAGGAGCAGAGGGATCTGTCCCTTGTCCCCTGTGAGGCCATGGAGCTGGCAGCTCCTTGGATTCTTCCATCCTCAGCTCAGTGCCTAGTTCCTGTCCCTTGATTCTGTCATTCTTGTTAGACATTCTCCCATGTCTAGAAAGGATCCCCAGCCAGGAAATAAAATATTAGCTTGAACCCTATGCCATGTCCCTTTTTATAGATCTCAAGCAGATGAATACGGGACATTTCACAGGGTTCCTCCTAATAGAGTACTGGTAATGTTCAGACCCAGGAGCAACATGAGGCACCTAGCTTCTCTGAGCTTCAGTTTCTCATCTGAAAGACGGGGATCTTAATTGTTTCTGCTTCCCCATGTTGCTGATGGAATTGAGTGATCCACGGAGGGATTTCAGCAGTGGTAGGCGCTCTCTCCATTGCAGCGTTTGCTTTGGGCTTTGCATCTATGTGTGTCCTTTGTGTTTCCGGGTTGACTGGTCAGCGGCTGATAAACATTTGTTGAATGAAGGAGTGGAAGTAAATGCATTTGTCTTCCTCCCATTGGTGTTTCCCAAATGACCTTGAACTCAGACGGGCTCTTCCTCTGCCCCACTTCCTTTGGAAGCCTCCCGGTAAAACACCCCGTTTCCCATGGCTCCCCATGGAGGGCCTGATGGGTTTGGAGACATGTTTCCATCCCCCCTATGGTTTCTAAAACATACAAATCATTCTGGCTGCACGTCTGTGTTTCATTACTAGGAATGCACATTTGAAAACAACAGAGGGTGAGGTTTAAAAGCAACATGCAATTTTTATTACATATATCTCCAAATCTGCCATTAGGCCCGTCCCCGTGGTGTTATTGACCTTGATTCTTTCTCATTTGCATCCTGCATTTTTCATCCTTTGGAATATGGTGTTTTGGGACTTCTCCATCATTAAGTGGATTTACAGCAATTTCCCTGTGTGTTTTCTCCAAGGGATTCTGTTATGAGATGCACATTAAATCTCCATTAATACCTCATTATCCGACTGATAAGATTACCATGATAATGAGGCAGAAATTCTAATTGTTTCACTTCTTATTGTGCCTTCCATTTAATCCTTTACTCTACCTGGAAGTTGGTCACGAGCTGGGGAGCACCAGGCAGAAAAAGACCTTCTGATTGGAGGACCGGAGGCTGGGACCACTGTGACCAATAGTGATTGGGGAAAGAAAGGAGGTGAAATGGTGTTTAAATGCATTTCCTAGGGAAAAAGTTTCAGGGTGGAAAGCCATCTGGAGTGGGCCTTGTTGAATTCAGAGAGTGCCTATGTTCCAGTTCAGTACACATTCACACATGTGCACACAGACACAACCACTCAAACACACGCACGCAAGACACACACACATGCACCCGGACTTCAAGCTTCAAGCTCAAGAGAGCCCAGATTCTTTTTTCTTTCTTTCTTTCTTTTTATTTTTTAGACAAGGTCTCACTCTGTTGCTCAGGCTGGAGTGCTGTGGCACGATCATGGCTCACTGCAGCCTTGACCTCCTGGAGTCAAGCAATCCTTCCACCTCAGCCTCCCAAGTAGCTGGGACCAAAGGCACATGCCACCATACCTGGCTAAGTTTTTTTGTTTTCTGTTTTTTTGTTTTGTAGAGAGGGGGTCTCACTATGTTGCACAGGCTGGTCTCAAACTCCTGGGCTCAAGCGATATGCCTGCCTCAGCCTCTCAAAGTGCTGGGGTTACAGGCATGAACCACTGTGCCCAGCCAAGAGAGCCCAGAATCTTGATGTCATGCTTTATTTTCCTACTGGCCTGGACCCCCTTCCAGAATGTTCCTAGCTCCAGAAGGCTGCATGAACCTCCCTTCCAGATGGATGAATTCACTGGACTGTCAGAGGGTGCTGAGCCAGCAGACCTTGGGGGTAGGGACCAGAGGGATGAAGACAGTGAGGGAAGAAGAGGCCTCTTCAAGGAGAGGCTTCGCCAGGCCCGTGTGTGAGGGGTGGTTCCCACCAGGATGTCTCTGGGTCCCCCAGGTGTGCTTGTCTGCTGCAGATCAGGTCCTTCCATCTGTTGGGGGTGGGGTGGTCCCTGGAGAACGGTCCTGGGAATGACAGGTTTCCAGGCTGTCAGGCTCAGAGTGCATGAGCTGTGCATGTGTCACCAGGAAATTCCCCAGAGCGGGGTGGCTTGAAATACCCGGGCTCCCCTCGGCCTTTATCCTGCCTCTTCCACCTGGAGAACAGCTCCCCAACTCCTGTGGGGTCCCTACCTTGAGGCAGAAGCAGTAGCTTGATCTCGGCTCACTGCAACCTCCCCCTCCCGGGTTCAGGCAATTCTCCTGCCTCAGCCTCCCAAGCAGCTGGGATTACAGGCACCTACCACCACGCCCTGCTAATTTTTATATTTTTAGTAGAGACGGGGTTTCACCATGTTGACCAGGCTGGTCTCGAACTCCTGACCTCAAGTGATCTGCCTGCCTTGGCCTCCCAAAGTGCTGGGATTACAGGTGTGAGCCACCGCGCCCAGCCATGAAGGAGCATTTTCAAAGCCTCTGCAGGGGTTTGGAAGTACCTAGAAGGATGGTGACTGTCACAGCAGAGGGTCTGTGGCTTGGAGAAACAGTGCATTCCGGGGCCCAGTCCCTCAGGCGTCTGGAGAGCAGGCCAGCTGGGGGGCAGGAAGCTGAGTCCACTTCCACAGACCGATGGCAGCACCTCTGCTGGCCCGGGAGGAGCTCCACGCTCCCTGGACAATGAAAATATCCTTATGCGAATGCAGTCTCTCCACAGTCATTCTAGGTTTATGGGCAGGAATGCTGGCATTCCAGTCACCAACAACATGCCACAAACTGGGTGGCTTAAAACAACAGAAAATTATTCTTTCACTGGCCGGGGTCGGTGCCTCATGCCTGTAATCCCAGCATTTTGGGAAGCTGAGGTGGGCAGATCACTTGAGGTCAGGAGTTTGAGACCAACCTGGCCACCATGGTGAAACCCCGTCTCTACTAAAGATACGAAAATTAGCCGTGCATGGTGGTGGGCACCTGTAGTCCCAGCTACTTGGAAGACTGAGGCAGGAGAATTGCTTGAACCTGGGAGGCAGAGGTTGCAGTGAGCTGAGATCGTGCCGCTGCACTCCAGCCTGGGCAACACAGGCTCCATCTCAAAAAAAAAAAATGAAAAAAAAAGAAACTTATTCTTTCATAGTTCTGGGGACTGGAGTCTGAAATCAGGGTGTCAACAGGGCCGTGCTCCCTCTGAGACGCTAGGTGGGTCTTTCATGGCCTCTTAGCCTCTGGTGGTGGCCATCAACGCTTCGCGTTCCTTGGCCTGCAGCTGCCTCACTTCAGTCTCTGTCTCTTGTCACAAGGCCGTCTTCTTCCTATGGGCCTCTCTTCTTCTTATAAAGACATCAGTCAAACTGGATTATGGCCCACCCTAAGGACCTCATTTTAACTTGATTACATCTGCAAAGACCCTATTTCCAGCTAAAGCCACATTCCCAGGTATTCACTGCATTATCATAGCGATGTTTTTATTTAATTTAATTAATGTATTTTATTTTATTTTATTTTATTTTATTTTATTTTATTTTATTTTGAGACAGTCTTGTTCTGTCGCTCAGGCTGGAGTGCAGTGGTGTGATCTCAGCTCACTGCAACCTCGGCCTCCTGGGTTCAAGTGATTCTCCTGCCTCAGCCTCCTGAGTAGCTGGGACTGCAGGCGCCCGCCACCATGCCCAGATAATTTTTGTAGTTTTAGTAGAGATGAGTTTTCACCATGTTGGTCAGGCTGGTCTTGAACTCCTGACCTCAGGTGATCCACTGGCCTTGGCCTCCCAAAGTGTTGGAATTACAGGCATGAGCCACCACACCTGGGCCTTACCTATTTTTATTTTATTTATTTATTTTTTTGAGACGGAGTCTCACTCTGTCACCCAGGCTGGAGTGCAGTGGTGCAATCTCTGCTCACTGCAAGCTCTGCCTCCCGGGTTCACGCCATTCTCCTGATTCTCCTGCCTCAGTCTCCTGAGTAGCTGGGACTACAGGTGCCCGCCACCATGCCCGGCTAATTTTTAAAATATTTTTAGTAGACACAGGGTTTCACCGTCTTAGCCAGGATGGTCTTGATCTCCTGACCTCATGATCTGCCCCCCTCAGCCTCCCAAAGTGCTGGGATTACAGGCGTGAGCCACTGTGCCTGGCTGTCCTTAACTATTTTTAAATTGGGTTGCTTGGTTTCTTTGTTGCTGAGTTATAGGAGTTCTTTATATATTCTGGATAGTACCCCGTATCAGATATATGATTTGGAAATGTCTTCCCCTATTCTGCAGGTTGTCTTTTTACTTTCTGGAAAATTTTCTTTTTTTTTTTTTTTTGAGACAGAGTCTCACTCTGTTGCACAGTGGTGCGATCTTGGCTCATTGCAGCCTCTGACTCCTGGGTTCAAGCGATTCTCGTGCCTCAGCCACAGGAGCAGCTGAGATTACAGGCATGCGCCACCATGCCTGGCTAATTTTAGTATTTTTAATAGAGACGAGGTTTCACCATATTGGCCAGGCTGGTCTCAAACTCCTGACCTCAAGTGATCCAGCCACCTCGGCCTCCCAAAGTGTTGGAATTACAGGCAGGAGCCACTGCACCTGGCCACCAATTTTTTTCTTTGTGCTTTTGGTATTGTAGCAAAGAAACCCAAGGTCACAAGGGTTTTCTTCTGTATTTTCTTCTAGAAGTTTTGTAGTTTTAGGTTTTACATTTATGTCCATGAGCTTCTTGGATCTGTTATTTGATGTCTTTCATTAATTTTGGAAAATTTATGGCGTTTTATAATTTTTTACTTTTATTAATATAGAGATGGGGTCTCGCTATGTTGACCAGGCTGGTCTCAATGTCCTGGCCTCAAGCGACCCTCACATCTCAGCCTCCTACAGTGCTAGGATTACAGGCATGAGCCACTGCTCCTGGCCTGGCGTTTTAAATTTAAATATTTCTTCCATCCATCTGATCCTTTTCTTCTTCTGGGATTCTAATTACATATATTTTTTAAGACTGTTTTATATTGTCTCCTAACTTTAGGATGCTCTGTTCTGTTTCTGTGTTTTTTTCCCTCCCCTATTTTTTTCTTCTTTTTTTTCCTTAGAGACAGGGTCTCACTCTGTCACCTAAGCTGGAATGCAGGGGCACAATCATAGCTCTCTGTGGTCTCAAACTCTTGGGCCCCAATGATCCTATGGCCTTGGCCTCCCAAGTAGCCAGGACTACAGACATGCACCACCATGCCCGGCTAATTTTTAAAAATTGTTTTGTATAGATACAGGGTCTCACGATGTTGCCCAGGCTGGTCTCAAGCTCCCGGCCTGTAGCAATCCTCCTACCTCAGCCTCCTAAAGTGCTGGGATTACAGGCATAAGCCACTGCTCGTGGCCTAGGTTCACTGATTACTTCCCCAGCTATGCTGAGTCTTTTGATGAGCCTGTCAACATCATTCTCTTTTACTGTGACTTTCATTTCTAGCATTTTATTTATTCTTTCCTATAGTTTCCATCTCTTTAATGAAATTCCCCAACTGTGGGTACATGCTACTCACCTTTTCTCCCATTGCCTTTAACATATTAATCATAATTATTAAAATTCCCTAAAAGTTCCAACATCTGGGTCATATCTCAGTCTGATTTTGTTGATTGCTTTATCCCTTGACGGTGTGTTGCTTTTCTTGCTTCTTTGTGTGTCTCGTATTTTTTTGATTGAAAGCTGGGATCTTGTATAGGATAGTAGAGACTGAGGTAAATAGCATTTACACCTGAAAATGGGCTTACTTCTTCTATTTTTTTTTTAAGCAGTGTTTTGCTCTGTTGCCCAGGCTGAAGTGCAGTGGTACAATCACAGCTCACTGCAGCCTTGAACTCCTGAGCTCAAGTAATCTGCTGCCTCAGCCTCCTGAGTAGCTGGAACTACAGGCATATTCCACGTGCCTGGCTAATTTATTTATATTTTGTAGAGACAGGGTCTTGCTATGTTGCCCAGGCTGGTCTTGAACTCCTGGCCTCAGGTGGTCCTTCTACCTCAGCCTCCCAAAACACAGCTGCATGGCATAGAGATGGGGCCATCACATGGTGAAACCCCATCTCTGCTGAAAATACAAAAATTAGCTGGGCATGGTGGCGGGCGGCTGTAATCCCAGCTACTTGGGTGGCTGAGGCAGGAGAATCGCTTGAACCTGGGAGGCGGAGGTTGCAGTAAGCTGAGATTGCGCCACTGTACTCCAGCCTGGGCGACAGAGCAGGACTGTCAAAAAAAAAAAAAACACCAAAAAACAACAGGTGTGAGCCCCTGTGCCTGGTTAATGCTGCTGCTTTTGCCAGGCCCTTCAGGTAGGGAGCTGGTCAGTCTAGCCAGGAGTTAAGCTGGCTTTGGGGTTTGGTGTTGCTCTGTTGCCCTCAGGGCCCCACAGTTCTCTAGCATCACTTTGCTTAACTAACAACATCGAGCATCTCCTCATGTGCTTATTTACCATACATGTATCTTCTTTGATGTAATGTATTAGTCAAATCTTTTTTTTTTTTTTCTTTTTTGAGACAGGATCTTGACCTCTTGGTCTCAAGTGATCCTCCAGCCTCCCAAAGTGCTGGGATGGCAGGTGTGAGCCACCACACCCAGCCTATTCAAATCTTTTGCCCATTTTTCTTTCTCAGATTGCTTGACATTCCTCTAATATCACTAAGTGTTTAGAGTGGGGCCTGACTTGCTAGAAGGTTTTTTCCCAATGTCCGATCCACTCTCAGTTTTTTTTTTTTTTTTTCTTTTTGAGATGGAGTCTCGCTCTGTCACCCAGGCTGGAGTACAGTGGCGTGATCTCGGCTCACTGCAACCTCTGCCTCCTGGGTTCAAGCAATTCTCCTGCCTCAGCCTCCTGAGTAGCTGGGATTACAGGCACGTGCCACCACGTCTGGCTAATGTTTTGTATTTTTAGTGGAGACGGGGTTTCACCATGTTGGCTAGGCTGGTCTCGAACTCCTGATCTCGGCCTCCCAAAGTGCTGGAATTACAAGAGTGAGCCACCGCACCCAGCCTACCCTCAGTTTTAGGTCTTCTCTTTGCATTTGCTCCCAAGAGAGCATCTCTCCCTGCATTCTTGCCTTTCCCCCAGCAGTAGACCCACAACTGTAACTTGTTATTAGTGATTTTAAGCCTTTTTTATGTTTTTTTTTTTTTTTTTTTTTTTTGCGGGGATGTTGGCGAGCTGGAATGGCATTCTCCATTATTCTGGGTCAGCTCCAGTTTTAGGCAGGAGCTGGGTCTCAGAGCTCCTTCTCCTCCCCCAGTAGCAGATGAGATCTAATAGTCTGAGCCCAGGATGTATTTCTGCCCTTCCCCTAAAATTAAGAGGGTTTTTCTGTTTGATTCCCTCACCTGCAGTGGGTCTTCCTCTGTGCCTTGAGGGCTTTTCCCACCTTGACCCCACTGCTTAAGTCTTTTGTCCCATAAAGGAGAGAATGGAAATAGAGACAGTGAGTGGAGCTTCGTGCTTTCTTGCAGGGACTGCAGGAGGCTTTCTCAGACCTCTTGCCCTGCCCCAACCTTTCTTATGAGCACCTGGTGATGTACCTAGAGAAGAACCTGAGAGTGGGTAAAAATTCTCCTTGTGTCTGCAGCTCCTGGAGATTCTATACTTCACAGTAGCTCGCACTCCACATTTAGCAAGTTGTTAAAATTTTTAGCTGCTGTTTGAGTCCATTTTCTGCTGCTATAACAGAATGCCATAGACTGGGTAATTTATAAAGAACAGAAATTTATTGGCACATGGTTCTGGAGGCTGGGAAATCCAAGATCAAAGGACCAGCATCTGGCAAGGGCCTTCTGGCTGTGTCATCCCATGGCAGAAGTGCAGAGAGGGCAAGAGAGAGCAAAAGGAGCCAAACTTATCCTTTCTTCTTTTATTATTATTATTTTTTGAGACGGAGTCTCGCTCTGTCACCCAGGCTGGAATGCAGTGGCCCAATCTCGGCTCACTGCAAGCTCCACCTCCCGGGTTCACGCCACTCTCCTGCCTCAGCCTCCTGAGTAGCTGGGACTACAGGTGCCCGCCACCACGCCCAGCTAATTTTTTGTATTTTTAGTAGAGACGGGGTTTCATTGTGTTAGCCAGGATGGAAACTTACCCTTTTATAAGAAACCCACTCCAGGCCAGGCATGGTGGCTCATGCCTGTAATCCCAGCACTTTTGGAGGCCAAGGTGGGTGGATCACCTGAGGTCAAGAGTTTAAGAACAGCCTGGCCAACATGGTGAAACCCCGTCTCTACTAAACCTACAAAAATTAGCCAGGCATGGTGTTAGACACCTGTAATCCCAGCTACTTGGGAGGCTGAGGCAGGAGAATTGTTTGAACCTGGGAGGCAGAGGTTGCTGTGAGCCGAGATCACGCCACTGCACTCCAGCCTGGGTGACAGATAAAGACTCTGTCTCAAAAAAAAAAAAAAAAAAAAAAAAAGAAACCCACTCCAGCAATAATGAACCCGCGCCTGTGATGAGGCAATGGGAGGTGGAGGCCACCTCAGGAGGGGGCACTAAAGGGTCTCAGGGCACTGAAGGGTCTCCAGGCACAGGGACAACGTCTGGCTCTTCACTCAGAACTGGATCTGGGAGCTGAGCACAGTAGCTCATGCCTGTAATCCCAGCACTTTGGGAGGCTGAGGTGGGTGGATCACCTGAGGTCAGGAGTTCGATGCCAGCCTGGCCAACATGGTGAAACCCCATCTCTACTAAAAATACAAAAATTACCCGGGCGTGGTAGCATGCACCTGTAGTCCCAGCTACTTGGGAGGCTGAGAGAGGAGAACTGCTTGAGCCCGGGAGGCGGAGGTTGTGGTGAGCCGAGATCGCACCACTGCACTCCAGCCTGGGCGAGAGAGCAAGACTCCCTTTCAAAACAAACAAACAAACAAACAAACACAAAACAAAACAAAACAAAAAAACAAAAACCTTGATCTGGGAATTCAAAGCCCTGAGCTCATCTCTTTTTCTCATTAGTTTTCCAGTGCACTTAGAGGCAACCAAGTGACCCCACAGTCCCTGTGCCCTTTATTTCCACCCACACATTTGATGCCAGTAGTGACTTGGTCACCCGAGCCCTCTGTGGGCCTTGGGTCCAGGGGTTATGTAACTGCTCCACTACTGTGTGCCATGGAGCCCCAGTGTAGTCCCCGGCAGCAGGATCTGAACACCTCTAAATCCACTGAGATTGGAGAACTGATGCTGAGTTCCCATCCTTAAGATTCTCTTCTCCTGGAAGCATCACCAGTACCAACCACTGTATCACTCGGGGTTCAATCAGGGAAGCAAAGCCACTGCGGGTATTATGGGATGCAGATTCATTATGGGGATGGCCTGACACGATTATGGGAGGAGCTGGAGGTGAAGGCCCAGAGGGGACACGGGGGGTCAGAGCTGACACCTCCCAGCGATCTGAGAAGCCAGGTGTGTCTGGCTGCCAGAAGGGATGTGGGGGACGCTCCTGGAGGGTCCCCTGGGAGCTATTGCCTCTGTGTAGCTGCTGCCTCTGTGAGTTCTTTGGGGAGCCTCTGGGGTGGGCCTGGGGCCACTGCTGGTCAGCAGGCCAGCAGTCAGGAAGACCAAGCGCAGGGTGGAGAACGGCGAGGACAAGCTGGAGCCCCCCAGGCCACTGGGTCTGCCTGTCACCATGGCTGCCTCCTGTGACCTTCAGAGAGCAAAGGTCACTGCTTCCCTTCCAATTTCAAAAGCTCCTATGCAGGAAGCACAGAGGGAGGCCTTCTGGGAAACTCGCCTCTCAGCCTCACCAGGTTGGCTTGGCCCCATTGACGTCTCCCTCCCGCCAATCTGCAGGCTGGGTCAGGATCCTCCCAGGCCTTCGCCCCTCCCAGCACCTCCTCCCCAGCTGACTAAGATGCTGGGGTGGGTCTATTCTATTCAACATGGGTGTGACCAGCCATTAGCACAAGCTTGGAACAGAGCAGCGCTCAATGTGTGTTTGGCAAATGGACGGGTGAATGGAGGACGGGATGATGCCTGCTTGGTGCCAGGCCCTGGGCTGGGCGCAACGAACACAGAAAAGTCAGGGAGGAGGTTTGCTGCTGCCAGAGTTGTGGCCTGTACTTATTCTCTGCAGGGCATTTGGCTAAAGGCTGGGGCCGCGGGAGGAAGGTGGAGATAAGCCGAGCCCCCAACAGCTGGGACATGCCTGGATGAATGTGTTCAGGGCCTCAGACAAACCCAGTGAGAGACCAGGCTGGAAGCGCAGGGCAGGTGAGGCCACTACTGGCCAGTGACTTGCGGAGGACTTCCTGCAGCAGGTGGCATGGGGAGGCTGGAACAGGTGGACCCCTGTGGTGGGGCAGGTGCATGCCAGACAGAGGGTGCTTCAATATATGTGTCCCTGCAAAATTTAGATGTTGGGGCTGGGCACAGTGGCTCACATCTGTAATCCTAGCACTTTGGGAGGCGGAGGTGGGTGGATCACCTGAGGTCAGGACTTTGAGACCAGCCTGGCCAACATGGTGAAACCACGTGTCTACTAAAAATACAAAAATTAGCCAAGTAGTAGTGGCATGCTACTACCAGAACAGAATGTGTAACCAAGAGATATAAGCAGAAACCTAGGTCCCAAGTCCACTCTGCTCCAGGCTCAGCCCCTCTGGTCCATTCTCCACAGGCGGCAGGGCCTGCCTGTAAATCCTCCATGGTCCCCCGTGGCCCTCGGGAGGTGGTCCAGCCTCCTCCACGTGACTGCCCCTCTCTCACCTCCTAGCCTTCCACGTGCTGCCCCTCTGTCCTCCCACCCTACCTGCTCCTCCTCAGAGCAGCCTTTCTTGACTCTCTGCCTTGGTCAGGGCCCCCCTGTGCTCCCCAACTTGCCACTCATGGCCCAGTGTCCTGGGACGGTCCCTGTGGCCTGGCTGGACTCTAGGTGGGGGTCTTACACTGTGCGTGCTGGGGGTCTGGAGAGGAGAGGAAAGTGCAGCCACGCAGAGCTGAGAAGGGAAAGGTTGGGGGTGCCTCTCAGGGCCAAACTCTCCTTCCAGATCATTCCTTTTTTCTCTTTTCTTTTTTTTGAGACAGAGTCTTGCTCTGTCACCCAGGCTGGAGTGCAGTGGCGCGATCTCAGCTCACTGCAACCTCTGCCTCCTGGGTTCAAGGGATTCTCCGGCCCCAGCCTTCCGAGTAGCTGGGATTACAGGCACGCGCCATCATGCTCAGCTAATTTTTTGTGTGTGTTTAGTAGAGCGGGGGTTTCGCCATGCTGGCCGTGCTGGTCTTGAACTCCTGACCTCAAGTGATCAGCCTGCCTCGGCCTCCCAAAGTGCTGGGATTACAGGCGTGAGCCACCGTGCCCAGCCCAGATCATTATTGATTTAGGGATTTCCTTGGCTCTGCCTGGGAACAGTTTTCGTGTGACAAACCCAGTTTAGAAATGGCCAGTGAGAATGGTGGCCATCAGCAGGTCCCCATCTTGTACCCATGGCAGGAGAGGAAAGAGAAGTCTCCATGCCCTGCCTTCCTAGATCCTGCTAGCGGGCCTGAGGCTGCACGTGTGGCCTTTCTTTCTTTCATTTTTTTTTTAGATGGGGTCTCCTACTGTTGCTCAAGCTGGAGTGCAGTGGCATGATCACAGGTCACTGTAGCCTCCACCTCCCAGGCTCAAGCAATCCTCCCACCCAAGTAGCTGGGACTACAGGTGCATGCCACCATGCGTGGCTAATATTTAAATTGTATTTTATTTTTCATCAAGTCAGTGCATTTTATTTTATTTTTTAAATTGTTCCTTTTCATTTTTTAATTTTTAATTTTTGGGGGTGTAGTGTAGGTGTATATATTAAATATTTCTGGGGCACACGAGATATTTTAACAGATGCATGCAATGAGTACTAATCACAGCAGGGTAAATGGGGTATCCATCCCCTCAGGCATTTATCCTTTGTGTTACAAACAATCCAATTATACTCCTTTAGTTATTTTAAAATGTCACTTAGGGTAGACGTGGTGGCTCATGCCTGTAATCCCAGCACTTTGGGAGGCCGAGGCAGGCAGATTACCTGAGGTCAGGAGCTCAAAACCAGCCTGGCCAACATGGTGAAACCCCAACTCTACTAAAAATACAAAAATTAGTCAGGCATGGGGTGCGCGCACCTGTAGTCCCAGCTACTTGGGAGGCTAAGGTGGGAGAATTTCTTGAACCCGGGTGGCAGAGGTTGCAGTGAGCCGAGATCAAGCCATTGCACTCCAGCCTGGAAGACAGAGCAAGACTCCGTCTCAAAAAGATAATAAATCGGCCAGGCGCTGTGGCTTATGCCTATAATCCCAGCACTTTGGAAGGCGGAGGTGGACGAGTCACCTGAGACCAGGAGTTCAAGACCAGCCTGGCCAACATGATGAAACCTAGTCTCTACTAAGCAAACAAACAAACAAACAAACAAAAATTAGCTGGGTGTGGTGGCACATGCCTGTATTCCCAGCTACTAGGGAGGCTGAGACAGGAGAATTACTTGAACCCGGAAGATGGAGGTTACAGTGAGCTGAGATCATGCCACTGTACTTCAGCCTCAGCGACACAGAGAGACTCTGTTTCAAAAAAAAAAAAAAATAGGCTGGGCGCAGTGGCTCACACCTGTAATCCCAGCACTTTGGGAGGCCAAGGCGGGTAGATCACCTGAGGTCGGGAGTTCGAGACCAGCCTGACCAACATGGAGAAACCCTGTCTCTACTAAAAATACAAAATTAGCCAGGCGTGGTTGGACATGCCTGTAATCCCAGCTACTGGGGAGGCTGACGCAGGAGAATTGCTTGAACCTGGGAGGCGGAGGTTGCAGTGAGCCAAGATCATGCCATTGCATTCCAGCCTGGTAAAAAAAGTGAAACTCCATCTAAAAAGAGAAAAAGATTACCCTCCCTCCAGCCTGGGTGATAGAGCAAGACTCCATCTCAAAAAAAAAAAAAAAAAAAAATTACCCTCCCTTTTGACCCAGCAATTCCACAACTAGAAATTTACCCCTAGAAATAATTTGGCAAATGCAAAAAAAAAAAAAAAATGTGCACAAGGATGTTCATATAGTGGTGAGGTTGGTGGTGTTTATGAGGGCAAACAATTGGAAGTTGCCAAGATGACCAACAATGGGATTAGAAGAGTAAAGGGTACACAGTCAGGGCTCTGGACATTCTTGAGTAAATGACTGAAATTGTGCTTCCACTTATTTTATTCTCATACATGTCATCCTCATGACCTTAGATGTGAGCCCTGTTATTATCTCCACTTTCCAGATGAAGGAACAAAGGCTCAGAGAAGGGCACAGACTACTGGTGGCAGGGCCAGAACTCATCCTCAGCTGGATCTGATACCAGGACCCGATAAACAAAGGAAGCCAGGAGTCTGAGTACGAATAAAGGAAATCAGGGAGAAGCCTCCAGCGAGTCATTCCTTTGCTTATTGCCTTTATGAAGCTCTCACCCCCAGGCATGCTCTGTGCTCACAATGGCAGCCATTGCTGCGAATCCTTTTTTTTTTTTTTTTTTTTTGAGAGAGTCTTACTCTGTCCCCCAGGCTGGAGTGCAGTGGTGCAATCTCAGCTCACCGCAACCTCCGCCTCCCAGGTTCAAGTGATTCTCCTGCCTCAGCCTCCCAAGTAGCTGGGATTACAGGCGCCCACAACCATGCTTGGCTAATTTTTGTATTCTTAGTAGAGATGGGGTTTCGCCATGTTGGCCAGGCTGGTCTCGAACCCCTGACCTCAGGTGATTCACTTGCCTCGGCCTCCCAAAGTGCTGGGATTACAGGCGTGAGTCACCGTGCCTGGCCCTCGAATACTCTTACTTTTCCTGAAAGGGAAGAGGGCAGCTGTCCCAGGCCCCAGGCCTCACTCTCATAAGCAGTAGGATATGGTGGTCATGAAGGCAGACTCTGGCGCCATGGTGCCTGGGCTCAAATCCCAGCTCTACCACTTACTAGTGGTGGATCTTGGACAAGTGACTTAACCTCTCTTGGCCTCAGTTTCCCCATTTGTAAAATGGGGATAATAACAATAATACCTACCTCATAGGGTTGTTGTGAAGGTTAAATAAATATTTGTAAAGAACATAGAGCCGTGCCCAGAACATAGTATGCCCTGTATCAGTATTTGTTTTTTAAAAAAAATACACACACACAGTGCACATGCATATATAATCATTATGAAAATATTTGAGAGGCAGGCAGAGTGGCTCATGCCTGTAATCCCACCACTTTGGGAGGCTGAGGTGGGTGGATCGCCTGAGGTCAGGAGTCCGAGACCAGCCTGATCAACATGGAGAAACCCCGTCTCTACTAAAAATACAAAATTAGCCGGGCGTGGTGGCACATGCCTGTAATCCCAGCTACTCAGGAGGCTGAGGCAGGAGAATCGCTTGAACCCAGGAGGCGGAGGTTGCGGTGAGCCGAGATCGTGCCGTTGCACTCCAGCCTGTGCAACAACAGCAAAACTCTGTCTCAAAAAAAAAAAAATAAATAAAAAGAAAATGTTTGAGAGTAATTTGAGCAGCATGTATCAAAATCTTTTTCTTTTTTTATTTTTATTTTTTGAGATAGGGCCTTGCTCTCTCACCCAGGCTGGAGTGCAGTGCCATGATCACAGCTCACTGCAGCCTTGACTTCCTGAGTTCAAGTGATTCTCCCACCTCAGCCTCCTGAATAGCTGGGACTATAGGTGTGTGCCACCATGCCTGGCTAATTAATTTTTTTTCTTTTTTTTTTTTTTTTGGTAGAGACAGGGTCTCCCTATGTTGCCCAGGCTGGTCTTAAACTCCTGGGCTCAAGCGATCCTCTCACCTTGGCATCCCAAAGTGTTGCGATTTCAGGTGTGAGCCACCACACCCAGACCAAAATCTTGAATATGCAGCACCGATCCAGCATCCCCATGTGTGGGATCTGACAGACACACTCGCAGAAATTCATAATGATAAATATTCAAGAATGTGGATTGCCATGTTATTTGTAAGGACAAAAATTGGAGACGACACAGAGGTTCATCAAAGGGGAGTGGCTAAATCAGCTATGGTCCATCCACAGGGTGAATACTACCCTGGAGTAAAAGAATGGGTTGTGTGTTTCAGGTTGAATCATCTGAAATTGCTCACATTTGACCACTTTTGACTTCTAAAATGGCAAGATGGCAATTTCAGATGAGTCAATCTAATACTATGCACTTGTATTAGAGTAGAGTGAGCTTTGGTAAGAAATAGACCCAGGCCGGGCATGATGGCTCACGCCTGTAATCCCAGCACTTTAGGAGGCAGAGGTGGGCCCATCACTTGAGGTCAGGAGTTCAAGACTAGCCTGGCCAACATGGTGAAACCCCATCTCCACTAAAAATACAAAAATTAGCCAGGTGTGGTGGCAGGCACCTGTAATCCCAGCTACTCAAGAGGCTGAGGCAGGAGAATCACTTGAACCCAGGAGGTGGAGGTTGCAGTGAGCTGAGATCATGCCACTGCATTCCAGCCTGGGCAGCACAGTGAGACTCCATCTCAAAACAAAAACAAAAACAAATAGACCCAAATATGTACTGGTTTTCCATGAGGTAATTCAGGGACCCAGGTTGAGGAAGCATCTGCATCTTCAACACAGGTTTTCCCAAGCCTGTTGTGTTTAACTCCATCCCAGCTGACGTCACATCTGAGCATGTGGCACAGTCCTTGGCCTATAGTGATTGCTTGATAAATGTGTATGTGGCAGCAGAAATACTCATCATGTCTCCTTCCTTTCCAACAGAATCCCAACTTAGCACCGGCTTAAGGGAAGACTGGGTGATACATTTGGATTAATCTAAGTCATTCGCAGTGGCTCCGTTCTCTTGCCAGTGATTGATTTCCACACAGAAACTGTCAGCGCCTCACAGTGTCCATCCAGTCTTACGTGCTGACACACGGTCCCAGCTTTCGTCTCTTTGCCTGGTGGCTTTCTCTAGCAACCAGAGCTGGCTCTGTGACTGTGTGTCCTGTAGGCCGGAAGTGCCAGAAACTTAAGGCCCACCCTCCAGTGTGGCTTTCAAAGACAGACAACACTGTCTACTTGACCCCTCAGGTGTGGTAACCCCGACATGAGTGTTCCATGCTGTCACGCAGAGCTCCCTAGTGGGATAATGCTCCAATTGTCCACAGGGGCAACTTACCTGGTAACTGGCTGTTTCTCCACCCAAATCTCATCTTGAATTTTAATCCCCATAATCCCTGTGTGTCAAGGCAGGGACTAGATGGAGGTAACTGGACCACGAGGGTGGTTTCCCCCATGCTGTTCTTGTGATAGTGAGTGAGTCTCATGAGAGCTGATGGTTTTATAAGCATCTGGCATTTCCCCTGCTCTCACTCACTCCATCCTGACACCCTGTGAAGAAGGGGCCTGGTTCTCCTTCGCCTTCCACCATGATTGTAAGTTTCCTGAGGCCTCCTCAGCAACATGGAACTGCAAGTCAATTAAACCTCTTTCCTTTATAAATTGCCCAGTCTTGGGCAGTTCTTTATAGCAGCATGAGAACAGACCAATACACTGGCAGATTGTATTTCTCTGTATGCTCTCGTCACAGTGGGCCACTGACTTTTCTCTACCCTTGAACTTGGGCAGACCTTCATACCTGGTGGCCAAAGTGATATTGCAAAATTTCTGAGGCTGGTCATAACAGGAAACATGGCTTCCACCTGGCATTCTCTCCCCCGTTCTCTCTCTCTCTCTCGATGCTTGTCCGTGGAACCCAGCCATTATGTTGAGGAGCGCATGCCACCAGGAGAGGCCACTTGTGAGGGTTTCAGCTGACAGCCCCACCTAGGCCCCTAATGGATGGCCAGCATGTGTGGGTGGCAGCCTTCAGATGATGCCAGTCCCTAGATTTTGAGTTTTGCAGCTGGAGCCCCAGACATTGTGGCACGGAGTCAATTCACCCTTGCTGTCTGCAGTCCTGAGCCATAGAAATCATGAGAAGCAACAAAGAATTATTGTTGTTTTAACCTACTAGGTTTTGGGGTCATTTGTTACACAGCAATAAATAACCAATACAACTATGCACCTTTTTTTTTTTTCTGAGACAAAGTCTCACTCTGTCATCCAGGCTGGAGTGCAATGGCACGATCTCAGCTCACTGCAACCTCCGCTTCCTGGGTTCAAGTGATTCTCCTGTCTCAGACTCCCGAGTAGCTGGGACTACAGACACGCACTACCACGCCCAGCTATTTTTTTTGTATTTTTAGTAAAGACAGGATTTCACCATGTTGGCCAGGCTAGTCTCAAACTTCCGACCTCAGGTGATCTACCTGCCTTGGCCTCCCAAAGTGCTGGGATTACAGGCGTGAGCCACCACGACAGGCGTGCCATGCACACTTTTTTTTTTTTTAACAGCCGAAACCAGTTCAGTCATTTATTTGACTGACAACTTTGAGAAGGACAACAAAATTAAACATTTTTAAATAAAATTCCTATAGAAAACTCAGTCATAGGGCAAATGCCATGCACCTTTTATTTGTTGCTTCTCCTTCCTTATTTGCCCACTCTCCTTCTCGTTTTTTCTAGGATCACCTCCCAAATCAACCATCTACACTCTGGTTCTTATCTCAGTGTCTGCTTCTGGGGGAATGCAGTCAAGGCACACATTATTTGGAAAAGATACACATAGAAAAAGGACAAAAAGATAATTACTGACTGCTTCTTTGGGAGTGAGTTCAAGAACCAGAAACTTTACTTTGTATTCAATACATGTCTGAATTATATACATTTTCAACAATTCTTCATTATACATTATACAGGGTCTGCTCTGTCTCCCAGGCTGGAGTGCAGTGGCATGATCATGGCTCACTGCAGCCTCAATCTCCCAGGCTCAAGTGATCCTCCCACCTCAGCCTCCCAAGTAGCTGGGACTACAGACATGTGTCACCATGCCCAGTTATTTTTTTATTTTGTAGAGACAGGTTCTTGCTATGTTGCTCAGGCTGGTCTCAAACTCCTGGCCTCAAGTGATCCTCCCACCTTGGCCTCCCAAAGTGCTGGGATAATCGGCATGAGTCACTGCACCCAGCCTATCATTACAATTCTTTTAATTTTGATTTTTGTTGGTACATAGTAGTGTATATACTTTCATTTTTAAAAATACAAAAAAGGCCGAGCGCAGTGGCTCACACCTGTAATCCCACTACTTTGGGAGGCCAAGGCAGGTGGATCACCTGAGGTCAGGAGTTTGAGACCAGTCTGACCAACATGTCGAAAACCCTGTGTCTGCTAAAAATACAAAAATTAGCTGGGTGTGGTGGCTCACACCCGCAATCCCAGCTACCCTGGGAGGCTGAGGCAAGAGAATCGCTTGAACCCGGGAGGCAGAGATTGCAGTGAGCCGAGTTTGTACCACTACACTCCAGCTTGGGTGACAGAGGGAGACTCTCTAAAAATAAATACATAAATAAATAAAATAAAAATACAAAAAATTTCCATGAAACCCCAAGTCATAAATTTTATGGTACACATAAAATGTGCCATTGTCAGCATTCTAAGTGTGCAGTTAGTTGGCTTTAGGGATATTCACATTGCTGTGTAACACCATCAACATCCACATCCATCACTTTCTTACCAAAAAAAAGGCTGAAACTCTGCACCCAAGAAATGCTCGCTCCCCAAACCCTCCTCTCGCAACCCCTGGCGGCCTCCATTCTACTTTCTGCCTCTATGAATTTGACATGAATTTGACTGATCTAGGGACCTCATGTAAGTGGAATCAAAACGACAGTATTTGTCCTTTTGTGTCTGGCTTATTTCTTGTAGTACAGTGGTTTCTTAGAGTGGTCCCAGGCTCACTCTTGTGGTCACTACCACCCACGGCCATGCTCCCTGGCACAAGACCTGCACCCACCCTGTGCAGGTGTGGCTGGTGGACGTGGCTGGGGAGCAGGGTGGGAAGCCATGGCAGGACCAGACCCTTCCTTCCGGACCAGCTGTCTGCGCTGCCCCTTCCCCGGTCCCGAGCAGAATTGCTGGGCGAGGGTTAATCAACATTCAGTCATGTTTCCAAGTTTAAATGGAGCATTTGTTTAATTATGTGTAAGTAGCAATACATTGTGGCCATTATCTAAATCACTATTTTATTTCCTGGATGTGGTTTCATAATGCAGGGTTTCTGCTGCAGCCTAGCATCATTAACAGAGAAGAGTTAATGAATATAAAAGCGTAAAGGCTAATTACACTTTAATTTACAATCACAGTCTCATTTTGGGACCGCATGAAATCTGTTTTGAAAACAATTAAAAAAAAAAACCCACTCTTGCCCTGGTAAGTGGAGGGACCCCGGCCAGGAGCGCAGCTCTGGCTTCCATGTGGTGGCTGAGCAGCGCTGGCTGGCACCGGTCCCCGCCCTGGCGCCATTACTGGGAGGCTGACGAGGCCAAGTTCAGCGCCCTGTGACTCTGCCTTTTGTTTCCAGTAATTTTCCTCCCGCCTTCAGTGACTGCTCGTGTGGCTGCCTTTGAGAATTGGGGAACCCCATCTGGACCACCTGTGGTGTGCCCATGTTGCTTTCATGTGGCCTCACCTAGAAGGAAGCCGGTTGAAATTACCTGGCTTTTTCAAAACCAGGTGGGGAGAAGGGAGTTGAGGTCAGGGACACTGACAGTTACAGGGTTTCTGCTGTGAGCCAGTACTATGCTGGGTACTCGTACATATATTATTTATTCCTTGAAATTGCCTATCAATGGCAATTAGTCTCCCAGAAATTTGAATTAGTCCCTCTGAAATGTTTAATGGAACCACAGAATCATTAACTTTCTTAGATATAATAATGGCATATGTGGATGGCTGTCTATTTTTAGGAGATGAAAGGAAGTTTGGGGGTGAAAGGCCCTGATATCCACCACTTACTTTCAAATGGCTCAGGGAGGGAAAAATAATAATAAATAATAATTATATAATAATTATTACATTATTATAATTATAATAATTAATATATTGATATAAAATATATTGGTTATAATTATGTAATTGTAATAATATCATTATTATATATTAGATATATGGCGAGACAGAGACAAAGAGAAAGAGATAAATGGTAAAACAAAATAAGTGGGCAAACTGAATCATATTGATTCTAGGTGGAGGCTATGTATACAGGTGTTCATTGTACTTCCAACTTCTCTATGTTTTGAAAATTTTTATAATAAAAATTAGGAAGAGAAACATTTGTCCCCACAGGCCACCACAACTTGCTTTGCCTTCTTTACTTGTTAAATAAACCTCTTTTCTCCCAACTGAGAAAAGGTCCATTTGCTCAAACCCAGCCTTTGTATGATTTTATGATTTTTTTTTTTTGAGACAAGAGTCTTGCTCTGACATCTAGGCTGGAGTGCAGTGGCATGATCTCAGCTCACTTCAACCTCTGCCTCCCTGGTTCAGGTGATTCTCCTGCCTCAGCCTCCCGAGTAGCTGGGACTACAGGCATGTCCCACCACGCCCAGCTAATTTTTGTGTTTTAGTAGAGACGGGGTTTCATCATGTTGGCCAGGCTGGTCTCGAACTCCTGACCTCAAGTGATCTGCTCGCCTCAGCCTCCCAAAGTGCTGGGATGACAGGTGTGAGCCACCGCGCCCGGCAAGAAACTTAAAAGTGTTTTGATAGAAGAAAATAACTATGATAGAACGACTGATAAAAGTGGGGTTGAAAATTGCATATGTAGCATGATCTTGACAACGTGAGAAAAATAGATATGCAATGACAAATCTGAAAACATCACACATTTCGTTACAATTCAAACAATCATGTGCATTTTAACACAGAGGGTCTGCCCAGCTCACAAATCCACGCATAGGCACCCAGGGCTTCTGCAGCCTTGTGGCTCCGCCCCCTGAAACACAGCTGATTGGATGAGAACAAGCTCTGGTACCCAAGCCGGGCCAATCAGAATGCCCTCCCCGGGAGGTAGAAATCCCAGACTCAGTCTGCACATCTGGGAACCGTCTGGGGCAGTCTCTGTCCCAGGATTGGGAAGCTGGGTGCGGGCGAACACGGAGGAGACCCCCACACACGGAAGCAGGAGACAGTGGGGGACCCCTGGGGGGACCAGCGAGCTTTTCCTGATGCTAGCTCCAGGCCACGGCCTGCCCTGGAATTTCAGGAGACCCCCCTGTAGTGTTTAAGTTCCCTGTTGATATGTTTTGTCTGGCTTGAGTAGGTTTCTGTCACAACCCAAACAGTCCTAACTAATAGAGTGAGCATGCCTTATTTTAATAGGGCGAAGGAAAAGAATAGGAACCACGAGCGACTGCTCACTGGGCCGCACACCCCATGCCGTGCTGCGCCCCGCCTGGCGAAAAGCCCTCAGATCATGTCCGGCTCTCCCGCTTTGCCCTGTGTGGCGAGGCCCGCCCAGCAACTGAGTTTCCTAGGCCTCCCAGAAAGGCCAGTGGGAGACACTGGGGGTCCTCAGCGGGGTGGGAGGACGGGGTAAGCCAGGATATTTCTCCCACTCTGGCTGCGCCATGAGCAGGTGGACAGTGGCTGCGTCTCCTCGGCAGCTCGGGCTCCCCTCCAGCGGGTCCTCCCAGCCTCCAGCGTGCTCCAGGTGGTCTTGCAAACCCCATCTCTTCCTTTTGTCTCCTTGTGCTCAGGGGGAGAGTGGCTTCCTGCTATGATAATTCCTGGGTCGCTGCCCATCCTCTCTGGCTTCTCGGCTCTTCTGGTTCCTGGGTAGTTAATGCCCTGAATCGCATTTCCCCTGTTTGCACACTGTCTTCCTGGTGGGACGCTGACTGATACACATAGATTATCTCATTTCATCCTCGAAACGCCCCTCTGAGGGCGGTATTAGGATCCTCACTTTGCACAGGAGGACACCAGCGCTCAGAGAAACGAAATAATGTGCCCCGAAGTCACTCAGCCTGTCCCAAAGCTCTGAATCCAAGCTCTTATCACTATATTTCACTATACTGCTATTTATTTATTTATTTATTTATTTATTTATTTATTTATTTATTTTTAAGGGACAGAATCTTGCTCTTTTGCTCAGGCTGGAGTGCAGTGGTGTGATCATAGCTCACTGCAGCCTTGAACTCCTGGGCTCAAATGATCCTCCCACCTCAGCCTCCTGAGTAGCTGGGATTGCAGGCACTCGCCACTATACCAGCTAATTTGTGAAATTTTTTGTAAAGACGGTCTTGCTATGTTGCTCAGGCTCAAACTCCTGGCCTCAAGCGATCCCCTTGCCTTAGCCTCCCAAGATGGTTGGATTATAGGCATGAGCCATTGGGGTCTGCCTGGACTGCTTTTTAGACTCACCTCTACAGTTAGAAGGAAAAATTATTTGAAAAACTTGCCAAAACATCCTGACCTCTAGGCTCTTTCTGCCCTCCCGAGCTGGGCTGATGCACGACTGATGAGAAGGCTCTCGGGGGCGTGGGTACTGAAGGCCTGGGAAGGGTTCTCAGCAAGCCCAGCCTCTCCCAAGCCCGGGACAGTGCAGGGACTGGCCTTTGAGTCCCACGCTTCTCCTTATTAGCAGTGAGACCTTGGGCATGTGGCCTCCCCTCTCTGAGCCCCCTCTCTCTCCTCTTTCATATGAGAGAAGTCACATCTGGATGGTGAGGTTCCCCAGGGTCTCCCAGCTCCCAACGGAGCCTGGGACAGAACAGGCCTTGGGCAGTGATACTTGAGTGGCCTACAGTCTTTTGCCAGAGTTCCCTGGCTCTGGGGCCACAGCTGCCTGTGCACAAGTGGAGGCGGGGAGGGAGGTGGATACTGCATGAGACTTAGTTACTGTGGGCCCTGCAAGGCCCATGGGCAGCTTCACCTGCTCTACTTGTTTACTTAGGAGGTTTTTTTTTTCTTCAAAAAGAAAAAGAAAAGAAAAAGTTCATCTATCATAGCCATGAAACGTTGGGCTTGAAGGGCTGGTTATATTTTTTTCTGACATCATGAAATAAAATGCATAACTACTAAAGTAAAAATGCTCCTGGGAGATCCTGGGAAACCGCCCCTCCCACCCAGTCATTAGCAGTATGGGCTTGGGAGCCATCTGGCTCCAAATAGTGACTCACTTTGTTAGCTGGGCAACACTGGGCAGGTGGCTTCCCCCCTGCAAGCCTCAGTTTTCTTATCTATAGAATGGGATCCTTGGCTGGGCTCAGTGGCGCACGCCTGTAATCCCAGCATTTTGGGGGAAGGAGGCAGAAGGATCACTAGAGGCCAGGGGTTGGAGACCAACCTGGGCAACATAGTGAGACATCCCCGTCTCTACAATAAAATAAATAAAATAAAATAAAATAAAATAAAATAAATAAAATAAAATAAAAGACAGTGAGATCATCATGACGCCTGTCTCAGGGGTTATTGCCAGGGTTCCTTCAGCTAATTCAGAGGCCCAGATAATGGGGCAGGAGGCCCTTGTGCCTGCAGTTATTGATATCATTTTGTTATTTTTTCATTACCATTACTAGCAGCATCAGTGGGCCCCGCAGGTGCTTAGGAGGGCCAGAGTCCAGGGGTTCCCAGGTTGGGGGTCAGGTTGGGCGCCGCCTGAGGGGGGGCTCCGTTCCCTCAGCTGCCACCACCACTATTGCTGAGGGCTGGAACTTCGCCCCACAGCCCCCAAGGAGATCCAGATTTATAAGCCTGCAGGCGGAGTGTTCACTGGGGCTGCTGACTCGGGCACTTTGCAGCACTGGCTTCGCTGTCACCAACGGTTTTGGGGATTGGGAGGTTCCTGACTTTCTGCTGACCTTCCTGTACCCCAGCCCCTCAGCTCCTCTGCTCAGGCCTGACTGCCCCCTCCCCCACTCCACGTGCATCCAAAGAAGATTTCCCCTTCTGGGCACCTGGGGAGTCTGCTGGAGCCTTCATTCTGGCATTGGAGGCAGCTGGGCACAGATCCCATGCGGGAGGACGCTGTGCACATTGCTTATCCTCTCTGAGCCTCAGTTGCCAGGGGGAGGATGGCGATGATGAGGATGGTGACCGTACCGTGGGCTCAGCTGTGCGCCAAGTCCTTTCTGATCCCCTTGATGGGTGCTGGTGGGTGGGGGTGGCATGTGGCCCTGGGGATGCAGCCAGGAGCCACTGGGCCTGCCAGTCTAGGGAGGGTGGGGCTGGTACAATAACCAACACCTGCTGAGCCCTCACCTTGGGCAAGGTGTGGTGCTGAGGGCCGACTGGCTGTGACTGCACCTCACCAGGCGCCTCTGGGGTGGGCACCATGATGGCCCCAAGTCAAAGCTCAAACGCTGGGAGGGGCCAAGCAGGGATTTTTTTTTTTTTTTTTTTTGACAAAGTCATGCTCTGTTACCCAGGCTGGAGTGCAGTGACGTGACCTTGGCTCACTGCAATCTCCGCTTCCCAGGTTCAAGTGATTCTCGTGCCTCAGCCTCCTGGCAGTAGCTGGGATTACAAGTGACTGCCACCACGTCCAGCTAATTTTTGTATTTTTAGTAGAGACGGGGTTTCGCCATGTTGGCCAGGCTGGTCTCAAACTCCTGACCTCAAGTGTTCCGTCCGCCTCAGCCTCCCACAGTGCTGGGATTACAGGATGAGCCATCACGCCCAGTCCCCCAACAGGGATCTGAACTTGCTGAGCTTGGCTGACTCAGGGCACGGGTACTTTCTCGCAGAGGTGCCACATGGGTACCTAGTCTCTGTGACATCTCTAGCTGCCTTGGTTTTTTCCACTGCACCCTGTTGCAGGGTTGGGTGAGGATTCCTGGGGGTGAAGTGTGCCACCAGCCCAGAGTCAGTGTCAGTTGCCCCTCGAGGGTTGTGGTCCAAACTGGAGGAGCCCTCTTGATACCTTCGAAAGTTTGGAATCTCCAGTGTTTGAGGATGGGACGCATCTGATGTTGTCCCTGGGGGCAGCGCCCTCCCACCCCTCTGCTAGCAGGAGGCCCTCTCATCTTGCCTCAGCCCCTTTCAAGGCTGATGGGATGAGCAGCTCCTTGCCCCTGTTGGCTTGAGTCCCCTAGAGCTGCAGTGCACAGTTATCCAAGTTGTGCACTGCACAGTCCTAGAGGCACCGTTCAGATCATAGACATGGCAGATTTTCCAAAGTTAGAACAATTTTCTTTCTTTTTTTCTTTTTTTTTTTTTTGAGATGGAGTCTTGCTCTCTGGCCCAGGCTGGAGTGCAGTGGCGCGATCTCGGCTCACTGCAAGCTCCACCTCCCAGGTTCAGGCCATTCTCCTGCCTCAGCCTCCCGAGTAGCTGGGACTACAGGTGCCTGCAAACACACCCGGCTAATTTTTTGTATTTTTAGCAGAGACGGGTTTCACCGTGTTAGCCAGGACAGTCTCGATCTCCTGACCTCATGATCTGCCCGCCTCGGCCTCCCAAAGTGCTGGGATTACAGGCGTGAGCCACCGCGCCTGGCCAACAATTTTCTTAAAGATGGGAGTAAAGTGGAAGCAAGGGTGCCTTTTCATAATTCTCACAGAGATGCCACATGGCTCAGAATCATTTCTACTTTGGGAAAATGACACCTCAAATCTGGGGAACTCCCACTCATCTTTCTAAGTCCTGCTTCCATGACCCCTGCCTGGGAAGCCTCTAGCCTCTATGTTGGAGTCACTGCCCACTTCCCTACCCAGGGTCCCTCAGTCCCTTCAAACCCCACGCCAGGCTGTGAGCTCCTGGGGTCAGTGACGGCTGCATCGAATTGGTAGGCCACCCACCCCTGGCCTTACCCTTTGCCCAAGGAGAGAGTTCATGGGCATCCCACGAGGTCCAGCCTTGGTGCTAACCAGGAGGCCCTATGAGACTTCCTAGGCAGCTGGAGCTGGGAGGGCCAGCCAAGCTCCACCTCCTCCCCACCATTTTATTTTATTATTGATTTATTTTTGAGACGGAATCTCACCCTGTTGCCCAGGCTGGAGTGCAGTGGCGTGATTTCAGCTCATTGCAACCTCCACCTCCTGGGTTCAAGCGATTCTCATGCCTCAGCCTCCCAAGTAGCTGGGATTTACAGGTGCATGCCGCAACGCCCAGCTAAATTTTTTTTTTTTTTTTGAGATGGAGTCTCGCTCTTGTTTCCCAGGCTGGAGTGTAATGGCGCAATCTCGGCTCACTGCAACCTCCGCCTCCCAGATTCAAGTGATTCTCGTGCCTCAGCCTCCCAAGTAGCTGGGATTATAGGTGTGTGCTACCACACCTGGCTAATTTTTGTACTTTTAGTAGAGATGAGATTTCACCATGTTGGTCAGGCTGGTCTCGAACTCCTGATCTCAAGTGATTCTCCAGTCTTGGCCTCCCAAAGTGCTGGGATTACAGGCATGAGCCACCACACCCAGCCAATGCCTGGCTAATTTTTATATTTTTAGTAGAGACGGGGTTTTGCCATGTGGCCCAGGCTGGCCTTGATCTCCTGGCCTCAAGTGATCCACCAGCCTTGGCATCCCAAAGTCCTAGGATTACAAGTGTGAGTCACTGCACTCGGCCCATCTACCCCCATTTTACAGATAGGAACGCCAAGGCTCAGAGCAGCGAAGGCCTTGCTCAGGGCCCCACAGAGAGTTAGGCACCTGGGCCTTCAGACCCCCCACTGAGGCTGGGCACACCTGCATCCCACCGCATGGTGAGAAGGCAGTCAAAGTTGGCAAAGAAGGTGGCGCTGCGGACAAAGAGGTGGAGTTCTCCAGGCCACCACTCCCCCATCCATGGCCTGGAAGTCATTTCCATCACAGCCAGGGTGCCACTCCTTAGAGACTGACGATTTGGTGGAGCAGAAGGGATCCAGGCTTAGGGTCTGGGGACCAGCGTGAAGACCCTGTCTGCGGCTGCCTGGACCCAAAGTGACCCCCGATCTTGCCTGCCTGGTCCCCCATTGCCAGCCCCCTGCCATCGGGTCCACTTCATCCTTCTGAGATTTATTCTCGGGCTGCAGAGCCTGGAAATAATTTGCTGACAGAGCCCCGTCCCGGCAGGTGCTTTAATTGGTTTTGTGGGAGCAGGCCTATTTAGAGGGAAACAAAAATTATGGTGCTGCTGCCCGTCTTTTCTCTGTAATGGGGGCTTCGGAGTGTTGGGGGTGGGGAGGAAAAGGTGGCTGTGTGGAAAGCAGAGACCCTGGTTTTTCTCTGGGGGCGCAGGTGCTGGGGCCTGGGTGTCCTGGGCCAGGGGCAGTGGAACCAGGCCACCCACTCTGGCCCTGGCTCAGCCTCAGCCTCAGGGCAGGGCAGCTTCTCATCCTCACAGTGCTGAGGGCAAGAGGAGGCCTGGGGACAAAGGGGCCAGGGCAGGGCCAGGGCAGGCAGGGCTCCAGTTCCCAGACTCCATCTTTCTGAAGGAGGCCCTCGCCCTTGCCGGGTGCGCACTTTCTAAAACACAAATCAGGTGGGTCACTCCTTAGCTCCAGCCCCTTCCATGGCTCCCCATTGTCCTCAGAATGAAGCCAGCTTCCTTAGCTTGGCACTCAGTGTCGCTCGAGGCCCAACTGACCTCTGGTGACCTCTCCAGCCACTTCGTCCTTCACTCCTATCTTCGCCCACCCCCTCCCAATGGTCTTTAGTCTTCCCTGGTGGGCTCCTGTGTGTCCCACTCTATGCTAACTCCACAATTGTCCATGATCAAGGAGAGCTTTGTTGCCTCATTATACAGATGAGGAAAAGAAGGCTCAGAAAGGTTAAGACACTTCCTGGAGGTCACACAGCAGGGCAGGGACTTGAACCCAGGTCTGGCTGGCATACAAGCCCACACTTAACTAGTAAGTTATAGGTGGAACTAGCCAAGCTCCCTCTAAGCCCCATGCTTTCCCTTGAAACGCCCCTCCCTACATTTTTCCGCTGGCAAACTCCTACTCATCCTTCAAAGCCCGCTTGATATCACTTCCTTGAGAATCCTTGCTTGACTGACTACTCCCACCTCTAATCTCTCCTCTGGGCTTCCCCAAGGCCCAGCCAAGTCTTTCAGCTCAGCTCTAATCTCTGGGTTTGTCATTTTCTGTGTCAGTGTCTGTCTCTTCCACTTCCTCCCTCACCCCGGACTGGGAAATCCAGCGGAATTGTTACTCATCCTACAGGGTGAAAGTTGCAGCCCTGGAAACTCTGCTAGGTCCAAGATCCTGGGACCCGGGCTCTCGTCTTACCTGCTGTATTGAGCAGCCTAGGCCATAGCTGCTCTGTGCGACTCCGAGCAAGGCCTTGTGCCTCGGCGGACTGAGTCTATAAAATGGGAGGGTCAGCCTAGAGGCATCTGACACTTGGGAACTCTGAGGGCCAGATGTGGGCTGGAACCTCACACCATGTGACCCATGTGAGTGTGACTCACATGATGTATGTGTGAGTGGGTAGCCACGCCCCATGTCAGGGTGGGTCACGTCACCATTGCTGATGCCCGGCCCAACCGGGGATCCAGGTGCTGGCCATGGACTGGGCTAGGAGGCCTGGGCAGAGCGGAGAAGTAATTACGCTGGAGTCAGGGCTGGAATCTCAGCTCTGCCACTCACCTGCTTCGTGTGAGCTCGGACAGGCCTGACCTCGCAGAGCCTCAGCTTCATCTGTAGAACCATGGGAACAATAATGCAGTCATGCGCCAGAGAAGGACGCTTCGGTCATCAAGGGACTGCATGTACGACAGTGGTCCCATAAGATCACAACGCCGTATTTCTCCTGTACCGGTTCTATGTGTAGATACACAAATACTTCCCACTGTGCCACGGTTGCCTACAGCATTCGGTCCAAAGACAGGCGGCACCTGAGTGTAGCCCAGGGGCAAGAGCCAGGTGTGTAGGGGCCGCACCATCTCGGCTGGCGTAAATCCACTCTATGCTCTTCGCAGCTGATGCATTTCTCAGAATGCATCCCTGTTGTTAAGGACACAGGACTGTCCTGCCACCCCACAGGGCTGATTTGCTGAGGGTCACAGGAGAGATTCTCACGGCTGGCCCAGAGCATGAGCTCCAGGGCCCTCACTGTTGTCATCTGCACAAGTGTTAAGTGCCACGTCCCCGCTGGGCCCGGTAGGCAGTGGTGGGCGGTGACTGAAGGATCCAGTCTAGACAGACAACCATGTTAATTCGCAGAGCTCAGGCCAGGACAGTGGGGCGGTGAGGGCCTTGGTTTCTGGGGTTTACGGTGGGGTTGGAGGCTGGGTCTCCAAGGGCCTCTTTCCCTGGTGTGTGATTTTTCAAAGAATCCAGGACAGAGTTAAACAGGCAGGTGCAGTCCCTGAGGACAGATGGCAGGATGTGGCTGGGGGGTTCAGAGGAGAGCTGGGGGCTGGGTGGAGTGAGAGGGGCAGAGCTCTCGGGATGAGTGGGTGGTGCTGGGAGACGAGCAGGGTCAGAGATCTGGAGAGGGGCGGAAAGAGGTTGCAGGCCTGGTTCAGCTGCCCCAATTCCACATAAAAACAGTCAGGGCTCGGTCCTCGGCCTCAGTTTCCCCCTCTGTAAACGTGGAAATGGTCCCTCCCTGTGGTGGCGCGGGGGACGGGGCCTCAGCTCCCCGGGCTCAGGAGATACCGCCTGGACCCGGGCAGCTTAAACACCCCTTCCCCTTCCACGAGGACCGAGTCCGAGGCCTGAGCCGGGCCGGGCTGTCTGCTGCAGGGCGGCGTCGAGACTTGGGGTGGGAGCCCCCGGAGGAGGAAGAGACGAACCGGGAGCCAGAGGGAGCCGGGTACACCGCGGGACTCACGGGGCGCCCCGGGGCCGGGAATCTAGCTACGGAATCCGGTCGGTAGGTGGCGCCGCGAGGCTGCAGTTGGGTTTCCGTCGCCCAGGCCGAGGGTGGTGCGGAGCCGGGACCCGCGGGGCTTCAGCGTCCCCCGTGGCCGTTCCCACCGCCGTCGGTCCGCGGAGATCCCAGGTGTTTTTAGGGCACCCAGGTTCACACCCCGTTGGGCCAAGACCGAGAGCGACGCGCGGGCACCGGACGGGGTGCGAACCCGGGGCGGACGGGCCCCCTGCCCCACCCCCTACTCCCGATCCCCGCAGCTGCCACCGCTGGGCCTCGGCTGCGAAGGCTCCAGAAACGGGTCCCCCGTACCCTCGGGCCTTCCCAGCCGCGCGGGCGTGCGAGGGAGCCGAGGTCCGGGAGGCCGCTAGGGCGGGGGCCCCGGCGTGGAAGGATCGCGCTCTGGGCTGTGTCCGTCGGCCGTGTGCGTGCGCGGAGGCCGTGGGCGCGGCCGGCAGGGGACCCTTCCTTTGTTCTCGCACTTCCTTCTCTGCGGGCCCTGGTCAGGGAGGACGCAAGGCCCAGGCTGCGAGCTGTGCCCGTGGGGACGCAAGCGACGGTGGGTAGGGACAGGCAGGCGCCCCTTCCTCCCGCTCAGCATCCAGCCTTCGGGCTCCCTGGCTGCTTTCCCGAGGGCAGCCTTGGCTGGGAAATGTCACCCTCCCCGGGGGAAGGAAGGGGAGCCGCGTGTGCGCGTCTTCCATGCGTCCTCCTGAGACCACGCCGCGCCCGGAGAAAGCCCTTTGATCCCCTCGCTATCTTTTCTTTTTCTTTTCTTTCTTCTTTTTTCTTTTTTTGAGACGGAGTCTCGCTCTGTTGCCCAGGCTGCAGTGCAGTGGCACGATTTCGGCTCACTGCAACCTCCGCCTCCCGGGTTCAAGCGATTGTCCTGCCTCAGCCTCCCGAGTAGCTGGGATTACAGGCGCCTGCCACCACGCCCAACTAATTTTGTATTTTTAGTAGAGACAGGGTTTCACCATGTTGGCCAGGCTGGTCTCAAACTCCTGGCCTCAGATGATCCGCCCACCTTGACCTCCCAAAGTGCTGGAATTACAGGCGTGAGCCACCGCGCCCGGACCCCCTCGCTATCGTGGATGCGGAACCTGCTCCAAGTCGCGCAGCTGGAAAGGGGCATCGGAGCCTCTGGGGGACGTCCCTGACTCGAGGCCGGGCCGATTTAGGGGGTGGAGGGTCGGATCGACTTCCCCCAAACCAGCCACCCCAGGGAGCCCCTGGAGGGGGCGAGCTGCCTGTGCCTGGAGGTGGGGACCATAGGTCCTTCCCAGCCCAAGGGCTCCCAGAATCCACACAGCAAGCGAGGCCCAGGGCTGGGAGGCGCCCTGGAGGGTGGGTTGGGAGAGGAGGTTCAGAGATGAGCGAGGCCCCACCCCGGCCAGGGAAGTCCCGTCCAGCAGAGCAGGTGGGACTTGTGGCTCATACCCGACGATGTGATCAGAGGAGGAGGGGGCAGGAAAGGTGGCCTTACAGGAGCCAGAGCTTGGGGGCCCAGACACACACCACACACACAGACAGACACACGCCACACACACACACCTCACACAGACACACCCACACACAGACACACCATACACCACACACACACCACACACATAAACATCACACACAGACACACACATACCACACACACCACACAGACACACACCACACATACACACACACCACACAGACACACGACACAGACACACACCACTCACACACCACACACACACACCACACACACAGACATATACACCAGACACACACCACACAGATACACACACCACACACACACACAACACACACACACCACACAGACAACCACACACACAGACTCATACACCATACGCACCACACATACACCACACACACACCACACACAAATACCAGACACACACACCACACACACACCACAGACACATACACCATACGCACACCACACACACACACCACACACACCACACACACACACCACACACACACACACCATACACACACACCACACACACCACACACAGACATATACACCATACACACACCAGACACAGACCACGCACATACCACACACACAGACACCACACACATGCACCACACGCACCACACCACACACACACACATACACACACACGAGCAGAGCAAGGGACAGCCATGTTGTGTGATCTGGGAGGGTGGCTCATCCTCTCTGAGTTGTTTATAAACCGGGCGGGACCCAGGCCTGCCAATCAAAGGCCTGATCTGAATGCTCTTATTGGTTCAGAGATGGACATGTGACCCTCTCTTGGCCAATCAGAGGCTTTCCTGCTGGAAGGGCTGCTGGAAGCCATCTTCGCACGGTTCTTCCCTTGGCTTTAGAGCCCCGAAGCGCTCTTTGACTTGAGCTGCTTTGCATTCTCTCTGTCCTGCCATCGAGAAAGTTCTGAGCGGCTCAGAAGTAATACTGACACTGTATGTAGCGCCCTTCCCACGCCAGCGGCCATTCCCCATGGGAGGGGCAGTGCTGGAGGTGCCCTGGGTGACCGGGACGAGCCGCCGCCCCTCTGCCGGCCTTAGTGCCCTTGTCTGTGAAATGGGGCGAGTAGTTCCTCTCTCAGGGCTGCTGCGAGGCTGAGTCACCGCGATGGCGGCCGGCAGAAGGGGCAGGAGGGGCTGTCGGTCCAGGGGCAGGGGCGACAGGGGCAGCGGTCAGTGGGCGCAGAAGGGGAGCCTCCCCTCCTTGACCCAGAAGGCCTGGGTCTGGGCGAGCGCGGGCACAGCGAGGGCCGGCAGGAGGGAGGGAGTGCCGTGGTGGAGGCACCAGGATCCCCATCCTTGCCTTGACACAGATCAACGGAGGGGGACTGCAGTTTCGCTGGTGGCCCCACAGCCCCCTGCCTCCAGCCAGGGGACAAAGAACAGGAGGGATCCAGAGGTGAGAGAGGAGGTGCACAGTAGCTGCAGGGCCGGACCCTGATGAAGGGAGATGCTGTCCCACACGGAGCCCCTGCCAGCCCCCAGATCACCAAGGCTGGAGCCCCCCAGTGACTCTGCTGGTCACGTCTGTGGGATCCCTGCTCACCCCTCTGTCCTCACCCCTTCCCTCTCCCCCTGGCCACCTGCAGCCTCCTCCTGCCTGCTCAGCCGTGGGTCTCTTTCCCTCTGATCCACTCACCATGGGACCGCCAGGCAGCTCCCAAATCCAAACATGACCATGAGCTGCCCCGGCTTGAAACCCAAGCATGACCCCCTGTCACAGGCTGGACCAAGTCCTGAGTTCCTAAACCACCTTCAGGGCTGCCTGCACCTGCACCTCCCGCTCCTGCTGTGCCCTGATCCCATGTGCTGGGTGAACTGGGTTCTTCCGAGCCCTCCAGCCCTGGATGCTAACCCCAGAGCTGCAAGGTGAGGGGCACCTACGCCGGCAGCCATTCCCCATGGGAGGGGCAGTGCTGGAGGTGCCCTGGGTGACCAGGACGGGCCGCCGCCCCTCTGCTGGCCTTAGTGCCCTTGTCTGTGAAATGGGGCGAGCAGTTCCTCTCTCAGAGCTGCTGCGAGGACTGAGTCTCTCTGAGCTCAGGATTTTCCTCTCTCTGAGCTCCAAAACCACGGGCAAATCACACCCTCTCACTCTCAGCTTCCTGATCTACAAGACAGGGATGGTGATAGAGTACTCAACTCCTAGGGCAGTTGTGGGGCATGTGAAGCATTCAGCCCAGGGTCTGGCACCCTGAAAGGGCCAAACCTGTGTGAGCCACAGTTTTATGGTTGATCATCAATGCCTGTCTAAGAAAGCCCCATTCAGCTTGAACCCAGCTCTCCAGGAAGAGCTCACTGACACCCTCCTCACACACCCCAATCGGCCGTCTTTATTCATCCCCAAAAGTGATGTACAAGGAATGAGTCTTTGGGGGTGTGTCCGTCATCACCCACTGGGGCTGCTTGTGTCTCCAGCTATCCCTCCGAGGAATTCTGCCCCAGACAGCAGAGAGATGGGGGGCAGGGGACACATGGCCATGAGGACAGAGAGCCCTGAGAGGGACTGGGGAATCGAGACATCGTTTTCAAATAATTGCAGCAATCAAGAGAGACTGTACATCCCATCCCAGACAAAGGGAGACCTGTGAGTCCTGAGTGAGGCAAAATTTGACTTGAAACAAGTAGCTTGGGCAGGGAGGTGAGCGCTCTGCCCACAGGGAGGAGGTGGATGATGAAAGAAAGCGCCGTGGCGAACTCGGTTCTTTGCAAGGGTGCATCTTTTTGTTGTCTAGGCTGTTGAAAAATGTGCTCTTTCCTCATCAGAAAATGAGAGAATGGAGCTGGGCGCAGTGGTTCACGCCTGTAATCCCTGCACTTTGGGAGGCCGAGGCAGGCAAATCACCTGAGGTCAGGAGTTCCAGACCGGCTGGGCAACATGGTGAAACCCTGTCTCTACTAAAAATATGAAAAAAAGTTAGCCAGGCGTCCGCGTGCCTGTAATTCCAGCTACTCAGGAGACTGAGGCAGGAGAATCGCTTGAACCTGGGAGGCAGAGGTTGCAGTGAGCCGAGATCACGCCACTGCACTCCAGCCTGGGCGATAAGAGTGAAACTCTGTCTCAAAATAAATAAATAAATAAATAAATAAATAATCTTAAAAAAAATAAAAAGAAAACTAGAGAATGATGACTTCTGTTTACCATGTGCCTGGTTTCCTGTCCTGTCTGTGATCCTGTTGCTGTTTGCTGTCAACTGTTCCTGCTTCAGTGATATTAGAAGGGTTCAAGGAGAATGTGGGTCCCCTCCTTGCCTGCTCTGGGCCTTCCCCTGTTTCTGGCCTGTTTCATCTCCACCCCCGTTGGATCTGAGCTCCTTGAGGGTGGCCCCTACACCCTGCAGTGCTGAGCATTGGGAGGTGTGAGGGTTGCTGAAGGCTGGGGGTTGGTGCTTTTCTTCATTCAGCAGTCATCATTTATTGAGCACCCACTGTTTGCCAGCTCCTTGGCTAAGCATTTCAAGCCCTGTTCCATGGGCTCAGTCTTCCAGGGGCTGGCCGCTAACTACGCATCGATTGATTTCCAGAAGGACAGAAGCACATAGCAGGGCCTGGTCTCCACTGGGGGTGCCAGGAGCTGGGACCTCAAGGCTGAATGGATGAGGGGCCACCCACGTGTGTGCTGGACCTGAACTGGGAAGGATGTGGCTTTTTTTTTTAAGATGGAGTCTCGCTCTGTCGTCCAGGCTGGAGTGCAGTGGTGCAATCTCGGCTTACTGCAACCTCCGCCTCCTGGGTTCAAGTGATTCTCCTGCCTCAGCCTCCTGAGTAGCTGGTACTACAGGCACGTGCAACCACGCCTGGCTAATTTTTTATATTTTTAGTAAAGATGGGGTTTCACCATACTAGCCAGGCTGGTCTTGAACTCCTGACCTCATGATCTGCCCACCTTGGCCTCCCAAAGTGCTTGGATTAAAGGCATGCGCCACCGCGCCCAGCTAGGATGTGGCTTTTCGAGAAGAGAACAGGAGGGCAAGCCACGGATCCAGGGCTCCAAAAGCAGGTATATGGTGGGGATTGATGCAGGCGTGGCTTGCAGAGGATGGGTGCACAGTGCCCTAGACCATGGGAAAGACTTTGGGTTTTGTCTTTTAATTATTATTATTATTGTTTTTAGAGATGGGGTCTCACTGTGTTGCCCAGGCTGGACTCGAACTCCTGGGCCCAGGTGATCCTCCTGCATCGGCCTCCCGAGTAGCTAGGACTACAGGCGTGTGCCGCTAAACCTGGCAGGACTTTGGGTTTTGTTCTAAGCCTGTGGGAACAGCCACTGGAGGGTTTTAAGCAAGATGGGGACAGAGAGGGAGCATCTATGGACCTGGGCTTCTAAAGGCTCCCCCAGCTGTTGAGGGGAGGGTGGCTGGGAGGTGTGGAGGGGCTGTTGCCCATGTGCAGGGGAGATGAGGTGCTGGGCCCAGGAAGGAGGTGGTGGATCGGGGGCTGACAGTACTTGCTGAGGGACTGGGTATGGGGTGTGATGGACAGGAGGCCTGAGGGCCCTCCCAGGTTTCTGGCTTATACAGCTGAGTGGATGAAGCCTCCATTTTTTGGATGAGGGGCAGGTTTGGGGTTCCAGCTTGGCGTGATGGGAGCCTGGTGAACCTTCGGCCCTAATCCATGCCAGGCTCTGGATCTCGGGGGCCCTGAGTGGCCTGTCCACCTCAGACATCATGCCATGTGGGCCTTGAGATGTTTTCTGATGGTGAAAGAATGTGGGTCCCTCGCAGGTGGCCCCGTGGCCATGGTTGGGCTGCTCTGCTGTGTCAGGAGGGCTTAGCTGCCTAGGGTGTCTCAGTCCCCACAGAGCTCTGGCTCCAAGCCTCTGTCACCCTGGAATACAGGCCCTGTCACTAGAGGGACAGGAAGGTGCTGGGGAAGATGGGAGGGCCAGAGTGCCTACGGTGGGCAGGAGGGTGTGGTTGTCAAGGTCCCAGGCTCCTTGGTGTCTTGGTCAGGAGACTTGACCTGGGTTTGAAGCCTACGATTCCCCCAAAGCGTGGGCCAGAGCGGGAGGCGGAGTGTGGTGGGGCAGGGAGCATTGTCTTTGGAATCAGAGAGACCTGGGTTCAAATTCTGGCTCTCCCATATAGTAGCTCTATGTTAGACACCTGGGCCTCTTTGAACCTCAGTCTCCTCATTTTTTTTTTTTTTTTTTTAAAGACAGAGTCTTGCTCTGTTGCCCAGGCTGGAGGGCAGGGGCGTGATCTCAGGTCACTGCAACCTCCATCTCCCGGGTTCAAGTGAGTCTCCTGCCTCAGCCTTCTGAGTAGCTGGGACTACAGGTTTGCACCACCACGCCTGGCAAATTTTTGTATTTTTAGTAGAGATGGGTTTTCACCATGTTGGCCAGGCTGGTCTCGAACTCCTGACCTCAAGGTGATCCATCTGCCTTGGCCTCCCAAAGTGCTGGGATTACAGGCATGAGCCACCGGCCACCTCATCTGTAATACAGGAGAAAAATAATCATCTCTACCTCCTCATAGGGCTGTTGAGAAGATTAAGATGAGGTAGCATGGGCCGGGTGCGGTGGCTCATACCTGTAATCCCAGAGAGGCTGAGGCGTGTGGGTTGCTGGAGCCCAGGAGTTGGAGACCATCCTTGCTAACATGGTGAAACTCTATCTTTACCAAAAATACAAAAATTAGCCTGTCTCAAAATAAATAAATAAAATAGATTGAAATTTAACAATAAAATAAATGTTTAAAAATGAGCTAGCATGTATGGAGTACATGGCACAGCACACAGTGAATGCTCACCACATTTTAACTGTTACGATGGTGATTATTGTAGATTCTGGATACCCCAGTAAACGCGCTACTCCAGACCTTTGCAAATGCTGTTCCCTCCACTTGGAATGTTCTGGGCCAGTGGTGTGCTCCTCCCCCTCCTTCAACGTCCGAGTCAGGGCCACCCCAGCACCCAGCCGACTTGATTCCTCTGCGTGTGCCAGCCTGCGCCCATGCACCCTCTTCACAGCAGTTACCCCTCCCAGGCTGGCCTCCGGGGCAGTGGGTCTGGCCGCTCTCTGTCTAGGGCCTCGCAGTAGGGCATGGGATAAGCACAGCTGAGGGGGTCTTAGCCTGTGCTGGGTGCAGTGTAAGGAAGGAGGCCTGGGAGGCCTGGGGTGGGCTAAGGTACCCGTGGTGGCGGGGGATAGAGGTTGGACCCACGTGGGAGAGGTGGCAGCCATCTGCCTAGGACATCTGCAAGCACACGTGCAGATGACAACTAACGCGAGACGCAGGGGTGTCGTCAGGGGCCAAGGCCCAGAGAGGCAGATGGCCCAGACTGAGGACATGGGCAGCCCAGCTAGACCCGCTGCCCTATTGGCCCCGGGCTTGGGTCGGTTCTAGGCCTTTCTCCTCAGCCCGAATGGGAGACCCAGTGGGCCTGGTGTTGGGTTTTCAGTGGAGAGGAGGGAGTTTATGGCCTTGGTGAGGGGGGGTGGCAGACAGGCAGGGGGTAGATGGCTTTCCCGGAATCCCAGATCTCTCTTTAATAATTTGTTTCAGAATTAATGTCCATTCACGCCATCTTTCTTGTTCCAGCTCATTGGAAGATTAAATAAAGCCCCATCCCCTCCCTGCCAGTGGAGGGAGACCAGCCCCGTTCTTGCCCGTGCTCTCTGGCTGGGCTGGCTGCCTGAAGCCAGTGCAGAAAATAAATCTCTCAGAGAAAACCACTTTGCTCACACGATTTCAATCCAACAGGGCATAGTGGCCCCAGTCACTTCTTGTTTTATTTAGCTGATAATCTTTTATTGTATCAGGAGACCCTCACGGAAGCACTGTGTCTTTCCAAGGCTGCAGCCTTCCCGAACGGCTGGGCTGCCCAGGCCAGGCCCCCTGAGCCAAGCCCCTTCTTCCTCCACTCCCAGGGTTCGGCCCTTGCTTCAGGCGGCACTGCCAGGTACCCAGAAAGGTGGGTTCTTCGTGCCAGGGTATCTGGGAAGGGCCTGGCAGTGGCTGTCCCTAGCTCCAGGGTGCACAGCCAGGGCCTCTGTGGGCTGGGACCCAACTCAGGGAGGCCCCTCAGCCAGTAAGGCCAACTGACATTCACTCATTCATTCACTCAATTCATTCATTCACTCATTCATTCACTCAACACATATTTATTGTACGCCTTCTCTGTGCCACATTTGGAATGCAGGGTGCTCAGACGGAGAGATGGACAAATGGAGAGACCGATGGGTCACAGCCTCTCGGGGTCGTTGCCTTTGTTTCCCTGCATCACCTGATTAAGACTTCTTGCTCCTGTGTCATTTTCTCTGGCATATTTTTTTTTTTTTGAGATGGAGTCTCGCCCTGTCATCCAGGCTGGAGTGCAGTGGCACAATCTTGGCTCACTGCAACCTCCATCTCTTGGGTTCAAGCACTTCTCCCGCTTCAGCCTCCCAAGTAGCTGGAATTACAGGCGCGCACCACCACACTTGGCTAGTTTTTGTATTTTTGGTAGAGATGGGTTTTGCCATGTTGGCCAGGCTGGTGTTGAACTCCTGACCTCAGGTGATCAACCCACCTTGGCCTCCCAAAGTGCTGAGATTACAGGCGTGAGCCACCACTCCCATCCAGCATATCCCTTTTTCCATTTGATTTTATTTAATTTGGATTATCAAGTACAGAAACCAAGTTATTAATTAATAATATTTAGAAATATTGAGGCTGGGCATGGTGGCTCATGCCTATAATCCCTGCACTTTGGGAGGCTGAGGCAGGAGGATCATTTGAGCCCAGGAGTTTGAGCCCAGCCTGGGCAACATAGGGAGACTTCATCTTTACAAAAAAATAGAATATTAGCCAGGTGTGGTGGTGTGCTCCTATGGTTCCAGCTACTCAGGAGGCTGAAGGGGGAGGATCATTTGAGCCCAGAAGTTTGAGGCTGCAGTGAGCTACGATTGCACCACTGCACTCCAGCCTGGGCAACAGAGTGAGACCCTGCCTCTGTTAAAAAAAAAAGAAAAGAAAAGAAAAGAAAAGAAATATTGGAAGCTGGTAGAGTCTAAAAATAAAAATAAAAAAACAGGTCAACAAGTCTTCCTATCAGAGGCACATGATTGGATAATGCTAATGAAAATCCCTCAGCCTTGGAGTCAGGAGAGAAAATTAGCATTAAAAGACTGGAGTGTGCCGGGCACAGTGGCTCACGCCTGTAATCCCAGCACTTTGGGAGGCTGAGGCGGGCGGATCACCTGAGGTCGGGAGTTCGAGACCAGCCTGACCAACATGGAGAAACCCCCTCTACTAAAAATACAAAATTAGCCAGGCGTGGTGGCGCATGCCTGGAATCCCAGCTACTTGGGAGGCTGAGGCAGGAGAATCGCTTGAACCCGGGAAGTAGAGGTTGCGATGAGCCGAGATTGTGCTGTTGCCCTCCAGCCTGGGCAACAAGAGCAAAACTCCATCTCAAAAACAAAACAAAACAAAACAAGAACACTGGATTATTACTTCATCCAATGTTTATGAGTTTTTATCCTATTTTCAGTGTGCCTCTTTATACTAGTATTAGTTCAATTTGTTAGGTATTAATGACTTTCCCACACAGAATTTCTTGAGTTTACAAATCATGTTTATATAACTTTCCTAGTTCAATCTGGGCCAGTAGAGTGTTTTGTAGTCTTAACTGGAGTTTAATAAATGCTATGTAAATAATGATTTTGTTCTGATTCCTTCAACACATTTCTAGTTTTTAACTTTAAAAAACCCTTTTTATTTTAAAGTAATTATAGACTTACAAGAATTTGCAAAAATAGTTTGGAGATTCCTGGATACCCTTTACCCAGCTTCATGCAGTATCTTGTGTGACTATAATACAATATCAAAACCAGGAAGTGGACATTAGTACAATACTGTTAAGCAGACAGACTAATTCCGATTTTACCAGGTTTTATACACTTTCATTTCTGTGTGAGTTTGTTTATGCAATTTAATACCATGTATGGGTTTGTGTGACTCAGACATACTTCTTTAAAAAAATTTTTGTTAAATTAAATTAATCTGAGACAGGGCCTCTCTCTGTTGCCCAGGCTGGAGTGCAGTGGTGTGATCTCAGCTCACTGCTACCTCAACCTCCCAGGCTCAAGCAATCCTCTCACTTCAGCCTCCTGAGTAGCTGGGACTACAGGCGTGCACCATCAGGCCCGGCTAATTAAAAAAAAAATTTTTTTTTGTAGAGATAGGGTCTTACTATGTTGCCCAGGCTGGTCTTGAACTACTGGGCTCAAGGGATCCTCCCACCTCAGCCTCCCAAAGAGCTGGGATTACAGGCATGAGCCACCGCATCCAGCCACTGAGACACATTTAATAATTACTTTATTTTTCCTAACTTTTGACTTTTTGAGATGTAACTTTCCTTGTGTAAGCTGCACAGATTCCGAGTGAGCAGCTCAGTGTCTTTTCACGAGTGGCCCCTCCGCAGATGGGCCGGCCGCTCTGAGGCGAGTGCCGTGGAGCAGCGCTGGCTGTTCTTGCACCTCGTGGAACAGTTTGTGCTCCCCTGAGTCTGGCTTCTTTTGGAGCAAGAAGTGAGGGAGGTCCCCCTGGAGCCTTTTGTCATGGGTACAATATGCTTATTTTATCACTGGCACTCATCATGGCGAGTGATTCTGTGTTTATCACTCTGATTCGACAAATGCTACACATTTTTTAAAAATGGGCCCTCTTGGCTGGCACGCAGTGGCTCACGCCTGTAATCCCAGCACTTTGGGAGGCCGAGGCAGGCAGATTACCTGAGGTCAGGAGTTTGAGACCAGCCTGGCCAACATGATGAAACCCGTCTCTACTAAAAATACAAAAATTAGCTGGACGTGGTGGCGTGCGCCTGTAATCCCAGCTACCCTAGAGGCTGAGGCAGGAGAATCGCTGGAACCCGGTAGGCGGAGACTGCAGTGAGCTGAGATTGCGCCACTGCACTCCAGCCTGGGCAATAGAGCGAGACTCCTTCTCTTAAAAAAAAAAAAAGGGTCCTGTTTGGGGCAGTATTTCAAGCACTGGGCAAGGGGCTGAACTGGACGGACCTAGTCCCTTCCCTAACTGAGCTCAGAGCCTGGCGGGGAACAGCAGGACAGGAAGGTGCTGGGCTTTGATGGGGCTGTTGAGTGTGGTGTGGCCAGGGAGGGTCAGTCCCAGAGAAAGAAAAGAGAAGAAAAAGTCACAGTCAAGAGCATGGCCAGGCAAAGGCTCGGAGGTGGGACTGTCAGGGTAGTGTGTGTAGGGAACAGGAATGGGTGAGACAGGCTGGACAGAGTGGCAAGGAAGAACCTGCAAGGGCTGTGGGCTGCTTTGAGGAGGTGGAGCTTTACCAGGAGCGGGTGGGGCAGTCAGGACAAAGCTTTGAGCAGGTGAGAGCAATGCTCTTAGAAAACACATAATCATGGTCTAGGCAAAGATTTTTAGAAATGACCCGAAAAACACAGGCAACAGAAGCAAAAAATAGGCAAATGACACTACATCAAACTAAAGAGCTTCCGCCCAGCAAAGGAAACCATCAATAGAGTGAAGAGGCCAGGAGTGATGGCTCACACCTATAATCTCAACGCTTTGGGAGGCCGAGGCAGGAGGATCACTTGGGCCCAGTAGTTCAAGACCAGCCTGGGCAACATAGCAAGGTCTCATCTCTAAACAAAAATAAAAAAAAAATTAGCCTGACATGGTGGTGCGCACCTGTGGTCCCAGCTACTTGGGAGGCTGAGGTGGGAGCATCAAAGAGATGTCTGCACTGCCATGTCCATTGCAGCACTATCCACAATAGCCAAGATATGGAAACAACGTAACTGTCCATTGACAGACGAATGAATGAAGAAAATGTGGTGTACAGACACCATGGAATACTATTCAGCCTTAACAAGGCAATTCTGTCATTTGCAGCAACTTGGATTAACCTGGAGGACATTAAGTGAAATAAACCAGGCACAGAAAGACAAATAATGCACGATCTCATTTACACATGGAGTGTAAACAAGTTGAACTCAAGGAAGCACAGAGCAGAATGGTGGTAGCCAGGGGCAGAGGGTAGGGGTGGCATGGCTGGGGAGATAGTGATCAAAGGACACAAAATGTCAGGAGGAATACTTCAATAGATCTCTTGTACAACATGGTGGTTACAGTTAATAACAACAGAGTGTATACCTGAAAGTTGCTAAGAGAGTAGATTTTAAATGTTCTCACCACAAAAAAATGGAAAGTCTGTGAGGTAATGCATGTTAAATAGCTCAATTTAGCCATTCTGCAATGTGCACATATATCAAAACATCATGCTGCACACCATAAATATATACAATTTTATTTTGTTATTTATTATTTTTTATTTTTTTTTTTTTTGAGATGGAGTCTCACTCTGTCGCCCAGGCTGGAATGCAGTGGTGCGATCTTGGCTCACTGCAACCTTCCCTCCCGGGTTCAAGCGATTCTCCTGCCTCAGCCTCCCTAGTAGCTGGGATTACAGGCATGCACCAACACGCCCAGCTAATTTTTGTATTTTTAGTAGAGATGGGGCTTCACCATATTGGTCAGGCTGGTCTTGAACTCTTGACCTCAGGTGATCCACCTACTTTGACTTCCCAAAGTGCTGGGATTACAGGCATGAGCCATCGTGCCTGGCCAATATATACAATTTTTACTTGCCAATTAAATTTTTGTTAAAAAGAAAGAAAACATGGAAACAAATCACCCCGTCCGTGTTCAGCCAAGATGAGCTCTGATTGGCTGCACCCCCTGGTCCTGGAGCCAATGAGGACGCAGAGTCCTTCTAGTGCAGGTGACATCATCCTGGGCATATTTTATGTGGCATTAGAAATCCAATAATGATCATTTCAAGAGATTCTGCAGAAGAAATGTCCCAAACACAATGCGGCTGCCTGATGGTCTGAAATCCGTGCATTTCTGTGGTAGAGTGAGTAGGAAGTGGGGGTGCTTCTCCCTCTTTGGCCGCAATTGTGTTTTGAGGAGTCCAATCATCATCGATTACTTATTTATGTGATTAATCTCCTTAGGAAAGAAGGCACTTGTCCCTATTTTACACAGGAGGAAGCAGAGAGCCCAGGGGATGACTCGACCCAGGCACACGGCTGATGGATTGATGAACGGCAGAGCTGGCCTCAGACCACAGGCAACTCTGGGTGTGTCCACCCACCTCTGCCAGATCCAATCGCACTGGCCCAGGAAGGGAGGCGAGGGGGTGGGGAGCATATGAGGATGAGGGTTCCCCCAGCACTGGGAGGCCCTTGAGCTCACTTGGCCCAGGTGGGGCAAAGTCACGCTGTGGCTGGGGTGCCCTGAGCCATGCTGGGCCAGAAGTCATCCCGTGCAGGTGGGAGGGATCCCTGGGCTCTGGGTCCTGGCTCTCTGTCCGTCTCTGTCATCAGCCTCACACGGGGCGCTACTCATCACACTCCTCGCTGGTGTGCAGGGCTGCTGCTCCGCATGATAATGGAACATGATGCCTCTTGCCAGGTTTATTTGGCTGGGAGTGGTGGTGGATGTCAGTCAATTTCTGGTGCCCCTTTGCCCAGATGTGAATGTGGTACCTGTACACCCTGGGAGAAGAGGGTGTTTGTTGTAAAGTGTACTGGGATGTGTTTTAATCAGGTATGGTAAGGTGGCAGACATGAAGAGGCCAATGCCATTGAAAGTGTGTTTACTGGCCGGGCATGGTGGCTCATGCCGGTAGTCCCAGCACTTTTGGAGGCTGAGGTGGGGGATCACTTGGGTTCAGGAGTTCGAGACCAGCCTGAGTAAAATAGAGAGACCCCCCCCCGTTTCTATATTAAAATAATAATAATAAAATAAAAATAAAAAAAGAAAGAGTGATTACTACTCACAGTTTCCTGGAGAAGAGGGTACAGCACGCCCTGCAGGGCCCCATGGAGAAGCTCCAGGGTCAGGGAGGAGGCAGCTGGAGCTTGGAGGGAACATGGCCCAGAGCCTTCATCATGGTTTCCAAGGGAAGAAAAAATGGACAAGGCAGAGTGGGCGAGTTCGAGCTCGTGTAGGATTGGATAGATTCTCGGCTAGTTTGAATAATTTGGCAGGCTCCGGGCTGTAGAAGTAGTGTCTGGTTGTCTGGTACCTGCCCCTGGCCCCCAGGCACTGAGATGAGAGTACCTAGAGTGACTTTGGGCAGGGGAAGTATGGGCTTGGCTGTGAGAATTGGATAAAGGAGGCTGGGGATGTACGCTTCGGGGTGGTGGGTTTGCATGTGAAAGTCATGCTCTTTGCTGTCTCTAGGAGTTAGCTAGCCCCGGAAGGGGCAGTTCCTTCAAGATTAACAAGGCCTCTAAAATGTCAAAGCATCATAAAATACAGAAAGCAAAACTCACGATTGACACAGCTGGCCCATGGGCACCTCGTCCAGGTGTCTTCAGGCTGGGGCCCCATCGACCTTTGCTCCCGACTCTGAGGCTCCATCATGCCTGGCAGCCTCTCAGGCTTCAGTGTCACTCTTGGGCACACGGGAATCACCAGGCTGCGGGGCACCACGGCATGGAGAAGAGAGAGCCTTGAGGTCCTCTGCTCATGAGCCACACAGCTGGGGGCTCCCACAAGCCTGTCTAGGGTGCTGTTGTCCTTTTCGCCCTGTCCCGGTCTAGAGGCAGAGCCCCCTTGTTAAAGACCCACAGGATCTCCTTGCTCCGTACCCTTGGTCTCTGGAATCTGCTCTAGGACCTGCCTGAGCTCCTGCTAAGGCATCCTCTCCCCAGAGCAGTGGGGGCTGCTGGCCTCAACCAGGGTCATTTGGTAATGGGTGGGACATTTTTGGTTGTCGCCTGGGGAGGGGTTGACAGGGTTGGGGAGCAGATCGGTTTTATAACCACGGGCACAGGCTAGGAAGGCCAAACATCCCTCAAGGCACGGAATAGTCACCCGACATGGAGAATTGTCCCATCCCAAGTTCCAGTAGCGCCCTTGTTTGAGAAATGCAAGCTCCCTGCACATGGGGCAGGGTTGGGACTTGTTAGGAAACACAGAGGGGCAAATATCGTGGTTACTTTGATCAAATCTCATCCTCCTGCCTCAGCTCCTTGCAGGAGAGAAAACTGAGGCCAGGAGTGCCCACGGGAAGTGCTGAGATCACACGGCCATGAAGTCACTGGGCAGGGACTTCAGTTCACACCTGTCTCCCTCTGGAGCCTCCAACTGTGACCGCCTCATCCAGAAAACCCTCGGAGTGACAGGGCCCTGTTGGGGGAGGTGGACCCAGGCCCCTTCCCGCAGGAAACTCCTTCCACAGCCTGTCCGAGGTTGTGACCCCAAATCGTCCCCTCTTGACCTGCAGTTGGGCCCCTGCTATGCTGCCTGGCGTCCACTGTGGCTGAATGAGTGCCGTGGGCTTATGGGGACCCTAAGAGAGTTAAGGAACAAATGGTTAGGGGTGGTTGGCAGGGGTGGATAGAGGGGAATCCGTCCTGGTTCTGGAGCCTGAGACCTGCTTGTAAGGGTCGGCCCTGATTTGCTGTGTGACCCAGGGTTGCTCCTGTGCCTCTCTGTGCTCCATTCCTCCTCCGCATACCCGCCTCACAGAGCGGTCAAGGGCCCCCTCGGGATTGCTACACACCGTGGGAAGGTCAGGGGACAGCATGGGTGGCATCTGACAGGGGGCCCTACTGCAGATGATTCATTGTGTGCCTGCTCTGAGCCAAGCCCTGGGGCCGGCACTGGTGACCCAGTGGTGGCCAGACAGGCAAAGCCCTTGTCCTCACAGGTTGCCCAGACCCCTTCTGGTGGGTGATGGTTACATACCCCCTGTGATGGGCGGGATTCTATCTCCCCCACAAATTCATCTGTTGAAGTCCTAACCCCCACTGCCTTAGCATGTGACTGTAATGAGAGACTGGGCCCTTATTCATTTATTTAATTATATTTTTTGAGACAGGATCTCGCTCTGTCGCCTGGGCTGGAGTGCAGTGGCGCCATCACGGCTCATGCAGCCTCAACTTCCCTGGGCTCAGGTGATCCTCCCACCTCAGCCTCCCAGGTGGCTGGGGCTACAGGCATGTGCCATTACATCCAGCTAATTTTTTTTTTTAATTTTTCGTAGAGACGGGGTCTCCCTATATTGCCCAGGCTGGTCTTGAACTCATGGGCTCAAGCGATCCTCCCACCTTGACCTCCCAAATTTCTGGGATTACAGGGGTGAGCCACCATGCCCGGCAAAGACAGGGCCTTTAAAGGGGTAATTAAATGAAAGTGACATCATTAGGGTGGGCCCTAATCCAATCTGACTGGTGTCCTTATAGGAGGAAGAAATTAGGACGCAGATACCCAGAGGGGAGACATGAGGACAGAGGGAAAAGCCGGCCATCCGCATGCCAGGCAGAGAGGCCTCGGGAGAAGCCGCCCCTGCTGGCACCTCCACCTCGGACTTCTAGCCTCCAGAATTGTGAGAACATCAGTTTATTTTGTTTACCCGCCCCCCCCCCGCCCCCACCAAATCTGTAGAACTTTGTTACAGCAGCCCTCGGGAACAAATACACCCCCAATATATGAACGTGCATTTGGAGTCGTGAGTGCAGCAGCCCCCTAGGAGCTGATACCACTGAAAATACGAGACACCCAATTAAATTTGAATTTCAGATAAACAATGAATAATTTTTTCGCATACACTGCATGGGACATACTTATTATACTAAAACAATCCATTGTTTATCTGAAATTCAAATTTAACTGGGCGTCCTGGATTTGCATTTGCTAGATCTGGCCACGTGGCCTGGCATCTAAGGCTGTGACTCCCATCCGACAGAGGTTCAAGGACAGAGACCAGCCTGGAAGCCGAGAAGGGGGTGAGAGCCTGAGGCTGCTTCCCAGGCCTGAGCTGCTCTCCCCAAACGGTTCCCATCTCCCGCACAAACATATTTATTGGGCCTGATGGCAAACAGATTATGCTTGTCCCAGGAAGGGCAGCTCCAAAGAGAAAACCTTGAAGTCCGGGAAATAATGATGAGGGAGTTAAATTAAAGTGCATAAAACCCTCCCGAGAGATAACGTCAGGGTGAGTTACAGGCCCGATAAGGGACTGGGGGCTTGCAGAGGGGGCTCAGAAAGGTCGCCCAGCGGCGCACAGAGGACCAGGAATCATAAATATGGGGCAAGACGCCCAGCCGGGGTCGCCGGGGTGAAAATATTGGGGTCATTCCAAAAACAATTATCCTGCTTGGTTTGCTCTTCAGGTCTTGTAAATCTTTCACCTTTTATAAAAGATTTCTGGAGAAGGAAGCACTCTGGAAGTCTTAACTGATTTTTGTGGCTGCTTCTTGGTGGTTCTGCTGAAGGAAAACAAAAAGACAGAGGAAAATGAAATTACCCAGCATTCTCAGAGGCACAGGGCTGGGCTGACTGGTTTTCTCTTATTCTTTGGAGAATTTGGGCTGCCTTGGGTTTTGAGTCCTCCCATTTACAGTCTTGACACCATTTAACAGTTCGTTTGTTCTGTTTTGAAGCCAGTTGCAGCAGGGCTTTCACTGCCCAGTGGGCCCTGTTCTATGGGGCCAACTTGGCAGCCATCTTGACTGGAGGCAGCCATCTTGGCAGAAGCGGTGCCCGTTCTGACTGAAGTGCAGCCGTCTTAACTGAGGGGCGTTCCTGGTGGCTAACAGGTACCCAGATGCTCGTTCTGACCGAAGTGCAGCCACCTTGACTGACGGGGTTCGTGGTGGCCGACATGTACCCAGGCTCGTGTGCCCAGGCAGAGCTCCTGAAGCTGGAGAATGGGTCTAGGCCACGCCTGGCCTCGTGCTCACGGCTCCAGCTGCATCCCCTGCCTTCCTATTGTCTGCCCAAGGGCACCCTTGGTCCAGTCCTGTCCTCTGTGGCTCTGTCTGTGTTCTGGGCTTCTCAGTTGCACCAGCAGAAGGCAGTCATTTGTCCCACAAATGTTTTTTAAGGCTGGGTGTGGTGGCATGTGCCTGTAATCCCAGCTATTCGGGAGTATGAGGCACAAGAATTGCTTGAACCTGGGAGATGGAGGTTGCAGTGAGCCAAGATCACGCCATTGCACTCCAGCCTGGGCAAGACAGGGAGACCCTGTCTCAAAAAAAAAAAAAAAAAAAGCGAAAAGAAAAGCTCATTGAGCACCTGCACACTTGCACATGCCGGCCACTGTGCTGGGTCCTAATGCCTCATCCTCAGCTGAGGGCGTCATCTTCTGGGTGGCTTTTTCCTAGGTTTCCCTGTCCCCCTCCGCACGTGCACAGCCACAAAACCGGCTCTCCTCAGAAATCTCTCTCCTATCGACTACCTCATTTATTTCTCACAACCCTGTAGAGGAGGGATTACTAGCGCATTTGACAGATGAGGAAACTGAGGCTCAGAGGGTGAAGTGACTGGCCTGGTGTCACACAGATAGGGGAGGAGGCAGAGCTGGGAGTTCAACACCGACCTGTACAGCTCTAGAACGGCGCTCTTGGTGTCCCGTGCCTTAGCTGTGTGCCCTGGCGGACTCACTGGGCACCCTGAGCCTTGCTCTCCTCATCTGCGCACGGGATACATGTTCTAGGCCTGCGTGGGGCGTGCGGGCGGGAGCCATGCGTGCGGGGCGTGCGGGCGGGAGCTGCAGGCGGGGGCTGAGGCTTGGAGTCTGGAAAGCATTCTAGGGGTGGAAGCCAGAGCTTCTCTGTGTGTGTGAGAAAGAGTATCCCCATTCAGCTTTCATGGTCTGGCACCTCCCACCACAATAGAATTATTCAAACTGAGTTAATTTGCTGAGTGGGACTTGGGGCTCCTTCAGGTTCAAGCCAGATTGAGGTGTGGGAGAGGGGTAGCAAGGGGGTGGCCAAGTGGCCTGAGAGTGTCCCATGGGAACACCCGCCCACCCATTCATTCATTCATGCATGCATGCATTCATTCAACAAACCTTATTTTGTGCCAGGCCTGCTCTGGGCGCTGGGGATACAGTGAGAGGGGAACAAGTCAGATTCGAGTCCTCCCCCACCAGAGCTCCTATCCCGGGGCAGGAGACAGACTGGAGCTAGGGAGGCCCGGGAGGAGGCCACTGCTATGTGGTCCAGGAGAGTGATGGTGGCACCCGGATGGAGGCAAGAGTGGCCCTGAGGATCCCATGGAAGTGTAAAGGGTGACTCAGCCTCAGCGAGGTGAAGGGACTTGCCCAGGGTCACACAGTTAACAGGCGGTGGCGCCAGTTTGTCTGACTGGAGACCGCGCTGTCAGCCGGCCACTGCCACGGCTCCCGAAACAGCATCGCCCATACCGAGTCCCGAGCTACCCCAGCTCTAGACATGCGTGCATGCACTTCGGTCACAAGTGTGCCTGGGGAAGTTGCGTGTCACCCCCTTCTTGGAACACAGTGCACAGTGGCCCGTTGAAGGCTCTGAGGGACCCCGCAGGAGCAAAAACTGCCATGTTCAGCGTGGAGTTCCCAGACCTCTGTGGCCATGGAACCTTTTGGACACTTTTTAACATACGTTCTAGTCATTGGATATTTGTTGAGTGTGTGCTACATGCCAGAGACTGATGAGCAGAGCTGGCTTGGTCCCTGTCATCTGGGAGCGATGGCCTGTGAGGCCCCTTCCCTGGGCCCCACCACAAGAGGGAGCCCCAGGGCAGGAAGGCTGCTTGTCCTCCCTGCAGCCCCTCCCGCCTCTGGGAGTCAGTGCTCAGAGGTGGGGCCGCGGCAGCTGGGTGGGGGTGGCCCTGGGAGGCCTAGTAGTCTTTGGTCTGGAGGCCATGGGCGTCCTCACCACCGGTGTGACAAGGAGACCAAGAAGGAGAGGTGACACCAACCCAGCCCTCAGTGAAAGGGTGTGTGGCTTGGCCCTTGGGCCTGGCTGGCTGGATCCTGTGCTGAGGGCTGGGCTCATAGGGGATTCCCTCTGGTGGCATCCCCCATCATGGGTTTCCACTCCTGCATCAAAGTGTCTTGACTAAGATGTTGACTTCATGGGATCAAAGCCACCCAGCTTGGCAGTCTCTTCCCCAGATGCTCTGGAAACCAGCCAAGACAGCCCAGGCAGGCTTCCTGGAGGAAGAGGTCCTGGAGTCAGGCCAGAGGGAACAGCCCAGCCCAGGCACCTGTGGGGAGGCTGCAGATAGTGATGGTGACAACCAAGGGCTTGGGGAGGGGCCAGAGAATCCACTTCCAATATTGGCCCCGCCTTGGCAGCTGTGCACCTTGGGAAAACAACATGACTGCTGCAGGCCTCGATGTCCTCATCTGTAAAATGGGATGATGACAGACCTGGAGGTGGCCCTTCAGGCCCTCACCCACGGTGGCCCAGGGGAAGATTCCGCTGCTGGCAGCATGGGCCTGGGAGAGGAGACAGGGCTGCTCACATTTGCCTTCCCCTCTGAAGAGTGGGGCTTGGGAAAATACTCCTTGACCTGAAAAAGCCTCAACTGGACGCTCCTGTGGGTCCGTCACAGATACGACTTTGCAAATCAGATGTGACAGGGAAATGTGTGCTGAGATGGTGGCCAGCTGCTGGGCTGCGGGGGAGGGGCTGCTGAGGGACCCACACGGCCTCCTCCGAGAACAGACGCCTCTGCCAGGCCATGTGGAGCGCAGGTGTGCGGGGCCGGCCGCTCTTGGATTAAAGTCACACACACACACACACACACACACACGCCAGGTGCATACACTTAAACTCACGTGCATGTACACACATGCAGAAACTCACAACACATACACTCACACATGGTTACATGCACACACTTGCACACACATGCTCACAGAGACACACACAGACACACCCACACGAGGACACACTGGGAGGAAGTGTTCGGGATTGGAGCCCAAGCCAGGTCCAGGTCCATGAATGCCCTTTCCTTCCTTCTCCCTTTAGGTCTTGCCGTAGTGAAATGATGCTAAGAACCCCTGCTTTTGGGGGATTTTGAAAAAATAATTTTAAAAAGTATTTGCACTGTGATTGGCACCTAGGAACAGCTGAAGAGGCCCGCCCACTCCGGCTGTCCCCTGCCCCTTTCCTTCACTCTAGGGTGGCTGCTGAGGTCCCTGACCATGGAAGGTGGGCACATGGGTGGCGAGCTGGCCTCCATGTCTGGGAGGTGCGGCGCTGTGGCTGTCCGCCAGGAGCTGGCTCTGTGATAGCCCAGGAATCTGTGTCAAGTCACGAAGGGCCCCTCACAGCCTCTGGGCAGGGACACACAAAAGTCCCTCCCCGCAAACCCAGAGACCTCCTTTCCCAAGGGGAGAAACCAGCAATGCGAGAGGAGTGCCGAGAACCCCTCTTTCTGTGGTGAGTGGGGGACTCACACGGTTCCCATGATGGGGACCCTTTGGCTGGGGTCTTCATGCAGGTTGACCTCTCGGCCCCTGTGGCCAGGGCACCCGAGCCCGGACTCACCCCATCACACCTCTCACTGAGAACGGGTTGCACTTGTGCCCCAACTCCTCCCCTTGGCGAATTCCTCTTGGGGTTCCTTGCCTCAGAATCTGTCCTCCCCAGGTGTCCTCCACTGTCACCCTCCAATGGGATGCATCAGGGCCGGGGCAGCTTTTCCCCAGGCATGTTCTCAGGCCCGGGCTACAGACAGGACACGGGGAGAACGTGTCCACCTCCACTCCCCAGCTGCCTGCTGCAGACATCTGGTCACCCGGGCACTAGAGGATGGGTCAAAGCCCTGGACTGTGAGTTCCCCAAGGAAGGCTCTGACTCGGGTCCTTTCTCTACCTTCAGGGCCCTCTTGAGGCCTGGTGCAGGGCTGGCGTCAGTGGACACGTGTTGAATGAGCACTGAATGCTTACGTTCGTCCTGGGTGGGAACCCACCTCCCACCAGGAAACTGCTCTCATCTTCTTAGTGGCCGCCTGCCCCACTGAGCCCGAATTAGGAGGGAATCCTCGGGCTTCCTCTGGGCAGGCTTCGGAAGGGTTCCCGCCTGGTCCCCGCGTTCCCCCAGCATCCTGCACGGATGCAGCTCACTCCACCAGTGCCTTCCCCTGCCGGGATGCAGACGCTCTTTATAAATCTCAATTAACAAGGCTGCTGCAGTCACAGACACTGGTTGGAGCCCAAACTGTGGCTCATCTCTGTTGATCAATGCATCCAACCCTGCCCTGAAAGTGATGAGAAGGCAGAGCCGTGCGTCTCACCAGATTCTTTGTCTCCACATTGTACATTCCCTGTTCTGGTTAACAACTGCAGACCACTGGCTGCCACTGGGCCGGGCCCTCCCTGTGTAGGATCTCAGTGCATCTTCCCAGCAGCCCTGTGAGGGAGGTTATTTCTGTCCCCATTTCACGGACAGGTCCTCAGAAAGATTGAGAGATTCACCCAAAGACCCTGGCCTGGGGACTCACGGTGCAGCTCAGCCCAGGCTGGTGGGGTGTGTGCCTCAGGCCTCAGCCTCCTGAGTCTAGGGGGACATGAATCCCCCAGCCTCACCTCCCCCAAAGGTAACTGTGAGCACCCATCCCTGCCATTTCAGGGCCTTCCCCTGGCTGTCCTTGGCCTAGTCCCAGGAGGAGGGGCTGGACAGACAGAAGGAACAGGAGGCTGCACCTCACGGGCCAAGCCTGGGGACTTACACACACCCCGTGGGGGTCCCTGCATCATCAGGTGATTGATAGCTCCTAGGAGCTGGGGTGGGGTGCAGATCAGTCAAAACAAAACAAAAATGATGGTTCACCAGCACTTCGGGAGGCTGAGACAGGAGGATCACTTGAGCCCAGGAGTTTGAGACCAGCCTGGGCAACATGGCAAGACCCTCGTCTCTACAAAAATAAAATAAAATAACAAAATTAGCCAGATGTGCTGGCATGCACCAGTAGTCCTAGCTACTTGGGGGGCTGAAGTTGGAAGATCACTTGAGCCTGGGAGGTCGAGGCTGTAGTGAGCCATGATCGCACTACTGCATTCCAGCCTGGGTGACAGAGTGAGACCCTGTCTCCAAAAAAACCCAAAAACAAACACAAAATGTGGTTCAGCTAGCGGAGGCTTCTCTCACCCAGATGCACAGATGGGGTGACATTCTAGCCATCATACGTATGTCAGTTTTGTAAGGGGCATGACAAACCTTGTCCTCGAACCCACTTAGACAGGTAACAGCACTGGCTTAGCTCCTGTAACTCAACGTTTATGCGCAGGCTCCATTCCAGCAGCCCAGTGGGGAACTTTACTTCCTCCTCTCAAGGAACCTGCCCCGCCAGAGTGGTGTCAGGTCTCTCAGGCGATGCCGAGGCTGGGGGGCCCTGGTCCCTGAGTCAGCTGCTGGCGGGTTGCTGTGGGAGCAGGACCTGGGCCTGCCCATGGCTCCTGTGGCCCGGGGCCCCCTCTGCTCCCAGTCCTGCCAGGACCCCTCCCTGCCTCTCTGCCAGCCCTAGCACTCACATGTCACCACTGCACTCACATGTCACCAGCGGCTCTCAGCAAGGCCAGCCAATTCACCCTGGAAGTTACCTCCTCTGTGGAGCCGATAACCTCTTTTCCTGTGAATTCACCCAGAACACCTGTGCATGAACTCTAACCTTGGTCCCATTTTGGGCAAGGAGACCGGCATGGATAAGCATGACAAAGTCACCTGCCAGCAAGTGGCAGCACTAGGATCTGAGCCCAGCCCGTGCAACTGCAGCGCCCCTGTCCCTGGCCCTTCAGCCATCTGGGCGTCTCCCAGCCTGGGCTCTGCAGCAGATCCTCGGGTCCCCCAGGGATGCCACCAATCATAGCCACGTTTCCCAGCAGGAAAACCAAGACATTTGACATCTCCCCAGGATTCCAGCGTTTGTCCTGAAGAGTAACTCTCAAGATGAGGTGGGCGTGGTGGTTTAGGGTAACCTTGCTTCTAGAACTTTCCCTCATAATTTACAGCCTCCCCCAGCCCTTTTCTGCAATGCACATCAGCTAAGCCCTTAAAATAGTCAAGGGCTTGAAGAACGCTAACAATTTAATGTATGTTAAAAGGGTATTAAATTCTAAACTAAAATTTACATGGAAATATGACATTAAAATATTTTTAGCTTTCAGGAAGCTGGGGGCTGGAATGCTGTAATACAGACAAATTTTATCATTTTAGAAAGAATTAGCCTCAGTTTTTCTTACATTCATGGAGTTAATGCATAAAGATGTGCCTCCTGCCTGGGGCTACTATGTGGAGGCAGGAAGGGGTAGGGAGGGGAGAGCCAGCAGTGGGGCCCTTAGAGGGAGGGCATAGGCCTTACGTGGGCCCCAGAGCTTCCCTGGAGGGCTGGGGCTGCCCCAAGGCCCGAGGTCCTGCGACCAGTATGTTTGGGGTGAGGGCCTGGGTTTCCCTAGTGCGTGCCAGGCCCATGCGCTTTATCTCATTTACTTCCCATGCAACTCCCTGGAGGTGGGATTCTCTCCCAGTTGCGCAGATGAGAAAATGGCTCAGAGAGGTTGAGTCATGGGTCTGCGGTCACACAGCACAGAGGTGGATGGATTTTCATTCCTTCTCCAGACCCTCAGCTCAGTCATCAGTCTCGGTGCTGTTTGAACATCCACTGCCCATCTCCTGGGAGTCTGGGGGGATCCGGCTCCCAAGATGGGGGCAGGTGGGGAGTGGCACAAAGCAGACAGTGAGAGGCTCTGGGGTGAGACTCTGGGCTCCTCTACCTGCCAGCTGCGAGCCCATGACCCAGAGGGTGACGAGCCCATCTGCAAAGCCCTCAAATGCCAGAGGTCAGGGGTCAGGGAGGCCGTGGGACTTGGTGGTCACAGCAGGGGGTGCTGATTGAGCGACTGCCCCAAGGAATCCCCAATGAGAGGAGCCTCTTACTATCTCCACTTTACAGATAGGGAAACTGAGGCTCAGAGCGATTAAAGACAGTCAGGCTAGCCAACACCAGTCAGGCTAGCCAAGGGGAGGGCCAGGATCCCTACCCCACGCTATGTGGCTTTAGGGCATCGCTGTGTCCTGGTGGCCTCTGGAGCCCCCAGACCTCCTGGGTGGTGGCTGCCAAGAGGCCCAGTGGGCAGCCCTTTCCAGCCCGGCTGCAGGCACCGATGCTGGGGCAGCAGAGGGGCTCAGGCAGGTGGCTCCAGCCCCAGGAGAAATCCAGCCAGGGCAGGGGGGCCGGCGTGGGCGGAAATGACCACTCACTGCCTGGTGGGCACCCCCTGGCCGCCACACCTCTGGGAGGTCACTCATTGGCAGTTAAAAATCTATTGTGACTTGTCAGAAAAATGAATAAATGGGCACATTATTTTTTCATTCCAGACCTCAGCATCTGTTTGTCTAATCAGGAAGGAGAGTGGGGAAGTCGGCCAGGGCTGCCACGCACGTTTTATGCAAGTTTTCCTCTGTCAGAGGAGTTTAAATGGGTAATGAACAGGCTGTGGTGATTTGAAATATAATCCCATTATGCTGACGAGATTACCGGGCTTCGAGACTTCACAAATCACTCTTATGGCTGTTATCGAGTACAGGGAACACCGCCCTGTTGGGATTTTGCATTTAGGCAGAGGTGTTTGGTGGGAACACAACGCGACGGGTTTAACTCTTTCCTTCTCCCTGGCTGCTTTCCAAATAGCAGGGGCCTCTGAAAGGGGCTTCTGTGGAGCCTTCAGAATCCAGGGTGTTTGGGCCCCAAGGGCCAAGACAGAGGCCCAGAGAGGCTGGGGGACGGCTGGGTGGGGTGGGAGGCCAGAGAGCAGGACCCTGGGCCAGCTCCACCACTTTCCAATGGCCTGGCCTCAGTTTCCTCATCTGTAAAATGGGAATTAGGTGGGCATGAGAATAATGGAGAAAACAGTTAATTCATAACTAACACGAGCTGCTCAATAGCAGGTGGGAGGCGGGTGCTGATGAAAGAATAGAAAGTCCTAACGAGCGGCCGCGCACGGTGGCTCACGCCTGTAATCCCAGCACTTTGGGAGGCCAAGGCGGGTGCATCACGAGATCAAGAGATCGAGACCAGCCTGGCCAACATGGTGAAACCCCGTCTCTACTAAAAATACAAAAATTAGCTGGGCGTGGTGGTGGGCGCCTGTAGTCCCAGCTACTCGGGAGGCTGAGGCAGGAGAATCACTTGAATCTGGGAGGCAGAGCTTGCAGTGAGCTGAGATTGTGCCACTGCACTCTAGCCTGGGCGACAGAGCGAGACTCCGTCTCACAAAAAAAAAAAAAAAAAAAAAAAGAAGTCCTAACATGCTCGTTTGTCATGTGGGGGGTGTCACTGAGGCCACACGCAGCAGCATTTTAGGGGCAGGCAGATGGGTGTTTTCATTTCAACAGTTATTTCATGTGCATCAGAACACACATGCAGCACACCAACCCCATGGCTTCATGGCTGTTCTTGCTTAGGATGGTTAAGGCACAGAATCACGTTAGCCTGCATCGTAAAGGGAAAATAATAAATCATAGATGAGGAGCCACCTCGGGACGGGGAGCCTGTGAACAGTGATGTTGGGGAGCATGGAGTCACCTCTTGGTGGCAGACATTACAACTGTTTCCCAAACATCTGTGCCCTTCAATGCCCGGGCGGTGATGCTGCCTGTCCTCTTGGAGTAGGTGGCACCATGCGGTGGGTTCTGGCCAATGGGATGTGCGTGGGAATGAGAGGTGCCTGTGTCTCTTTCCAGCCTTAGCATTTTGCCATTGCTGCCCCATTCTCTGGCCCTCCTGCCCCGGTCCCAGTCTTTGTGGAAGCCCCCAGAGGTCGTGGGGACCCACAGCTGGCTTCGTGTGGAGGGAGTGAGCTTATGCTCTGTGAAGCTGCAGCACAGCCTGGCAGGGCCTGGCCAGGAACTTCACCCCGCCCTCACCATGTCCCTCTGAAGGAGCTGGTACTGTCTCCCTTTAACAGAAGAAGAAACTGAGGCTCAGGGAAGTAGAGTAACTCACCCAAGGCCACTGGGAGACAGCGCTGGTGCCCCATCCTCCTGGCCTTGGCTTAATAACCCATCTTGTCACAGGCGTCTTGGAGCTCCAGGAGGGGAAGGGGCTTGTTCAAGTCGGAGGGTGTGCAGAGGTCCATGAAGAAGCTGGGAGGGGCCCCCTTCAGCAGGTGGGTAAGGGTCCTATGTGAGTGTCCCCAGCCCCCACCAGCCCACCCAGGCTACGCCTCATACCTCAGGCCTTTGCCCACTGCCCTATCCTGCCTCCCTGGCACCTTCCAAGTGCACGTGGGCCACCCGCATGCAGTTCACAGTGGTGTGGCCGGAGGGCCACTCACCCCCACCTCTTGGCCTGTCTTGATGGCCGGGTTTGATCTTCGCTCGCCTCTACCCCCGATGTTCTGCAGTCCCTGATCTGGGGAAGTGAGGGGCCCTAAGAAGCAGCTGGCAGGTATTCAGGAACATGTTGGGGTGGGGATCACCTCCCAGCCTCTTAATCCACGCAGAGAAGACAGAGAGACATCCCTGTGGTCCCCACACAGCTGAGGAACAACTGAGGCGTGGTGCACTTTGGTCCTGGGGGCCTGGATAGGAAGTGTCTGGAGGCAGCTGCCAGCTCAGGGCCAGGGCCAGGAATGCGCTGTGCAGAGGCTGGGGATGCAGGGCTACAGGCTGGGCCTGGGCCTCAGAGGTGGGGGCGAGTATGGCCCAAAGCAGGCAGGGCCTGGTAAGAATGACCAAACTGGCCAACAAGGGAAAGCTCTGAGTTGAGCAGCAGTGAGCGCTCCACTGCCAGAGGTATGCAGGCAGAGGCCGAAGACTCTGGGCTGGAAGTATCTCTGGGCTGGGCTAGACCAGCTCACAGCATTCTCAGCTCTTAGGACCTTCCCTCAGAAGCAGAGAGGCTCTGGCAAAGTTTGGCAAACAGAAACCACTGGAAGCAAGGCTGGGCTCCCACGATGCTGAGACATTTAGGACATGCTTCAGAAGGGTCTGTGGGGTCCTCTAATCCAGCACCTTCATTTTCAGCTTAGGAAAACGAGGGCCCAAGAGGCAGGAACCAGCTTGGAGCCACACGGCTGCCACCTGTGGAGGGCAGAGCCCAGTGGTTAAGAGCAGGGCTACCGTGTCCGCCAGTCATTCATGGTGAGTCTGGGGCCAGTGAAGTGGCCCTTCCGGTTCCTGACCCCTGCAATGGAGGTGGTGACGGGACCTGACGGAGGCTGCCTGTGCGGGTTTCGTTACTGCATGTTTACAGACGGCAGCGCACAGCGGGCCCTTGGAAGAGGAGGGTGGCTCCCAGGGGCCAGCAAGGCCAGGGCTCCCGGGACCCACTACCCAGGCCTGCCAGGCAGCCCACACCTTGCAAGTCCTCCACCGAGTTCAGAGGCCCAGTCGTGAATTATCATCAACACTGACTTTTCACATCGTCTTGGGCAGGGGCCACGCCAGGGCCAGGTCAGGAGACCTGGTGGAAAGCAGAAGTGGGGCCCATCAGTCACTTCCGTTATCTCGGGTGTGCCGAGCTCCTCCTGCCTTTGCCCAGCCCGTGCCGGGGAGACTGTGAGATGCCTGTGTCCTACAGCTCACGGTCCTGTCTTTAGAGATCTAGGTATAGGGTGGGGGAGAGGGGCTCAGGGAAAGCTGAATGCAGAGTCTTGATCCGTGCTGGGCCTGGGCGGTGGCTGCTGTGTTCCCTTTCCACTGTTCCTTCACCTGGACACATGTGTTTATGTAAACTGAGAGTGTTGCATTTCACAGTAAGAGAAGGGTGTTGATTTTGTGGCTGAAGGAGGTGATGACTTTGGTGTCACCCCTGAGTGAAGAGGGCCAGCCTGTCGTGCTTAGCACCAAAGAGGCCCCGGTGCATTTCAGAGATGTTGCTTCCTCGTCAACTGCTGGCAAATGCCACCACCCAGGAGGCTCATGGCAGAGTCATGGTTTTCGGCATCACATACTCCAGACTTCAGAAACTCAACACAATATGCAAAAGTGTGTATTTATATGACTTTTATTTTAATATCATTTTAATATCGAATATGTCACAAGATTTAATGACCAAATTAGTCATTTACATTTTTCAAAGTATCTAAATATAAAATTGCTAAAAATTCAAATACAGATAGCAAGCTACAAATATTTCTTTTGTTTTTGGGTGGGGGGTAGGAATGGAAGACATTAGAAAAGGACGCTCCTGTTGGCTGAACAAAGATCAGAATGAAAGAAGAATTCATCAGCATGACCCCTTGTGCAAAGAAATACACTCAGCTTTAAGATGCTGTTTTAGACACATCTCTTCCTGTACAACAATTTAAAAAATGTTTCTAATGCAGGTCCTCAGTGAAACACCGGTCCCCGGCCCTGGCTGGGGACAGTAAGGACATCACCGCAGGAGGGACACTGAAGAGGCTGTCGAGGACTGCAGAGGCATCTGGTGTGGCCAGAGGCGTGGTGTCAGGGGCATCTGATCCCTTGCCTGTTCCCACCCAGGGAGCCGGACGGCACGGACACAGGTCTCCCTCCGCTCACCCCTCTCCCTGAAACGTGAGAAACAGCAGCTTTCCGCCTGCTTGAAAAAGGAGGCAGGCGCTGTAAGGAGAAGAGGAATGGGGAATGTGGCCCCTTCCAAGGCAGCGAAGCAGAGAACATGCAGGTGGAACTGCCAGCTGAAACCTACACTTGCTACTTAAGAAACGGAAAGACCATGTCTGGCTGGGAGTGCAGCGTGCCTGAGGACCAGCCACCGCCCCTCCTCCTGGCACCCCACACTGTCCACGCAGCTCCTGGGCTCTGAGGTCAGAAGCTGGGGTGTGCTGAAGGGGAAAGTGACACGGCCTTGGACACACCACTAGGTCTCTGTTCCTAACTTTTAGTAAGACACTACCCTCGAAGCAAATGCACTCATTTAAACAAATGGCATAGTTAAAACTATTGACTAAGACCTAAACATTTCTTCTGAGAAATCGAACCATAGCTTTTCCAATCTGCCTGTTCAATATGGGAACAGATTTTAAAGAGAGTAACATAATCAATCCTCCGCCCCAAAGAATGGTCCATCATACCAACCATGATAAAGAGTACACCTGTTTATTAAAAGGAAAAACAGAAATGTACATTTTTGTTGTTTGCTTTAAGAAATTTGATCAAGTTGCAAGGAAATGTGTGGGCACGGCTCTGTACATCCTCGGGCAGGGTGGCAGGCATTGAAGGTGGCTGGGCGGCACGTGGCTCCTCTAGGGGGTGGTCTGACCCCCAAGCATCGCTTATCAAAGCCACTGCCAAGCAGACTTCCGTCCCATGGCAATGTCCCCAGCGCTCCCTCCTAGGGGGCCCCCGACACCTTCCCCGAGAGCCCACCTGCCCTGTGCCAGTGAGCCAGGGGCTGGCCTCCCCCCGAGGACTTCAGGACACCGGGTGGACTCTAGGGCACTTGGCCCTGGCAGGCAGGCTCTGAGCTACGGAACAGATTGAGGCTGGAGGCCAGTGTCACTGCTGCCCGGATTTCTTCTCCTTCTGGAAGCTGAAGCTCGTACGTCTGTTCAGTTTTCTTTGTTTTTGAGCAAAGTAGTCAGCCCGGGCAGTGCTAGCTCGCGATTCCAGGATGTAGTTAACCTAGAAACAAGAGCACACAGCCCGGTCACCTTGCCAGCCGCTCCCTACCCACCCAGGGCATCGGAGGGGGTGGCAGGGAAGGCCCTGACCTGGGCCGGGTGCCTCAGGGCCAGGTGCTGTCGTGTGGAAGGAGTCCAGTCATCACAGCAACCTGGCAGCGGCTGGGCCCAGAGCCGCTGCTCTACGATGGGAAAACAGAGGCTTGGAGAAGCCAAGTGGCCAGTCCAGGCTTCCCAGTCAGTGAGCGGCGAGCTCTTCAGGTTCCGGAGCCCATGCTCCCTCCTGGCGTGAGCCACTCCCGGAAGGCTGTGCCCTGGGCTGCCTGGCTATGCCTCCCACCTGCTGTGTGACCTGGACAAGCACATAACCTCTCTGAGCCTGCCTTTCCCTGTGTGAAGGCCGAGAACACAGGGATGAAAAGCAAACCAAGACAGGCTCTCCATCCAGCCTCCCACCAGCCAGGCGCAGAGCTTCCCACCACAGTGCTTCCTTCAGGGCTCATGAGTGCCCAGCCAGGCAGGGCTCACTTGACAAAAAGGAAAGAGGCTCAGAGAGGGAGGCCAAAGTGGCCTAGGCCACGTGGAAGTCAGGGTGAGAGCTGTGAGGGGGCTGAAAGAGCCCTGTGTGAAGGGCGGGGCTGCCTCCTGGGCTCCTCTCAGGCCTTCTGCACGCTGCTGCTTCCACGAAGCCCTGGGAGTCTGCCCGGAGTCGCATGTGCATCTTCCACTCTGTGTAGCAGCTGCACCGCCAGGCGCTTCCCCAGCGCTACAGCGCTGAGACTTGGTCCTGGCCCTGGGGAGCTTGCTGCCTGGTGAGTGGGTGTCCAGCAGCAGAACCAGCACTGCAGCAGGCAAAGAGGAGCATCAAGGAATGGGGCTGAGTATCAGGGAGGTGTGGAGGAGGGAAGGCTTCCAGAGGAAAAGAGTGAGCGGGCTTTTGAGGGATACACAGGAGTTTTTGAGTGCGCAACGGGGAGGAGAGACGCAGCATGCATCAAGGCACAGCAGGGGCACGCCACAAGGGAGTGTCCCTGGAACTGCGAGAGCTTGGCTGGCTTAGTGAAATGAGGTGGTGGGAGCCAGGGAGGGGTGCTACAGTGGGATGCACACGCCCCAGTGCTGAGGACAGCCTGTGCCTGGGCATGGGCGGCAGCAGCAGTGTGAAATCAGTGGTGGCAACTGGCACTGCTCGGAGTGCCTTTCAGCGCTCATGGAATCTTCACAATAATCTTGAGACAGATGCCACTGTCATCCCCATGCACAGGTGAGGAAGTCAAGGCCAATGACAATAATGTCATTTAGTCAAGGTCACAAAGCTAGAAGGTGTCAGGCGCTTGGCAAACACCCCTTCCTGCTCCGCAGCCTCTCACCTCCTCTGCTCCTCTGGCTGGGGCTTTTGGTGAACAGACGCTATTTCTCTTCACCTGCAAGTATCTAAAAGTTTTGACTAGAAGGCTGAATATTTCTGACAAGAGAGGCCAGCCACTGCCTCTGCTGATTCTACTCCGAGGGCCATGTGTCCTGTGCCAGAGGGAGAGGAGCTTCTGCTGACTCCGAGAAGGAACCAGAGGGCTCCCGGGGGAGGCAGCGCGAGATGGCAACGCCTCAGATGGCCGAGGCTTCAACACTGTCCCTCCCAACTTTCTGCTCTGCTGGTTGGAGCAGCAGGCGTTAAAGGCTGGTGCGTGAGTACAGAAGGCCTGACACGCTCTGCCCGCTGCCTCGCCAAGTTACCAGCTGAGAGCAATAAATCATGAGGACCGCAGGGCCAGGTTGATGATTTGGGACAATACAGTGTATGGAAATAAGAGGTTTTATCATTCTTAATACAAGAAATCTTTGGATTATATTGTTTGCACACTCAGCCAACCTAGTGTTTTCAGTGTATTTTTGGCACATATAACTTGACAAAAGCATTTTAAAATGATCCTTAACAAGCCAACTATTTCCCAAATTTATTATCTTCAGTGCTTTGTGATAATCACATAGATAATGTTAATGGAAGATTAATGTAATAATCAAAAGATAAAAACGCCCTTTGCTCTGCCATTAGCTGGTTAATATGCTGTGGCTTAAAACTGGCACAATTTTATGCACTATAGAGTGTTTCATTTTCAACGCATTTTACAGCTTAAGGCATAAAAATATAGGGAGTTTTCATGGTCAATAAAGCCACAGCCTCCATCACTCAATCACGAGAAGAACCTGATTTGAAGAGCCCGACAACTCCTCTGAGATTCATCTCAAAGCCTGTGGAATTAGGGACCACCCATGGCTTAGCTCAGTGACATCTTGATGGGAAGAGGGCGGCTCTGGAGCTTCTCGGGCCAGGTTCAAGTAGAGGCTCCACCCTTGTGTGCTCTGTGACCTTGGGCCTCCATCTCCTCTTCTATAAAATGGGGACAATGTCTACATTCTGGAGGGCGGTCAGGAAGATTAAACAAGATAATGGACATTAGATGTACTGCATGTAGCTGGTGTTCAATAAATGGGAGACGTTCCTATTTCTACAAGCGCAAAAAGCTCGATGGAGGCTTTGTTCATGATTGTTTATTTGACATCAGATTGTGGCTCTTATTTCCTCCCTTCAATTTCCATCTAAGCTCTCATTTTATGTAAAATTCCTGAATTCTAGAACAACAGCATGCATTACTAGAGTCTAAACTGACTCCTCAAGAGCTTCTGATGGCAACAACATTTCTCCCAAGCTCCCGGACACAGGGCTGGGCTTCCGTTGCTTGGTACTGGTGCAAAGCTCACAAAGACACACTCAGGACACTGCAGGAATGGTGGATAAAACTAAGTATTCCAATTGCTATAAAAATCAGAGATGGGGCCGGGCCTGGCGGCTCATGTCTTTAATCTCAGCACTTTGGGAGGCTGAGGTGGGCAGATCACTTGAGGCCAGGAGTTCGAGACCAGCCTGGCCAATGGTGAAACCCCGTTCTCTACTAAAAATAGAAAAAAATTAGCTGGGCTTGGTGGCGGGTGCCTGTAATCCCAGCTACTCGGGAAGCTGAGGCAGGAGAATCACTTGAACCCGGGAGGTGGAGGTTGCAGTGTGCAGAGATCACACGACTACACCCCAGCCTGTGCAACAGAGTGAGACTCTGTCTCAAAAAAAAAAAAAAAAAAAAAAAAAAATCAGAGGTGGGAGAAGTACTATCTCATCTTCCATCAGGCTCATGATCATTAGCTCTAAGTAAATCAGGCCTAGGGTATGCTACAACTCTTCTGGAGTCTTGTGCATGACACAATATTTCTGCAAATATTTTGATATGGAAACAGACACTTTAGGGAAGGTGACAGACCTCACGGATTTTGCAGAGAAGCATCTGCTTCGAGGGAGCATTTGGACCTGTAAAATGATTTCTCTGCACTTGATCTTCCACAGTCTCATACTGAAGTCATAAACCTGTGTTTCTGTCATCAATCTGCTGTTGTGAAAATTATTTTGATGTCAAACATGGGATTATAATTTTACTAGAATCCTTCTCAAGTCTTGAATATTTTAATGCTGGCTATAAAAAAAAAAAAAAAAAGTCCAGCCCCTATCGGGGTAATGGAATATTTCTCTGCCAGGTCCCTGAACACTCTGCACAAGGGGCCCGTGCTGTCTGTGATGCTCCAGTGGGTAACTCGAAGCTCGCTGGCTGCAAGCACTCCCAGGCAGGCCCGTGTCCCCACTCCTTGGTCCAAGGAGGGGCTCTGATCAGGCTGGTCTATGAACCCTCTCCCTTTCATCCAGCTAATCATGCTACTCTGTCTGCTCCAAACTGTCCTTCCAGCTGCTCTTTTAAATTGCTACCTACTCCTTTTGAAAATCTTTTGCAGCCATGGGGAATGTGTCTCAATATATTCCTGGATCGCAATTCTATTTCATTGAAATCTCCCACACAACTCTTAGGTCATGCATATCTGGGGAATTAAAACACAAGTCTGAAATCTGTCAAATCTGGGGGCAAGTTCTGGTTCTGCCAACTTACCAGAGTCATGATCCTGGCTCTGCTACTTTATTCCTGATCCTCACTTTTCATCTGGGAAATGGGAACAACTTTATCTCATGATCTCACAGAGCTGTGAAGATGCACTGTGATGGGACACGTGGAGCCTCTGGCCCAGGTCCTGCACTGTGCAGTCCCTCAGCATATCTTCGCTACTTCTGCTATTATGTGATGACTTCAACTCTTCAGAAGAGACTGAATGATAACTTACATAGGTTTACCATGTCTCATCTGATTTGTACTCTAGCAGCCCTGGTGGGGTGGGGTAGCATAGGTACTATGATCCCCACTTTACAGGTGGGGACACTGAGTCCCAGAAAGGTGATGTGACTAGCCAGGGTCACACAACTAGGGGTGGGGGAGCCCTCTCTGGTCCTCGCCCCTGCTCTGCCACAGCAGCTGCTTTTCCTATCTGATCAACCTATGGAAGATTTGGCTTGAAGAAAGGATTCTCTGCTTGGGAGAGGCTGAGACCCCTAGTCCAGGGCTACTCAGAGTGTGGTGCCCAGACCAGCGGCCAAAGCAGCATCTGGCGCTTCTTGGAAACGTATGATCTCAGGTCCTATCCCAGACCTCCCAAATCCGCAAGACCCCTGGAGGCTCCCATGCCAAGCAGAGCTCCTCTCAGCCACACTCCACTCTGCAAGGCCCTGCACGGCCTAGCCCCGCCAGCCCCGCCAGCTCCCCCAGCCCCCCCAGCCCCCCATCCCCCTGTGCCTGCCTTGCCTCAGCCCATTCCCAGGCTGCCTGTCTGTGGTGCTTCCTCTCTCTTTACCTGGTCAACATCTGTGCCTTTTCAGTCATCCTTCAGGGTTCAGCTCTCCCTGCCTCCATACCTCCACCCCAAGTCAGTTTACTGTGACACACCCACACCTTTGAGACTAACGATCTCTTTGTAATTTTGTGTTTTATGCCTGTTTCCTCTGGTAGAGGAAAAGCTCTCCAGGGGCAGGGACAGAGTCTGTCACCGTGGCATCCCAGGCCGTGGCCAGGCACACGGAAGGTGCTCAGTGAGTATACTGTTTAGGTATGGTGACATACAAGTCTAGCAGAAAGTTAGGTATGTTTAGAACAGGTTGCTAAAATCACCTTCAGCATAATTATCTTCAAAACAATAATAATTTCCTCAGAGTCTGCTCCAGGAGCTTCAAGGAGCTCCTGACAATGGTTGCAGGAAAATAAACAGTACATAAAAGGAATAAACAAATACAGGAAGAGCCAGGGTTATTGGGATTGGGAGGAAACTGAAAAGGGTCCTGCTTTGACTGAAGCAGGTGCAGAGCAGCTGAGCGGGGGCTGGTGTGGCCCTGGCACAGGCACTCACCCCTGGGTGGCTGGCAAGCTGCGACACTCCTCCTCTGCCAAACTGGGCCCGGGAACCTTCTATAGAGCTGCGGAGTGGGTGGGGCTGCGGCCATGCCGCAAACAGCCTGAAGAGAAGCTGGACCCACCTACCCTGTCTCTGGTTCAAGAAGGAATACTCACCTTGAGCACAATTTCATTGACGGTAGCAGCGTCCGATTCAAAGTAGAGGTGTTTATAGTCGTGATTGCTTAGATACGTGAGTTTAAATATTGCGTGACCTGCAGAGACAGAAAACTGTGTTGAGGGGTTCTGGTGAGTTAACTATGGCGGGGGCCTCCATATGTTCTCCCCTATCATTCCAATTCGAGCGAGAGCAAGTGGAGGCTGAGCAGCACCTAGTCTTCCCAGGAGTAGTTCGTTTTCTCATTACAGGCTGGGTATAAAATGGACAATGAAAAAATTTTAAAGACTCAACAGCCAGTTAGGTCCCATTCCACTCTGGAATGCATTCAGGGGAATGCCACGTTAGGAAGGCTTTACGGAACTGCTGCTATATGATAATTACATGCAAAAGGTGGCGTTTTTAAGGGAGAAGGCTAATTAACTCCACATTATTACTCTAAAAATAAACTAACTGTTTAAAGTCAGATAAATGAGCAACAGGAAGGAGAAGGGTCAAAAGCCACACTATTATGAGGCTGCTCCACAGCCTGGGCTCCTGCTGGGAGAGGACTCCTGCCTGGAGAGGGAGAATCCCAGTTTTAGACCCTGCTGGAAGCTGCTCCCAAAGGCCTCAGGTCATCTCAACCCTGGGAGGATGGGGGCGGGGGGGGCACCATGGAAAGTGGGCACCTCACAAAGCGACCGACTCCAGGGGGCAGAGCTTCTGAATATAAATCTGATCTAGGTCTCCATTCTCCATGCCCCGTCCTACCACCTTCAGGATGACACTTGTCATTTCTGGGACTGCTTCCTGGTCTAGCCTCATCTCACTCCGCTGCCCCGACAGGCCACAGGCTGCCAGAGTGCTGCACACTCCCACCTGCCACACCAGCCTCTACACAGGTTCTTCCCCAAGCCTGGGATGTCCTCTCTCACTGACCCGGATGGGAAAGATTTGCTGATCCTGGGTGGCTCAGCTCAGCTGGCGCCTTCTTGGGTGAGTCTTCATAACCACACTTCTAGGCGCACTTCTTGTGTGGGCCTACCACACGGTACCGTGGCCCTCCAAAGGAACCTGCTTGTCTTATCATACCTGCAGCCATGGCTACATTATCTGGGCCTGTCCTTTTATGTCCAGACAGGTCAATCGGATTCCCTCTTCTAAATGCAGACATAGATGCTAGGCTGTCTAAACTGGCACAAGGACTGAGAATAAGATGAGGGGCTTTGGGACTCCCAGGCTCAGGCCCATGGGGGCTGCCCCGGCCTATCGGCACTGTTATCCTTGGGTTCTAGGAGACTCCTGTGGCCTTCCAAGAAATTCTTCTTTCGCCTTAAGCTACTGAAGTTGGTTTCCATTACTGGCAAGCAAAGGAACAGTGCCCAAGAGAGACACGTAGTCAGTATTCAGTAAACCTTCCTAGACCAAGGAGCAGCAGGTGACATCTCTAATATACAGGTCTCCTGCAAAACGCCCAGAAATGACCTTCCCTAGTCTTTCGACAGACCTTAGTGTCTGTAAGATTAAAATTCAGCATATCCTTTCTATTAGTCCTTCTCATCCGTTGTCCTTTTAATTGAAGCAGCGGCTGGTCATAGTTATTAATTAATAATATATCACCCATATTACTGTAAGTTCACCTCTTTCCTGGAGAAATCTTCTTGGGGACTTTACAGTAGCTAATTTTTCAGATCTCCAAAAATAAACTGATATATGTTGTACATTTGTGGCCAGAAAAGTTGAGCCACTGGTATTTTATCCTGGAAACATCATTATGATGTACTAATTGTGACTATAAATCCTAAATTGAAAAAATTACCTAATAATTTCTGAAAAACCTCACTTTCAGACACTTGACAAATTTAGCCTGATTCTAAATCATGGTACTAAAATGTGAGAATTCCTGACTGGAAGCTAGTCACTCTGTTAACATATAAATTCTGTGTTTCTAATAAGGAGGTGGACCTTACACAGAGGCATCTGTGTGTGCGTCTGTATCTATTCACATTCACAGGATCTACCCCACAACATCAGAATCTTGTCGGTGACATCCCTGTGTGGAGGAACAATGCGGGCACCTTTGTTGGCCATGCTGTGAACAAGCACAGCCATCTACAAAGGACACAGGGCTGTGAAGGACAAAGAGACACCCCCTCCAGGAGGCATTCCTGCTGACAACTGGTCACGACACACAAAGACACCAGGGCCTGGGGCTAGAAAGAACCAGAAGGTCTTAGGGAGACCCACAGACCCGAAGCTTCGGGGTTCACTGACCACTTTGATAAGACAGCTTATGGACTGTCCACACCACCTGCTCCCGCTTGTCACTGACAAAACCAAACCAAACCTCAAAGCACTAAAGCATGTTTTGCCTGAACAATTGAGACACTGTTAAAAAGGTTTCCTGCACTTTAAGCAGAGCCCAATCTATACACAGCACATGTAATAAGTAGTCTGCAAGGCCTAAGAGCCCCAGAAAGGAAGCGTTGACACTGTCCCCTTGGGACTATGGTGCTTGTGAAGCATGTCAATTGTGGGCTGACAGAGGGGAGGCCTGTGGTTCATCTGCACAGTCACGTGAAAAAAACAAAAAAATCATACCAAGCCAAGTCTCCTGAAAGGCTGCATATTTGAACCAAGTAACCTCAAATCCCGTCCTCTGAATTTTGAATGTATTTGGTTGCATGTGGAGGCTGTGTGTGTCTCCTGCCTATCCCCAGGGCTCATTCCAGCACCCATCTGAGGAAGAGTGAAGCAGGTGAGGAGGAGGAAGAGTCCCAACATTCCCCCACTCTCCCTCAAGCCTCCGGTCTGTTTGTCCTTTCCAGTGAAAGCACTCACGCCATAGGAGAGGGGAACAGAGGGCAGAGAACGTTCTGTGGAGCACTTGTGTTTGGACTTGAACAATGACACAGCTGCAAAGTTAATCACTGGGCCGAGGCACGGTGGACAGCCACAGCAGACAGCCCCCTCTTGCTCTCTGCAAGGAGTGATGAGCGGAACCCTGGGGGGCAAGGGCAGGTTAAGATCAGCAGCCATGCTGGGCCATAGGACATGGGGCGGACTCACTCCGCGGGCGTTTCTGCCCCGAGTTCCCCTCGCTAGCAGCCCTGTTTCGCTGGGCGGCCAGAAGGGCAGTTTTCCTCAGTCTGGGCTCTGCCAGGAGCATGGGCTAGAGCAAAGGACAGAGAAATGAACACCGAGAGTCAAATATGATGAGCGTGAAGAAGGTAAACGCAGGGAGCTGCCGTGGAGACACCAAGGCAGAAGCACCTGGCCAGAGGTGGAGAAGAGCCACTAGGGACAGTTTCTTGGGAGGAGCTGACACCTCCGCAGTTTTGGAGGAGGGCAGGGAGTCAGCTGGGTAAAGGTGAGGGTGGAGAAGGGTGAAAAAGAGGAAGATGCCACAGGGCAAGGAAACGGCATGGGCAAACATACAGGGTCTCCATGGGAGCTCTGGGCAAACCAGGGTCATGTGTGGCAGGCAGGTGGGAGGGAGAGGGACACAAAGGGCTGAGAGTGCCTGGAGTCACCAGCTGATGGGGGTCACTAGAGGGGTTTAAGCAGGGCAAGTGAAAGAAATGGGCAAACTGTGTTTTAGGGTGTTCTCCCTGGTTCCCTGGAGCCTGGAGGCGAGGTAAGCAGTTCCCGTAGTCAGCCAGGTAGGAGTGAGTGCAGTTTTGAGCTAGACAGGTGCAGAAAGGATACTGAAAAGGAATGGAGGCGAGAACTACAGAGAAGGTAATGTTGGCAGGATGGGGAGACTCTTTCACAACAGAATAATAGCTAATAATCAGAATTCACACTTTCATAATTTCACCCAGACCAAGACCTATATATTAAAGTGTAACAATTCATTGACCTCTTGCTGGAAATGAATCTGTCAATAAACATGAGTAATTTATGCCACATAGTAAATTTCCACCATAGGTGTCTGGGAAGAAGGAACTGCCCACACTTCAATACTGACTGAACAAAAGAACACCTGTTATCAGATACCATCAGCCTCAGACACCTCACAGTTCATCTCAGGTAGAAGAGGAAGAGGGGGCCAATGACCTCCTCAGCTGCAGCCCACCAGGCATCTCCCTGGGGCGTTAGAGGGAATCAGAGGTAGGCAAGTTACCTTTGAAAATTCCAAGACCACCAGCGGTTTTCATAGGAACAGGGTTAAGTCACAGGAGCAAGCTGTCTTTGTAAAAAATAGCTGAGACACTAGTTGTAAAAAAATAGCTGAGATGCTGGGCGCAGTGGCTCAAGCCTGTAATCCCAGCACTTTGGGAGGCCAAGGTGGATGGATCACCCGAGGTTAGGAGTTTGAGACCAGCCTTGCCAACACTGTGAAACCCTGTCTCTACTAAAAATACAAAAATTAGCTGGGCATGGAGGCACACACCCGGAATCCCAGCTACTTGGGAGGCTGAGGCAGGAGAATTGCTTGAACCCAGGAGGCGGAGGTTGCAGTGAGCTGAGATTGTGCCACAGCACTCTGGCCTGGGTGACAGAGCGAGACTCTGTCTCAAAAAAAAAAAAAAAAAAAATCAGCTAAGAAAAAGTTATGTATTAGTATGACTTTAAAAAAATGTAAAGTTTAATATTCCAATTAGTTCAAATTATTTTGCATTAATTGTTAAATTCTGTTTAAATTAAGGTTTAACAAAAGCCTGAGACACAGAGGAAAAAAAGCATAATTCCTGAAGTTAGAATTAGGATGAAATCCTAGCTCTGCCATGTTTCAGCTGTGGGACCTTGGCAAGGCACTGTCCCTTCCAAGGTTTGCCTGGCTGTAAAGGAGGGGATAGCATCTGTCAGTGATCTCTTATATGTCACATACATCCCTGCATATAGCAGGGAGGTGGTCATTCATTTAACTATGATGGAACTGGTATTTGATGATAAAATGCTAATTGCTTTGAAGATTGCATTTTTAATTGGGCCTCCTTTGAGCAGATTTGCTTTTATAGTGCTATGTAAATAAAATGCAATATAAGAGGGTATAAATGTGGCATCTAAGCACTGGTCACATGCTCAGGGCAGATACTGAAACTGTACCTCCACTCGTGAGTACTGAAGTGAAAATCTGGATATGTAGAACTGTATTTACACTTATGTAAGTTTTTCAAAGTAAGACAGAGAAGATAGAATTTAATACCAAGCAGAAACTAATTAGTGGCACAAATGTCAGAAGTGGAGACGTCCAGCTTTTGTGCTTTAATTCATCTTCTGTATTATGGATTCTAACTAAAACAGGAGGCTGTGCTGAAAAAACAGGTTCTTCCTGCCAGTTCAGGGGGCGTGGCCATGTTGGAAAGGCTGCTGTGGTCATGAGATGGGATGGCTTAAACATACATGAACAGCACTCACAACCCTGCTAAAAGAGGTGCTCCCAGACTTCCACTGCAAATCAACTGAAAGAAGGGTCTTTTTTTGATTTTCAATTTTTGCTCTTTTTTTTTTGAGATGGAGTCTCACTCTGTCACCCAGGCTGGAGTGCAGTGGTGACATCTCGGCTCACTGCAACCTCTGCCTGCTGGGTTCAAGCGATTCTCCTGCCTCAGCCTCCTGAGTAGCTGGTATTACAGGTACCCCCCACCATGCCCGGCTATCATTTTTTTTACTTTCCATCTGCCTTAAGAAAAGTCTCAAGGGAGGGTCTCTTCTAACACAACCTGCCAGTACTGACTGTGGCTGGCCATGACTGGTCAGAGCTGGAGCTGCCAGAATGAGCCTGCAGCCCACCTTTGCCTAAACCCCCAGGTGTCACCACTTGCCAAAAATATAAAAATAAACCTGTTTCTTTTCCTTATTAAAAATACTAGAAATTTAGAAGACAGAGGAGAACCTCCACACCCCACCCCAAAATCCCAACACTAGCACAATGCCATTCACGGTCTCTTTCCTAACCATTCTCGCCTGTTTTCACAGTTGTAATCAGATTGTATACTAGAAGTTGAGCTTAGTTTTTTTAAGTTAACATTTTACCATACCCCTTTCCCTGTTGCAACAATTTCTATAACCACCGTTTTCAATGGCTGCATCTTATTCCAACCAGTAGACGTGAGCTATGGGTCATGTTGCTATCTCTGTTGGGCTTCTGGGTTACTTATAAAATTGCCAGTACTATAAATAAGGCTACAAAGAACAGCTTTGAGGCTTGGGATTCTTTCTCAATTCCTTTACATCAGGCATGGATACTTTTTGAAAACTCAGTTTCCAAGGTCTGATGTCTTCTGGGCCCTCTGGCCTGAGAGGGGAACATTCTCACTGGATTTCTTGGGGGAAACCGATGGGAACACACATTGTTTTAGGCAAAGCTGTATCTTTCTGTAGGTCCTAGTAGGAAATGCTGGACTGGGGTTCTTTGGTCTCTGGGCTGAAAACTCCCTCCTGGTTGGGTCTCCTCTCCACCGTAAGCAACAGTTCTGGGCTGCCTGCAGGGAGCTTCAGCTCAAGGTAATTCAACTGGCAAAAGGGAGTGCTCCTTCCCAAGCACTCCTGCGTGGGCAGCGGCCTGGGCAACCATAGTAATGACCTCTTTGACCTCTAGAGCCGGGGATGTGCCTGACCTACTTACATTTCTGCCTGGATTCTCAAACTCCCTCTCTCTCTCTCTTTGGCTCCTTCCTGTAAACATAATTAAATCTCTAATTATAAAAACTCCCATGGCAATGTGATTTCCCTCCTTCCTCTCATGTATCGAAAACATTCTTGCTAAGGTCACTATGCCCTCAATGTCGAGAGATCCAGTAGAGATTTCTCAGCTGTTTTCGACACTTCTTAAAGTCCTGGCTTCCCTGGAGGCACGGTCACCTGATTCTTGGGTCCACGTCTCCAGTCATCTGTTTCTCACATTTCCTTTGTGATCTTCTGGACCTCCACCTGTCCCTTAAGCAATGGTCTTCCTGAGTTCTATCCTTGATCAGCACCTCCTCTAACTACGTTTTTCCTGTGTCGGGTTTGCCCTTGGGTTTTAGTTACTACTCACATGTTGGTGATCCTGAAGCAGCTATGTGGCCTATACCTTTCTCCAGAGTTTCAGAGCTGAGCAGTGGGTATGGCTGCCACCTCCACATGGCCCCCAGTGCAGCATGTCCAGAACAGACATCAGCATCTCCCCTTAAATTGGCAGTTGTGGTGGCACAACTGGAGGCTTCACCACGCACCAAGTACTGGGCATTTGGTCTCCTAGTTTTCACGTTTATCTTCCGTCCCTCTCTATCCTGGGACCACAGCCCTCACCCAGGTCCTGATCATCTATTGCTTTTTCTCTGGTTTTCCTTCTTTTGATCATGTCTTCTGCAGATTCAAACATCTACTCACAGGAGTTTTTTTTTTTTTTTTTTTGAGGCAGAGTCTCGCTCTATCCCCCAGGGTGGAGCGCAGTGGCGCGATCTCAGCTCACTGCAACCTCCGCCTCCCAAGTTCAAGCCATTCTCCTGCCTCAGCCTCCAGAGTAGCTGGGATTACAGGCGCCTGCCACCACGCCAGGCTAATTTTTGTATTTTTAGTAGAGACGGGGTTTCGCCATGTTGGTCAGGCTGGTCTTGAACTCCTGACCTTGGGTGATCTGCCCGCCTTGGCCTCCTGAAGTGCTGGGATTACAGGCATGAGCCACCGCACCAGCCCGTTTTTTTGAGACAGAGTCTTCCTCTGTCACTCAGCTGGAGTGCAGTGCTGCGATCTGGGCTCACTGCAATCTCTGTCTCCTGAGTTTGAGTGATCCTCCCACCTCAGCCTCCCAAGTAGCTGGGATTACAGGCGTGCGCCACCACGCCGAGCTAATTTTTGAAATTTTTGTGGAGATGGGGTTTTGCCATGTTGGCTAGGCTAGTCTCGAACTCCTGGCCTCAAGTGATCTGCATACCTCGGCCTCTCAAAGTGCTGGGATGACAGGCGTGAGCCACTACGCCTGGCCAGGAGTCATTCTTTTAAAACATACCATCTGGACCCCCTACTTAAAACTCTGCAGTGCTTCTTTTCCTGTCATCCTCAGAATAAAGTCCAAGCTTCATAAGATGATTTTCAAGACCCCAGATCAGCAGTTCTCAAACTTTTTGGTCTCAGAAGCCCTTAATACTCTTAAACACTATTGAGGAGTCCAAAAAGCTTATGTGGATTATACCTATCAACATTTATTGTGTTAGAAATTCGGCCAGGTGTGGTGGCTCACGCCTGTAATCCCAGCACTTTGGGAGGCCAGGAGTTTGAGACCAGCCTGGCCAACATGGAGAAACCCTGTCTCTACTAAAAATACAAAAACTAGCCGGGTGTGGTGGTGTGTGCCTGAGGCTGGGCTGGGAGGCTGAGGCACGAGAATTTTGAACCTGGGAAGTGGAGGTTGCAGTAAGGCGGAATCATGTCACTGGCCACTGTACTCCAGCGTGGGTAACACAGCGGGACTCTGTCTCAAAAACAAACAAACAAACAAAAAAAGAAAATAAATGAAATTAAAACTGAGAAATTAAAAAATATATATTAACTCACTAAAATAATACACCCATTACAAATTAACATATTTTAAAATGGAAAAACCCTTATATCTCCCCAAAGTTAAATAAGAGTGGCATTATTTATTTATTTATTTATTTTTCTGAGACAGAGTCTCACTCTGTTGCCCAGGCTAGAGTGCAGTGGCATGATCTTGACTCACTGCAACCTCCACCTCCTGGGTTCAAGCAATTCTCCTGCCTCAGCCTTCTGAGTAGCTGGGCTACAGGGGTGCAACACCAGGCCTGGCTAATTTTTGTATTTTTAGTAGAGACAATAGAGATGGAGTTTCGCCATGCTGGCAAGGCTGGTCTCGTACTCCTGACCTCAGATGATCTATCTGCCTCGGCCTCTCAAAGTGTTGGGATTACAGGCGTGAGCCTCCGTACCAGCCTATTTTATGTTTTGAAATCTCTTTAACATTTGGTTGAACAGAAAACAGCTGGATTATCCAATCTGATTCTGCATTTGATCTGCTGTGATATAGTTTTGGTTAAAGTAAATGAAGAAAAGCCAGACTCCCGCAGATATGTTTTTGGAAAAGTGAGGCATATTTTAATGTTCTTCTTTGTAAATATTCCTCTTTGATACTACACTGAACTTGATAAATGGTATTTTCTTAAAGATTAGTTGCAATGTGGAATATAAACCTCATTAATAAACTTTTTTGTATTCTGTTACATTAAAATCTATTGGTCTGTTTTACATTTTGAATCTTTCCCCTTGCCTGCTTTTGTAACATCATGCAGTAGTCTGGAAAATATTGGTTCACTGAGTTATGCAGATTTTCCAAATGTTGACATATTTCATTTGACAATATCGAAAAAAAATCACTTTCATTAATATCACTACTGATATTGGAAAAGTCTTTAAGCGATGAGAAGCCAAGCTCAGTGATGGAAATTTCCCAAAACTCTAATTTTCACCTGAAAGTTTGAACTTCATCACTGGCAATAAATACTATCACTTGTTCTCCTTGAAGTGACAGACTCACTTCCTTCATTTTCAAGAAAAGGTCTGCCCAATATTCATTTGAATAACCATAGTTTGTCAGTTGTTCTTTCAAGTTATAATAAGGTTCCATGAAACAAACAACTGGTTCAGCTTGCAATTCAAATAATTAAACAAGTGCTATTCCTTGAGACAAGTACCCTACTTCTGAATGCAGCAGAAATGCTTCCATGTACTTCAGGAAATAAATTAAGAACAATGGCTTATGAGGGCCTTTTGACGCTTCAATTCATGTGTAAGTTGTTCTAGTAAAATACCACACTGCATTTCAATAACCAAGTATTGGTTGAGGTTTATTCTTCAGCTCTTAGAGAAGTAGATAAGAAACAAGTTCTGCATCCGGGAATTTCCTCCTTGGAGGGACTTAAAGTCTATGACAAGCTTGAGTTTGCAAGTACTCTATGGGAGGCTAAATTACTACAAATGAAACCTCATCTATCCAGAATCACTGGAGTGGAGAGCTAGGGTAACCTTTGTGCAAAAAGCCCTTTTCCATTTTAAGCATTAAAATTCTATATTATAGACCTTCCTTCTGCATTAGAGTATAAGGAAAAGAAAATACTGTTTTATCACTTTTTTCTGTATAAGTACTGAACATCATGATTCTCCCAGGGTTGCAAAAGGCTCTATGTTGTGCCACAAAATTGCTCCATACTACACTGTTTACTGAGTTTTTGGAATGCTCTTTAATAGTTTTTGTTTAGTTTTATTTTTGGTCAACTCTTGTTAGCTTTCACTTCCCACTGTCTTTATTATTTCAGTTCTGTCATTCTCTCTCCCTCTTTTAATATTCTGCATTTAATATCCTTTAGGAAGAGAAACCAGATAACCAAGCAAGGATGAAATTTGTTTAAAAAAAGAAGACTTCATACACTCTGAGTTGGGGCTAGGGTTATTCTTCCTTCAGGAAAGCACAGATGTTGGCTGGGTGCAGTGGCTCATGCCTGTAATCCCAGCACTTTGGGAGGCCAAGATGAGAGAACTGCTTGAGGCTAGGAGTTCAAGGCCAGCCTGGTCAACATAGTGAGACCCCCATCTCTATTTTAATAATAATTAAAAAAAAAACCCAAAAAACAAAAATAAAAAAAATGAGAAAACATAGACATTTAAGTGCCTTGGCTTTGTGTCAGTGGCAGAGGGAAGACTGTGGACCTCTGTTCCATTTACAGATAACTTTGGACAAGTTATGTAGCTTCTCTGAGCCCCAGTTAACTCATTGATAAAATGGGAATATTATCTGTCTCACAAGTTGTTAGGATTACATAACCCTAAAAAGTCGTCCAACAATGTTAGAATTATATAATAAGTGTAGACACAACCTCACAGAGTTGTTGCAAGAATTAAATAATGTGTAAAAAGGACTTGGAACACTATCTGATGGGGGATGTTCCCCTTGCTTCCTTTTTCACCTCTACTCTCAGACAAGCAAACTTTTCCTATAAAGGGCCAGATAGTAAATGCTTTAGGTTTTATGGACCAAGAGATAAAACTGAGGATACTTTGTAGATACACAAGAAGAGAGAAAAAAAATTTCACATTTTTTATTGACAAAATTCAAAATTTAATCATCAAATACATTTTTGGGTAATACAGATCTATTAATAAGAAGTGTAGTTTTTTTTTTTTCCTTTGGTTGAGGGAATAACATTTCACTTAAATGGGATCCAAAATTAGTGTTCTGTATCATCACATCAATTGCAAATGTTTATCTGTAAAATCCATTCTTGCCTGACAGGCCATACAAAAACAGGTAGTGGGCTGGATTTGGCCTGTGGGCCACAGTTTGCCAATTCCTGCTGGAAAAGGTCTCTCTTGCTCCTTCCCTTTTTCTTGGTTCATTCCATATCGTTGGTAACTGATATTTTGAGTGTTCTCAGTTCTCTGTGCAGATTTGGGTTTCCTTCTGGTATTTTTACCCTCCAGCCTTTCACTTCTCATAGTGTAAGGTTTAGTGGCGACAAATTATTTCATTTTTTTTGATTGCCTGAAATGTCATTATTTCACCTTCCTTTCTGAAGGATATTTTCACTGAATATAGGATTCTAAGTTGACAGACTTTTTTCTTTTAGCATTTTAGAGGCATCATTCCATTGTCTTCTGGATTGCATTATTTCTAATGAGAAGTCAGCAACTATTCTTATCTTGGTTTCTCTACGTAATATGTCTTCTTCGGCTGCTTTTAAGATTTTTCTCTTTATCGCTGGTTCTCAGCAGTTTGATTATAATGTGCCTTGGTGTGGTTTTCTTTATATTTATCATGCTTAGCTTTCATTTGGCTTCCAAGATTGCTGGTTTGATATTTGAAATCAAATCTGGAATAGTTTTTCCCCTCCATCACCAAGACTACAATTACATATATGTTAGAACACTTGCTATGACTCCAAAGGCTCTAATCTCTTCATCCATTTTTTCTCTGTGCCTTGAATAGTTTCTGTTGTTCTGTCATAGAGTTCACTGATTGTGGCAGATTCTGAAATGGCTCCCAATGATCCTACCTTCTGCTTTTCATGCCCTTGTGTAATGCCCTTGTCTTGTTTGTGGCCTGGACCTAGCGACTTGCTTCTAATGAATAATATAGCAGAAGCGTTGGGATGTCACTTCTGTGAATAAGTTATAGAAGACTGTAACTTATTCCTTGCTAGCACTCTCTCACTCTTGCTTACTTTGATGAAGCCAGCTCCATCATGTAAGCTTCTCTTTGGAGAACTGAGGGTGTTCCCAAGGAAGTAAACTCTGCCAGCAACGACTCAGTGAGCTTGGAAGACCTTGTCTGAATGAAACCCTGAGATGACTGCAGTCCCAGCTGATGTCTTGATTGCAGCCTTTTGAGAGACCCCAAGCCAGAGGACTCAGTTAAGCTGTGGGATACCTGACCCACCAAACTGTAAGACAGTAAATGTTACTGCTGTTTTAAGCCACTATGTTTTGGGGCAATTTGTTTTGTGGCAATAGATAAGTAATGCACTGATCTTTTTTCATCATCATACTAATCTGCTCCCATTTAGTGAATTTTTTTTTTTTTTTTGAGACAGAGTCTCACTCTGCTGTCCAGGCTGGAGTACAGTGGCGCGATCCTGGCTCACTGCAACCTCTGCCTCCTGGGTTCAAGCGATTCTCCTGCCTCAGCCTCATGAGTAGCTGGGATTACAGGCATAAGCCACCATGCCTGGCTAATTTTTGCATTTTTAGTAGAGACAGGCTTTCACCATGTTGGCCAGGCTGGTCTCGAACTCCTGACCTCAGGTGATCTACCCACCTCGGCCTCCCAAAGTACTGGGATTATAGGCATGAGCCACTGTGCCCGGCCCATTTAGTGAATTTTTTGATTCAGGTATTGTATTTCTCAGCTCTGGAATTTTCATTTGGTTCTTCTTAAGTTTTAATTTTTCTTCTTTTTGAGTTCTTCTTTTAAGTCCCTGAACATATTTATAATAGCTATTTTAAGGTACTTCTCTGTGAATTCTATCACCTCTGACTCTTCTGGTTCTATTTTATTGATTGATTGTTTCCTTGGTTATGAGACACATGTTCCTGCTTCTTTGCATGTCTAGTAATTTTTAAGCGAATGCTGGACACTATCAATATTACACTGTAGGTGTCTGCATTGTGCTGTCCTTTACAGAGTATTGGGCTTTGTTCTGGTAGAAGCTAATTTACTTGTGGATCAGTTTGATCCTTTCAAGATTCCTTTTAAGGTTTTTGCAAGGATTAGAGCAGTCTTTAGTCTATGGCTAATTTAGTCCTATTTCTAAGATATGGCCTTCCTGGAATCACTACTAAATGCCCTGGATGCTCCACTCTGGTTAGCCAGAACTCTAGTTTATAGCTCCCCAGTAGTTGCTTGCCCAGCCTTGTAAGGTCCCACTGCAGGCATGCATAGTTTAGTATACAGTGAAAGATTCAAGGGGCTCTTTCTAGAGCTCTTTCTCCCTTCCATACTCTATTCTGCAAATTTCCGTTGCTTTAGCCTCCTCCATCTCTTATCTCTGTCTTCCAGCTCAGTGAGACTGCCATACTTTCCTTGGGTTCTCTCTTCCTGCGAAAATCTGGAGAAAAGCTGAGGTGATCATCAGTCTCACCTCTTTTGTTACCTTTCTCTCAGGGATCACAGTCCTGAACTGCATATTTTCTAATGTCCAAAAGTGGTTTTTATATTTTGTTCAGTTTTCTCATCACTTACGATAGAAAGGCTAATCTGGTCGAAGTTACCATGTGTTGGAAGTTGCATATGGAGTCTTTTTTTTTTTTTTTTTAATTGATCATTCTTGGGTGTTTCTCGCAGAGTGGGATTTGGCAGGGTCATATGACAATAGTGGAGGGAAGGTCAGCAGATTAATAAGTGAACAAAGGTCTCTGGTTTTCCTAGGCAGAGGACCCTGCGGCCCTCTGCAGTGTTTGTGTCCCTGGGTACTTGAGATTAGGGAGTGGTGATGACTCTTAACGAGCATGCTGCCTTCAAGCATCTGTTTAACAAAGCACATCTTGCACCGCCCTTAATCCATTTAACCCTGAGTGGACACAGCACATGTTTCAGAGAGCACAGGGTTGGGGGCAAGGTCACAGATCAACAGGATCCCAAGGCAGAAGAATCTTTCTTAGTACAGAACAAAATGAAAAGTCTCCCATGTCTACTTCCTTCTACACAGACAGGGCAACCATCCGATTTCTCAATCTTTTCCCCACCCCTCCCCCCTTTCTATTCCACAAAACCGCCATCGTCATCCTGGCCTGTTCTCAATGAGCTGTTGGGTACACCTCCCAGATGGTGTGGTGGCTGGGCAGAGGGGCTCTTCACATCCCAGAAGGGGCGGCCGGGCAGAGGCGCCCCTCACCTCCCGGACGGGGCGGCTGGCCGGGTGGGGGGCTGACCCCCCCTACCTCCCTCCCGGACGGGGCCGCTGGCCGGGCGGGGCGGCTGGCCGGGCGGGGGGCTGACCCCCCCACCTCCCTCCCGGACGGGGTGGCTGCCGGGCGGAGACGCTCCTCACTTCCCAGACGGGGTGGCTGCCGGGCGGAGGGGCTCCTCACTTCTCAGACGGGGCGGCTGCCGGGCGGAGGGGCTCCTCACTTCTCAGACGGGGCGGTTGCCAGGCAGAGGGTCTCCTCACTTCTCAGAAGGGGCGGCCGGGCAGAGACGCTCTTCACCTCCCAGACGGGGTCGCGGCCGGGCAGAGGCGCTCCTCACATCCCAGACGGGGCGGCGGGGCAGAGGCGCTCCCCACATCTCAGACGATGGGCGGCGGGGCAGAGAGGCTCCTCACTTCCTAGATGTGATGGCGGCCGGGAAGAGGCGCTCCTCACTTCCTAGATCGGATGGCGGCCAGGCAGAGATGCTCCTCACTTTCCAGACTGGGCAGCCAGGCAGAGGGGCTCCTCACATCCCAGACGATGGGCGGCCAGGCAGAGACGCTCCTCACTTCCCAGACGGGGTGGCGGCCGGGCAGAGGCTGCAATCTCGGCACTTTGGGAGGCCAAGGCAGGCGGCTGGGAGGTGGAGGTTGTAGCGAGCCGAGATCACGCCACTGCACTCCAGCCTGGGCACCATTGAGCACTGAGTGAACGAGACTCCGTCTGCAATCCCGGCACCTCAGGAGGCCGAGGCTGGCGGATCACTCGCGGTTAGGAGCTGGAGACCAGCCCGGCCAACTCAGCGAAACCCCGTCTCCACGAAAAAAATACGAAAGCCAGTCAGGCGTGGCGGCACGCGCCTGCAATCGCAGGCACTCGGCAGGCTGAGGCAGGAGAATCAGGCAGGGAGGTTGCAGTGAGCCGAGATGGCAGCAGTACAGTCCAGCTTCGGCTCGGCATCAGAGGGAGACCGTGGAAAGAGAGGGAGAGGGAGACCGTGGAAAGAGAGGGAGAGGGAGACCGTGGGGAGAGGGAGAGGGAGAGGGACGCATATGGAGTCTTATAAGCAATACACACTTTGATTTTAATGAAACTATGGCTTACTTTTTCCATGTCTAAGAGAGTAACTTAAAATCTAAGCTCTCCATTTATTTATTATGAAAACACAATTTGGAGCTTGGCAGGAGGCAAGGGAAAACAGATTATCCCCCATCATTTATCCAGCTGAGAAATCTTTCACACAGAATTTTTCAGTAGGGAACAGCCCCTGCCCTTACCCTCTTCTCAATTAGGATCTCTTCTGATATTAAAATCAAGAAAGAATGAATTTGAGAAAATGGTAATCAAAATCTAGGAAAACGCAAATGTATAGAAATTTTTCATTTTACCTAGGCAATTGTTTTGTTACAATGGGTCCATAAAGCCCAAGTCAACAATTAAGTGAAAACTTAATAGCAAAAAGGAGGCTTCTCCCAGGAGAAAAAAAAAAAAGTTGATACCCTCAAAATGTTTTCTACTCTAACAAATATCAATATTCCAATCAACACAAATTTTCTTTCTTGTTTATTAATACGTCCGAGGGAAAAATGAAGAAAATTTACAGAAAATGTAAGAAAACTCACTATCTCAGCACCAGCCAATTTTCCTCGTAGACATTCTTACACGTTCTGTAAACATACACATAACGTCCCCTATGAGCAACTCTAGTGCCTGATGACGAATATGGGAGGTGTGCTCTTCTTACCAACTATCTGGGGGTCAGAGGAGAATCTTCTGACTCCGAAATTCAGAGTGTTGATCCTTCTAGGGCCCACTGTATCAAAACACCTTTTTTATAGGAACTACAGAGACAAGCACATTGGTACCATCTATCATACACTGAGGGTCAATAGCAATAGTTTAAGAGTAAGATGTTAGGTTTCCCTTGTCACTACAACTGTGAGAAGTTCTCCACTGTGCTCCCATACCCCTTTTTGAAGAGCCACACTTGCTCTTGGCTGATTCCAAATTCCAGAGGCACTTTTAAATCTCATTGTGCCTAGGCAGAATTAGAAAAAGTCATCAAGCACTGGTGATGACTGGACAGAAGCTGCTGGATTTCTGGAGGAAGCAGGGAGTGTAAATAAATAGGCATGCCTAAAGCACAAGTCAGATGTCAGCTCATGATGACCAGGTCAGTCAATGGGACACACGTTGGCCTGGCTGAGTTCTCAGGGACCTGGCCAATGCTATCCAACTCTGCCAAACTGTTCCCTGAAAGCACAGTGATTTGCCTGTTTAACAGCAGATTGTGGCTTGAGGTTACTGGAAACCAAACTGGGTCAGAGAACCTAAGAAGACAGTTCAACATTAGATGACGCAAGCTGGCCGTCTGCTTACGGTTTTTCTCCACCTTTATCCTGTGGTGCACTCCAAGTCTTTCCCTCCCACACGCTTGGAAAAATTGTGGTGGTCCCTCTGGTTGCCTAAACCCATCTCCCCGGCACTCCCTTGTTTTGGAAGGAGATGAGAAATAAATCAAAATGCACTAAGCAGCACTTCCACAGGCATTCGCCTCCTTCACTGAATGTGCACCTCATCAATCACACTATTGTCTGCTTGAAAGGCGAGCCTTGTAAATGTCATATCCACTCAGGCCCAAGGAGAGGTGCATCCAAATGCAGCAAGGAGTTTTAATTGGATAGTGTAATTAAACTAAAAAACCCCAGCAGACTTCCTTTGACAGGATAGATGAAGACCCCTTTTAATAGGGCTAGGAAACATATCTGTTAAAAGGATGAGGCACTGCCTGCTCCTGATTGTGCTCCAGAGTACTCTTATGAAAAGGCAATTCAATAACTGGGGCATTAATATGTGAGAGTCCGTTGTGTTCTGTAATCAGGCAGTACTTACTGTATTTGATCTGGAACTTATGAAATAAGCCCTTGTTAGAGAATAAAAACACAACATAACGTGTCCACCTAACGTCTGGAGTGCCTGGATCTCCCGGGAGTGGACAGAGCCTGAGGAAGGGCTGTTGCCTTCCTGGGCTGCAGCTCCAGTTATACTGGAGTATAACTGCAGGTGCCTCACCTACTGGGCCCTCAGTGCACCAGCAGGGCTGTAGATATCCACCTGTCTACCTTGGGGCTGTAGCTCTTTCATCCAAAGGTAACTAAAGTCATCCTCATTCCTCTTTCACACATTTCATGAGAGCATCTCAAGAATATGACAAAATTCCTGGGTATCTCCTCCCTTAGGAACTAGAATGCCTATCACATGAGAAAGAGAGAGAGCGCATGAGCAAGCAAGAGCGCACATGCGTGTGTTCTCTGCTAGAACTACCCATGTCAAATAGGGAGAAAGAAATCAGGTGGCGAGGATCCGACGGATAAGCTGGGGTGTGCCCAGGGTGATTTCAGTAACAAGCATGAATCCTTCAGCCACAGTCTCCCTGCTCTCCTTTGTTGGGGGTGGGCTGGGGGTGAGGAATGCACATACTGGCACATTCAGCCACACATATACATGTGAGGCCTGCAGCTCTACAAACAAGTAACAAAATCAGTGAGAACATATGAAGAAGTTTGTATCTTCACAAGGCTGTCTTACAAGTGGCCCATGACAATCCCCTGCAGCTGGAATGCCAGTTTAGGGAACCCAGCATCTGGGTGGATTAAGACAGCCTCTGAACTGGGGCTAAGGTGGGATGCAGAGGTGAGATTTCAGACCAGCCCATCTATAGCTTTCCAAAAACCAGCTTTGCTTTGTTTACATAAACCCTGAAGTCAGTTTCCCTGAGCCCTCAGGGTTTGTTTAATGACTGACTGCTTTTACTCTTCATAAAGCCTGTTTGGAGCTATTTGCAAACCTATGAACATTCTTAATACTGGTCTTTCACTATGGGTTAATGAACCCATTAAAAACATGTAAGTGAATTTGTATAATCTAGGAAAACTGGATACTGAATTAAACCATCAAATACCCTTAGTTTAACTGAAAACTACACACAAGCATTTCAGCCATCAATTTGGCTATCACTTCTAGCCAGTATGAATTCTGCTGGAAAAGCTATTTTTGTACAGATGTGGAATTCAATGGGAAAGACTGACTCGTGTACCAACATCAATCAAAATGTCGACTTCCCTGGCAGCTCTCAACAGTAAGGCAGGTTCAAAGGTCACAGGATAAAGAAAAAGCCAAGCTCTGGTTCAGCTCTAATATCTCCTCGGTAGAAGTCTTGCAAAAGTACCCCCTTCTGTATTAGCCTTGCTTTCATTAATCTTCTTGCCATCTTCTTTAACTAGTCATGCAGAACCGCTCGATAGCAAGACGTATAATGGGGAAGGCCCTGTGCCTATTACCGCGTTAACATTCTCTTAAGCCCCAGTGCAACAATGGAACGGGAAGGCAAAGGAAATCTGCGACTGCAGGGTGCAGTGCAGGCAATTCAATTACAGCCTGGACTTACCTATGTCCTTCTGACCTATAAAACACAAGAGGCCTTTGTGTCTAACTGGCTTGGCCATTAAGGTTGCTGAAGATCACAACAATGCTGATCTTTTCTATTTAAGCTAAATCAATGTGGACAAATCATTATTCAGTAGCTTTAATTTAATTAGTAAATTAAATACACTACTTTACAGATCTTGTCAAGTACTTATGAAAAGAAAGATTCACTTAAGTGGTAGGTCACCAATAAGCCCAGCTCATTTAACTCATAGCCTTAACTGAATCTCATTTCAAATATCCAGCAAGTTCTAGTCACTAGGGTTTACCAGTCTCCTGCAGTTGTGCTTAACTCTTAACCCCAAAGAGTTCCTATCTTGCATCCAAATGGTGTTCTGGACAAAAAGCAAAACAAAACAAGAAATCCCCTAACATAACCAGCATGAACAGAATCAGATTTCCTTTGAATTATACTATTGCAAGAGAATGTAATCAGGTTACCTCTATTATGTTGCTTCCTTAAGATTTTATATGATCTATGCTTAATTGAGATACAGCGCTCTTTTCAGCTATAAAGATGACAGCTACTTTATTAAGGTTTAAATCTGATTTCTTAATGATAGGCTGCTTCCTTTAAAGACTCTAAACCTGCACAACCTTCTTATGATGAAACCAGATCTGGCATGGCTGAGTCTGGTTCTGAAATACAGCCTGAGTGTCTCTGATGGGTACCAGCTTCACAGAAAGGTCCCTTGCTTTTGTTTCAGGGTAGGAATGTGAGGCCAGCACTTAAAAAGAGAGCCACAGCATTCAAAGCCTGTGTCTAGAACTGGACATGGTGGCGCATGCCTGTAGTCCCAGCTATTTGGTGGGTTGAGGTGGGAGGATCACTTGAGCCCAGGAGTTTGAGCCCAGCCTGGGCAACACAGTGAGACCCTGTCTCATATATTAAAAAAAAAAAAAAAAAAAAAAAAAAAAAGACCTGTATCTAGAGGTATATAAGGATGGAAAATTATTTCCCTAAGAAAATTTAAACATGGTAGTTTCTGATACGGAAACATTCTCCTCTTGTATGTGTTGAATACATCCTTGACCAGTTATAATAAATTAAAATCAATTCACCTTTTAGGGGCTTATGACGTCTTTCAAAATAGCAAAATCTGACAGAGGGAATCACTCATTTGAATAATAATGGCAGCATGTTTTTTTTCTCCTTAAATCTAGAAAGACAGGATTTAATTCTTAATTTCTCAAGGCTTGTGATACACAGATTCTCAAATAACTCTTTTAAGAATTCATATTTATATGTACAATTTTTTAGGCATGTATCTATTTAGCCATTAAGTTCAAGTCCTTAAACACTCACAGGGACAGAGCAATAAATCTTCCCTCTGAGACCCCAGCCTAAGAGGGAGAAGTCGAGGGGAATGGAAAGAGAGCCACAGAACTGTTGTTTACGAAGCACGGCTTCTGAGCCTGGGTCTCTCCGGTCCCGCAGTATGTGTAATTATGTATTTCCCTGCAGCCGCTCAAATGCTCAGTCTCTTTGCCAAGTCAGCTATTCACACACTTTTTGGATATGGCATCAATTAAACTTGAGTTCTATGCCTTATGACGACCAAATTAATGGTTTGACAGCGGCTTTCTCAATAAACACTGCAAACTGGCCACAGTCGAAGGTTTAAAAACCATTTCTTTTCTGTTCAAAATTCTGACAAACATGTCTCAACTAAGACTGGGGACAACTTCATTATCCTCCCTACACTTAATGTCTTTTTGTAAAGAAAGCTGTTTAATAACATGTCTGCTCTGTTTTCACAACTAAATTATTCCAGTTGGTCACACGTTCCGGTCTTCGGCAAGACACTTGTGCTACCAGAGATAAAAACATGAAAAAGGAAATATATTGCAGAAATCAAAAACCTTATCTACTTCTAGACTCTCTCTCTTTGCCATAATTCATTCAAGAAGGCCCCAAGAACAATTTTTGATGTAAACTCAGCTACAAACATACATCACTATGCTGATAAAAATCACAGGCTAAACTTATGAAATATAGTGACTTTCATTTCTTTAGTGATGTTAAAATAACTTTTTTCTAAGGTTCAACAGACACAAAAGATAAAAAGGGTTACCATTAATCCTTTAAATAATAAAGAAACAGAAGACGCCCCACAGATTAATTCTATGGTCTGAGGATGAACTTGCTAGATTGAGTCACTGAATTAATTTGATGAAGATACTGGAAATCATAAAACACATAACATCAAGCCGATTCATTTAATACATCTTTGGGCACTTTACAACATAAATTATGTGGAATAACTTTTGGATTCTAAATTCTGGCTTCAGTAAGTTCAGTTTTCAGTTAACAAACATTCAGTGAGGACAACTCTGCAGGCTCCGTGCTAGGGAGTGAGGACACGGAAGCCAGTTCTTGGGTCAGTTAGTTCACTATGGAGATGGAGGTGGGAGAGACGGGTGGGCCTCCAATGGATAAATACAGCACAAAGGGGTATTCCTAGAGGCATGTGCAAACTCCTGGGGGGCAAAGTGAACAGAGAGAGCCTGACACTGGAGCTGGGTCTTGAAAAATGAGCAGGCTGAGTACGGGGAGGTGGAAATGTTTGTAAGTTAGAGAGGGGGTCAGGTTCGAAAGGCATATTCCAGGCAGTGGGAACAGCACAGAATGCATCGTGTGCAAGTAGTTACAGTGACCACAGCCCAAATGTGAGATGGGAAACTATGGGCTATGAGGCTAGCGTGTCAGCTGCTTGCCAATGTCTGCAAAGGCTATGCTGGTCTGCATTTTATTCTGTAAGCCTATTTCAAATTTTTCTTCTGGCTGAGAGTGGTGGCTCACGTCTGTAATCCTAGTACTTTGGGGGACTGAGGCAGGAGGATAGCCTGAGGCCAGGAACTCAAGAACAGCCTGGGCAACATAGCAAGACTTTGTGTCTACAACTAAGTAGAGTTCCTTTGGTTCAAGGGGAGGCCTTATGCCCAACCTTCCCCCACCACCCACCCCGTACCCCTGAGGTCTCTCTGAGATGCTAGAGTTCTGAGGAACACGGTTTAAAAAGCACTGCCATAGGGGACAGGGACTTAGGCAGTGTTTTACTGGTGCAGTGAGCCTCTTTGTTAAGGAAAAAACCTGAATCCTGCATCTATTTCTTTCTCTAACCTTTCCACTCTAGCTTATCCCTTTATGCAACACAGAAGTGATTGCCTTTCATTTCTCAGAGACATGGAGAATTTATAAAATGTTACTGTTCAAAGCATCCTAAGTTCTTGGAGAGAAAGATGCTAGAACAATGACATCTTTATTGGCCGACAAGCTGAAGTGAGCGGGATTAGGAAGATGTTTATCCAAAGGCAGAGGGAATCCAGCAACCTTGAGGCAAGGCCCCCCAGCAGCAGGCACTTTTCTCACAGCCTTTTGCAGGGTCGGAGGCCTCGCTGGGATGACAGGAATGGCAGGAAGGGAGTGGGGTGGCCTTCCTCCTTCCCCTGGGTCCCCCTAAGTTCTCCCTTTTTGCCAAGCTGTAGGCGAATGAGCTGAACACATAGTCCAGCAGAGTTTGACAAAAAATTAAACACCCACCCATAAATGAAGCAATGTGGCATGTGCCCAGTCTATCAGCCCCCGTCAGCCCCTGTTTAGTCAGCGTTATCTCAAAAACTTGAATCGTATTACAAACACTCGCTGGCCTTTACATTTCTTATTGTTCCTTTTGAGTAAGTAATTCCTTATAACATCTGTTCTCAAATTTAGTGAATGTTGGACACGGGATTAATAAAAATTAGATGCTCAGTCTATACTCCCAAGTTACTGAATCACAATCTACTAGGGTGGGCCCTCGGTAACTGCATTTAACAGGCTTTGCAGATAATGCTTGTCTGTACCAGACTTTGAGAACCATTATCTTATAGCAGTCTCTAGGCAACTAACAAACTCTTATATAGTTTAAATTTTTTTCTTTCACAGAGGAATTTCAGTGTGATCTATGTGCCCTTTTTGCCCCTTGATAGGACTGGAGTCCTAAAAATGATTAAGTGATTAATCTAAATGCTACACCCAATTACTTAACTGCAAAAGTATAATATGCCAAAATACATAACTGGACTGTATCTACTTTGATAATTTAAGCGGAGGAATGCCAACCCAGCAGAGATCTCTTCTGTAGGACCAGGCAAGAGTTTAATCATGAGCTGGTAGGTCATGCAGCTGCCAATAATCTAGGGGGTGCTGACACTTCCGGCATGATGGATATATCTAAATCTAGGCGTTCGCCGCCTTGGGAAATCCCCAGCTTCCCTCCATCTCACAGGGAAGGAAGGCAGGTCCAGGTCTGACTGGTCAAGTCCCCCAAATGGGAAGGGGAAGGGAGCCCAAAGGGAAATGAGGGCTCTGGTGAGTGCAAATTCCCAGCAGAAATCTGGCCCTGTGCCCCCAGCTCCCGGGGCTGGGCTGCTGAGGTCAGGAGGTGGGCTGCGAAGTTCTCTGCAGCCATCAAGACCGAACAGGATGGGGCACATGTCAGGCTCTGGGCACCATAATACAATCCCGTTTGATTAAAAGAAATTTCTGGTAATGAATTAAAACAGACCCAAGGAAAAAAGGACACAGTGGCAATATATTCTCCTGGCACCCAGCACACAGAAGAGAAGAGAGGGGAAAGAGAGAAAGGAGACATAAATAAAAGGGACTACTCACTGGGGCTTTTCTCTTCAGCAAGGTCACAGGCACAGAGCAGGTCGGAATCGATTGAGATGGGTTTCTGCTTAATCCAAAACTTAGTGCTGGCTTTCTGATTCGTAACAGGGTCTATCTCTACTTTGTCTCCAGAGATACCTGTAAGCCAAGGTGAGGACACAAAAGAAAACACAAGAAGTAGAAGGTGTAAGTGATTTCAGGGAAATCATTTGACCTGTTTTATAAATCTGAAATTGCATGAACGTGAGCTCTTTCTTAGGGCTTTGGGGAATGCCACGGGCTTCCTGAGACAAACATAAGGACACTCCAAATGGCACACACAAGTTGCATAGTCTGGTTTCCTGGGTGGGTGAGTTGAGGGTGGGGGAACCCCCCCAAACTATATGAGAAGGTATTAAGAAACAAGCCTTCTTAGATATAACATGGATCCAACACAGAGAGGCTATTTACAGCCGTACATTATCTCTATATTGTAATGAAATAACCATCAGGTTTATTTAAAAAACAGTTTTGATTGGTGCTCTGAGTTGTTGTTCTCATTTAAGAAGATCTGGGGTGGACAGATAAATCTGTAACATCCCTATGTTTAAACAGCTAAGCTACCAATGAACAGCTTCTGATCTGAAACAACCTTATACACTAAAAAGAATAAAATAACTCTTCCTTTCTGTGACACTAAATAATTATCCAAGCTATATTTAAGGGAAGTCACGAGAGGATTAAACCTTACATAAAACCTTCCAAGTTCAAGTCTTGGAGCCTGGCTTCAGGCTGCAGAGGTCATTGCCCCCCTGCTGAGGGCGAGACTCGGCACTGGGTGTGAGTTTTACGCAACAGGAATCCAGAATGTTCAATACTGGCACTTCAGATTTTATTTTCAGAGCTTAAAAGACAACACGTTGTATAGTGACCGGGAATAAAGGTGTTTGCAGAACAAAGGTAATGCCAGGTATGGGAGGGGCCCTGGAATAAGTGTGGAAATGCACAGCAACCGCTTTCTCAGTACTGCAGAGGAGTACATGCTCAGCCCGCCACACACCACCTAGGCTAGATGTGCTCTTTTTCCTCTTTTGCTGAAAATTAAGGAATCTGTTCATGAAGTGAGACAAAAACCTTTAACATGCCTTCTATAGTGGGCCCCATATGGAACCTTAAAAGTAATTAATTTTTAGGCCATAGTTTAAAGGTCAGGGTCAAAGTGAAAAAAAGCAAAATGAAGATATAAGAAATAATTAAAATAACCAAATGTACAAAGTGAAACAGAAAAGACATAGTTAACATATTTCATCCTACGAATCACACTCAAATTTTTGAACAAAATGTGAGAAAACTTAGTAAGCCAAAAGCAGCAGCAGATAAAAGAAACAGTTCAATTAACCTCCCCCCAAAATAAAACACACACACACCCCAAACACAGTCTGACAGCAAATTTAAAATTAAAAAAACAAATACAAACAAAATCCTACTGATTAGGTCTGCTACACGCTCCATACATTTATATTTTATTTTATGAATAAATAAATCCCAAATACCAGCTAGACAAAGGCAGAAGAAGAATGTGTGCAGACAGACTACAGTCGAGGCTCCTCTGCTGCCTCCAGGGGAGACAATGCAGAGATGGCTGCTGTACCCTGGTCAGTACGTGTGGTCTTTGGTAAAGATGAACCATTGGTATTTTTTACTAATCGAACGCTGGAATTTGTCATTAGACCTATTTCAGGAACACCATATTTCAATTAGGCATAATGTCGTAAGTCCAGCTGACTCTGGACGTTCAGGTCTAGATGATTTCAGGAGGGTGAGAATGTATCAGGAGACCAATTTTATTACATTTCAGTTAAAATAGATTACGACTACCCAGTTACACTCTTGCCTCCAATTTGGTCATTAATTGTTAAAGATCTGGACATTTCTATAGTTCCCTGAAAGAAGTACTGAAGCCATGGTTGTCGGGTGTGTGTGTGTGCATGTGTGTGTTCCCCTTCTTCTTCTTATTTTGACATTTATAAAAGTCAAAATGAGCCGAGCAGAATAAACATGCATATCTCTTATGTGAAAATAAACCGTGCTCCACATTCTTTTCTCAGAAAGAATGGGGAAAAATATCATCACCAGAGACATGGTTTTAAAATTTTGTTCTATGCCCCTACAACTCTTGAAGCTGTAGTCAGTCAATACTGTTAATGTACCTTGTTAATTTGATAGGATTTGTCAGGTAACTCCACTGGAAAATTATATAAAACTGTTCCAGATGAAAAGATGATAGTGACATGAATTAAAGTGATAGAACAATAGTGGAATATAAACCAGAAATGACACCCAAAGTGGCTGTTGATTTATTGCCGTACTGAGTTTGGTTCTGGGCTCCCATGTATATTAGTGCTACAAATCTGGGTCCATTTAGCAGAGGGATGCTCATACATACATCACCAGCTCCTGCTCCAAGCCAAGGTCACTCCCCATTGCATCAATCTTTTCAACAGAGCCTACTTCACAAAGCAGGACTTTTGTAACCATCTCAGATGTAACAGACTCTCGTCCTCTTTCATCTTTCTTTTATCATGTAAAGTACACTTTAACTTCTATTATTTTTATCTGCAAATTGTTACCGTATAGTTCATCCATTACCAGCAGTATCTCTGCATCAATTGCCTAAGCTCTGCACAGCCACAGAACACTTTCCCAATGACGCCCTTTCCTGGGGTTATTGTGCAGTTACTGTTCACAGAGGGGCACCCCAAGACCGGGGCTTGGGGATGAAGATGTAGGAGATGAATGCAATAGGCTCAAGATGGGCAGACAGGTGGGATATCATTTAGACGGTGTGTTCCAAAAAAGTTGCATGTGAATCAGATTTTTTTTTTCTGAATCGAATCACATTTTCCCACTGACTTCTAGTTCCAGAGCTACTTTATCTTCATTTTAGATTGATCTGTAATTGGCAGGGGCTCCCAACACTTTAGTTTTAAGTTTCTCTGCCCTGTAGGCTTTCAGTCAAGTAGTTAATGATCTGTAAAACACTTGCCTGCCTAGAGGAGTCACTATTTAAAGAAACCTGTAGGGGAATCTTTCCTGATGGGAAAAATCCTTTTGTACATTAAATAATCTTACCCTCTTAACACTTGTGTGAGTCTCAGCTTCTTAAGGCAGCGCAGGCAGCACCGCAGCACCCTATCTGCTCCTGCCGCCATGTGTCAGCACTCGGCCTGAGGCAGTCCACGGGAGCAGCCCTCTTCCTGAGCACCCCCGGGAAGAGTGCACACCTACTGCAGAAAAGAGAAAGGAGGCCCAGAATCCAGCCTGGAGGCAAACAGAGGCCTCTCTGTCCTTGGCTTCGGAGCCCTCGGTAGTCTTCTTGGTTACAAGGAGGAGTTGGCTTGGTGGAGGAGAGATCAGTGAGGAAGCAGGTGCCACAGCCCAGGCCAGGGGCAGGGACAGTCGCGGCTGGGGTGCAGTGGGGATGAGCATATTAAAGACAAAAGAGTTAGGAGTAGGCAGATGGCTGCACACAGGGTGTGAGGGAGAAGGGAGTCAGAGAGGTTCCTGGGGCATCGCCGCAGTGATGAGGGGTGGGGGAAGAGGTTGTGGAAGCCAGGCTAGTGGGGTTGCAAGTGCGGAGGTTGAGTAGTACCCCACTTGTCACTGCCACTTCTCTATGCTAAGGGGAGTGAGTGGGTTGTGGGCAGAAGCAGCACTGTCTCCCTGTGAGCAGAGCACCAGGAGAAGAGGGCTGCTGCACACACGGTCCCTGTAGCTCAGACTCCTTAAGGCAAAGGCCTAGGCCAAGAGCAAAGGTGCAACCCTGGTAGGCTCACTGCCGTTTCTGCTTCGGCAGGCTCGGGCACCAGCGATCATTCAGTACAATTTTCTCCTTAGGCCCAACAGGCATGACGCCAGTTATAGACACCATTCACTGAGCACCTCCAGTATTAACATAACAGCTAACATTAACTGCCATCAACAATGTGCCAGCATGGTTAGAAATCCACTGTGTGCATGGACTCAGATCTCTTAATAACCTCATGAAGTTGGCTAGTATGTTCATCCTATTCTACTGACGAGGAAACAGAAACACAGTGAGGTCAAGTAACTTGCCTAAGATCACCCAGCTCAGAAGTGGCAAAGCTGCAATTTGAACTCAGGAAGTCTGGTTCCAGAATGTGTCCCCTCAGCCACTACACTATTCTGCAAGAACTGTGCTAAATGTTTCATATAACATATCCCAGGAGAGGGGAAGGTGCTTGCCTAGGTCAGGGAGCATCTAAGTGGAACAGCCACTGTTCAAACCCAGAGCTGCCTGGGTCTCAAGTCCCTGTTCTTTCTGCTGCTCTGCACAGCCTCAGCCGTGTCAGAAGATGTATTAATAATAAGGAGCTCTGCCCAAGCAGTCCTCCATCTCCTCTCTCAATTTTCACCAAGGAACAAATAAATGTTCACAAATGCCAATAAATGCACACATCTATTTTTTGTTCATACATGGCAAATTGGAGCATGAAATCCGATCAATATTCTTTCTGACCACCGAGCATAGTTTTGATTTCCTCGGCTAAAGTTTTTGCGTAAAGTCATTTAAGGAATGGCAGAGGCACTCCTTACAGTGTCACGTATGCACTGTTTTAAGTAATTCAAATTATAAATGTATTTCCAAGGAAATAAGAGAAACTGGCTTTTGTTACATTGACATTTCTCCAACTTAAGTGGCCAGTAATAGAGGAATAGTTGATCCAACAATGATGAAATACAAGATAACCACGAAAAGTTTTGACTAGAAAAATCCTTATAACACAATAGTAAGTGAAAAGGACAGGAAAACCATTTATAAAAAAAGATGTCAAAAGGACGTGCTCCAAAAACTGGTGCCAGTGGCCAACTCTGGTTAGTAGAATTATATCCTTTCCTTTTCTGTATTTTTTCCAAGATAAACATTTCACGAAAAATAAAAACAAACATCACTTTGAAAGCTGACACTTTTTGATTTCCACTTCAGAATTCAGTATCCTTTCTCGACTGTTAAAATGTGGGGAAGGATAAGTATGCTGAAGTCTTGATAATGGTGAAGTGATCCTCAGTGAAAGAATGCTTCCTTCTAGCAGTTCTTCAGCAGAACTTTTTTTTTTTTTTTTTTAGCAGAATTTCTTTAACAGAACTTCTAGCAGTTCTAGTGGTATGCCAGGGGTTGCGCTGCTGGGAAGGGCTCATGAGCTACACTACACCCAACCTGGTGCCCCTCTCAAAACTGGAGCCCGGCAGGCTTCTTTCCAGCTCAGGCAGGTGGGGAAGAAAAGAGCACGGGGGCTGGCCGGGAGCAGCCAGGGTCAGCCCCTTCTCTTGGAAACAAGGGAGGCAGTTTGTCTCCCTTACCAGCTCCCTCCCCTAACCACTTATCCACAGCCATCCGTCATGACCTTTTCATGCTCCCACTTCTGACAGCTTCCAGATACAGTGAGTCAAACTTCACTGGAAGCAAACTATCACACCAACTGTCAAAGGCAGAAAACATTGCCTGATTGCTGTCCTACATCAACGCCAGCATATAAATCCTTCCTTAACAAGACAGCTCAAAATAAACAAAAACGCAACTCTAATGTGTATACAGCTCTCTGGGGAAACTATTTGTGCAAGCCTTTAGAGTTATCACAAGGAGACCCTTGTCTGCTTTAGCTAACCAAGATTTCCATAAAAGGAAATTAGCACCGCGTAGCATCTTCTTCTAACACAGACTGAGCGCCCACTCTGGGTAGCCCCCACACTAGGTCCTTTTGTGTACAGAGGCTTATTGAGAGCTTAGAACACCTCTAATCAGGAAGGCACTATTAGCCTATCTTACATTTAAAGAGGGGGCTTAGGGGTAGGAAATCTGGAGTCAGAAAGTCCTCTGTTCAAATGTCAGCCTTCCTACTTCCTAACTACGTGACTTGGGAAAAACTTCTATAAAACGGAGATGATAATAATACACATAATAATAGATACCTCAAGTGCTTGTTGTGAGGATTAGGTGAAATAAGGCATGACAAGGGCTTGGAATTGTGCCTGATACATAGCTAGCGATGAATATTACTCCTTCTAATGATTATTATCAGAAGTCAGGCACTGGGTTAAGGATGTGACATAGACTCAGTGATGAGGGTCGAGTCTGGGGAGCTCAGGGAGCCACGAGAAGGAGGTGAATAAAGGACCTGCCTGGCTCTGGAATTGGAGGGCGAGAAGAATTCTCCCTGGGACCTTCTCTACATCCCAGTCTTGGGAGCACCAGGATCCAGTTTGGGAGACAATGCCTTCATCCCCACAAATCCCCCCAGTAACCTCCCACCACCAAGTGTCACTGGGCATATCTCCTCCTCACAACCTCCAAGAGTTCAATTCAAATCAGGAAGAATGTTCTCAGATCTGGAATGTGGAAACTTTTGTGCTAGGGAATCCTCATCCTACTGGGTCTCCAGGCCACAAATTTGGAGGCCCTGATTATGCTGGCACATCCCCACTGGTGTTATCCTGGGCAAAGTCACTGCTCCCTTGGTGAGCCTGATCATTCTCCTCTGTAAAATGTACTAGCCTATGGTGAATCAAATTAGTAAACTGGAGAGCTTGGGTTCAAGTCCAGGTCTAGCTGCCTGGTGAGTTCTGACTTGCCAGCTGTTTCCTATTGTCCCAGAGGAGACTGCTTGACTCTTGGGAGGTACAACCTCCCCTATGGTACTCTTAAAATACCCCCTTAAAAAAGCTAAAACACCACTTTGGCAAAAATTAAGGCATTTAACAATTCATGTCTTAGTGTATTTCCTGTTATCATTTGCTCAGATATCATAAGCTGTGGTTCATTCATCAATTTCCTACAGCTTTGAATCTAAGGCTACAAAAGTCCCACTGCTGTTAAATCCTGGAGCAGCTTTTTACACAATTCTACAATCCTCTTGTCTTCAGGTTACCGAGAGCCTATGAAAGCCTGGAAAAGCCCCCAAGGGAGTGCCACTGAACAACTCTTCGCCAGAGTGGATTTTGCTGAATATATACAGCCAATCGATAGCATCCACAGAGCAGTCAGGGAAGTCTTTGAAACTTGTCTGAATTTACACACAAGATCAGACACACAGGCTGTTTGGGCTTAATGAGACCTTAGAGATCACCTAGTCTGGGGTTTTCATTCTCCATATGAAAAAATTGAGGCTCAGGGCTGGGACATGACTTGTCTGATGTCACCCATTAATGACAGAGCTGTAACCATAATTCATATCCCCATACTACCAGGCCAGGGCTTAAACAGACCAGCTCACCTGCCATGCAGGAGTACTGCATATTCACACTGATCAAATGCATTACAATAAAAAAGCGCTGTCTCCAGCAATTTAAGGCACCCAAAATAGATGACAAAACCATATTTCAGGTCACAACTAAAATGAAACCCAGTAGAGCCTTACTTTCTTGAGATCAAGTGGAGTTCTAGGCCCCAGGATCACTGGTTTCATTCAAAGGACTAACCATTCTGAAACGGTTTGGGAACCACAGCTAAAAGCTGCCAATTCCAATATGTGGTCAGTAAGAGACTCAATGACAAGTCCGAGTGTACCTGACTAGACTGTTAGGCTTGGCACGCAAAACAAGGAGTGGCCTGGACACGAACGAACGCAGAGCAGCAGTCAGCACAGGACACAGCACCAGGGCAGAGCTTATGAAATCAGACCTGGGACTGTTTAATCCCAGAAAGACTTGTCTTTGAATGAGTGCTAAGTTCTCTCTGCAGAGAAGGCATTTACAAAGATTCTGCACTAGGACAGCTAGATCACCAAACTACTCTCTCAGTAAATGGATACCTCAGGTGAGCCTATGATGTCAGCTAGGAAGCAGCAGGCCCTAAGAGAATTTACAGTATCACTTGTAGAGTGGGGAAAACCTGATCTTCCCCATGTTCAGGCCCTGTTGGAGCTCAGGTGCCAAAGATGAGGAAGTGATTAAAGGAGCACAGAACTCTGGATGAACGCTCATGAATCCGACTCCCATTAATTCCATCATGCCAGTGCTTCTCAACTTCTTCCAATTCTCAATTCTTTCTCAGCCACCTGAGGAACCTGACACATTGTCATTAATAACCCTGGGTTACTCCATAGGAATTCTCAAAAGGGTGGCTCTGGGAGCAGGGAGCCAGAGGAAGCTAGGCCTTAAGAAAAAGCCCACAGTGTTTCCAATATTACCAGTTAGGTGATTTTTCCCTAAGCCAATCACTGCATTTAGTGCAAAAGTGGTAACGGAGTTTTCTGGAGGCAGTCTTGATAGCATGCATCCTCTGCCTCATCAGTTCATTAGTATAAGTCAATTCCAAAGTTTGGTTCAGGAAATGCTGTCACAATAGGGACTGAACAATCATTTAATATCAGAATTGCCAACTTCAAATTACTGAACGGACCCAGGGATTTGAGTTAAATGTGACGCACGCCTCCTCCTGATTGTGTCTTGGAATGGAGAGGGGCACCTCCTTAGTGTTCAACGGCAAAGTGAAATGGAAACATGGAAGATCAATCCACTTCCTAAGAACACGCATGTTCAGATTATGTGATTACTTGAACTGTACTCCACAGGTACCCCACTGGAAACTAACAAGGGAAAATGTTTTATTCATGTGGCCACCCAGAACCATGTTTAGCCTGAGAGTGTGCCTGAGGAGTGAGGCAGTCCAGGCCACCGCTGCTGCTTTCACTCACTATTGTGCTGTTACCGTGTTTCTTAAGTTTGCATGTTGTATACTTAAAAATAACACCATAATAAAGTCTTCCTTTGAGTGCCGGCCTGTGGTTATTGACTAGTGGGTTAAATAATAACTGCGGTAGGAAAGACAAGGCAGGGAAGACAAGAAATGGCAAATATGCTGCCTGTCATCATGCTCAGGCCCAGGGCAGACATTTCTAATCAATCACAGAGTTTCTTTATGTTGCCCTCAGACACAGCTGGAGATGCTGCCTCAGCATAATGCTCTGGGCAGCCGTTATAAACTTGACTGGAGCCAGCTGATGAGACGAAACCTTTTTGCCTTCTCTAGGACATGTGGTATTGTACTTGATATTTTCATAAAGAACTACCATAATCACAAGTCTTATGATTATACATACTGGACAGTTTTATGAAAAGATAATGGAAGTAACCATGGAACCTTTTGGTAGAAGTCATTTTCTATCATTTATCTATAAATCCTATACAGACTCTGTATATCTTATACAGAATTATTTTATTAGGTTATAGATGCGATGCTGATAGGATGGAATTCATGGTATCTTACGTGTTCAGTAACAGATCCCTTCGGTGACATGGGAACGGTCTACACTGATAAATGAGGCAAACAAACCAAGTGAGTACAAGTGGTGCAAATATCAAACCACTTCTCAGCGTGAGACTGCATCAGAAAAACCAGGTTGACCTGCCCAGTCAGTAAAAACAAGCTTGGACAAAGAGATAAGGGGTAAGAAAGTCCTTTCAATACTGTGAGTTTGTGTCCCCTAAACACCACAATCTAGGGGAGATATTGAGCCAGCAGGCCTGGGATGAGGCCAGGGACTGGGTGACTCTGATATATGTTCAGGGTCAGACCCACTGCCCCGAGGTGCTCTGCATATAAGAGGTGTTCACTGTGGGGATGTCTTGGCCCTGTCTGCCATGGTTCTTGCATTGGTTTCTGTGCTTTCCTTTGGCTGGTGCATTGTAATTTAGCTTCTGCCAGCCAGCCAACAAATACTTATTGATAATATACTGTGGGTTTCTTAGATTGTGGCTGCATTCTCCGCTTGACCCGTTCTGTTTCAATGTTCCCCTAACTTACTTCCCCCTACCAGCCCGTTTGGGTGGCACATATCTCAGTGTGCAACCTCCCTCAAGTGGTTAGGCACACAGGATCAGGTATATGGAAGACCAAGTTAATGGAAATAACCTCAACTTGGTAGAATCTCAAGTAAAGCTACACTTGAAGGACATCTGTACTTTTTAGGACTGACAGAGGGAAAGCAGACAAGATGAAATATTCCAAGAATGTTTTAGAGAAATACAGGAATGGTTTGGAATGATGACTTTGGTAAGATTCTGGGCTGGTAGAGCAGGAATGGCAAAGATATTTCAATTTAAGAATTACCTTCAATTGATGGGTAGGGGTTGCTTATAGGACTGTGTTGGAACAAATTCTGAGGTTAGGTCCGGGCCCAGAGGGAGGAAGCGCAGTGGCTGATAAACAACATCTAAAATAAAGAGGAGGAGGGTATCACAGTACGTGGACATTCATCTCCAGATACTAGGGGCGGGAGAAGAGCAGGAATATGCACAAGTTTAGGAACTGGCCAACTAGAAGTAATCACTTCCGTTGTGCAGTTGAGTTATTTTTTCTTTATATATATAAATTTAGAGACAGGGTCTTGCTTTGTTACTCAAGCTGGAGTACAATGGCACGATCCTAGCTCAATGCAGCTTTGAACTCCTGGGCTCAAGGGATCCTCCTGCCTCAGCCTCCTAAGTAGCTAGGACCACAGGTATGCGCCACCACACCCAGCTAAGGTTTTTAAATGTTTTGTAGAGACAGGGTTTTGTCATGTTGTCCAGACTGGTCTTGAATTCCTGGCTTCTAGCAATCCTCCCACCTTGGCCTCCCAAAGTGCTGGGATTACAGATCTGAGCCATCCTGCCCAGTCTGGGGGTGAATTATTAATGACACCTGTGGATTGGCACCTGTGGTATGACAGATTGGGTCTGGCGTATGGGACTGAGTTTCTGCCTCAATTCTGCTGGAAGTCTCCGTATATCTGATGACTGAGGTGTGGGAGAGTTGGTACTAACAGCTAGGTACCTCTCAACACAGTGGTTTACATAAACCACGTTCTTCCAAACTCCTCCAAGCCTCAGTTTTCCCAGTCATGAAGTGGGAACAACAATATCAATGTGCTGTGTAGATTAGATGAGGTTATCAGGGAGAAAGCTCTTGGTGTATTGTAAGTTGTCATAGTTCCACAGAGATTTAGCACAATGATTCGCATGTAAGGCAGAGCAGTTAGGCTCAGGACTCAACCTCAGACAGTCTTGGATTCTTATTCCGGCTTGATTACTTACTAGATTTTTCCTACACCCCAGTTTCATCATATAAAAAATGGTGATAAAATCAGTACTATCTAATAAGAGTGCTTCGATTTCAGGCGCCAGCGCATGCAAAGAGAACAATTAGCAAAGTGCTTGGCACACAGTAAGCACTTGATAATAACTGCTTTGTAAAAATTCTATTTCTCATTACTATTATTTTAAAAGACCAGAGCTGTGTCATATGTTTCATTAATGGGGTTTTTCGGTCATAGAAAAGTCTGGTGGAGGCCGGGCACGGTGGCTCACGCCTGTAATCCCAGCACTTTGGGAGGCCGAGGTGGGTGGGTCACCTGAGGTCAAGAGTTCGAGACCAGCCTGACCAACACGGGGAAACCCCGTCTCTACTAAAAACACAAAAATTAGTTGAGCGTGGTGGTGCATGCCTATAATCCCAGCTACTTGGGAGGCTGAGGCAGAAGAATTGCTTGAACCCGGGAGGCGGAGGTTGCAGTGAGCCGAGACTGTACCATTGCACTCCAGCCTGGGCAACAAGAGCGAAACTCCATCTCAAAAAAAAAAAAAAAAGTCTGGTGGAAAATCGACTTAAGTTTGGGTCTTGCAGGTCAAAATTTGAGTCTCTCATCCCCTGACTTTCTCAGAAACAACTGGAACAGAGGCCACTACCACCCCATCAGAAGACAAGCAACTGGGTGGCACTGCAGAGCCTGGGGATTCTGATCCTCAGCTGCAGCTCTTACTACCACTAATTCAGCATGGATGAGTGGTTTTCTGTGGAATCAGCAGGGATGCTGGGCAAATGCCACACACTTACTTTCCACTTAAAAGATGTTGCCACAGGGGCCAAGTGAAATCTCTGTTCTGATTGACACAGGATGGACAGGTGGAGGTGACCATCCATCAGTGTCAGGAAGGACCTGAAGCACCTGGCTAGTCAGGTGAAATAAAATAAATTATTTACTCGTCTCAAAATCCAGCTGCTCACTTGAATACTCATACAGGGTGTGCTGTTTGCCTCCCTACTCTTGGCAGTAGAACGTCTCAGGAAGAAAGAATTTCTGGATTGCTAGGTGTGGGTTTTTGTTGTTGTTAGAATGTGAGGGTGATATCTGCTTTGTAAGGAGGGAGAGAGGGTCTTCAATTACATACCTGTGTAATCTACGTGGGATGGGAAAATGGGTTTATTTATTCAGTGCATGATATAATACTCATGGGCAGTCTGTCTGATTGTCACAAAATTCCTTACGACTAATTAATGAAATTTCTGATTATAATGATAAAGACTGAACTTTGAGGACAGAAACAAATGTTCTGACATCATCTCTTTTAGAAGCCCCTCTGAAATGCGACTCTACACCAGAGGGTGCCATGTGTGTCACTGGAAGCATTCCAAGCATTCACAAGTGACGCCCCAGCCTCCAGTCGCCTCACTTCCAACAACCAGGGAGATACTTGCATGACTGTCATCATTCATGTCTACCTGACAAGTCTCCATTATGGCCACAAGTGGAACTTTGCCAGGAGAGCCACCCCCTGATCTAAGTGATCTGGTTTAATACTTTCAAGATGGTGGACCTGGAGAGAGGGCAATAGGCAAAATAAATAATAATGACAATGATAATAACACTACGATAAGCTACTGCTTAGAATATGCTTCTATGGGCCGGGCGCGGTGGCTCACGCCTGTAATCCCAGCACTTTGGGAGGCCAAGGCGGGTGGATCACAAGGTCAGGAGATCGAGACCATCCTGGCTAACATGGTGAAACCCCGTCTCTACTAAAAATACAAAAAATTAGCCGGGCGTGGTGGCAGGCGCCTGTAGTCCCAGCTACTCAGGAGGCAGAGGCAGGAGAATGGCGTGAACCCGGTAGGAGGAGGTTGCAGTGAGCCGAGCTTGCACCACTGCACTCCAGCCTGGGTGACAGAGCGAGACTCCGTTTCGGGGAAAAAAAAAAAAAAAAAAAAAAAAAAGAATATGCTTCTATGGGCCAGACACTTTCATAGAATGTTAAAAGGTAAACATTATTATCCCCATTTCATACATGGTGAAAACTAAGATTGAAAAGGGAAAAGACTTGTCCAGGTGACACTGCAGGTAAGTGGCAAGGCTGGGATTCAAACTCAGTGCTGACTGACTGCAGAGCTTGGGCTCCTCCCACAAAGCCTTTTGTGGACTTTTTCCTTTGAAATAATTTACATGTCAGGCTCTAATGAATTAAAGTTTGTCTTTTTTGCCTTTGGAAAAAAGTGGGGAAAGAAGCCCATGATCTTGGTTATCATTCCAAGGCAGCGCTTTTCACACTGGGGAATGAGCGGGGATGGATTTGCTGATGATGCTCACCTGGGCCCTTGCTTTGACCCTCTGTCTTGACCACAGTTGGGCTACTTATTGGGCTTCTTTTTTTCCTTTGAGACAGAGTCTAACACTGTCGCCCAGGCTGGAGTGTAATGGCGTCATGACAGCTCACTGCAGCCTTGACCTCCCAGACTCAAGCGATCCTCCCATCGCAGCCTCCTGAGTAGCTGGGACTACAGGCAGGCACCACCACACCTGGCTATTTTTGTATTTTCTGCAGAGATGGAGTCTCACCATGTCGCCCAGGCTGGTCCTGAACTCCTGAGCTCAAGTGATCTGCCCACCTTTGTCTCCCAAAGTGCTGGGATTACAGACGTGAGCCATGGCACCCAGCCTACTTATTGGGCTTCTTAAAAGTAGGCCCATTCAGAAAAAGCAGGCCCTTTGCTATTGGGCAAGTACTGCAGCTAAACACAAACTGGATGTTTGAGTGGCATTCTTACTTTCATAAACTGAAAGTGTGGCCAGGCGTGGTGGTTCACGCCTGTAATCCCAGCACTTTGGGAGGCCGAGGTGGGTGGATCACTTGAGGTCAGGAGTTTGAGACCAGCCTGGCCACATGGTGAAACCCCGTCTCTACTAAAAATACAAAAACATTAGCTGGGCATGGTGGTGGGCGCCTGTAATCCCAGCTACTCGGGAGGCTGAGGCAGGAGAATCACTTGAACCCAGGAGGCAGGGGCTGCAGTGAGCCGAGATCAAGTCATTGCACTCCAGCCTGGGCAACAAAAGCAAAACTCTGTCTAAAAAAAAAAAAAAAAAAAGAAGAAGAAGAAAGAAAGTGTACACACAGAAAAAGTGCACAAATCATGAGTATATATACCATGACTTTTCCACAAAGTCTACAGACCCATGTAATCAGCACCCAGATCAGAAAACAGACCCTTTCCAGCTTCCCAGAAGCCCTTCTCCAGCCACTACAACCATCTTACCTGGAATAACCAGTATCTTTACTTCTTACATAAGATTATTTCCTTGTATTTGTGAATGTCATATAATAGAATCATATAGTATGTACTCTTTTATTTATTTTTGAGAACTGGCTTCTTTTTGATCAGTCTTATTTCTGAAATACAGTAGGAAAAACATCCCCAGGAGGAACAACACTGAATGACTTTATGATTTAAGAATCAACACTAAATAAGCAATTTCACCACTTTAGATATTTAAGGTTTTTATGAGGAAGAAGAGCTACAGTTAAGTCCTCACTTATTGTCATTCATAGGTTCTTGGAAACTTCAACTTTAAGTGAAATGATGTACATAATTTTGTTCAATGTCGTTTTGTTATAATGTTGATAAGGGAAAAAATGAGTTTTGTTATATGTCATTTCACTTAAAGTTACAGTTTCCAAGAACCTTTGGATGACATTAGGTGAGGACTTAATGCAGAGGGGAAAAAAAGGTGGGGTCTGCTTTGGTTCGAAGTTACTGAGTGCTGTCTCATCTGATCAGCCTGCTAGAATCACCATCATCTTAGCAGCTAATGCTCACTAGGCACTTGCTAGAGGCCAGGTGCCTAAGTTCTCTGCATGTGCTGCGGCATTTCATCCTCACAGTTGAAAAATTATCTTTGTTTTTACAGATAAGGAAACTGGGGCTCTGCATCATTTGCCGGTGGTGATACAGCTAATAAACGAGCAGGGTTTGTACCTGGGCCTCCGACTCCTGAGTGAGCCCTCTGAGCACCACACTCTACTGCCTCCCAACTAACAGCTCTCACATAGGGAAGTTTACAACTGCAGGCCCCGTACTCAGTGCTTTACATGTGGGATTTCACTCATTCCCCATAGCAACCCTGCGTCATTGGTACTACTGATATTCCCATTCAAGCAGGATAGAATTGAGGCTCAGAAAGATTAAAACACTGGCTTAAGGTTACATGGCTGTCTATTGATAGAGCACAATTTAAACCATTTGTGATTCTCTTGCCCATCTCTTAATCACTAAGCTGTATTGTCAGCATATTGGAAGTTCCTGTCAGTCAAGTTGGAAAGGAACATGTGAGGAGATTTTTGAGGCCTCTTACGAGTTAGCCAGGTTCAAACTAATGCCAACATTAGAAAAGATTTTATTATGACAAGCATACAAAGCATTTGTGAGAAACATAAAATAAATGAACCCTAAGAGTTAAAAGGAGACGCAGGAAGAGGTGGTGTGGCAGAGACAGGGTGCAGCTCAGCTCCCTGACTGGGTGAGCCTGGCATCACTACCCATTCTTCCTCTCCCTCGGCCATCACATGGGAGACCCTTTGTTAGGGAGCAGGTGCACTTGAGTTGGTCAGACCAGGGTTTGCTCCTGGCACCACCACCTAACCACTGTGTGAGTTGGGCATGAGACTTGACTGCTCTGTACCTCATTTACCCCCTCTGTTAGATGGGGACAGTAAAAATACCCCACCTTTTAGGTAGTTAAGTAGTACATGTAAAGCACTTAACACAGTGACTAATACACAGCAGACACCTATAAAAGGCAGCCATGATGATGATGATGATGATGATAATGATGATGTATTAATAGTATGTTGCTTACTATGACACTTTTCCTACTCCGGTTTAAGTCAAAACAGAAATTTAGCACATAATTAGAACAAATTAATCCCAAATATGAGTTGAAAGTTCCAAATTATATGACGAAGATCCAAATATACCTTCTGAGACATTAAAAAGCTTCCTGAATAAAGGCCTGAATGAATAAGCAATGAGCTAGCTGAGTTAAGAACAGGCAGGTGGCACCGTCACAAAGCAGTTCTAAGGAGAGCAGGCAAGAGAATTACAGAATGAAAAGAATTATGGAACTTCACCGAAGTCAATCAGTTTGAAAAGAGTCTCAAGTTAGTTCTATTTCTAATCTTCTGCTTCATAAAAAAGAAGACAAGACAGAGCACTCAAGTGGGAAAAAGGATGTACTTCAAATTCCATTGTTTAAACATTTTCTCAGAAAACAAATTACTTTTAGTCATTCAGGTCACATAAAAGTTGTATGTTGTTTCTTTCCCCATTTCTACACCGACTGCTGACACGACAAGCTAGCTCATCACCTGCTCACACACTTACCTAGCTGTACGTCGGTTGTGAATCGCAGTCTGTGGATCATGCTGACTTTGAATGACTTGTAATGGTGGCTGCTAAGCATATCCTGTACTGTGGCTATGTCAATTTGCGAATCCTCCTCAAAAACCCCGTCTGCCCTTGAACCTGGGGAGGAAAAGGCAGTTTAACACATAAAGATACATGAGGCTTGGCAAATGGTGTCTGCTTAAAATGCTTTGGGATAAATTAAAATAATATGGGCTATTTAATTTGGAGAAGAAAAGGCTGAGCGATGACTTAATAATGCCATTCCAGTAAACAGAGAATGGTAACATATTAATCATTCAACAATTAATTCCACAAACACTATGGCAGGTCCTTGGCTGGGCAGCAGGGATGCAAGGATAAAAAAATTCCTGCTTGCTCTTGGCAGGAAGCTCAGTCCACAGGAGTGAGTCAAAAGCACAAGAGCTTGGGTGGTGTTAGCAGTGTCACGGGTCTTGTTTTTTTTCTAAATGTGATTTTCCTAATCACAAAAGTAATCCACATTCCTTGAAGAATCTCTGTCCTTTCCAAGATTCCCAAAACGTCTTCTTTACTGCCTCTCACCCTGCGCCCCACAGCCTCCATGTGGGATTTCACTCGTTCCCCATAGCAACCCTGAGCCATTGGTACTGATATTCCCATTCACGCAGGATAGAATTGAGGCTCAGAAAGATTAAGACACTTGCTTAAGGTTACATGGCTGTCTATTGATAGACATAGCTGTCTACTGACAGAGCCCCCACTGGCTCAGGGGGCACCTGCTAGTGCTTGAGTGTGACAGTCTCATCACTGGCCTCCTGGTCACCAGGCTCTTCCTCTGCAGTCCAGCCGCCACAGGCTTTCTGATCCATTTTTCTAAAGGTTGGATCATTCATTCATTCACCAAATGCTCAGAGAGCACCCTGTGCATGCTAAGTACTCTGATATGTGACACTGGAGACAGATAAGAAGCCTGGTGCTCAAAAATCTTCCCTGGCTCCACGGCCTCCTGAATGAAGAACACTTTTTTAGCCAGGCAATCGGGGCAGCCCATAATGTGCCTGAAACATACCAATATTCTTCTCACTTCTCACACATGCCTTCTCTCAGCCCTCTCAAACCCCTCAGACTGCACAGTGCTTCAGGCTTTTATAATTCTGGGCCTTTGCTCATGTGCTGCCCTTGGCCTAGAACAACCCTCTCATCCTCACCCAGACCTGTTGAAATCCCTCCACCCCTCCCTAGGCTAGCTCAAACTCTACCTCTCCTGTGAAATCTTTTCTGATGGTTCTTCTGGAAGTGAATTCCATAAAAGTTGGCTTATACTGGACCCTGGAGCCCGACAGCTGCGGCCGCAACTCCTAGCTCTGCCTCTAATTTGCTGTATGATCTTGGGCAAGTGACTTTATCTCTCTGAATTTCAGTTTTTGCCATTCACATCCAAATTTAGGTAAAGAATATGTATGCTTCATAAGAGCAGTGACTATTTTTCTTCTAGTGTCAGGGTGGATTATATTCAGCCGTGTGCTAGAATTGCTTAGTGGTTGCTCTGTCCTAATCTGGAAGCTTTGTGAAGGTCAGGAAAGTTTCTTACTCATTTTTATATCTTCTGCAAGCAGTAAAGGCAACTGGTATGCTCTCACTAAATTGTGCTAGATAAATAATAGCTAGTATACATGAGTGCTTACCATGTGCCAGGCTTGGTGTTAAGCATTTCACACGTTACTGCATTGAAGGTCTTATAATTTTCCATATTACAGATGAGAACTCTGAGGCTTTGGGAGGCTGTCACATGCCAAGGTTACACTAAGCAAAGTTAAACTATCTCTCAGTCCCTGGACTTTGAAATGTGGACTTCTGCAGATGCAGCTGTTGGTGCCATCACCAGTGCAGGGGGTAGAATGGGTTGGGAGGGGAGGAGCCTGTCTCGCAGGGGCTGACCACAGTAGGGTGCTCTAGGCCTCGTGTTGAGCACTCAGAGACAGTTCCACAGGGAAACCTAGGGAGAACTCTAGGGGGAATGGAAAACTCTAGATTTGGGTATAAAACTGGAAAATTTTGTAACAAACTGGTAGCCTGACAATGATATGCTTTTCCTTCCCACAGTTACTGCTTACGGGGCAAGTATTTTAAGTCAAAGTTGGTGTCTGATGCTTTCACAGTGAAATCATTTATTAGGAAATTTGTGTTCTATTTGCAAACACTACAGTAATTCCCAACCTGGACCATCCCAGCACCCACAATAGTACTTTCCTTCAGTAAGGACATGACCTCGCCCTTCACTGAGTGCCTCTGGCAGAATCCCATCTCAGAGCCTCTTGCACATGCTGTCCTCTCTGCCCAGGTCACCCTTCTCCCCATCTCATTCTCTCCCGGCCCCTCCCTGTTTTCCTACTGAAGAGCAGAGCACCAGTGACACTCCAGGGAAGCCTTCCCTGGCCGCAAGCCCCCGGCACTAGTTTGGCTCCTTCTGTCCCCGTATCCTGCATTTTTCTTCAGAACAGTTATCACAGGGAGTAATTGCCTGTCTCTGCCATTAGACTATAACCCCAAGAACACAGGGACTGCTTTCTCACCACTGCAACTCAGACACTGCCAGTGCTACCACTCAGAGGATAAAGCAGAGCTCAATAAACATGTACTGAACGAATACCAGGTGCCATGTCCACAGGAAGGTGAGGGTCAAAGAGACAGAGTGACTTAACCAACATTGCACCTCCAGGACACTGCAGAGCTTCACTCCACATCTGCAAGGGCCACTGGGTAGCCCCTTTCCTTTCTTTGCAGCACCTATGATTTTGGACAGAGATGCCATGATCCTGATTACCACTCTCTCCTGGGTAATACTGAGGCTGGTTAGGATTTGGAGTTTCAAATAATCATTCACTTTTTCCAGTCATTTTTACTGAAACATAACTGCCAAAACATGTTTTATTTCTATTTTAGAACTTCTTATACATGAGAATTGCAGAGAATTTTGGTAAAATATTAAAATCATTTAATGTTTTAAAAATCATTTCAAGTCATCTTTTCTGAGAAAATGCTATTATTAGATACAATTTAGCTCTGAGCTCAAGAACTTCTGTTTGCTTTACTAATTAGTGTTTTCTAAATATTGCAGGTATTTGATTTGGAAAGAGGTAACAGCTCATTATGCTAAAATGCCAATTACTAAAAAAAAAAAAAAAAAACCCACACTTAAGATTTTTACATTTTATGATGTTGGATTAAAACCAATTTAAAAATTACTATAACGTGACATATAATTTTTTACTGAGCAATTTCAATGCCAGCTGCTAATAAAGCATCTTAGCTATAAATGATAATTCAGATGCTTTTAGATAAAGTGGTGCATAAATATGGCTGGAAATTGATTTAGCTTCTTACAGAAGCTACTGAAGAATGACATATTTTGTTTAATACACCAGCTAATGTAGTCCTAAAAGCTCAAACAAGTGCCAGTTTTCACTCCTAAATTTGCTGTGGGAGATTAATGAAAACTTTATATTTTGCTGAAATGTTAATAATGGGCAGATGAGATGATAGGATTTTAGTAGAGGTCTTAAAGCTATGAAATAACCAGCAAGGCTTGTCAATATCCTTGTATTAATTTTGTACAAGACTTACATAGCTGGAGCTGGCTCAACACAGTAATGCTTCTTGCATTGACCTTCTACTCTCTGATAGCGTAAATTCATATCCCATTTGAGGATTTAAGTCCCCCCGATACCTGGGGGAGTTCTGAGCCTTGCCCCAACTGACAAGGGGCATGTCTGTGTTTATGATCAGAAGGATAACAGCACCTGAGGGAGTACAGAAGGAATAGTCCTGTACTCGCCTCCAATTCACGCTGCTCACTCCAAAGCAGGTTATCTGATGAATGGGATCAACTTCTGGTTTTGGAGTTCCAGTGTCATTTCTTTCTTTCTCTCTCTCTTTTGAGACAGAGTTTTGCTCTTGTTGCCCAGGCTGGAGTGCAATGGGGAGATCTTGGCTCACTGCAACCTCTACCTCCCAGGTTCAAGCAATTCTCCTGCCTCAGCCTCCCAGGTAGCTGACGCCTGGCTAATTTTTTGTATTTTTAGGAGAGATGGGATTTCGCCTTGTTGGCCAGGCTGGTCTCGAACTCCTGACCTCAGGTTATCCACCCGCCTCGGCCTCCCAAAGTGCTGGGATTACAGGCGTGAGCCACCGTGCCCAGCCTCCAGTGTCATTTCTCAAAGTAGGCTCAGGAGTACCACTTGTTGGAGGGGTCATGTCTATTGTATATGCAATGGTGCAACCACTTCTCTGCCCATGCTAGCAGTATGCTAGACGGTGGGGGACACTGGTGAGGATAAAGCAGGGTTCCTGATCTTCAGGAGCTTACAAATTAGCCAAAGGCCAGAAAATAGTACAAGGCAGAAAGAAGTGCCTAAAAATGGTGCCTGCAATAGACACTTTATCTAAAGACAAATACCTGAAGCAAAGCATTCATTATTCCAAAAGCATATTTTTTGGACCAGAAAAGTTCTATGACTTTGCATGTATACGTTTACTGTTTGTATCTTTCCAGAAAGGAGTGAACCCAACCACACATGAAAGATGAAAGATGCTTGATATTGTACCATCTGCATATTAAAATTACTCTACGACAACCTTCACATTAAAAAGTCCACTTCTGTTCAAGAGAAGACATTTTTAGCAACTCAAAGTGAAAAGCAGAGAGAACCAGAACATCTTAAAAATAAACATACTGAAAAAACAAAAACTACTCCCTGTTAATTTAACTGAAATATAACCCATTGGTATTTTGTTAAATTAGCAAATAAAAAGGTCACAAGCAATTAAATGAAACAAAAGCCACACTGTGTTCATCTACATTAATGCTGAACTGGGTCTCCTCGTGAATGACAAGATAAATTGTTATGGTGCCTTCAAAGACTTCACAATGTATTTTGTCAAAGTCGGGAGGGTTAATGTCTCTATAAGCCACGGATTACCATAATGTATTGTGTCAAAACGCTCAAGCTGCAATAACTCAAAGATGTATTGTGATAGATCAAATTTTGGGGTGGGGCCTAATAGTGACTTGAGCACCACAGCTCAAATGGACTGACAACAAGGCTCCAGAAGAATGACAATCACAATGTAGGAAGGTATGGAGGACAAGCAGAAAACCCAGGAGGAGAAGCAGCTTAAGTCTCGGGAATACAAAATCAGGAAAGGAGAACTGAGGAATGAGGCCTCACACCTGTCTTCAGTGAAGAATGGCAAGAAGAGGCCACGGCAGGCAAAGGGAAGCAGAGAGGAGTTGAGGAAGGAGGCAGGTGGAGTCTAGGGCCTGCAGCCAAGAAAGAAAGAGAAGGTGCTGGGAGGCAGCCTTGGGGATTAATAACATTAGAAAGAACATGGAATATAAGAGTACAGAGATAGAGATTCAAACTGTCACTCAAAGTGTCAAGACTGGGTCAAAACCTTGCCCAGGGTTCCACTGTTAGGAAAGGTGAAACCGGGACAGATCTGTTGGACTCTGGAGTCCACGTGCCTTCTCCTTTCCCTTCCCTCAAGTGGTTAAAGGCTGCTCCTGCCCTGCCTACCTCACCACACTCCTACAGCAACAGCACTGTAATAGACTGTTGAGTCGAATAACTGTAAATTCTAAATTAGTGGTTCTCAAAGTGCACACTGGGTCCTATGGTGGTGGTGGTGGTGGGGAATTCCCAAGTCCCCTTCAGGGTCCATAATTGCAATACTATTTTTATAACAACAGCAAGACATGACTTACTTTTTTCATGTCCATTCTCTTACAAGTGCACAAAGGAATAAAAAGCTTGGCTGGGCGCAGTAGCTCACACCTGTAATCCCACCATTTTGGGAGGCCGAGGTGGGTGGATCACCTGAGGTCAAGAGTTCGAGACCAGCCTGACCAACATGGTGAAACCCCGTTTCTACTAAAAATACAAAATCAGCTGGGTATGGTGGCATACGCCTGTAATCTTAGCTACTTGGGAGGCTGAGGCAGGAAAATCGCTTACACCCGGGAGGCAGAGGTTGCAGTGAACCAAGATTGCGCCACTGCACTCCAGCCTGGGCAACAAGAACGAAACTCTGTCTCAAAAAACAAAACAAAACAAAACAAACCAACAAAAAAACAACAACAAAATAGAAACTATCATTTGAGTTTTGGTATAGTAACAAAAATTAATACCCACAATTATCTGAAAAGGCTATTGAAATATTCTTCCCTTTTTCAACAACATATCTGTGTCAGGCCAAATTTTCTTCACATACTTTAACCAAAGCAATGTATTGCAGCGGACTGAATGCAGAGGCAGATATGAAAATCCAGGTGTCTTCTATAAGCCCAGACATTACAGAAACTTGCAATATAATAAAATAATGACACTCTTCTCATTAAAAATTTTAGGCCTGGCTAGGTGCAGTGGCTCACACCTGTAATCCCAGCACTTTGGGAGGCCAAGGTGGGCGGACCACTTGAGGTCAGGAATTTGAGACCACCCTGGCCAACATGGTGAAACCTCGTCTCTATAAAAATACAAAAAATTAGCTGAGGATGGCGGGGCATGCCTGTAATCTCAGCTACTCTGGAGGCTGAGGCAGGAGAATCGCTTGAAGCCAGTAGGCGGAGGCTGAAGTGAGAGCTGAGATTACACCACTGCACTCCAGCCTGGGCGACAGAGCAAGACTCCGTCTCAAAAAAAAAAAAAAAAAATTTAGGCCAGGTGCGGTGGCTTATGAATATAATTCCAGCACTTTGGGAGGCTGAGGTGGGTGGATTGCTTGAGTCTAGGAGTTTGAGACCACCCTGTGCAACACGGCAAAACTCTGACTCTACAAAAAATACAAAAATTAGCTGGGTTTGGTGGCTCATGCCTGTACTCCCAGCTACTGAGGATGAGGTGGGATGATCACTTGAGCCCAGGAGGTTGAGGCTACAGTGAGCTGTGATCACGCCACTGCACTCTAGCCTGGGTAACAGAGTGAGACCCTGTCTCAAAAAAATTTTTTTTAAAGAAATTATAGTTACTTTTCATAAAATTTGTCATTTGGGCCAGGCATGGTGGCTCACCCCTGTAATCCCGGCACTTCTGGAGGCCAAGGCAGGTGAATTACTTGAGTCCAGGAGTTTAAAACCAGCCTGGGCAACATGGCAAAACCCCATCTCTACAAAAAATACAAAAAAAAAGCAGCCAGGCTTAGTGGTGTGCTCCGATAGGCCCAGCTACTGGGGAAGCCGAGGTGGGAGGATCGCTTGAGCCTAGGAGGTGGAGGTTGCAGTGAGCTGTGATTGTACTACTGCATTCTAGCCTTGTGACAGAGACCCTATCTCAAAAAAAACCAAAAAAACAAAAAAAAACAAAAAAACATAAAACTGTCATTAACATTAATGAAATTACTGTTTTTCAATAAATATTTTAAAATTAATCAATTTTTAATAGATGTAACTCAATAAACAAAAGCTTGGCCAGGTGCAGTGCCTCACACCTGTAATACCAGCAGTTTGGGAAGCCAAAGCGGGAGCACTGTTTGAGGCCAGGAGTTGAAGAGCAGCCTGAGCAACATAGTGAGACTTTATCTCTACTGAAAGTTAAAAAAAAAAAAAAAAAAGTCAGCTGGGCATGGTGGTGCACACCTGTAGTCCCAGCTGCTCGGGAGGTAGAGATGAGAGGATCACTTGAGCCCAGGAGTTTGAGGCTACAGTGAGCTGATTTGCCACTGCACTCCATCCTGGGCGAGACCTGGCGACAGGGCAATACCTCGCCTCAAAATAACAAAACAAAACAAAAGCTCTTTGGGTCTTCAATAACTTTTAAGAGTATAAAGAGGTCCTAAAACCAAAAAGTTTGAGAACTGCTGACTTTATTGGTTATAATGCCATGTTTTCATTGCCCCTGATATCTATTTGGACAATAATAATGGGAAACGAAAGTGCAGTTATAGCTGTGTATATGTGTTATAATCTGACAACAAACACAGCTGCAAAGCCTGTACACACATAAAAGCAATAGGTTTACTTTCAGGTGATCAGACCAAGGCTAATTATAAATACTGTTTTATAGTTTTAAAAGTGTTTTCATAGATGTGATTTAATTGGAACTGAGGGAGACACTTAGAGTTATATGACTTTATTTCAAACAAATAGGACTAATCATTAAATCATAGCTCAGATGAACTCACCGTATATTACTGGAAGATTCCTTGTACTCATAGATACAAACTGCATGGGACTTTAACATTCATTTTATGGTTCAAGGAGTCTTACACCAAGTCTAAAAGGCCCCAATCTAGTTATAAATTAAAGCAACTTCAGTGTCTCTTCTCTAAAAAGATCTATGCCAACTCTAGAACTCAACTGGAAGATCAGTGGCCTCTGTTATATCCTCACCTTTGTCCATAGCACAATCCTGTTGACTGTTTCTTCTAGACTAGCAGTTACTTAGCTCCAGCCATATGCCAGGTGCTGTGCTAGTGCTTCCGGAATTTAGGGGGATGGCAGTGTTCCCAGATGATGAAAGGAGGACAGGCAATCCATGGAGGAATATAGGAAAAAACATAAAGTCCACAAAGCATGAGGACCTACACAGGGAACACCAAGTGTTTGCCTTTGGCACAGTGTGTGAAGCGGAATGGTGGAAAAGAAAATGGTGGGGGTGGGAGTAGTTCTTCAAAAGTGGAGCAGTATCTAGCTCAGCACCTGGCACACAATTAAGTAAAATAGTACAAGTGACTGACAATGAGAAGTACATAAACCCTTCTCTGCTCCACTCTATCTTGAAGTCTTATTGCTACTCCCCACGCAGAAGCCCTGCTTCAGCTAAACTGGACTCTGCTCAGGTTCTACCATTTGGTCAGAATGTCCTTTATGCTCTAAAATTTATATGCTTCAAGGTCTAGTCCAAATGGAACCTCCCCTGTCTCTCTCCTAAAGCATTATAGCCCTTTATTGAAGGTTCTTCTGGTAAGTATCTTACATGGTAAGTATTTGCACTCCCCTCCAGACAAGGAGCCTGAGGGCAGGAACATCCCATTCTACAAAGCACATGGTCACACAGTAGATGTTCAATAAATGCTGCTGATGGAACAAGTGAAGTGTGATGCAACACAGGTTAACCATTAACAGCACCTGAGGTTTGTACACCACCCCTTGTATTTACCTTGGCTAACAGCACCTAACATACCTTTCCTCGTTTTCCATTCAGACTCCCCAACAGACTAGGTTTGTCAAGGACAGGGGTTCTGCCTCAACAACTGTGACGGTGGCTAACACACACTAAGTGCTTAACGCATGCCAGCACGATGCTCAGCATTTTAAAGACGTCATCTCATTCCATTTTTCCCAATGCCTCTTTAAGTTGGATATTATCCTCTTTTTACAGGTGAGAAAAATGAGACTCAGAATGTCATTCTGCTACAGTAGTCATACAAACAGTACAAGCTGGAGCTAGGAACTGAACCCAGGTCTAATTCCAAAATTGCACCTTTAACCACCACACAACCTCTGTGAGTAAAAATGTTCCTCAGATGGGCTGGAAATGCATAACTCCATGGGCTGTAATGGTATCTAAGGAGAACACAGTCACGCCTGGCCATGCCAGAGCAAAGGAATCAGGGATAAAACCTAACTCTCCACTCCCTCGGTAAGACTTAAAGCTGGATGCATAAGTGAGTCACAGAGAAAACTCTTCCTTAGCGCTCTGCATCCATCACATTTTTTTTTCCAGAGGCCTTTTAAGTCCCCAAAGCCCCATAAGCCCAAAACTTCTCTTCTATTAAACACTTCCCTTTGGCTACTAGTTATTTTTGCTGGTCTCTAAAAAACAATCAATAGGTGATATACTAAAACACACACACACGTTCATGCCCCCCGCCTGCCCACCGCTCTGCAGTAATCTCTTTAAAGCCATCGGGATCACGCAGTAGGATATACCCTTCACTAGAATCTGCCATGCTACCACCGGGGTAGGGATCTTTGCTGTCAGTGCTTAATTGATTAAACTCTTGGAGCCAGAGCCAGCCAGGCTGGAGGACTTTCCACATGGAGATTTCAGACCCCCTTCAATAAATCAAGGTAATCTTGTTTTATGAGGTAGTCAGAAAGAAACAGTTTCAGGTTTGTAGAATTTCGAAAAAGAGCAGATCATGGAAGCGGGGCCTACGAGGCTCTGCATCTTAGACCCTTGCTATCCCTCAGTCTCATCTTTCAGCACACTCTCCCTCATTCCATTCCATTTATTCATTCCTAAACACCCCAAGCTCCTTCTCATCTCAAAGCCTTCAGATGAGCAGTCCCTTGGCCTGGAACATTCTTCTCTTACTCATTATTGGACTAACTCCTTTTTCTTCTTACTCAAGCCTCTCATTCTTCTCACCTGCTCTGGTCCCCTGCTATGCACTCTTTTCTACCCTTCACAGCACTGATCACAATTGTGTGCTCTATAACGTGGGGCTAAGTCTCAGCACAGTGGCTGGCCCAGAGGAGGGCTCAATCAATGTTTGGGGAATGCATGAACAAATATGTGCCCAAAGTGAATCCAATACCCTTTACAGGATGAAGCATGACCACTTAAGGGTCTGGACCAATGGTTCATTATGGGTTTGCTTGGAAGTTAGATTAGTGACAGAATTCTCATTATTTCCTCTTTCTCCAATATGTCTTTGTCCATGTTCAAAGCCCAGGAAAAGTAATGGGGTCTTCTCAGGAGCATGGCATTTTTGACAATTTACATGGCAAAATATCTAAGAACTGTAACATCTGATCAACACCAAGGTGTCCCTTTCCCTGACTCGAGAGTCAGAGGATGAGGGCATATCCGCTGGAAGAATCCCACCTCCCATTCAGAGTCACTGCAGAAATGTCACCTGATGCATTACCAAACCATTAGTCAGGACCTTCAGGGCGAATTCTGGGGCCAGGAGCCTATCAGAGGGATGCAAATCTCCATGCCCTCACTTAGAGCCCAGACAGGGTTTGTGGCTCATCAAACATGCTTCCTTACTGCTCTAATGTACCAGTGTATCGCTTAATGAAAGTTCTTAATTGTAATTCAATTAATTACATACACAGAGTCCCCAATTACATTTTCCAATAAGACATTGGCTGTGGTACAGGTCTAAATGCACTTAAACCAATTTTAATATATTAAGACCAATTTCCCTTGAATACTAATTACTACCTAATGATAAAACGGAAACGGGGGAACTTTTAGAGAAAGAAGAGAGTGAAAAATGCAAATCATGTGGAAGTTCTCAGCCCACACAGCACAATTCAGACACTCATTACTGAAAAGTAGCTGTGGACAAGGCACAAGTTTGCTTCAAGACAGGTCAGCACAGCTTTTTGCCCCAGGTGTCAGCTACCCTTGGTGCTGGCCAATGCCCAAAGGGGCCTGTGGGAAGTCTAAGGGGCTAGAGGGAAAGAAAACAGGAATCACAGGGAGGGAAAGGGTCACCACACACATGCTCAGACAAGCTATGGTGTCTGTGACAGTTGGTTGGCCTCTGAGTCTCAGGCAGACACACTCAGTAATGGTGAACGCTTGTATAGTGCACTGCAGTTCACTATGGGCTTTTACTGTACACAATCTCACTGACTTGTTTCAATGGTTTAAGCCTCACAACGCTTTACAGGGTAGGGAATACCATCACATTTTGCAGCAGGGGAAATGAGGCCCACAAAGAAGGAGGACTTGTACAAGGTTACACAGTGGTGCCAAATATCCTGCCTTTATAGTGCGAACCAGTCCACATTAACCAGAGAGGAAGACAAGGACTCACAGGTATGTGGCGAATAATGTTTCTGTTTCATTTAAATTCTAATAGCGTGCAGCAAACAGGGAGCTATTATGCAATATCGACTTGGATAAAAATCCTCACCCTACAGAAAATTCCTTACAGTGAACACCTCCCCGCTAAAGCCAGACAGGTTAACTGGCTTTCAGCAATAACAACCTAAAATATGTAAAACGAACATCACAAGTCATTTTCATTTGTAAATAAGAGTTTATTTGCATGATCACATTTTCTTGTGTATTTGAAGAGTGCTGTTGTGGTATAATAAAGGAGGTGCTTAAGTCACATGATAGAAATTGGGGAGATCAGTAATTTGTAACTGAAGGAGGCAGAGCCTCCAGAAGCAGCATGGAACCACCAGGGAGTCTCCAGAGCTGGCACAGAGCACACGCAGGAGGAAGAATCAGCCCGTTATAAATAAGCATCACAAAGAGGGTCGGAAGCACACCAGGATAAAGCTGACTTTCATCCTCTTTCTACAGCTGCTTCTTCCCTCTCTCCGTTTCTATTTTGTAGTGGTGGTGGTAGTCCAACAAAGAAACCCCTACACTTAAAGACGCTTATTCAAACCCAAGTTCTCCTTAAAAGCCATCTTGTACTTGGTCCAGTGAGAAGCCTGGAGATGTGAGGGGCTCAGGAGGCTCACTCTATCAGGGGGAAAGAGCCAGGCCTGGCCACAGACACCAGGATGCAGAGGGGACTCAGACTGGGTTCCTCTCCAGTGTGAGGGGTGGTCACAGTCTAGTGTGGGACTTGGCAAATCCATTCAGGGGAATCAGTGATCAGAGAGGAGTAAAGGTAGGAACTGTAACGAGCCCATGGAGGGGCAGCCAGGTAATCTGGGCAGCTCCTAGGAGTTGCCTCCTCTCCTGGGGCCTCAGGGGGAAAATTAAGAAGGTAAATGAGGGCTCTCAGACTAAGACCTCTGGATGTTCTTCCTTCCCATAGTCCACCCTCCTGCATGACTACCCACCTGGTGAGTTGAGGCCCTTCCTCAGTATAACCTTAAAATTAGGAAATGAGAATTTCATTAAGTGCTGAAATAATGGATGAACTTAAACATTCTGTGAATCTCCTTCAAAAGGAAAGATCAAAGGAAGCTGAATTAATGTTTACAGAGCAACTGAAGTCTCTCTCTACACCACCTTCTATTTAGGAAATACAATAATTAGATTCAGCTCTTTCACCAGACTTAATGAATAAAAGACAGTTTTCCAGGCCTCTCATTATTGTTCATGTGATATTAGCAAATCACTTCACCCCTCAGTTTCCTCTTCTATAAAACAAGGATGATGACTACATGGCCTAAAATGTTGTTATAATAAGAGCACTTATATCTCATTCAATTCTCACCAAATCCTTGTGAAATAGATTCATTCACCTCCATTTACACATGAAATCAGAGATGACATAATTTGTCCACTGTCACAGGCTGCAAGTGGTTCACCCAAGGTCTGCCTGATTCTAATGACTGTGCTTTAAGCACTGTGAATGACAGACTAGTCAGGGATAAAACAGAAAGATGGTGTCTGACACTTTGTTAGTATTCCATAAAGCCAGTTTAATTTCAGGCTTATATTGGCCCTGATGATGGGAAATTCCACTTTCTCTCTTAAAGCTGTGGAAAGAATAAGTTGGTTCAAGCGGCACCTTTCTTCTAAGGACCTGCATGGACTACCTCCACATGGTTGGTGGGAAAGGTCACTGGCAACATTTGGCAGACAAGGGAATTGAGGCTCAGTTTGGTGCCAGGATGTATATAGAAGCTTGGACAAGAATGGAAGTCTTGTAATGTTACATCCTCCCCATAATGTACTTGGGCTTCCTTCTGGTATGATTCCAGCTTCTAGCAGGCATTTGGCTGAAGGATGTAGTAGATTATCCGACAAGAATCCAAACTGGAAAGCTCAAGGACTTTGGCTTGTCATTTTCTTATTTAGGCCAAGATCCAAGCACAAATGTTAGCTCTCAGTACCTAGGCAGAAACTCTTGTCATATCTGCTTCATCTGTAAGCTTCTCTCTCATAGCATATAAAGACAATTGTAATAGCCATTCTTAGGACTGAAAATTCAGGTTGTTTTATCAACAATCTCAGGGTCGACTCTGGAATCAGACATCTGACTTAAAATTTTGGTCTTATCACTTACTGGCTGGATAACTTCGAGCAAGTCACAACCTCTCTTCACAATGAGAACAATATCTTGTAGGGTAGCCATGAAAATTGAAAGATAAAGCATTTGCAAAATGTCTAGCACAATGCCTTACAATAGTAGGCCCAAATACGTAATTTTTAAAAACACCCTTTTCTGCAGGACTAGGTATGATGGAAAGAAAAATAAATAAATAAAAAAGAAATAACAAAAAACATTCATTGACGTGGTTGATATAAAATATTATGCCACATTCCTCCTTGAAAGAAAAACTGAAAGGCTTCTATCCACCCTTATGGCAAACAGACTTCTCAAACAAATGGTTTTATTTATAAAGCGTATATCCATTCTGGGACACCAAAAAATATTTGCTGGGAGGTACGCTGCTTCTAAGTTCTCTGGTCCTAGGACACAGACTTACAGACCTGCCCCCTCCCCACTCTCCTTCCCTTTCCATTCTGGGTCACCCCCTTCTAGCCAACATACATCTCCTCGAGGGCTCTGCCAGGTCTATGACTCCAAACCTCGACACCTGTGCCCCATCTGCTCTACCAGCCACAGAATGCTGCTTTTCCATTATTTATTAATTACAGTTAACATTTATTGAGTACTTATTATGTGCTGTTCTACGAGCTGTATGATTATTAGAGCTTACTGAATCCTATCAATCTTATGAGGGCAGATAAACTACCCAAGAAAGGTTAAGTAAATGGCCCAAGGTCACACAGCTAGTAAGTGGCAAGGCCAGGATGTGAACTGAGACAGTTCATTGACAGCACATTCTCTTTAAGGACTGCGTAATACATGATCAGAATTTAGTCCACATCTACAATGGCTTTAAGGATAGGGAGGCTGTTCTAATCAAACATAGTAACAGAAATGAAAATAATTCTGCTTTTGGAATGTTTTTCTTTGCCTCAATCCACCTTCTTAATAGGCAGCTAGTGGAAAACAATGTAATTCTTAGTTGGAATTCCTACTTAAAAAATCCTTTTAAAAGCCTTTAAAATAATAAATTGTTTTCATAATTTACTTCCATTTTACAAAGACTAGTTATGATTCCATTGATTGTGATCTTTGTAAGTGCTGGTAGGGCTTCATTTATTAACACAGTGATTTTGACTCAGAGCGTCAAAAAGTGATGGGAAGTATCTTGCAAATCCTTTAAGATGAGGATGCTGAGGCTCAGAGAGATCACATAACTGAATTAAGACCATGTTCATGTTCGGAAGTAGAGTGGGAACTAGAGCCCAGATTTCAAGGCTTTATTCACCAACCCTCACAGCTTCTCTTTCCTAATATTAGAAAACTGGGCTTATCTTTTTTCAGAAAAACTAATTTGTGGCTGGGTTTAGTGGTTCACTCCGGTAATCCCAGTATTATGGGAGGCAGAAGCAAGCCTGGGCAACATAGCAAGACACCATCTCTACAAAAAGAAAATTAAAAAAAAACTAGCCAGGTGTGGTAGTGTGTGCCCGTAATCATGGCTACTTGGGAGGCTTAGGTGGGAGAACTGCTTGAGCCAGGGAGGTCAAGGCTGCAGTGAGCTGTGATCTCACCACTGCACTCCAGCCTGGGTGACAGAATGAGACTCTTTCAAAAACAAACAAAAAAATTAATTTGAAAGCACAATATACTGTGGAATACTGCATAGTAGTTAAAAAGAAATTGGTGAATTTATATGTGGAACAATATGAGTATTAATGTGGAAGAATCTCTATAATATACTGTTAAAATGATAAAAATGCAGAACACTAATGTTTGTTATCATTTGTGTTTTTATTTTTATTTTTTGAGATGGAGTCTCGCTCTGTGGCCCAGGCTGGAGTCTCACTCTGTCACCCAGGATGGAGTGCAGTGGCGTGATCTTGGCTCACTGCAAGCTCTGCCTCCCGGGTTCACGCCATTCTCCTGCCTCAGCCTCCCGAGTAGCTGGGACTACAGGTGCCTGCCACCATCCCTGGCTTTTTTTTTTTTTTTGTATTTTTAGTAGAGATGGGGTTTCACCGTGTTAGCCAGGATGGTCTCGATCTCCTGACCTCGTGATCCACCCACCTTGGCCTCCCAAAGTGCTGGGATTACAGGCATGAGCCATCACGCCGGCCCCCATTTGTGTTTTTAAAAAAGGGAGGAATACAAATGTGTGTGTATAGGTATGAGTGTGCTTGTGTGTACACACACCTATGATACATACATGCATATACAAAATGTGCTTGCATATACATAGATGATCCCTGGAAAGATATGGAAGAAACCAGGAACAATTATTGTCTCTGGAAGGGGAATTAGGGGATGGAAGAAGAGAGACTTCATTTTCACTACAGACACTTTAGTTACCTGAAATTTTTTTTACATGTATAAGTATTACATATCCAAGAAATTTACCAAGATTCTAATAAACACCACTTTATTTGTATAACAAGGAATCAACATTTTGAAACAGAATCCACTATAAAGTTCCTACCTATGAATTAGTTCCTCAAGTATGTTTAAGATGACAGACTTTAAAGAATGAAAAAAAATGACAGGGGCGGAGGGAGGGATTGTTCATTTCTACGGGGTAAAAATTCCGATAAGCAAGTCACATAGGAGTGTATTGGTGTAACTTTTCCTTTGGCTCACTATGGTATGGTACTAGATATGGTATGAAATTTCAAATGTCACAAGGATTGTTACACTAAGACATTGTCTCACTATACGATCTTTATCTATGTAGACTTGCCCTTATTTCTTGTTTGCTTTTCCTTCTTAGAAAGTCATGCATGCTCACCTTAGAAACTCTGGAACGAACAAATATAAACACGAAGGAAAATGAATTACCCAGAATCTTGTCAACCAGAGACAACCACTATTAACATTTTCTTTCCAGTTTTACTTTTTGTTTGTTTTTACATAGTTGGGATTCATCTATTTGTCTTGACATTTTTTCCCTTAACATTACATCACAGTTAAACCAAATGTGCACTGCTAGAATAAACCCAACTTCGTAATGTTATATTGTTCTTTCAACATAATGTTAGATTCACTTTATTAATATTTTGTTTAGGATTTTTGCATCTATATTTTTCAAACTGGCCTGAAAATTTTCTGTCTTGTATGGTCTTTACTGAGTTTGGTACCAAGATTATGATAGCCTCTTAAAACAAATTGGAGGTTATAACCTTTTTCTATTCTCTGCAACAGTGGATATAGGATTGGAGTTATTTTTTTCTTAAGTTTTTGGTAGAAACTAGCCAGTGAAGTCATGTGGGTTTGGATTTTCTTTGTAGGAAGGTTCCTAATTACTAATTAGCTTTTCAAAATAGTTATGAGAATATTCAGGTTTTCTATTTCTTCCTGTGTCAATTTTGTTGTCTTTTTCTATAAATTTGTTCATCTATAATTTTAATATTTTTGGTATAATTTTTTTCAAAATAATCTTGTATTTATTTACAAGACAGGATCTTAATGTTTAATGACAGGATCTACAGTGTACCTCCTTTTCATTCCTACTACTATCTGTGTTTCTCTTCCTTGTTTTTGTCCATTTCATTGGAAGTGTATCGATTTTGTTGGCCTTTTCAAAGAACCAACTCTTGATTCTGATGTTTCTGAATTTCTATTTCATTAATTTCTATTCTTCTCTTTATTGCTTCTTTTATTCGTTTCAGGTTTTTCTATTTTTCAATTTCTTGAGCTGAATGCTTAGCTCATTACTATTCAGCCTTTCTTCTTCTTTTTTTTTTTTCTGTTTGAGACAGAGTCTCACTCTGTTGCCCAGGCTGGAGTGTAGTGGCATGATCTCAGCTCACTGCAACCTCCACCTCCCAGGTTCAAGCGATCCCCCTGCCTCAGCCCCCCTAGCAGCTGGGATTACAGGCACTTACCACCATGCCTGGCTAATTTTTAAATTTTTAGTAGAGATGGGGTTTCACCATTTTGGCCAGGCTGGTCTCGAACTCCTGACCTCAGGTGATCCACCGGCTCGGCCTCCCAAAGTGCTGGGATTACAGGCGTGAGCCACCGTGCCCTGCTCAGCCTTTCTTCTTTTGTGATATTTGAATTAGAGGGCTGTAAAACTTCCTTCAAATACCATTTTAGTTATATCCTCAAATTTTAATGTCAAATTTTCATTATCTTTCAGTCAAAATACTTTCTAATTTCTATTATTATTTCTTTATTAAACCATGGGTTCAGAAACCTGTTTCTCAATTTCCAAACATATGCAGATCTTCTAGTTGTCTTGTTTTTTCCTAGCCTAATTTCACTGTGATCAGAGGATGTATCACATATGATTTCAATCTTTTGATATGTAAGATTTACTTTATTGCTTAGCATATGGTCAATATTGGTAAATGTTCATGTGTGATTGCAAGAAATACGTATCTGCAGTTGTAGGGTAAAATATTCTCTGTACCGCCTGTCCATGAGGTTAAGTTTAACTGTTGTTTTAAGTTTTCTCTATTATACATTTTTAAAAAATGTATTTGCTGTTTCAATTACTGAGAGTTAAAACCTCCCTCCATGATTGGAGACCTGTATATTTTTCTTAGTAATTCTTCAGTTTTGTATTATATATTTTGAGCATATAGGTTTAGAACTGTTAAATCTTCCAAGTAAACTGAACCTTTCATCATTATGAAGTAATGGTTTTTATATCTAAAAACGTATTCTGCCTCATGTTAATATGGCTACACCAGATTTCAGTTGCTATTTGCATAGAACATCTTTCTCCATCCTTTTACTTCAAACTTTCAGTACCCTTGTTTTAGGTATTTGAGAAAAACCCATCCTAACCATCTTACAGATGACAACAACTACTACTACTAAAGCCTTTAGTTCATTTACTGATATATCTGGGTTTAAATCTATTATCTTACTACATGTTTTCTATTTAACCTCCTTTTGGGCTTTCTACCCCTGGCAAACCCTGGACTTCTTTTGTCTCCTTTCCTCTAAAGGCTATCCACAACCCAGCTCAACCTTTAGGCTGCACTGCCAGACAGGCAGATAATGTCCGGGCAAAAGCGCTCGTAGGCGTTGATCTCTTTTGTTTCAACCTTTTCCCAGACATGGCCATTGATTCTTTTCTATCTTGTGCTCTTTGATGACTTTAGGATGACCATTTGTTTAATCAGCTTTTTAAGTTACCTTCAGTGGAAGAGTTGGTTCAAATTACTTAGTCTGCCTTTACTAGAAAGGTAAAACCCTGCATAATTTTCCAATATAGGGATATAAGTTATCTGACTACTCTTCCAATGTTAAATATTAGAAATAATGTTGTTAAAACACTGTACATAAATCTTTCTTGCATTTTAGATCCTTTTCTCTTTAAGATAATTTCTTTTTTCTTTCTTTCTTTTTTTTTTGAGACGGAATCTCACTCTGTCACCCAGGCTGGAGTGCAGTGGCACGATCTGAGCTCACTGCAACCTCTGCCTCTCAGGCCCAAGCGATTCTCGTGCCTCAGCCTCCCGAGTAGCTGGGATTATAGGCACCCGCCACCACGCTTGGCTTTTTTTTTTTTTTTTTTTTTTTTTTTTGTATTTTTGGTAGAGACGGGGGTTTGCCATGTTGGCCAGGCTGGTCTCGAACTCCTGACCTCAGGTAAACCACTCACCTCAGCCTCCCAAAGTGCTGGGATTACAGGCAAGAGCCACCCTGCCCAGCCTCCTTAAGATAATTTCCAAAAACAGATTTACTGGAGAAAACATTTTTAGGTCTTTCGATATTTACAGCTATATTATACTGTTATACTACAGACCCCAATGTTTGAGTATGCCTATTTCTCCATATTCTCTCCAGCAATGAGGACTCCCTTTGAAACACCTGGCTTATTTTATATGTGGCTCTAAAATGTTTGTATTTTACAATGTTGATAAGGATAAATATTTTCACAAATGTTTACTACTCATTTGATTTTTTGGACCATTTGGGAATCAGTGATTTTTATTTCTATGTGTATTCACAAAAGGTACTTATAACTGGTTGCAGACTGTGGGGACAGTAACCTTCTGCCTTTGAGAATTTGCTACCAAATGCCAAAAGCATATTTCACCTTCCTGGTGAATTTTGTGCATGCTCGGCGGAAGAGGCTGTCTGGGGCCCTAGTCAAAGAGTAGCATCCTAGGCCGGTGTGGTGGTTCACACCTGTAATCCCAGCACTTTGGGAGGCCAAGATGGATGGATCACTTGAGGCCAGGAGTTCAAGAGCAGTCTGGCCAACATAGCAAAACTCCACCTCTACTAAAAATAAAAAATAAAAATAAAAATAAAAATTAGCCAGGGGTGGTGGTGCATGCCTGTAATCCCAGTTACTTGGGAGGCTGACACATGAGAATTGCTTGAACCCAGAAAGTGTAGGTTGCAGTGAGCCTAGATCACACTACCGAACTCCAGCCTGGGTGACAGAGCAAGACTCTGTCTCAAAAAAACCCCAAAACCAAACCAAAACCAAAACCAAAAACATCCAAAGAGTAGCAGCCTGATCTTGTTTAGAGGGTCAGTGGCATGAGTAAAGATCTACCATTCATTCACTCATTCAATCTATATTTACTGAGATCCTGTAGCACATAGTCTACAGCAGATCTATATGAAGGGCAACTTGGTATGGGCCAGGGTCATCCTCACAGACCTGATAATCTAGCAGGGAAGAGAGATATTAAACAATCACTGAGAAAAGTATGTAATTCTAAATACAGGCTGGCTGCAGTGGCTCACATCTATAATCCCAACATTTTGGGAAGCCAAGGTAGAAGGATTGCTTGAGACCAAGAGTTTGAACCGCCGGGCGCGGTGGCTCACGCCTGTAATCCCAGCACTTTGGGAGGCTGAGGCGGGCGGATCACCACGTCAGGAGATAGAGACCATAGAAACGGTGAAACCCAGTCTCTACTAAAAATACAAAAAATTAGCCGGACATGGCAGCATGTGCCTATAGTCCCAGCTACTCGGGAGGCTGAGGCAGGAGAATCGCTTGAACCTGGGAGGTGGAGGTTGCAGTGAGCTGAGATTGCACCACTGCACTCCAGCCTGGGTGACAGAGCGAGACTCCGTCTCAAAAAAAAAAGAGTTTGAGACCAGCCTGGCCAATGCAGCAAGACTCCATCTCTAAAAAATAATAAATAAATGAATAGATAGAAACACACGCGACGGAGAAAAAGTAGTATGCGGTATGGCAGAATATAACGAGGGACTCAAACGAGAGGTGGATCAGGTTTAAGCAATGGGGGACAGGAAGATCCTGGTGGCCTTTCTGAAGACAGGACATTTAAACTGAGACAAAGAATGAGAAAGAGTTATTAACCAGAATGGGGGAAGGAGCATTCCAGGTGGAAGAAATAGCCTGTGTAAAAGCCTCGAAGCAGGAATGACTACAGACAGTCTGCTGCCGCAAGCGCAGTTTCACACATCACTTGCCCTTGTGTCAGTGGGAGTATGGAGGAGAGGATGGCAAAATGCACAATTTGGAAACTCTGAAGAGAGAATGAACAAAGTTAACAAGTTTTGAAGTTCTCAACATAGCATAAGGAATCACTACACTGCCTCCTGCTAGAATATGCAAATGGTTAAAATTTTCTAAAACCTGATGTCTGAATAGTGATACTGACAGGGCCAGCTGCTTTATATACAAAATAGCCTTTACTTCAGAAAAGGCCTCATGCTTCTAAGCTGTTTCCAGGGATGCTCCCAACTTAGGAAGACAGTTTAACAGGAAAATATTAATCACAGAGTGCTAAACAGGATGCAGCCTCTCTACCAAAAAGCACAAAATCAATCATTTCACTTTGGGATATACTTTGGCACGAAGACTGCAGTCTGCCTTGGAAAACAGTCACTTCAAATCTGCCTAGGGAAACCAGACCAGTGAGCGTTTCCAAACACATGACTTCTAAGCAAGTTTGCAACGGACAAAGCGGGCATGGAGCGAGGCGGCCAACGTACTGTTCTCGCGGACCAGGCAGAACTCCCATGCGCTCTGGCTCTCCAAAGTGCTGTCCAGGTCAACGGCGACATTGGGCTCGCTCTGCTTCTCCAGGCGGTACTGAGGGCCTGGAAGATCAAAGGGGCAGGAGGAGGGGAGGAAGTCTGAAACAGCGAATTTAACATTTAAAAAACACCACATACTGGTGAAAAGCTGATAAAGCCTTAGTAAAGTGTTAAAGTCTGTCTTGAGGGTCTAGCTATCCAGGATGGAAGTTTGGGGTTTCTTTTGCATAAGGCTTCACATTCTTCACTGTTCTATTATCAAGTCTGTTGCCACTCAGTTCTCCCCGAAACCAAGTAAGAGGTAAATGGCCTTTGAGTCAGAGTGACTACGCCACTTCTCAGATATGAGCAGGTCACCTACCCTCTCTGAACCTCCGTTTCCTAATATGTAATGTAGGAATAGTTATACCTTGAAAGATTGTTGTAAGGATCAGAGGTGATGTAGGAAAAATGCTTATTAGAAATGTACCTGCCTCACAGGAGGCAAAGGTATTTATTAATAATTATGTAACAATAAATTACAATCAGGAATAAGATATGTGTAGAACTCTAATATAATAACAGTCCAAAAAATTCAAAACAAATTGTAAACAGGTAAGCTTAAATAAATAAAGCTCAGATGACCTGGCATTCATATGTGGAAAAAGTTTTTAAATTAAAAAAATCTCAGATTTCTGAGTTACGATGATGAAAAGACAGTGGCTACCGATTCACATTTTTGTTGAAACATTTATGAAAACACGAGACACAGGTTCAGTAGTACTGGAAGCCAGGAATACTAGCTACCCTGCATCACATAGAGGGTTCTTCTGGCAGACCTTAATAAAACACTGCAGCATTTTATACATTTATTCATGTATTTCTTTGTCAACCCAAATGACAATCTTGTTCTTCTCAGATAACACATAACGGGTCCAATGATCAGATTCAAAAGACTGCTCCTGTGATCTGTTAATGGTTATTGAAAGGATTAGAGGCATAAGAAACTGTCTTATTATTTTGACTCTGAAAGGCGTGTTTGGTCAGACAGAAGGAGAGGTGAGAGAGCTGAGGGAAGCATCAGAGGCCGTGCAGGGCTCCCAGGCGGAACACGTATTTTTAGATATGTTCTTCAGCTGCTGTCAACTTGTGGATTAATCACATCTAGTGCTTCTCTATCATCAGCATGAGGCATTTCACTCATTTCCAGTCATTCTCCTTCCCATGTTCTATGTTCAGCTGTAGCACTGTAGAGATTCATTTCAGTTTCAGGGTATATTTGATCTTTTCTCTAACTGGTATTTCATTAGCACTTCTGCCTATTCTGAATTCTTACATACATTCAGTCCTTTTTACACTACTTAAATAAAGCTTTTAAACCTTTGTAAGTAAACAAATGCTTAAAACATATACAACTATTTAAGCATATGCTCAGAAGCCTACACAGTTCTTTTAAACTCTAATACACTATATTTATATCAAAAAGGTATTGTGTTTTAAAATTATTGGTAGTAAATTCATTTTTTTTTAAAATTCTAATTTCAAAAGTGTTAAATAAGGCCAGGCATGGTAGCCCCCTTAGCGATTCTCCCAAATCCCAGCACTTCGGGGGGACCAATTGAACCCAGGAGTTCGAGACCAGCCTGGGCCACACAGTAACAACAACAACAATAAAAATTTAAATTAGCCAGGCATGGTGGTGCGCACCTGTAGTCCCAGCTACTCGGGAGGCTGAGGCGGGGGGATTGCTTGAGCCCAGGAGCTGGAGGCTCCAGTGAGCTATGATCATGCCACTGTACTCCAGCCTGGGCAACAGAGAGAATCCCTGTGTCTCTTGGGAAAAAAAAAGTGTTAAGTAAATCAAAGTATGGAAGGAAATGCAGGTAATTCTTGTAGTCTCTACTACCTATCACCTGTCCATGCCAACAATTTTCAATTAATAGGTGCATCTGGTATTGATCAGTGGATGCTGGCACGTAATACTGGGTAGAAGGAATCTCAGAAAGCTGAACCTTAAGAAAACAGCTGTGGGCCCCTTTAGTCTAGCAGAGGAAAGGGAGTTACCCCTGAACCTGGAGGGCTGCTTTCTAAGATAATGGCCTATTAAACAATCTCTGACTGTTCCTATCTCCAAAATCTCCCAGCAACACAGTGTGCAGAAGCAACTGACATCCACTTCTATAAATTTACAGTGAAATCTGGGTATAAAGTTTAGCTGTAATAATTCATTTCCCAGGCTGAGTATGGTGGCTCACATCTGTTATCCCAGCGCTTTGGGGGAGCCAAGGCAGGAGGATCACTTGAGGCCAGGAGTTTGAGGCCAGCCTGGGAAACACAGTGAGCCTTCATCTCTACAAAAAAATTTTTTTAAATTAGCTGGGTGTGGTGGTGCATGCCTGTAGTCCCAGCTACTGGGGAGGCTGAGGTGGATCTCCTGAGCCCAGGGGTTTGAGGCTGCAATGAGCTATGACTGTGCCACTGCACTAGAACCTATCTCCAAAAAAATTTTTAAAAATAATAGCCCAAATTTAGGAACAACCTAGGTCTAATACGGGGACTGATTAAATAAAATATTATGAAATACCATAAAAATATTAAATGTGATGCTACAAAAATATTTAATTTTATAAAACATGTTTATAATATGCTACTTTATGAAAGCAGCAAATTACAGCACATTTTAAATTATAATTATAAAAATACAAATTATAATTTTTAAAATATAATAGCAGAGTGGAGTGACTATAGTTACCAACAATGTACTATATATTTCAAAACAAGCTAGAATAGTGGACATGAAATGTTCCCAGTGTATAGAAATGATAAATACCCCAGGTGGTACCCAAATACCCTGACTTGATCATTACACATTCTATGAATGTAACAAAATATCACGTGTACTCCACAGATATATATAAACATTATGTATGAATTTTAAAAAGGTAAATCTAAGCAAAAAATATGTAAAGGAATAGAGGAAAAAAGACTAGGAGGTTATTCCTAAAATGTGAATAGTAGTTATAATTGATAGTGGAATTAATAATTGTTTTTATTTTTGCTTTGTGTTTTTTTGTATTTTTCAAATTTGCTATAATAAATGAAGGCCACTTTTGTAATTTAAAAACACCAGATAAACTTAAAAGTTCTCCAATTTCTTACTATGACATCTTTTTGAGGCTACTATAATTAGCACACATTGTGGCATCTCCAATGGGTCATTCACATGCAGTAATTTAATCAAAAGCAGACACGATCTGTTTATGTAGACATATTTTCATGTGAAGCAACCGTGCACCCTGGCATGTGTACTCTGAGAGCAGTGCACAGACTGTCGGGCTTCTCAAGCTGTCAGGCTACCTGACAGCTGGATTATATATAAGCTACCACTTTCCTGATTACTGGGAACTAAGGCCTGGCTGCATCAGGAGGAATTTCAGGCCGGTCTCCTTTGCACATTTTTTCCTACCAGTCTTTGCAGCTGCCTGGGAAACGTGGATCAGGGAAAACAGGGGAGTCAGGGAGTACCAGGAAGGATCCCTTATCCCTGAAGACAACTCCCTGCCCCACTCTCAAAGCCATAAATGCCATCATCTGACATTCATTTTATTTCTTGGATCTTGCAGATATTTCTATTAAAATTAGTTTTCTGAAAGTAGCTTCTTGGACTTTGTCCTATGAAGCCTAGCATGTTGATGACTTTAATACATGCTTATTATGTGCCAAGCATGCTATATACCTTACCTTATTGAATCCTCACAGTAACCCCCAGAGGCAGATATATTAGCCCCAGTTTACAGATTGGGATGCTGGTGAAGTAACTTGCCCAAGATCACAAAGGTAAAAAGTAGGAAGGGGGAAAAATGAAACCCATGGGGGTCTTCTGGCTCTAAAGCTAGTCTGCCTTGAACCCTCCTTCCTCCTGCAAACTACAAATTACTGGCCAATTATAAAAAGGCCATAGTTTATACCATAAATAAAGGTTTCTGTAGATTTGTGGATTCATCTAGAATCTGAATCACTTAACTTCTATAAATTCAAAATGAAAATGATCTGAAACTATTTATTCCAACAAACCCACACATACCAAGTATTTCATGCTCTGGCTGCCTTCTGAGTCCATGGTAGTACCATTCCCTCTTACGAAGACATGACCAGACATGATCACCTTGTCTTTCTATCCATCCAGGAAGGCCCATCCATCTTTCCTTAGGAATACTGCTAATATTCTACGCTCAGTTTAGTCAGTAACTGAAAATCCGTGTGTTTTCTGCCCTGGGTACTCCCTGCTCATCCATCAAAGCTGAAGAACAACTTGGAAACCCACTTCTGAACTTAGCAAGGGACCAATGGGTAACAACCTGGGGGAAGGCAGGGTGGTTAAGCTGCATATGAAACTCGATATCTAAATCCAAATGGAAAACTGCTTTTTATAAATCTGCATTTCTCTCCATAATCCTCACCTGAATAGTGGATATTTCACAGAGAAAGATTATAGTATTTTACACATTTTCCCTCCAAAAAGGCCAGGATGATAATTTCAGGTCTTACTGTGTAATGAGAGGCAGGGTATATACGAGAGGCAATATAGCCAGGTGGTTAAGGGCATAAACTTGGGGCCCAATTGCCTTGGCCTAAGTCCTGGCCAAGCAATTTTGCTGTATGACTTTGGGCCAACTTAACCTCTCAGTTTTCTTCTTTATAAAACAGGGGATAATAATAGCACCTACCTCACAGGATTGTCTAAAGTTTCAACGAACTAATAGTTGTAAGGCAGTTGGAACAATGTCCAATGCATTAATAGTGTGATTTAAGTATCAGCTATCATCATCACCATCATCATCATCATCATCATCATCATCATCATCATCATCAGACTGTAATAATACTAAGTGATCCTAACAGCATGGACAATCTAACTACCACCATCACAGGCCCTACTATGTGACAAGTGCTGTGCTAGGTCTTTTATGTACAGATCATCTCATTCACTCTTTGGTCACCCTAAGATGTAAAGAGTTTATAAACCCACTTAAGAGAGGAGAAACTGTGATTTATAGAGGTTAAATAACTTGCTCAGTGTCCCTCAGGAACTAGTAGAAGTGAGAGAATTCATACCTAGGACTGCCCAGGCCTGCACTCTCTATATTGCATTATGAACCACAGCATCTCACTCACACAAAGTTCTTAATAAATGCCTGTTGACAGTGAAGATTATGATAACCCAGACCTATATCAAAGTACAGTCTCCATCAAATACTTGTTTAATTTTTAGGAGGCTGACATGGGAGGAAAATAAAAATAGCATCCAAAAGCCATTTCAAAAAGACAAACTGTGAGGTCAATTTCTATGAATATACTTTTTGCCAAAGAAATGATTATATAAAATATAAAGGGCTCTTTCACACTGAACAGGACAAGGTTCTCAAGGCAACATCCACACTTTGGAAAGAGGATTTAAAAAGTCACAGCTGCGCATGAAGCCGCATACCCTCCATTTCACAGCAGAGAGGAACACAAAAGGAAGATTCTGGGAAGCAGTTACTCTGCAGCGACGGGAAAACCTGCTTGGGCATTCCAATGATGTATTTATTGCAGTAATACCATGTCACCGAATGGCCTAGGAACAAAATATTGCTTTGGGCACTTTGGGAGGGTTCCAAGTTATAATACCCAGGCAGGATTTTTATGGGATTTTGTAAACCCGAGGCAAACATCTCAGCACATAAGTTTCAAAGAAAATCTGCAGAATCTGTTGGTTGGTGGCTACATGCTCAGAGCAGCTTCCTCGATCCCTTTAACCCCTAACTGAAACATAAAAGGTTTTAGCATGCAATTCTTTAACAGCTGCTAGCTAGCTGAAAGCTGAAATCCAATGGAAAGCAAGTGCCTGCCAAAGTCCGAAGAGAGGGAAGACACACTGTCGCCTCCATTGCTCTGTGTCTTCTTTCTAGAGACCCGTGGGAGAAACTTCTTTCAGATCCTGGTATCAGGAAAAGCTGTACTTCCCTGGAGCAAAGGGCTTGCTTTTGTATCTTTAGAAAGTTTAACATAAATCTTGTAACTAGCTCCTATCATGTCCCTTTCTCCTTTGCCCATCAGGAAGCTCAGCACTAAATGTTCGTGTGACTATGATGACCTGGACATGCATTTCTCTGCCAGCTCCTCCTCCTGGGGACTCGTAAACTTGTCGTTTAATCTTTATGTTTCTTTTCCTCTCACGTAGTTTATTGGTTCGTATGTATACATATTTTTTTTTTGTTTCTTTTGAGATGGAGTCTTGCTCTGTCGCCCAGGTTGGAGTGCAGTGGCGCAATCTCGGCTCACTGCAAGCTCCGCCTCCCGGGTTCACGCTATTCTCCTGCCTCAGCCTCCCAAGTAGCTGGGACTACAGGCGCCCGCCACCATGCCCGGCTAATTTTTTTGTATTTTTTAGTAGAGACGGGGTTTCACCATGTTAGCCAGGATGGTCTCGATCTCCTGACCTTGTGATCCACCTGTCTCGGCCTCCCAAAGTGCTAGGATTACAGGCGTGAGCCACTGTGCCCAGCCTCGTATGTATATTTTTTTAAGAGGTGGGGTCTCGCTATATTGCCCAGGCTGGAGTGCAGTGGCTGTTCACAGGTGCGATCCCATTACCGATCAGCACAGGCGTTTTGACCTGCACGTTTCCAACATGGGCCGGTTTACCCCTCCTTAGGCAACCTGGTGGTTACCCACTCCCGGGAGCTCACCATACTGATGCTGAACTTAGTGTGGACATCTGATCAGCATAGCGCTGATCTAGGCTGTAGCCCAGAAATCCTGGACTCAAGCAACCCTCCCATATCAGCCTCCTGAGGAGCTGGGACCACAGGTACACACCACTGCACTCAGTGGTTTGTGTATTTTAAAATCTATTATAATAATTCCAAATATTTTTGGGATCAAGGTAGGATATAAGTGAATTAACCTATCATCATCATTGCTGACCATAAGAACAAGTTTGAGAATCACCTGTGCAAGGAAAAATGACAGTCAAAAGCTGAACACTTTCATGGTTATGTCTTCATGTCAACTGTTTTCCATTCACCAATTTAAAGAGCTGCTTTAATCTGAAAGAGCTTCTGGTAGCCAGAAAAAAGCTAAGTGTGAGCAGTAAGAGGAAAGGCTAGACTTGAGCAGAACATCCCTGGTGTTTGTGCCATGAGAGGGAGTAACGCTGCCAGCTATGCATCCTTGGGAAGGAATTTAAACTCATCTGTAAAATAGGGATAACAGAGCTTCCCTCAGAAGGTTGCTGTGAGGATTAAATGAGACAATGCAGGACTTCCCTTAGCAAAGTGCTCGGTCAATGAGAGCTGCTATTATTGCAAATACAGACTGAAACAGAAACCACTGCAATAAGGTTTAGGTAGATCCCTAGCCTATGAGTCACAACAGGCTCACAGCCTTACCAGGGAGGGCACACCGGGGCAGGGAATGCTGGCATCAAAGCGAAAGTCTGTGCTCTTTCCCTCGTGTGTCCAAAGTAGGGGTGCAGGGTGCATATCTATTTAAACAAGCTTGCTTTTAAGCTGCAGACGGCATTTAAGATTAGAGACTTGCTCAGCAGCCAGGATTCCTACAGTTCCCTAGTCTCTCAGGTCCTACAAATATAGTCTAAAAATGACGAGTAAATGTCAGAACCCACAGAACAAACCACGGCAGCACAGATATCAAAGGACACGTGACGCTGGGTCTGAGCTCACATGTCCACCCCACACAGCCTTGGCTTCTTCCACAATGACCTTCCATGGTCCACGTGGGTTCCTCAGTGCCTCCTGGCTTCTGCACGTGCCATTCCCTCTTCCCTCTTCTTCACCTAGCTCTGAGTCCTGCTTCAAGACAACCTGGTTCAGATGTTTCCACCTCAGGGAAGGGGAGGGTGGAGCTACCTGTCCCCTTCTCTGTGCTCCCACACAGCGCCTTGTTCCTACCTTGGTAGGAACACTCATTGGGCTCTTCTATAATTTACCAGCTCAAGCTGCCTCGCTGCCTCCCCCAGCCTCGAGGCAGGGATGAGTAATCTCTGTGCTTGGTGCATTGTTGATGCTCAAAAAATATTCATTAGATGGATGTTTGGATGGTAGTGTAGCATCACATGTCCTTTGATATCTGTGCGATCATGGTTTGTTCTGTGGGTTCTGACATTTACTTGTCATTTTTAGTCAATATTTGTAGGACCTGAGAGACTGAGGAACTGTGAATCCTGGCTGCCGAGCAAGTCTCTAATCTTAAATGCTGCCTATAGCTTAAAAGCAAGCTTGTTCAAGGAGGAGCTGAGGCTGAGAAGCTTGGCCCAGATTGTTGGTCAAGATTTGGATTTTCTCTCATATGCAACAGGTGCTAACAGAGCAGGAAAGTGACACAATCAGCTTTATATTTTGGTGAGATTCTTCTGGTGGCACTGCTGACAATGGGCTGGAGACTTATGGCAGGAAGACCCATTCCAGGAGGATCGTGCCAAGCCTTGACTACTCTATGGCAGGGGCTGACTGAATCTGCGTTCCTCACTGAGCCAAAGCCACTACGCTGATGCCGTCCGTATCAGAGCTCGGACCCAACATCAGCTATGCTAAAATGTCTGCATTTAGTGTCAGCTCCATCGCTTATAACTCTTCCTCCAGAGGCAACTATAATCATTTTCTGCTTGATCTTAATATAAGCACTGAACTATATTCAAGTGACAACCGCTGTAGCTTATACCCCCTCTGAGGCTCAGATTGGATAGTTTGGAATTTAAATAATAAAAAAGGAACAAGCTGACATGACAATAAGGTCACACTTTAGCCTCTTCTGAGCCAATACACCATTTGCTCTCTGTGAAACAGCTGAATATAATCAAATTAAATACAATTCCTATTACAAAAGAAGAAAGACCAAGGCTGTTCCAATAAACCAATTCTCCTGCCTAGTTAAACTGCAAAACCTTCAGGAAAGGTTTTGAAAGCATGACCCATCAGTTCTAATTTTTAAAACTTATCCTTTCAGTCAACACTAGAAAAAGGCCCATTCCAACTTTTATCTTTGCTACAAAGTGCTGTTATCTTGGCTTGATGTCAGGAGCTCTATCTCTCTTTCTGCTGACAAGCAGAGACGAGAAAGATAAGATTGGAAACGAATCTCACTTCTCTGAGTAAATAAATAATCAATACTCATCTAAATGTAAATGAGAAGGTAGCCCCCTCTGATAACAGCACTCTTATCAGAGAGCCAATTTTCTTCAGACATTTGGCCTCAACCAAATCACCATCATTCAGCCCCAGCCTAATGGCAAAAAATCGTAACTAAATTGAACCGATCACCAGAGATCAACTAAGTTCGGCCCTGGCCACTTCAGGTTCAAATGTTTGGGAATGCAATTTTGCCCCCATTAACTTTCAATAGCAATGAAGAACAGACTGGTCAAGGGGCCAGTCGGTGCAATAAACAAAGCCCAGCAAGGGGGCCGGCCAGAAGATGAGGAGGAGTGGGCTTCAGTGTTTAAACAACAACAGTGCCATCATGGAAGCAAGCCCCAAAACTGTGAAGGGAAGGCCGCTTCTGTGGGCTGAGTAGATGGCACTCTTTCCTCTATCTAAGGCTTGGCTGAAACTGAGAAGACATTTAATTTGGCGAATGATGATGATGATTAAAGTTTATTAAAACAAATATAAAGAAAAAAGATATTAAAAAGCTACTGTAGCTAAAAATAACCTAAGGTTCAAATGATCAATTTCCTCCAACTAATTTGTCTCAGACTTACATCTGACCCAGCAGTGCCGCACTGACCTGATTTTACTGAAAGAAGACGCCGTCTACAAGACAAATCACTTTCAAACCACTGCACTGGGGTTTCCATTTCTTTGCTGCAAGACTCAATTCACTGCTGATGAGAGTATTGGGGAAATTATGACCATTATTGATAGGACAGCAAAACCACTTTCACACAGCAGTCTTCAAGTCGACAGAAAGCTTGCACTAGACCATTAATGAAGGTGTCAGCTAAAACCAGAAATTAAAGACAAAGACTGGAAGAGGCCTAATTTTTAGAGCATGTTAAGGACACCAGACACATAGAAGCGGCAGCCATTCATCCCCTTAAGAGTAACAGAGCCTAAATAAGGATAAGCAGAAGAAAGGGCTACTCTACTTATGATTAGGGAAAGAAAATGCTTTTTTTCTTGCCTGGCCTTGGAGTTCCAAGGCCACAGGCTCTCAATATTATCAGCTCACAATCTTCATCAGCCAAAGGAGGAGATGTTTGGTGTGAGACAGAACTACCCAATGTTTTACAATCTCTATTGCTGCTGTGAGCATCTAATCCTAGAAGGCAGATGTGTGGCAGTTGGAGTGTGGGTTCTGGAGTCAAAAAGACTTGGATTGAAATCCTGGCTCTTTTACAAGTTATGCGACTCTGGGCAAGTTAGTGGATCTAAACCTTCATGGAGTAATTCCACAGATTATGTGTAACACAATGCCTAGCACATAAGTACTTAATAAATGTCAGTTATATTGCTACACAAATTTGACAAAATCATCAACTTGCCCTTTTTGAAAACAAGTCAAATATTGCTTCATTCCTGGACTATAATAACAGCATCAGCAACTGACATGGAGGACTTTCCTGGCCCTTAACAACGTGCTTTCCATGCATTTGCTTTCCGCATCTTCATAAAACTCTATGCGGTAGGCCCTACAATAATCCCACTTTACAGAGGAGGAAAATAAACCATGGAGTGGTTAAGTCATGTACCCACGGTGAGGCCAGGACGAGAATGCAAGTTTTTCCAATTCCAAAGCCTGTGCTCTTCACCACTCTGCTCTGCTGTATCCCATAAAGAACAGTATAGGTTTTGATCTTTGGGTTAAAAAAAAAGAATTGTAAGGTTTAGATGATTTATCAGTTCAGAAAGGAGTAAAGATGCTGTGTGGGAGACCAGGCAGCAGGGAAGAGTAGGAAGTTGATCTTGAGGGGGTCAAAACTGAGAGTCCATCAACCCTCACAGCAGGCGTGTCACATGAACACCAGCTGCTTGCCCTGATTTTTCCAGGGTTGGGGTGGGGGTTCTTTTTCTAAGTTAAGTGATTTACAGACTTACTGCCTCAATCCACAGTTCTGAAAGTGTGATTTCTTTAGGGTTTAACTATACCCATTTCTAGTCTTGTTACAACTTTTTTATTGTGATAGAAAACATTTACTGGAAATATGTTACTGCTATTACCAGGTCATAAAATAAAAAGAAAAATAGTTTATGTATTGCCATCATTTCCAACCATCAATCAGAAAGTGCCAAGAGGAGGAAAGGAAAGGGCGTACCGCTGAATTTCCTTCTTTGTGTGGGAGAAACTGTAGGAGCATCATAATTCTTTAGAACAAATTTATTCTTGAATACCTAGCCTCACGAATGGGCTCTGGGGAGGAGCAGGGAGGCATCCTTTTGGCATATCCCCTCCTCTCTGCAGCCCTGCCTGAATCCCTGTCAGAATTAAGAGCTCTTTCATCCCACCTTCCTTGGGACCTTGCTTTTCTCAGTGCACCAAGCATGCTGAATTAGAAGTACTTTTGTCTATTTGTCATTCCCCCCACCTAGCCAGCATCAGGGCACTCTTTGAAGACGGGGTGGGAGGCTTTCAAAAAAACTCAACTCTGTCTTCCCAGGGCTTCAGCATAGCAAAAGGCTCTTTGTTGGTGCTTAATAATCGTTGTTAAATAGAATGCCTTCCACAAGGTGGCCTTGAAAATTGAACTCAACAATCTACTTCTTCTAGCTAATATTCCTATCCTAAGAAATATTAGCCCAAGTATACAATGATGTATGTTCAAAGATGTTCATTAAAGTACCGTTTTAATATAAAAAATTTCATACAACCTAAACATTTACCAGTAGGAAACTATTAAATAAATTATGGTATATCTATACACTGGGCTGTCATATGGTTGTTGTAAGAATAAGCTAAGTTGGTTGGGTGCAGTGGCTCACATTACATCTGTAATCCCATACTACATCTGTAATCCCACATTACATCTGTAATCCCATATTACATCTGTAATCCCACATTACATCTGTAATCCCACATTACATCTGTAATCCCAACACTTTGGGAGGTGCAAGTGGGAAGATGACTTGAGAGCGGGAGCTCGAGACCAGTGAAACCTCGTCGCTACAAAAAATTAAAAAAAAAAAAATTAGCTGGTTGTGATGGTGTGGAGCTGTAGTGTCAGCTACTTGGCAGGCTGAGGCAGGAGGACTGCTTAAACCCAGGAGTTCAAGGTTACTGTGAGCTATGATGGTGCCACTGCACTCCAGCCTGGGCAACAGAGCAAGACCATCTCTAAAACAAAATAAAGCTAAGTTAATAAGACATGGGAAGAATTCTATGATACATTATTAAATTTATAAGATATAGAATGTACAGAGTAGGCTACATGTTAGTAAAGTAAAACCCGAATAAAATAAAAGCACCAAAACATAGGTGCACTGATATGTGGATTTGTGAAACACACAGCACAATCTGGAGGGTCATGAACCAAACCATTCTCACAGCCGTTCTTTTACCTGTAGTAACCTGTGGGGTAGAGGAAGGTATACCAGCAAAGAAGATGGCTTTTGATTTTTACTTTATAGATTCCTATCACATTTGGGTTTTTGACAGTAGATCATTATAAGTATTACATTTATTTTAAAAATTCAATTTTAAAAAATGAGGTGGAAAAATCTCAGAGATTATTCCAGCTAGACCAGACTAGGGAAGACTGTGGCCCCTGGAACCTCCTTGAGTCTCCTCTCACACCATCTGGCTCCTCACACATCATGTAGGCTCAGTGGCTCTGGAGAGAGACCTAAACAGTTGAGGAGCCAGGAACTAAATTGGGATAGAGCCTGTTCAAGAGTTCCTGAGGTCCATAGTCAAGCTACAAGTAGACCACAGAAGCTTCCAGTGCTGCTTAAAGGGGTTGAGCAGGCAAAGGTGAAGAGGACTGACTGGAGCATCTGGGGCCAGACTACAAAGACTGTTTACAGCTGGGTGCGGTTGCTCGTGCCTGTAATCCCAGCACTTTGGGAGGTCAAGGTGGGGAGGATCGCTTGACGCCAGTTCAAGAACAGCCTGAGCAACACAGTAAGATCCCGTCTCTACAGAAAATAAAAATTAGCCTGGTATGGTAGCACACACTTGTCTTAGCTGCTTGGAAGGCTGAGGTGGGAGGATTGCTTGAGCCTAGGAGATCAAGGCTGTAGTGAGCTATGATCATGCCACTGCACTCCATCCTGGATGACAAAGCAAGACCTTGTCTAATATATATACATATATATGTCTTTTATATATATATATATATATAATTTAAAAAATTAATAACAAAAACTGTTTACAAAGGCAGGCCACAACTGCAGACCAAGGGTCAGATCCCATTCGCTCCTGTTATCACCATGGCCTGATAACTATGCCCGCCCCAGCCTCCTCATGGATTCTACCCAGAGCCACAGAAAACAAAGGTGTCCCATAATGTCTCTGGTCTTCCTCTAAGGCAGTTCTGAAGCCTCCATGCAGGCTTTGAGATAAGTGGTGGTCAGGAGTCCATCCCTACAGCCTGTGGGTAGAGAAAAGGTCTGGATTTGATCCCTGCCTAAGCTTAATAAAGTGTGTATCTAGGGAATGTTCTGCAAACTCTGCAGACCCCAGCACATTTGAGACAGTATGATGTAACGCTTATAAGCCAGACTCCTTGGGTGTGAAGTCCTAGCTCCACCACTCACATGTTATGTAATCCTGGGTAAGTTACTTAGCCTTTCTGTGCATTACTTTCCCATCTGTAAAATTTCCCATCTGTAAAAATGGGCATCTATATCTTAGAGTTGTTGCAAGGATTCATTGAGTTAATACAAGTAAAACGTGTAAGTAGAAAGGATGCCTGGCCCACAGTTTTCATAAAGTCTGTAGCTTTAGCTGCATTGTCCCTATGCCTGGGTTGCTGCTTCTGCTTTCTAAGCAGCACTCGGAAAGAGAAGGGTCTCTAGTTCTCTAGGAGAGGCTGAAACCTCCAGGTCAGCCTTACTGGCCTCATCTTCCTCCCCTCTAATGATATAGTAATCCAGAAATATCCTCCAAACCATGCCATTTCAACCATCTGTGTCTTTGCTCATACTAGTCCCTCAGTTTGGAACAATCTTCCCTCTACTTCACTTCTTTACTCTGTTTTTTCCCACTCAAGGAATCAAAACTCTGCTTAGATGCCTCTGTCTCTGGACTTCTTCGTGCAACCCACACTACAAAGACCTCTTGTACTACATATATGCAAGTTGAGAATGGAGAGCACATTTCAGCGTCCCTACATTCCTAGGACAGCCTCAGCATACAGGTATGTTTAGTGATTATCTGGTGATGAAACAAGCCCATCCTGCTTAGTTACCATCCTACCTCTTCCTCCAAAGTAGACTTGGAGCTCCACCTCCATCTGACTCCAAATGCCTCCACTGTTTGGAGATTCCCATTAGTGTCCCAACTCTGACTGGGTTTCCTAGGGATGGATGGAACTAGCATGGATCTAGCTGACTCACCTGGACATTGGCTGGAGAATGGAAGACCATCATTGACAGGGTCCAATCCCTCATCCCCATCAGTCTGGTTCTCTTACCCAGGTCCATCTTCAGTAGCCACCTATCCCAACACATATCCTACCAAAGTTATCTGAGCCACAACACACAGGCCTAAGTGGAGCCCACTCAACATCAGAACAAGAAGAGGTAACACATGTACAACCAAAAACTTCAAAACTTGCAGAAGGTTGGGAGCCACTGGACAGGAGCCTCATATATGCGGTTGTAGGCAGAGAGTGTGCTTGAAGGCGCAGACCCTTCACTACCATGAGGAGTGCTAATACTCTACATCCTGTCACTATGCAGCCAGCAGGAATGTACTTCTCTTTAGAGAAAGGAGGTCCCCTACTATTTGTAAAAAAGGAAATTTTTTTTTCTCCTTGAAATCCAGATATCACTTGTTAGAGAGGTTGGAAACCTTTACCTTTGTCCCTAAGAATCCAATTTTTCAATCCAATCTGTTTCTCTTAACTTGAGTCACTGTGACAATACCAAATTTTACATACAGTTATCTGTTGCTCTGTAAAGAAATACAGATGGTTTTGTGGAAATAAACAGTCATTTATTTTAAACAATTGTAAAATAGTTTATGGAAACCAGTGGGGTAATGCATTCAAATAAATGCCAAAACTGGTTGATGGGGATCCAGGGTGCTAAATCACACTGCAGAGGAATTTAGCTGTGGGGAACAGACAGTAAATCCAGAGTGACAGAATTTCCCGTGATGGCAAAGGTTTCTGACATCCAGTCCAGTACTCAAAACCCACAGCAGTTCAAACCCATTTTCCTTAACACAGCCTTGACAGCCAGTGAAATTAGTGAATTTAGTCACAAGCACCTAAGGACAAAAAACAGAAGAAACAAAAATGAGACTTCATTTATCTTCAACCTTCTCTGAGCTACATGAAAGTGGTGACTCCAACCTGAGTCAGTGGAGAGCAAGCTTAGAGCCAATTGTTTTCAGTCAGCAGACTCTGTTATGATATATTGGAATCTGAAGACTTTCATTCAAATCTGCTTATGTCAGAGGCTTCGGTAAACCACTTCCTCTCTGAACTTCAGTCTCTTCCTCTGTTAAATGCGGATAATACAGTAGTTGTATGTACTTGACAGGATTTTGAGCAGATTCAGTGAGGCACCAGGATTATTCTTTGGCTAGCTTGATGCCAGTGGCCCTGGTGGAAGGGGCTCTAGCCCAGGGTGGGACAAAAGGCTACAGGGCCTCTTTAGGGACTTCTACCAACTCTTCAGGGAAGCACCACTGCCAGTGAATGGTTGGACCAGCCTTTGCAGGAAGAAAGAGACTCTAAGCTCTTTTTTGCTTCTAATTTTACAGGACAATCAACTATAAACTTATCATCCTTCCATTCTCAAACCAGCTTTTTTTCCTTGTAACTGTGCTTCCAATGACGACACTACGATTCACCCAATGAATTAAATCAGTTGGTTCATCAAACTGTACTAAACTCCTACCATGTGCCATGTCATGAGCTAGTCACTGTAGATATGAAGATGAACAAGACTCTGCATCTGGCCTCTAAGGACTTGGCATAGTGAACACGGCACTCTCAAGTTTGGAATACTTCTTAGCCTTCCCCCTTGTTGATGACATTAAATCGGCTCCCAAGTTCTGCAGACTCTACCCACTTAATACATCTCCCTTGCATTCCTTCTCACTCAGGCCGCAGTAATGGTTTCCCAACCTTCTTCTGGCCTCCAGCCAACCACTCTTCACCCTATTGTTAGAGTGCTCTCCAGAGCCAAATTCTGGTAGATTCAAGGTATCACTTTCATACAATCCCTTCACAACTTCCTTGCAGGCTACTAGTTTAGATGCAAATTCCTTACCCCACTCTCAAGGCTTTCTATCCATCCTAATTTCTTGTCCATCTATGTCCTTTATGACCCAAACTAGACTCACTGTTCAGTGCATATATGTCCTGGTTTCCTACCTCCATGTCACTGCTGTGCCCTTCCCTTCACCCAGACTGACTCCGTCAGCTTGTCAAAATCACATCCCTCCTTTTTGATTATCCCCTAAGTCTTATCTTCTCTCCTTCTGACCCCATGATATCAGGCCCAACCAGAGTCCCAGACTGGCCTCCTTCCTTTCCCCACAATAGGGAAAGTTGCACCAGTTAACGTCTTCAAGGCAATAGGATTTCTACAATCCCCAGCCAACCAAAAACAGGGCTTCCTTTTTAAAAACTCTAGCCTTGGCCTTTACATCTCATTCAGTTAACTGTCCTTGCTCCTGGCCCAATCCTGCCCAGAACCCTGCCCTCAGGCCTGGTGCCATGCTAGGTTCCCAGTGTGTCTCTCTGAAAATCCTGCCCTGCCCTCTGATACTGCCTGCCCGCCTGGATTTCCTTGTGCATAAATCATACATTTAATTTATCTGAATTCAACCATACTTGCTAGGTAGAAAAGAGGAAAAAAAGAGGGAGACCTGACCAAGAGCACAATTTAAGCAGTTGGGAGAATTCCACTTGCCATGACTCTCAGTGATCCAATGAGCCCCAAGAGTGGGAATATGAGGCAGGAGTCCAGAAATCATCTTTGCAACTATGGAACCTTGTAAATGTGTGATAAGTGACTAACTGCATTAAATGGGTGGATGATAGTATCTCAGTCTTTCTAGACCAAGTTTGATTTTAGCATTTAAAAATATGTACTTTTAGCTGTTACGATGCTAGAGAAAAAAGCTGTGTGAATTTAATGAGAAAAATTACATTGCCTCTGATGGGCATTTTTAAAGAGATTTTTCTTTCCCACAGGTAATTTTGACAATGGGATTTTTACTCACCTGTTGCCTTTGTGATCTAACCCTGGATAAGCTGTGGCTCTTGGTACGGCCACCCCCAGGTGCTGAGCATCATCTGCTTCCCTGGTCCTTGCTGCCAGGACCTGCAGTTCCCCCGCTGTCCTTATGGCCCCCCACTGCTGACTGCCCATCTGCCCTGTTCCCTGCTGTGGGGGCCAGATCCTTCAGAGATTGGCTCCACCTGTCAACAGGGCTTCTCTCTGCCTGCCCCATCTTCCTTCTAATAACCATTGTGCCAACTGAGGTTTGTGTTTCAAGTCAGAACACAAGCCTTGGTGAGTACTTATTTATTTATTTATTTTTTATTTTTTTACGTAAGTAAAGAGGCCAGGCTTGAGGACTGCAACCTAGGAGCATAGATTTAGGTTGCCCTAAATACACTCCCAGCACTTTAATTACCACTACCCTGTCCAGCTTTATAACAGCCATTTAAGTTCTCACCTCAGTACCTTCTACTAGGTTGGTAGGACAGTGATGGTGGGGTCAAGCACTACCACCAATTCATAAGACCTTTGGAAATTACTTAAGTGCTCTAAGCACTGGTTCCTTATCTCTAAGTGGGGAATGATGATAATTTCTAACTCATGTGGTTATTATACAGATTAAATGAGATAACACATGTAAAGCACTTAGTTTGGCACATAAGTGCTCAATAAATAGCAACTATTTCTTAATACATTAATACAATTTTGCACATTTTGCCATGTTCAACTCTCAAGCTTCTTATCTTAAACAGGTAAGAAGCTGAATTATATATCCTGTTTTATTTTAAGCCAATTGTGACTTACAACCGAACATGTTGCTTCTCTTTGTGCTACAAACAAAACAAAAAGGTAAAAGCAATGGGAAAAATGGCAGAAGAGGAGACGTGGCTGTCAGCCATTTTCCTTTCTCAGAGTTTTCTTTCTTGTTAGATCTATTATCTGGGAGCTGGGCTGCCCTGCTGGCTTTCCATTTGCCTTGCTAATAACAGTAAATCCAGCAGCTTCCACTGCAGTTCCTGTCTCCTTCAGCTGACTCCCAGGCCAATCAGCATTTCCTCTCTGCTAATGTCAGATGTTCCCTGGGAAGTCCTGCTGAAAAGAAAATTTATGACTAAAGTTTCTCCAGCTTTTAACCCTTCTGCATATCCTGCTCCAGATGCAGGGTGCTCCAGAGGAAGGCTAGGTCATTCCTACACGTGCACTCCTATGTTCTTGCTGATGCTCTGCTGCTCTGACAAGGGGCCTCGGACCCCTGGAAAAGCCCAAATGAGCAGCTGCGCAGACAGATGCACACATTCTGGGCTGTACCTAATACATGGACTCAATTTGAGCTGGGTTCCTTAGCAGCTAGAGTCTCTTTTGAACTATAACTCAAAGCAGTCATATTCATACAAAAAGAGCATTAGATCACAAAATTGTGAGTCTGACTAGGTTTCATGACTGAAACTGAAAGGAGGGGACAGGACTAACATTTACTGAGTGATAAGATAATAACAGCAAAGACTTACTGGGTCCTTGGTGCTTTGCAAGGATCGCTGCTTAATTCTCACAATAATGCTATGAAGAAGACATTATTATTATTTTCATTCATAAATGAGGAAAACGAAGTTCAAACAGGTTAAGAAACTTATCAGAGAGCTAGAAAAAGTAACAGGAGGCCGGGCGCGGTGGCTCACGCCTGTAATCACAGCACTTTGGGAGGCTGAGGTGGGCAGATCACCTGAGGTCGGGGGTTCAAGACCAGCCTGACCAACATGAAGAAATTCCTTCTCTACTAAAAATACAAAATTAGCCGGGTGCGGTGGCGCATGCCTGTAATCCCAGCTACTTGGGAGGCTGAGGCAGGAGAATCACTTGAACCTGGGAGGCGGAGGTTGTGGTGAGCTGAGATTGCGCCATTGCACTCCAGCCTGGGCAACAAGAGCAAAACTCCATCTCAAACAAAACAAAAAAACAAAAACAAAAACAAACAAAAAAAAAAAAAGGAAAAGTAACAGGAGCAGGGGTGGAACCAGGTAGGTCTTCTAGAACCCAGGTCTTAACTAAGCTCCACAGTTAAGGCTATCAACCAGAAGACTATGATCTGGTTGGGACCTTATTTTATTGAAGAGGAGACTAAAGCAAGGAACTCAAAGACAGAGAATGACCAGTTTTAAGCCAATAGAGGAAGCATGATCTTCTGATCCGCAACAGCCACCTCCTGAAATAAATCCTCCAAGGCTCTCAGAAGAGGAGAATGCACTGACGTAGGCGTTCAGGAGACAATGGGGTGGTACTCCACAATCTCTTCAGTGGAACAGAGAACAATGGCTGGCTGCCGAGATTCAGGCTTGCTGGCAAAGGTGGCAGTGGTGCAGCAGCCACTGCCAGGCCCTTACAGACCTTATGTTCTTGGCACAGAAGGGTCTCATCACAGGGTTTACATTTTAAGTAAGTTCAAGCCTTTGGGGATGTCTGCATGCTGGCTCCATGGACTTTCCTATGACCTCTTCTGTACCTCTCCACAGAAGTTAGATGATGTACTTAACCAGATCAGCAAATCCAGTAAACTAATTTTTGTCCCAATTTAGAAAGAAGTAAGAATGTCAAAATGTACATGTGACAGCTGTTTGGGACTCTAATGTTATGGAAAAGCAGCTGTTTTCATTTATATTTGAGATATTAGTCATCCTTCCAATGGGACAGAGTATCCAGCTAATAGCTTATGCTTTAACCTACGGAAAATATGGGTCACAGAGACAAAGTGTTGGCAGAATCACAATACACTGACTATACTCATATAACATTTTGGTCTTAAAAAGTTTGAAAACGTTTATAAGAAACAACTATTTAATAATGATGTTCTCAGAGAAATCTGACATCCAACATGTTGAAATGAATGGTTTGCTTTTAGGAGAAAGGGCGTTTTCAAATAGACAAAGTCCACATAAGTAAGGAAAGAAAGATCCTTCTACACTCCAGAAGTTGAAAGTAAGATGTTTTCTTTTAACAAAATTTAAAAATTAACTTTAATCAAAGTAGCATATATATAGTTTTCTTTTTTCTTTTTTCTTTTTTTTTTTGAGAGTCTTGCTCTGTCACCCAAGCTGGAGTGCAGTGGTGCAATCTCAGCTCACTGCAACCTTTGCCTCCAGGGTTCAAGTGATTTCTGCCTTAGCCTCCCGAGTAGCTGGGACTACAGGCGTGTGCCACCACGCCCAGCTAATTTTTTGTATTTTTAATAGAGGTAGGGTTTCACTGTGTTAGCCAGGATAGTCTCGATCTCCTGACCTCGTGATCTGCCTGCCTCAGCCTCCCAAAATGCTGGGATTCATACATGTAGTGTTTTTTTTGTTTGTTTTTTTTGGGGGATGTAGTCTCACTCTGTCACCCAGGCTGGAGTACAGTGGCGCGATCTTGGCTCACTGCAAGCTCTGCCCGCCCCCAGGTTTAAGCAATTCTCTGCCTCAGCCTCTGGAGTAGCTGGGACTACAGGCGTGTGCCACCATGCCCAGCTAATTTTTTGTATTTTTAGTAGAGATGGAGTTTCACCATCTTGGCCAGGCTGGTCTTGAACTCCTGACCTCCTGATCCACCCACCTTGGCCTCCCAAAGTGCTGGGATTACAGGCGTGAGCCACCGCGCCCGGGCCTCATACATATAGTTTTAAGAGTAAATAATGCTGTTAAGTCCTATGATGAAAAAGAGTAATTCCCTGTCCCATTCTTGAGTCCCTCCTTATAGGCAATTTGTTTAAGTTTTTTTGTGTGTGTGATTTCTGGCACTCACCGTCCTACTTTTTATTAACATTCCCATTCAACTACTTAGATAAGTTATTATAAATATCAGACAATATCTATTAACTTACATTAGAGAGAATGAAGACTTAGGCTGTGCACTCTCTCTCTCTTTCACACACACCCACACGTCCTTTGGAAAGTGAGTTTGCTTTTCTTTTCTTTTTCTGCAATACAGTAGCTTCCTACAGTAACTTCCTCCTGCTGGGCACCCTTACGTGACTATCAATGTTTAAAATGTCTGCTTTTGGTATACTCCTCTGGCTCCCCAAGGACTCAGAAGAGATCCACATCATTACGGGAATCTGGGCGGCAACACTAATTTCAACGGATATGCATCGCCTTTCATTTTAAACACATTTACATTTTCATTTGATGATGTAATTCTCCAAGGGAGTTTAATCTCTGATAACCAAAGTACAGTGAATCCACTCCTAAACACAAAGTGGTGGCCTCAGGTGTGGGCTGGCTGAGAGACACGTGGCTACGAGCTGTGGACTGGTTTTCACTACATCTTAGTTCATTCCACAAATGTGCTAACCACCAACCCTGGGCCAGCTGCGGTGCTGGTAAACCATAAGGAACCTACCTCTCCAAAAGGAGCTTTCACTGTACTCAAGGAAAAGCGGGGGCTCTCATTCTCTTCTTTTGCAAGGTGCTTACCAGCAGCTGGCAAGATCAGTGTATTTGGAACTTACTGGGGACAGGGCCACAGTGCCTCTGCCACAAGCCTAAGTGGCTGAGGGATACTGATCTCTGGAGAGGATTAGTGTCCCTTCCCAGCTTCCATGGCTGGAACATGGCCTGTTTCCCTTGATGGCCACTGTTGATGGAGTCATTTACTGCTCATGAATTTACCCAGCCCTTTCTGCCCTGTCCACTTCTCCCTGCCTGCATCAAGGAGGGGTGCTGGTAGCCCAATTAGGAGATGCGTGGAAACGAGTGGAAAGAATGAAGTTATGCCTGAGCCTGGGAGCCAGAGAGACTCCCTCTAGGAGGGGAACTCCCAAACCTGAGGACTCAAGGAAGTCTTTTCAGTTAGAAAATGGAAGGACCGCCAGGCACAGTGGCTCACGCCTGTAATCCCAGCACTTTGGGAGGCCGAGGCAGGTGGATCACGAGGTCAGGAGTTCGAGACCAGCCTGGCCAAGATGGTGAAACCCCATCTCTACTAAAAATACAAAAATTAGCTGGGCGTGGTGGCACATGCCTGTGGCGCCAGCTACTTGGGAGGCTGAGGCAGGAGAATCGCCTGAACTCGGGAGGCGGAGGTTGCGGTGAGCTGAGATCATGCCATTGCACTCCAGCCTGGGTGATAAGAGTGAGACTCCGTCTCAAAAAAAAAAAAAAAAAAAAAAAAAAGGAAGGACTAGCAGGGCGCAGTGGCTCACGCCTGTGATCCCAGCACTTTGGGAGGCCAAGGCAGGTGGATCACTTGTGGTCAGGAGTTCGAGACCGGCCTGGCCAACATGGCGAAAACCCCTGTCTAAAAATACAACTAAAAATACAAAAATTAGCCGGGCGTGGTGGTGTGCACCTGTAATCCCAGCTACTCGGGAAGTTGAGGCAGGAGAATCCCTTGAACCTGGAAGGTGGAGGTTGCAGTGGGCCAAGGTTGCACCATTGCACTCCAGCCTGGGCAAAATGAGTGAAACTCTATCTCAGGAAAAAAAAAAAAAAAAAAAGAAAGAAAGAAAAAAGAAAAGAAAATGGAAGGACTAACAAAAGCCAGAGCAAGAATTCCTATCAAATGTGTTTTATTGCTTTGTTTATTAGCCATCTCCTCTATTAGAATGTTAGCTCTCTGAGTTCACCCAACTGTCACCCTTATATCCTTATTCACTACCTGAAATGTAGCCAAGACTCTACTGAAGGATAAGTTAGGTTTCAGACACACTGTACCTGAGAGATCTGCATGACCCTCAGGGATTCTTAGACTTCAGTTACACATTATCTTAATTCACACTGTTCTGCTATTAAAAGTAGTGTGCCAAAAAAAAAAAAGAAAAGAAAAAAAAAGGCGAAAAAAGAAAAGGAAAGCTTAAGTTTTGCTATGATTTGATATTTCTGTGATTATGTGGTGACAGTTTCCAGGAAGATTGAGGAGTTCCAATAGACCACCTTGTATCTTTTGCAGCACTTGGGCTTTAATCACATCTCACTGACTTTCTGTTTGAAAAATTGGTTCGATGACACAGTAGAATCTACACACCTAGCTGCCTGCCATACTGTGATTAGTAGCTAGGTAACCAGAGAGGTAGATGCTGATACGTCCTCTCCCCAGATCTGCCTTACGGTGCTAATCCAATGCCATTTTCCTGATTTTAAGTCTTCTTTGTCTCAGGACATTATTGTCATGTAAGGCAGAAAAAGAAATGCCCTTACTGACTAGCTATTTTTCTTCTTTTCTTTATAATGCACTTAAAGCTGTTGCAGATATGCGGCAGAAAGTGCCACTACTTATAATTTACTCAAAAAGAAAGAACTATGCAAAATTACTATTGGAGTTGTTTAAAATGCCTTTTACATTGCTTATGGGAGTAAAACAGCTCCAGTATCAGGCCTCTGTAAGCAGCAGAACAGGAGTTGGGTGGTTCAGGCCCTTGGTTTCCTGTGGTGGGGTAACTCTACTAAAGCAAGGGTTTTTTCATAGAAAGTAGCTAAAATCAGTCTTGGTAGAGAAGAATTTTCCTTACAGCTACTAATAGGATAAACACATCAAATGGCCTGACCGAAGAAAGAGGGACTTCTGCTTCCTCTGGTGCAGACTGAGACTCTTCATGGAGGCTGGAGAGATGTAATGGGCACATGCAACACTCTAATCCTGTCTGTAATTATAGAATCATTTTCATTTTCAAAATCACATGGATATTTAAGTATACTTCCTCTTTTAAATGTTTTCTGAGAAACAGCAACAGGGTCTGTGAGCTACTAAACTGTGAACACAAAGACTTTTAAAACTTACTTATAAATGTGTTTGTTACAGGCAATTACAGTTTGTTCACATTATTTCCAGAATCTTTGGCATAGGAAATTAAATTTGCAGACATAAGCTATCTGATAAATAAGGCTTGTGACCATTAATCCATCCCTATAGATATATGGTATGGTTCACTTATTAGTAAAAAAAATCATTTGAGTTGACTCTCTGGGTCTAGTTTTCTCCTTCTTCAAAATAAAGTGTGCTTCCAGCAGATTCTAATTCAAACACAATTCAAAGGCTCATTCTACCACAAGGTAAAAACTTTCTATAGACTTAATTCACTGGAAAACAAAAGGTGCAGGCAAAGGCCAAATCATATGGATAGAAAAGGAAGTAAACCAAAACCTAAAGAGAAAGCCAGGTTTTATGGCGTGCCTGGCATGATAGTGGCAATAGGGATGATGGCAGCTGATGTCCACTGAGCGCCTACTATGGACTAAGTGTTTTACATGCATTCAGTTAAGACAATAACCCTGCAAGATAGGTATTATTACCTCTATTTACAGAAAAGACAACTGAGGTCAGAAGGGGCTGATGACTTCCCTAACTTCACAGCTTGTAAAAGGGACAGGTGGCCTGGGGACTGGGGTTGGTTTGGTTCCAAAGCCCATGCTGTTTCCACTGAGTCTTGCTGCCACCCCCAGCTGAAGCAGGGACATTTGGTCTCTCTAGAGAGAAAGGCAACAGCTTCCACTGAGCCGTGGGCCCCGTAACCTTATCCAGTAGAAGGAAGCACCACAGTGTCTAGCAGTACAACCTTTGGCCATTTGGCTTTGAGTCCTTACTCCCCTACTAGCTGTGCGACCTCAGCAAGTCCTGCAACCTCTCTGAGCTTTAGTATTCTCACTTATAAAATGAACATGACAACTGATTCAAATAGTTGTTTTAAGGATTAAAGTGTAATGGAAAAAAGTATCTGGCAGATCACCTGGCCAAGTGTGAGTATTAGTAAGTGGTGATTATTATACCTGTAACTGTAAATGCAACTTAAAACCACAGATCAATGGGAGAAACTATGACCTCAAAGATGTTATTTAACAGACGAGCTAATAACAATAAAATAACCTAGTGCTTTTTATGCTACAAGAATACATGTTTGTACATTCAGAAATTCATATTAGTATCAACAGTATCTAAATGATGTATTTTTAATTTTTGTGAGTTTTCCCATTTTATTATGAGTATTTTTAAACCACAGAAAAGTTGAAAGAACTGAACACTGAGAACCCATATACCCATCACCTAGACCTATAGTCAACATTTTACAATACTTGCTTGATCACATATCTATCAATCCATTTTTTAAAATGTATTTCAAATCAAGGAGGAGACATTACTACATTCACTCTGAACTACTTCAGCATACATAGCATTAACTGAAGCTCAATATTTGTTTAAGATTTTCTTTTTACTTTTAGGTAAAATTTACATGCAATATACACACAAATTGTACAAATACAATTTGACAGTCTGACAAATGTACACACTTGGCAATTGCAGCTCCCGTCAATATATAGATTCCCAATCAATATACAGATGATTAGCTTTACTCCAGAAAGTTCCCTCATCCACATTACATTTTAAGTGAGGAAGCTGTGGTGTACGGAAAAAAAAACATTGGGCTCAAGAATCAAAGGGTCTGGGTTCAAATCTCACCTGTATTACTCATTAGAAATACATACAAGTGTGCACACACACACTCCATGTGCTCTCTTTCTCTATATATTTATATATCTCCTTGGTTTTCTACCACAAAAAAGAGATAATGCCCATCTCACAAGGTCTTTTGTAAAGGTTAAATACAAAAATACCTGGAATACAATAAGTATTCAGTAGATGTAATCAAAATGGAATCATTACCTTGGTACTTTCTACCTCTCTCCCACCTCTCTCCAATCTGAGGATATTGTCTTCAAAAAGAAAAGTAAGGACACACACACAAAAAGCAGTTGCAAAAGAGATGAGGGGGAAAAAGGCATCTCTCTGCATAGGCAGTAATCTCCCAATTTATCCACTCTGACTTCAGCTAATTAAACATCTGTCTCAACGGCCTCCTCAGCAAATTAGTCATCCCCACTTTGTGACATTGATTGTTGGTTGCAGCCTTTTCCCCACTTGCTACCATTCCCAGAAACTTCTAGGAGTTTACTCACCAGGCACATGGCAAGGAATGATGCAGGGTCCACATTAACCCCCTACAGTTGCCCTTGGTGCCACTGCTGTTCATAATGCTGCCAGGCGTGTCCTTAGATCTGCTGCCCCAAAATAAACCGGTTAAGGGGTAACAATGTTTTTGTCTATATTTGTGACTTCCAGATTATGATGCATTTTCTAAGTGCTATGTACATGTACCAGACTAAAGTATTTAATAAACATTTAACTAAAAATCTGTTTTTTAAACTAGTGTTGATGACAAAGCAATCAGGTAACAGAAGTTCTCAAATAGGAGGTGGATTAAAGTCTGGTAAATTATTAGACAGCTTTTTCTGAACATATAAACAAAAGCTTTGCCGGTGCTCAAAGGGCCAGCAGGCAAACAAGTGAAGCTGTGTGGCTTGGATGCGTGATCCATTTCTCTACATGATGGGGTGTGTGTGTATGTGTACGCATACACGCCTGCTTTGGCAGGAAGTGAGGTGGGGACGAGCTGTATTCTAAACTATAGAGCACATCTTAAAAATGGTATTCTGAAATTAGGCTTTTTCTCAATTCTTTTTCCCATTAAAATAGTCGTGACTGACCAAAGAACTATCTTTTAGAAAGATAAAATGGCTAATAAATACATTTAAAAATACTAAACGACACTAAAGACCCAGAAATGCAAATTAAAATGAGATACTGGCTGCTAACCATCAGTTTGGCAAAAATTAAAGGCTGATAACATTCAGTGCTGGTAAGGAGCTGGGGAAAAGGGCATTCTCACATACTCTTGGAATGTCAAAGAATGGGCATAAACTTTTTCTTTTTTTTTTTGAGACAGAGTCTTACTCTGTCACCCACGCTAGAGTACAGTGGCACGATCTTGGCTTACTGCAATCTCTGCTTCCCAGGTTCAAGCGATTCTCCCTGCCTCAGCCTCCTGAGTACCTGGGATTACAGGCACCTGTCACCTAATTTGGCTAATTTTTGTATTTTTAGTAGAGACGAGGTTTTGCCACGTTGGCCAGGCTGGTCTCAAACTCGACCTCAGGTGATCCGTCTGCCTTAGCCTCTCAAAGTGCTGGGATTACAGGTGTGAGCCACTACGCTCGGCCAGGCATAAACTTTTTGAAAGGCAATTTGTTTTCCTCAACATTTTAAATAAATATTTGACAAGCAATCCATATTTAAAATCTAGCACAAATATGCAATCTAGCACAAATATTCAAACAAGATTGTTCACTGCATGTTTTTGTAATACTGAAAATTTGGAAATAATCTAAACATCCTTCAATAGAGAGCTAAGTTGAACAAATTATTAGGAAGATAAAATGTGTGGTCACTCTAATATAGAATAATGCTTATGACACATTGAGTTAAAAAAGTAAATGCAATATCATATATGCTGTGTGACATAATTACCCTAAAAACCTTAACACATATGTATTTTTCATGAGTTCACTTAACAAGCATTTACTGAGTATACTATTTGACAGGTACCTTGACAGATGTTGAATATGTAAGTGATTTTAAAAATAACAAAAACAAAAAACAGGAATCCTGTCCACATGAAATGTATAACCTATATGTATATCTGTATGTGAACTGAAGAAAAAAAACCCAAAGGATTTACACCAAAGGAAGTTATAGGAAACCTTCATTTTTTACTTCACACATCTCTAAAATGTTTGCTTCTTCCCCAACAAGTATTTAATTTTATTTAAAAAATATCTTTAAATGCCACTACCTTCTTTTGATATTAACTCCAGGAGATCTGGCCACAGATCAAAGCTATTTCAATTCTCCCAAACTGTGCATTTAGCTCTAATGAAAGAAATCAGATGTTACCATAGTGTCCATCCCTCCATTTCCCGATGAGTAGCTTCTACTCTTCTGCACACCTTAATTCAGGGCTCCACTATCTGTTGGACAGATTTCTTGAGAGCCTCTGCATTGGTGTCTCTGCTTCATGTTCTTTGGCCTCTAATTCATTTGTACAATGCAGATGAGTGTTTTCTAAGAGAAATTCTGATTATATATTGCCCTTCTTTCAATAGATCCCCTCTGCCATCAGAATAAAGTTCATATTCAACACAGCTTACATACGGACATGACCTAGCCCCTGACGACCACAGCAGCCTGAACACTCTTTCCCATCCCTCTTTACCTGCCTAGTTTCTATTCATCTTCAGATTTCAGCTTGGGATGGTCTTCCCTGACTCCCCAGGATGGAACTAGGGCTCCCTGCTTCCCATGTGCACCCAGGCCCTATACTTACTTCCATGTATCCCTTGTATGGTATTATAATTGCCTGCTTATCCCAACTAAATAGAAAGCTGCTTGAGAGTAGGAACGATTTCTTGGTCTTTACAAAATTCTTAGTGCCTACACAGTGCCTGTTACAAAACAAGCTCCCAGAACATAAATGCACTTCTATTTTTAAGCTCACTTATCAGGCCTGGCCTGGTCGGATCTGGCCCTGCCTAGTTTCTGTAGCTTACCCTCTGCCCTCTTCCTGCTCCAATGATTTGGAACTTCTATGTTTTGTGACTACATCTCAAAACATGTTGTCTCTTCTACTTAGAATGTTCTTCTCATTTACCCATCTGACAAAGTTCTAATTAATCTTCAAGGAGCCATCAAATAAATCACCCCAGAGCATCTTTTCTCAGTCCCCTACCCAACCCAGTAGTTTCAAGTAGGACTCCCTTACCTGTGCTGCTTTAGTAGCTTATATACATCTGCTTGACAATTTACCACATTTTAATCCCTCTTTTTACGTGTACTCATTGGGTTTTCCACCTGATTTCCAGTGCAGCATGGCACAGAGCAGACAGCATGGCACAGAGCAGGCAGCATTTGATGACAGATGAACTAAACAGGGCATCTCAGAGCCACACAGAGCTTAAGAGCACAGATAGCCCTTTCCTCCAGTGCCTTGATTAATCCTCACTCAGCCTCTCCCATGTTAGAGTTGAGGAAAGCGAGGCTTAGAGAGGTTAAGTACATCATTACACTCATATACACTTTCCAGAATTTCTTAATTCTGAGATAGATTTTCATTTTTTAAAACATTTATAAAATCAGGATGCAGTTTACAATCAATATGTACACGTAATGTAGAATTATTTCCTGAGAAGCTATTATTAAATTGGCGGTGCTCTAGAATCAGACCCTAGTGAACCCAGGAGAAGGCTGTCTGACTTCTAAGTGTGTGTGTGTGTCTCCCATACCACCACACAGCCTCTTGGGGCATATGTCTTTTTTCTTCCTTTCAGTCTGCTTTTTCATTAATCGAATCCACACTTATGACTGCCCAGATGATATGAATGAATAGATTTTATAATGGAAAAGGAACTTCTGAAAGATTAGCGACTAGCAGGAAGAGTAAATGCTGGTCAAACATAGTTTTGGCAAATGATATATTTCAAGTTTTTCTGAGGTGGCAGTTGCGAGAGCTCATAACACCCTTCTAAAATAATTGGGTCTCTAAAGTGGTTCCAAAAGATTTTTGCTTGACATAAATTCTCTAAATTTCCAGGCTTTCTAGATAAAATAGTTGACTGCAATGCCACTATCTTCAACGTGCTGTACTCTATATTTGGGAAGATCCATCAGGAGCCTCAGAGCACTCCAGACAGGGAGAGGCTCAGGTGAGATGGAACAGTAAGATAAAGAGGCAGAGAAAGGAGGCAGGCAGGAATATTGAAGTCGGAGCTCCTTGCCCGGGGCACTTCTGAGTCACACATTTAAACACTTTAGCAGCCCTAATTTACTGTAGCATTTTCCCAATAGGTCACTGGATATAGAGTGTCAGGTCTCTGTTTCCTATTCATCCCCTATGCATGAGTGGCATCAGCATGATTACTTATTCTTCCATAAGGAGGAATAATTTTCTGCAGAATTTACTGCTTTTTGACAAAGATCACTTAAACAGTTCTATTTTCCATTTATTCATTCATTCATTCATTCAGTGTTTATTCTTTTAAGGATTATCTGCTACAGCATAAGGAAATCACAAATTTGTGTCCCTGGCTTACAAACTCTACTTTGATAGAAGAAAGAATACTGGATTTTCTGTACCAATTGCATGTGAAGTAGGACTCTCTGTTCAACCCTATAGCCAGAAGATTCTTTAGCTTACATTAGCCTTCAGAGGGCATTTCAGGCTAGAAGGGTGTTAAAAACCCTACTCCATCTAAAATATATATGGGTTTCCCTTTTCCACAGGGCAGCTTAGGACAGGTGTATGTTGCTTTAAGAAAGCTAGACATAAAACATTAAAACTGACACCAATACAGACAAATTGTGCAATTACAAAAAGAATTCCTGGCTTTATATCCAGAGTCACCACAGGGTTCCTTTAAATGCTGCACTTCCCTCGTGCATTTAGATCTCAGAATCAATGAACATTTCTGTTTACAGAATTTTAAATTTGTTCTCCCATTAGGGTTCTAATAAGCAACATGGTACAAATAAAAAGAGTATGGGCTTTGAGGTCAAAAAAGCCTGGGCTCCAATTTAGATTCACCATTTACTTACTAAGGAAACTTGGGTACATTTAACCTCTTAGAGCTGAGGAAAGTGAGGCTCAGAGAAGTACATCATTACATATACAGTTACCATAGGTCCTTAATTCTAAGATGCACCTCTTTTTTCCTTTAACATTTCTAAAGCCTCATCTTCAAACCAGGCATAATAAAATCTACTTTCCAGGGATGTTGTACAGATTAAATGAGGTAATATTTCTAGGTACACCAAGGCACTCCATTCATTAGCTCCCATGTCGTTGGAAGGGGTCCTCCTTTTGGAAAGACCAACTCCTCCCATGGCACACAAATCCCCTTTAAAATAACTCCCCCTCCCAATACAGAGTCTTGCTCTGTCACCCAGGCTGAAGTGCAGTAGTGTGATCATGCCTCACTGTAGCCTTGACCTCCTGGGTTTAACCAATCCTCCCACATCAGCCTCCCCAGTCACTGGGACTACACGCATGTGCCACCATGCCTGGCTAATTTTTTAAATTTTTTGTGGAGACAGGGTTTCACTATGTTGTCCAGTGTGGTCTCAAACTGCTGGGTTCAAGCAATCCTCCTGCCTTGGCCTCCCAAGTGTTGGAATTACAGGTGTGAGCTACTGTGCCTGACTAAAATACACTTAATAAATAATAAATTCATCTGTATACAACTTTCTCAGTCTATCTGGCATGAAAGTAAGGCCTACTGTGTGTGGTATTATGGAGACTGACCCTGCTGCAGCCAGTCTAGTACAGCAGGTCCACAGTGGGTCACAGGCTCTAAATTCCGCACCTCCCCATGGCCTTGAGTGCCCAGGGTCTCTTCCTGATCTGTATCCCTCTGTCATAAGGCAATCATCAACTCTGTATTTTTTTCTCCATTTCTTTCAAGTTCTTTTATTTCTTTGTGTTCATACTCTCTGTATGTCTCTTATCCTCTTTGGGCCTCAGTGTATTTCACAGTGGTTAAAAATTTGGATTTAATTCTATACAGAACTGAAAGTCATTGAAGAGTTCGGAGCAGATATGCTCTGACTCATATTTTAAAATCTCTCTTTGGTTGCTGTGTAAACAACAGACTGGAGAGAGGCCAAGAGCACAAGCAGAAAAACCAGCCAGGGTGCTATTTCAGCAGTCTAGGTGGAGAGTCATGGTGACTTGGACCCATCCAACAGAGACGAAGACAACTAAATGGATTCAGGATATATTCTAGAGGTAAAACTGATAAGACTTGCTAATGGATAAGATGTGGGGAGGCAGTGCAGGAAAAATTCAAGACTGACAGCTGGATATGTGGCTCAGGTGAATGGGTAGATGATGGTGCCACTTACTGTGCAGGGAACCTGCTTTATCTCCCTTAAAGGGTCAATTTTACTACAATTTTTTTTTTTGGTGGGGTGGGGGGTTAAGTAAATTAAACTGCAAAGTAATCTGAAATGTTCTTTTTACATTAAAATATGGTAAGCCACTGCTTTGACTGGCATTGTCCCTGCCCTACTCCTAAACTGTTCATAGCTTAAATGTGAAGGTCATTGTTTAAATGTCAATTTCTCCGAGAGGGGCTCCCCAAACACCCTATAGGATGCAGAGAGCTCCCCTGCATCCTATTATTCTCCCTCTCAGCCTCTTATGTATACTCTTGCTCTAGAAAAAGGTCATCCTTAGGTCTGACACAGGGGAGCACATAAGTGAATGTACGACATAGCTACAGATACGTTATGGATCGATATTTACATTTTACATGAAATTTTTAAGATACAACTTAAGAGTCCAACGATGCCATCATTGTCCCTCAGACCAGAACCCCCAAACCCTGTTGTACATGTTTACTCCCCCTCTGCTCCTAGTAGTACTTGGCGGAATAATGTTTGAGAAGCCCCGTACACTATCTCACTGGTGACATTCTAGGGGTCTTGTGAAAACAAAGTAAATTAGCAAGCAATAAGGTGCTCTGTAATTCTAAACAGATATAGAGTTAGGAGGGAGTCCACTTGACAAAGCTAACATTTTTCTTTCAAGTTCTACGTGAAATTTTATAAAAGTAGGAATGAATGTCACTAGGCTTATTAACAATATTTTAAGAACTTTTTAAAAGAATCTTCAGACTAATAAAAATTTGTCTTTCATATCAAAAGAATGGACAGGAATAAGAAAAAGTTAAGATGCTCCTGTTCAATCTTTCCACAGATAATACAGAAAATCACCTCTATTTCATAATGAGACTACTGAGACAAGTTATGTGGAAAACTATTCTGCTTAGCAAACCCCACTTTGATGCTCTCTCTTCTGTAGATCTAGAGGTATCTATATTTCTGTGTCAATGTTAAACATTGAAATTGATCTATTTCTCAGCAATGTGTCTGTCATGCCCAACATAATGCTTCAGAAGGCTAGGAAGGGCTGATGGTTAACCGCATTTTTAAATAACAACAAAGGTCACTGATTGTGAGGGTAAGCTTGACAGAGGGAGAACTTGAATTAAGGCCTTTATTCACTAAATAACAGCTTAGTATATTTTGCTGCCTAAATCAAGGGACCTGACAAGCCACTCTTTACTATGTCAAAAACACACCCACCTAACTGTTAACATGAGTAAAGAGGCTTCATCTAATTCTTCTAAAACTGGATTCTCCAATTACAATTTTCTTAAATAGTAGGGACTTCCTGCCAATGCAGGTACATTCCAAATGTCAAGTAGGTCAGTAAAAAAAAATGAAAGGCTGAAGAGAAACTTTAAAAGAGACATTTAAAAATAGGCATAAAAAATAGACCTTAGCAGAGAATTGACTGAAACATACTGTGAAAAGACTACTATAGTATATTCTTTTCATATGAATATTAATAGAAAAAAAACCCATGCAGTGTTCATAGTTTTGAGTTGATGAAATAATTACAAATAATGCAAATCAAAATTTTAGGTCAGTTACAAGTGTCTGTAAATGACAGTCTATCCTAAAAAGCAAAATGATTTTGAAACCCTAAGGGCTTCAATTGGCAAAGCTATTTACCTAAACAAAGAAGAGTTCCTTTGCTCAAGCAAATACCTACCACCTTCTGATTTTTCACAAATGAAAACTGGGGAAGGAGTGCCAGACTGAAGGACAAGAGAGCAAACATTAGGACTGCCATTAGGCCTACATTTTGATTTAATAATGAAATGTTTAAGTTCTAAATTTATTATTATTATCAGACAAACAGTTGTGTAGTCAGTCTGGAAAAAAGGTAAGAGAAGAGAAATGTCTGTGGGCAAGGAACAAGTTCACTGTCAGCCTATCAAAGGATTTCTGAAATCTTGTTGTAGCACAACTAACCTCTGTGATAACTACTGACTCTACATGGCATGTGTATTTTGATTTGAACTGGTATTTCCCCCCTTCTTCACTGACGTTCAGTAAGGGTAGCAAAGAGACAAGTGCTGTTCTGTACTCAATCAGGTAAAAGGGGTTTGACGACAGGGATGATCACTCTAATTCTGTTCCCAGACATGGGGCATGGTAGGCACATTTTTGCAAACACTAAGCTGGTCATTGTGACAGAGGCTCAGGAAGTGCAGGATGACTGCCTCTAACCTGGCATCTCTTTCCACCAAGTTCATGACTAAGTTCATGCGTCATAATGGGTAACTAACAGGTATTTCATAGCCAACTGTGAACACCAACAATTTTTTAAGTACTTTCTATGTGTTACTTTCTATGACAAGAGGATTTTCCTCTTTTCATTAATCACTCTCCAAAAAAAAGTCTAAAAAGTTCAAAAACACAAGATGTACCCTGCCTTTACCAACCTAACCTTAAACAAATATCTTTACCAAACTGGAGATCCTTCTGTTTTATGAGACCAGACTTATTAAAGCTACAGAAAGAGCTTCTTTTGTTAAAAAGCTTTTTGGATTAAGAAAACGGACAGTAATTTATGTAAATGTATCAATCTCAATTGGCTTCTCTTGTATGAAAAGGAATAAATAACGCAGATCACTGTTTTTCAGATAACGAGTCCTAACTCTTTGCCAAGGATATGGCAAAGACTCTGATGGAAAAGGCAGTAATGTGTACACAAAGGTGAACATAAATAAATGTGTGTATGATAAACGCTGGGAATGGACATAGAAAAACGGGTATGCAATTGGACAGAGACGACGGGAGACAGAAGGAAAGATACTTGCTCAGCTGTATCTAAGTAAGTTCATAGGAGTTTCATGGTCTGAAAAATCTGTGACAGTGGAATTTCTACTAAGAAGCTTAAAAAAGTTTCACCTTCTCCTTGGACACTTCAGAATAAGGCCTTCTTAGAATATAATGCATTATATCACAAATATACTTTTATATAAAATATTTGGGACCAAAACAAGAGTAAAGAACCAGGATCCGAAAGGGTGAATGCCTACTAAATATCTTTGATTATCTAAAGCTGTTTAAAAGCTATTAGATTGGCACCTGGAACCCCAAAATATCCACTTTTCACTGGGAAGGAGTGGCTGTGCCTCTTCAATCATCCCCTAAATGCAAAGAAGTTTGACCCCCACGCAATGGATAAAAGTCACCCAAAAAATGAACAAAAGAGGTGTTTGGAAAAACCAGAACACCATTCATCCCAGCTAACGACTTGTTCATTATGAGTGATGATGGATAAAGACTTCTCATGCTGAGATGAAATCAAGATTTATATGCATTGTTTCCTCTCCCAACTTGTGGGAAGATCATCATCATTTAATTCTATCTCTGCGGCCAGTGATGGGCATCCAGAGAGCTGGTTATCAAACGGCGCAGTCAGCTGGCAAAAGCCGAAACGTGCAGTTGGCACATCTGGACGGAGCCGCCACAGCCGAGGGTGAACAATGACTCCTGGCAAGCATCCAAATTGCTTGCAGACGCTAGCAGGTCTCATCTACAACCGCCCCTACCAGCATCTCTCTCTCTCTCTCTTTTTTATGAGAATCAGATTTTCATTGCTCCATTCAATTGCTCTCCTCTGCCATTTTTTACAGCTCTTATCGTTCCCCTGGAATATGGCCTTGAGACAGCTCATCCGTGTCCTTCACTGTGTTATCTCTTCTAACTTTTATTAAAACTTCAGCTTTCATCTGAAGATAGCTAATTAAATCTGGAACAGATTATATGCCTCCCCTTAAAAAGAGCACAAAACTATTTTCTTCAACCCCAGCAATGCTTTTTTTCCTTTCCAAAAGGTAAAATCAAAGGTGTTTAAGAAGTCTCTTTATTTACAGAGCTAAGATATTCAACACGTCATATATGAGTTGATTTATATTAAAGTTGTCTGTGATATGACAAATCTTTGAGCTATTTCTCAAGATGATTATTTCTCAATCCTGGTATATATCCTTTAAATATCACAGCTAATACTATAAGCATATTTTCTATATAAAGTTGGGTAATGAGGAGTTAAGTTATTAGTGCACATCAAGTGATTTGTCTTTTTATTCGTCTTTTTTTTTTAAAGGTTGCCCTCATTTGATAAGGATGAAGAGAAATTTTTCTTTTCTTCCCCATACCACAAATATTAGTAACTAAAAGTTCTCCCATGGGAAATTATGTGAAAACATGAAATTAATAGCAGTGATTCAAGTTTAGGACTGATTCGGTTTTCAAGACAGCTTTATATCAACTGATCATCAGCACAAGTAGCTCTGTCTGAGTCTACCACAAATTATTAATGAAGGAACTTCCACAATTGATATGAATACATTCTTCTCACATATGCCGCTGACCCAGTCCCTTTCTGAGGCCGAGGGGCAGTGTACAATCACCTTTTCTTGCATAGATCAGCTAACCAAACCTTCTAGCAATGACATCTGAAAGAATCTAGCCAGCCATCACACACACACACCCCCTATGCCCTTTTAATAAGGGTTAAGCTTCTACTACTGTGAGAATATGATTTAACTATCCCACCTGAAACTTTCTGGGATCCTTTTCTTCGCTTCACTGCCTTCAGTAAGATTTCCTTCATGGTAACCTTTGTGTTGTCCACCTGAATAAGGGAGAATCCATGAGCAGCATTTCTGTAGGAAAAGACAAATATTAAATCATCACCAACATTCATCCAGAGAGATGTTACTGCAATCTTCACTGTGTTTAAGCAAGTTTTTTTTGTTGTTGTTTGTTTTGTTTTGTTTTTGAAATGGAGTCTCGCTCTGTCACCCAGGCTGGAGTGCAGTGGTGCAATCTCGGCTCACTGCAAGATCCGCCTCCTGGGTTCACACCATTCTCCTGCCTCAGCCTCCCAAGTAGCTGGGACTACAGGCGCCCGCCACTACATCCGGCTAATTTTTTGTATTTTTTTTTTTTTTTAGTAGAGACAGGGTTTCACCATGTTAGCCAGGATGGTCTCGATCTATTGACCTCGTGATCTGCCCGCCTCGGCCTCCCAAAGTGCTGGGATTACAGGCATGAGCCACCGCGCCCGGCCGTGTTTAAGCAAGTTTTAAAGTAAGTGCATACTGAGGTGCCAATTATTTAAAAATAGGTTGAATAAATATACTTCAAATGGTGGGTGGCGGGGGGGCAGTGATAAACGATTCTAGCGTGAGCAGTTCCATGTGAGAGAGGTCACGCTTAGGGAAGGTTCTTCTAATTTGTCCAAGTTGAACCTAAGTGGTCTGTGTGGGTCAGCAGCACCATGGGTTCCTAGTGTTGGCTTCCAAACCAAATCTTGCAACAAGGATTGACAACTGATAAACTTGGCTTGTGTCAGTAGATGTCACTACAGGCAGATACTGCCATCATACTAAGCTCATGGAGCCCCAGACAAAAAAACGTCATGTGGGGCCGCAGGGCAGTAATACCCCAAAGTAATTGAGAAGGAGGAAAAGAAAATGCTCTAACTAGCTAGTAAATATATTTCTTTATTCATACACACACTTTTTTTTTTGAGATGTCTGTCACCCAGGCTAGAGTGCAGTGGCGCAATCTCGGCTCACTGCAACCTCTGCTGCCCAGGTTCAGGCGATTCTCCTGCCTCAGCCTCTCCAGGAGCTGAGATTACAGGCGCCTGCCACCGTGCCTGGCTAATTTTTGTAGTTTTAGTAGAGATGGGTTTCACCATCTTGGCCAGGCTGGTCTTGAACTCCTGACCTTGTGATCTGCCTGCCTCAGCTGCCCAAAGTGCTGGGATTACAGGCATAAGCCACCGCACCTGGCTGTATTTTTTTTTTTAAATACAGTCTATACACTTCAGTATGAATGATTTAATCTTAGTCCTAGAAAGTCAAAATATTAGCTGAAGCACAAGTAATTATAAGACAAAACACTTACACTCCTTGTAAGCTTCCAATTAATCAAACTGGGTGGGGGAAAGGCTTCATCTAGATTGGAAAAAAACCGCTAAGGAACAAGTACTCTAAAAACAGAAGCCCATCTCCTGTGTGAGGTATAACTTCACCAAGACTGTTAATTGCAATAGCAAGTATCACAAATACTACTCACTACACTTGGGCACTGGAACAAAACAGACCAATTCCAAGTAGCTCATGTAACAAACGGGACCCAAGTTTCCAACTATGGAACATGGGAATTGCCACAAGGAGTTTGGTCGCATTCCCATTTCTCCATAAGAATCTCTAAAGGGAATGTGGCCAAAAAACATGGCAGAACTTCATATTGACGAGAAATCTGAAAGAAAAGCCAAGCCCCAAGCTAAGTTCTGGAAAAGCTTCCCAATGGTAGGACAGGCTGGGAAGGGCCTTAAGCCTAGGTTGGACCCAACTAGGTGGCTGACTCTCCACAGGGGCTGGGGGCCGATCTCAAAACCAAGGACCTAATTTGCTTCCCTAATACAGAGACATCTCCACAACCCTCCTCTCCATACGGCTTGCTGTTTAATCCTTGACATTCCATTTGTTAAAAAGCAAAAGCCGATGCTGGTCTGGCCAGCACCATCATCCATTTTAACTTGGTCAAGTTCTTGCTATTGAACAGCAGGCCTGAGAACTGTCAAGCTAATTTTACTGAACACTCTGTTACTGAATCATGCCTGAGTCCCGGCCATTCTTTACCTCAGAAGCTGGACCGCATCCCAGAACAATCTTTAAAAGTTTATTTTACTGATCAAAGCAAAATAAGAAAAAGCTCTTTTTAAAAAACTATATTTAGGGAGCGATGCAGTAAGTGATACTTTGGCAAGAGTACTGAAACGTAAAGTGCCTTGTGCATTTATAAACTTGGGGGTATTTGCTCTGGCGCTAGGCCAGTGTGTGTTTGGAACAAATGCCAGTCAACCACGTTCAGATTTGCCTTCCCTTGCTTTCTCCTCAGAAGTCAGTATGCGCTCCATCTGTGACAATATGTTGGGCGATGGATGAGTAGGGCCTAAAAGAGAACACAAGTTCTCGGGTACTCACAAACTAGTACTGGCCTGGACCTCATGAACTGCCATCCACCTGGTTCTACAGGAACTACTGTAGATTTCAGTCTGCTTAGAAACTGCTTACGTTCCCTCCTAATCTGCTGCCGGCTGACAGCATTATTTCCAGCCAATACGTTTATCTTTTTCAGCAAAGGCAGACTAAAAGCTCAAAAGGAAGCCTTGTGTTTGGACTAATTTCCATAAATTAAAAGTGTCCTTTTAAAAGATTTTTGAGCAGAGGAAAATCCCCAGTCTGTATTTTTCTGTCATTTTACCAAAACGTACCTGGGTGACAAGGTTAAAGCAAGCAGAGGAAATCCCTGGCACTTATCATCCACAGGCATTACTGATAAATTGTGTGGTGGAGGAATAAAGGATTACCTTCTGTATTTTTTCATTACACTTTTCTTTTGTTACAGAATACATAAATCCATTGTGGCACAATGTAATATGTATCACCATGCTACACCTGCGGACGCTTCCGAGCGGCTGCCATGTCTGTGCAGTCAGGAATGATAAGTGAACCACCCGTGAATGTTAACGATAGTGATCATTCTGAGGTAACTTGGCTCTCCATCTTCCTTTACAGCCTCCGTGCTGAAGCCAGGGTAGCAAGGTTCATGAGAGGAAAATGAAAACAACAGCGAAGGGAAGGGGCACACACGGCCCTCGGAATGGACCTTCGTGAGTGTGCAGTATCTTACTCTGGGGCTCCATTTCCGTAAAAACGTGCACGTTAAAAGGAGAAAGAGGTTCTGCCCTGAGTGCTGCACATTCAGGCAGACCTAATAAGAGTTTCCTCAGGTCAGTCCCACGCTCCGCTCCTTTCCCTCCAGACGAATGCCAACTTTGGATCTTGTTCCACGTCTACAGCGCTTTGGGGGGAGATGGGCAGGGTTTTGTTTTTTGAGTAATACCCTCATATGTTTCCAAAACGTAAGAGCATAGAATGCAAGTGGTTCTCAGCCTCCGTCTAGGTGCAAGTGTTAAGTTATGCTCCCATTTAACAAGTGGAGATGGAGACTTGCCACCACAATTTTCAGCTTGACTTCCAAACATTCTGGGTTTTATGCCTCATTTCTTTATATCCAGGATTTTTTATGGGCTTTCTAAAAAGTCTACTGAAATACATCTTTTAAAGCCTTTACTTAATGTGGGATGCTGGGTTTGAAGCTGAGAAGACAATGGTCCTGGGGGGAGTGCTGGTAGTGGGCAGGAAAGGAAGGGTGCTCCTGGTCCTGGCCTGCCTTCCCTGTGGCACACGCTCCAGTCTCTGGGTTAGGAGCTGTGGCGGGGTGATCAGCCCTCGGATGAACAGGCAGGCTACACACAGACTCAAAGTCTCGGCTCAGAAACCGCTCCTCCTCCTGCTCGCCTCAGGGACAGACAACCTGTTTTCCCCCAGAGCAGGGCATTCTAGGGACACTGAGAAGCAGCAGCTGCCCTTCCCACGGCTCCTTGGGCTGTCCATGCTGGGTCTAGGGTGAAACTCCATGTCAGGGAGCGTAAGAAACACTGCCAGGAGTGCTTCAGTCAATTCAAAGTTAGGTCCTGTCAAGTCTCGTAACCACTGAACGATGTATGGGCATTTTAAAAAGAGACTCCTTGCTTGAGGAGTTCAGCTCCGTCCCAGCGCACAGCCACTCAGTTACCCCAAAAAAGTTTGTATGCCAGCACGAACCCAACGCAAGCAGGCTTTCTGTACTAAGCAGTAAGCGAGAGGCAATGGGAGCCACGGAGCCCACAGGGACACAGGTCTTCATCTGAAAAGCTTAGATTCTATCTTTAGGAACAGAGCTGGAACCAGAACTCAAGTTGGAAGGCAGCATACTGGAGAGGAAAGGGCATAGGCTGGGGGTTAAATACCCTTTGACCGAAATCTTGGTTCCGTGGCTAACGGAGATGTTGCTGTAACATGTGGGAACCTCAGCCGCATCCATGAAATGAGTAGGCTACTTCCCTATAGAATTGTCACAAGCATGAAACAGACAATGAATGCCAAGCACCTCACACTATGGCTGGCAAACAGTAAAGGGAGTCGACGTTAGTTCTCTTTTGTTCCCCTTGCCCTAAGTCATCATTCCAAGAGAAAAGGCCCCACTTCAGCCCCTCCTTCCCCTGCCTCCTAAGCAGAGACTGCTTATCGGGGGGTGGGAGTCTCAAAACTCACTGCCTGTCATTGGTAACACAGGGGCATTAAAATGTGTGATTTGTTGAGCTTGGTGGCCATATTCAGGGGCATTATCAGTGAGTAGCCTGTGGCCCAAGCACCAAAATTTCCCAAGAGCTCCAAGGGGAGCACTCTGGGTTGTTTTCAAAACTTTCCTTTTTGAAAGTGTTAACTATGAAGCAGGTATGTTCTGCCTCAACTTAATTCACTGGCTTTGCATGATGATAATGGAAATTAAAAAATCATGGTGGTGTAGAGAATTTCAACAACATTTATTAAGAACTTTTTGATTTGCACAATACAAGTTGTCCACTGTTTAACAATTATAACAGCAACTACTATTTATTGAACACTTTCTATGGGCTAGGTGCTGTTTTAAGCTTTTTAAAAAATATCTGTATTGACTCATTCAATCCTAAAATAGGTACAATTATTACACCCATTTTATAGAAACTGAGGCTGAAGGCATTAGGGAATTTACCTGAGATCACTCATCTATTAAAAATCCTGTTTTGGATTCAGAAATCAACAATGTGGTCCCTAACCCAAGCTGCACAGTCCAGTGGGAGAGAAAGATAAGAAGTCAACAAACAATTATAGTTCTGTGTGACAGTCACAAAGGTGGAGGCAAGTTCAGAGTGCTGCCAAAACAAACATAGGGCACGTAACCCAGCCACACAGAGGTGAGAGGGTCCGGGAAGCTTCCTAGTGGGGATGATGTCTCAAAACGCAAACATCATTTAGCTCTAAACCATGCTAGGAGAGACGGTGGCAGCACCAGAAGGCAGCAGAGCACAGTAAGCTCTAGAATAAAGTGACCTGGTTTGGAACCCCACCTCTGCTTTCACGGATAACAACATAATCACTTTAACTTCATTTCCTCATCTACAAAATGAGGATGATAATTATTCTTGGATTTTAAGATTGTTGTAAAGGCAAAATACTTCTAAAGTACTTACCATAATATCTGTCATATAATAAATGCTTATAGATGAGCCATTAGTTAAAAAAAGATAAATGCTTAATAAACAGTTAATATATAATAAGCATAAGCATTTTCTTCATATGTACAATGAAGTAATATATAATGATGAGACAATAATATTCAATATTTATTGAGCACTTACTTTGTTTAATCCTCCTAGAAAAGATAGGTGTTATTATGAGTTCCATTTTATAAAAGAGAAAATTGAGGTTTGGCAAGGTTGAGACATTTGTCTGGAGTTATATAATAAGTTAATACATCATATAACTAATAAGTCCTGAAGGAGCCAGGACTTGAACCCAGATCAGCTAGACTCCCAAGTCTGTGTTTGTTAATCCCTCCACAGCCGCAAAGGGAGTCTTAGGGACTCGGGGAAAGAAGAGACTTCCAGGGAGCACATCTTCCATACCGGAACCACTGACCCAATCTGTGGAAAAGGTTCAACTTCCACTGTAACAAATTCAGCTTGACTATGAATGTCCAGACTCTTAGACTAACCATATGACCTACAGGATTTTTAAGGAGACATTGGAGAATGTCATGGTTTCAAAAGCCACAGTCTCAGTTTGCAGAAGTGGGAAAAGGTTGCTACGAGCAGTTCTCGAGTCTCTGGTCCTGACCAGTTCCCAATAGTGATGAAGACACACTCTAGTTCCCAACCTGCTCTGGTCCAATTCCATGCATGTTCATTCTCCAGCATTTCAAGGTAGAAAATGAAAATATATGAGCAAGAGAAGGCCTTGTAATAACTGCAGCATGCCTGCTTTAAAATAAGTCCTCTGAGTATGACTTTATCCATAAAGAGTTTACACTAGTGTGAATGCCACATTTTGTTTCCCCTTAGACTGACCAAAAATTTTTTTTAAAGATCAAAGCGTACTGTGGGAGCATGCGATGTTTGACATTGGACAAAGTACTCTTTTTCAAAACAGACATTTTCCAAAAACATAACTCGCTAGACTAATGGGCAGTGAGAAGCCAAAATGACTGCCCTCCGCCTTCTCCTTGTGTATCTTTGCCAGAGTCCTTGGGACTTGCCAAATCCGGTCATGCCTGCTTAGCTTGCTCGACTGATTGTGCCAGAAAAGAAAATAAGACACAGATGTATTTGAGCTCTTTGAGATGCCAGTAAGAGAGACAGCTAATGGCTTCATTTCGACCCTCCCCTTCCAGCTGGGCACAGGTGGGGGATAATGAGGTCCCTCTCCCTAATCAAACTCAATTATTTACTACTCTATATAACTGCAAAGACATTCACATTCCGTTCAGAATATAAAACACACCGTGGGCTACTTCCAACCACTGCCACTGGGTATTTATAACAAACTCAAGTGGCTAACAGTTTGCCTTGGCAGGAGTTTAAGTGTGTAAAGTTTTGCAAACTGTTTCTGTTCAAATATGTCCTGCTGAAATGGGGTCCCAGGCGGGGTTCCATAACTGTCAGGTCAGTGAACTGCATAACATCTGAGAATGTATTCACCATGCAGTGCAGACAGGATCTGGAAATCAAACGCTTCGTTCTATCACAACCTTCTGAGAAGCATCACAGTTTTTTTCAACAGCAAGACTGACATTGTATTAATAAACATTCCAAGTCACTAGCCTGACATGTACATAGCAGCAGCTGACAGACTCCGACATAAGCTGAGGGGAGAACAGAGGAAATCAAAATGAGACATAGTAACTAAACATGGCCAAAGGGGGAAGCATCACCAAACCAATCACATGGGCTCAGAAATGGGAGCTCCCCGACTTTGAAGACACATATTAACTAAAGCAACAATCTGGCATAATTTTTAGATACAAAGTAAGTTGATGGTTATCTAAAATGTGTGCTTTTATGGTAGGAACAAAGCGAATCCTGGCACAATTTCAAGACATTCCAGTGAGCAAAACATACATATTTAGCTTGTCTGACCTTTAAATTCTTAGAAGTGTGTAATTAATGCTTTCCATCTTTATCACTTGCTCCAATATTTCTGTCACTTTAAACAGACACAAAGAAAAATCCTTTCTTTTCTCTAGACAGTAGCTGTTGCCAAAAAGGAAATCAAGTCAGATTTACAAATACAAAATTAAACAGGCTGCATATGTTACATTTCCATACACGAGGACAATCTGGACAATGAAAATGTTTGCTAATACAACAGAATGAAAAGAAACAACACACAGTTGGTCCTCTATGAATCAAGCAAACAATAAATAACCAGGATAATTTATACTCATTTTGTCAGGCCTGGTTACAAAGAACACAAGCATCTTCTTTTATTCCTTATTCTATTTTAGCTCTGCCTCTTACCAAACAGCATGGCCTTGAATTAGTAACTAACTACCTGTCTCTGAGCCTCAGCTTACATATTATAAAAGTGAATTGCGTATAAGAAACTTTACTGATGGGGTGTGGCCAATTTTAAAATATCATAAAAAAGAAATAAATGATAAAAAAAGAAATAAATGAGATAGCATCTATTGGAGGTATGAAACTGAATGAGTGTGTGAAAATATTCTCCCTGCCCTCCTCTTTTTTTCATTCTCTAGACCACAAGGCAATAGCATATAACAGAAGGAAAGGCTTCAAGCTAATGACACCCTTTAATAAAGGTCTGGTCACTTGGGGTATACTGTGGATTTATCATCAAGAAGGTAAACTAAAACTCCCCACTCTTCTGAAAAGCCCAGTAAAGAGCATGAATGAACCTAGGGCACGCCTCTTTAAAAAAGCAGCTCATCGTTCCCTTTCTGCAGAGCCAAGAGAAGCCAAGGTAGTCTCTGGGAGCCTGCCCAAGGCAGCCCAGCTTCTGGGCTAAGACCTTCCACTGTTACCTGACAGCTGTTACCCAAAGAGCTCTTGGTTAGAACTGTTCCTTCCTCATGTTCCTCTAATATATCAAATATTTAAAGGAAAATACATATATATATAGGAGACAGTTTAACTGCTCTGACTTCTAACCTAAGGAGATTCTGACCATTTTATTGGCCTTGACTTTTTTTTTTTTCCTTTAATGCCCTTCTTCCCCCACTCCAGAGTAGAATCCTGGCATGAAACTTTAATGTCAACACATATAAGGTAATAATACTACCACAGTTGTTTTTGTCATTGCCACTTTTGAACTCAATTCAGTCTCACAAATTCTGACTAAATTAGGTCTGTGTTGGGAATGGGAGAAGGAGACGAACAAGGCAGGTCCCTATCCTTGAGAGGCACTTAGCCCACTCAAGATCTCATTCTCCCTTGTCCTACTTTGTCTAAAGGAACAGTAGGCTTTGGCTTGGTCACTGCTGGCAAGAAACACTTCTTGAGATGCTGGGCACTATCTGAGCTCCAGCTCTTTATCTGGTTTTGGGGGTCAGCCAAAAACCTTCCCATTCCTCCCACTCCCTACTTCTCCTCTCTGACACTACTGATATCCAAACATCTTTACTGCTTAAGCTCAAAGTAGTCAGCAAGTTAGGGATTCCCATTTATAGATATATTTGCTCTGTCCAAAATCAATCAGGAACAATGGATAGCTTAGGAATCCACTTGAAGATTTGTTAAAAGAGGCAGTTTCCATTACCAGGCTCCTAATTTGCAAGTTGTTAGAATAATCCATTCTCCTTCCCTGAACAACAACTCTATCCAGGGGATTCCTGGGGCCCAGGGGTTCTAGAGGGAAAGCTAGATAGATCTAGTCCTGATTTAGTAAGAACATCAGAAGACATCCAATTTCACGTTCCCTCCACAGAATAATTTTCCAATGAGAAATTCATTAATTAGTTCCCCTTTAAAAAATGTAAATAATTATAAAATATAATTCACAACCTTTGCATGATGGAATGAAGACAAATTTAAAAATTTCTTTTATATGCAGAAACAGATCTATTTCCCAATTTTGCTATAATGGACACATATTAATTATATAATAAAAAATAACTCAAAGGAAGGTTAAACCCCATTCTCACCTTAGTGTAAATTATTCCCACTGAGAATCCCTGACAGAAATAACAATAGCAACTATGTAACACTTCCTACATGCCAGAGTCTCAGCTAATATTAATAATCACAGCAGCATTTCCTGAGGTTCAAGAGCCCCCAGGAATCAACAGATGAATTTACAGACTAAGTTTCAGAATTTAAAAACCTGTTTTCTAACGGTGATGTGAGCCTCTAGTTCCAGCTACTCAGGAGGACTGTCTGAACCCAAGAGTTCCAGTCCAGCCTGGGCAGCATAGTGAGACACTGTCTCTAAAAATTTTTTTAAATTAAAAACAATTTTGATTTTAGTCAATGAAAAGCATATAGAGATGTATTATCTATACATATCAATATATGTATGATATGGATGTGTAGCTATATATATCTATATGTGCTTTTCATTGAACTAAAAGCAAAATTATATGTGTCACCACATATTTTATATATGTCACTGTGTGTGTGTGGGGGGGTGTATGAGATAAAGATACAGATATAGGCCCCTCCTCACTCCTCATCTTCCATGTTCCCCATTTTCCACCCACCTGGGGAGCCCTGAGCCACTGCCTAGAGGAGAAATACCCAAGAGAGTCACCTGGCCTACATCAGACAAATGTGAACAAGAAATAAAATTATTAGGCTGGGCGCGGTGGCTCATGCCTGTAATCCCAGGGGAGGATTTGGGAGGTAGAGGCAGGCAGATCCCCTGAGGTCAGGACTTCGAGACCAGCCTGGCCAACATGGCGAAAACCCATCTCTACTAAAAACACAAAAATTGGCAGGGCATGGTGGCAGGTGCCTGTAATCACAGCTACTCGGGAGGCTGAGGCAGGAGCATCGCTTGAGTCTGGGAGGCGGAGGTTGCAGTGAGCCAAGATCACGCCATTACACTCCAGCCTGGGTGACAAGAGTGAAACTCTACCCAAAAAAATGGGAGGGGAGGGGAGGGCAAGACGGAAAGAAAGAAAGAAACTTATTGGGAAAATCCAGAAGTTGACCAACAAACCTACCCCATGCCCATTTGTCTATGTAGTCTACGGCTACTCACACACTACAATGGCAGTGCTGAGTTACAGAAACTCTATGGCCAATAGCCTAAATATTTACCATCTGGCCCTTTGCAGAAAAAGTTTGCTGAGCTAGAAGCGGTGGCTGAAGCCTATAATCCCAGCACTTTGGGAAGCTGAGGTCAGCAGATCACTTGAGTCCAGGAGTTTGAGACCAGCCTGGGCAACACAGCAACACTCTATCTCTACAAAAAATACAAAAAGTATTTGGGCATGGTGGTGCATGCCTGTAGTCCCAGCTACTTGGGAGGCTGAGGTGGGACGATTGCTCGAGCCTGGGAGGCAGAGGTTGCAGTGAGCCAAGATGATGTCACTGCACTCCAGCCTGGGTGACAGAGCAATACCCTATCTCAAAAAAAAAGTTTGCCAACCCTAGGATAACGTGGCGAGATTTGGGGGGTTATGTGTTCCAGCAGCTAGAGTTATTTAACATAACTAACAAACTTAGTAAAAGTCAAATGGCATTACTGCAAGCTGCATACAGAACTTGTTTGCTGAACAGAGAAAAATGGTGACAGAATTCAGTGGGCACAAAGATCTCTATGAACAGTCTTGCTGGTCTCTGAAAAATCTGTGCTGTTTGGTGCCAAGTCACACTATACACAAGTATCAGTCAGGCAGAGCCCACTTATGTATAGACCAAGCAACAGATAAAGTAGAGTGACCAATCTGGTTTACCTAGGATGGAGGAAGGGGTTGGAGGTGAGCATCAGGGAGTGCTCATAGATTCAGGACTTTCAGTTTTGAAACAGGGAGAGTCCTGGACAAACCATCACAAACTGATCATACTAACAGAAAGCGTGGTGGGCCAAACGTAAAGTAGAGTTTTCTAGGTTAGGAGCGGTGGCTCATGCCTGTAATCCTAACACTTTGGGAGGCCGAGGCAGGAGGACTGCTTGAGCTCAGGAGTTCAGGACCAGCCTGGGCAACACAGTGAGACCTTGTCTCTACTAAAAATAGAGTTAGTTGGGCATGGTGACACATGCCTGTAGTTCCAGCTACTTGGGAGGCTGAGGCAGGAGGGTCCTTTGAGCCCAGGAGTTTGGGGCTGCAGTGAGCCATGATCACATCACTGCACTCCAGACTAGGCCACACAGCAAGACACTTATCAAAAAAAAAAAAAAAAAAAAAAAGCATTTTCTAGTAAAGAACATTTAAAATTTATGTGTTTGTGTGGGGGGACACATTATAAATCAATTGGCCCACTAAAATAATGGACGAGTAGTTAAAAATACACTGTTTAAAAGGATGTTAATCGTGATGTCTCATATGAAAATCAAAAGACTCAAGTTGACAAGTAAAACATTTAACACCCAATTAAACCCAACATCAGCAATGTTTAATTTCAGCAAAACATCATCTGTTACATTAAAGTTGTTAATTTGTATTTTATTAACGTTATAATTTTATCTGTATTTAGTTTGTAATTTTGTTTAGGTTGTGTAAAAACACTGAATTTATAGCTAAACATTACAGAACTTTGTATTTGCATGTATCTAAGTAGCATTATTAAAAAACTCATTTGGATAAACATTGAGACTTTAGGAGAATTTATTTCCCTTTAAAAGAGTTCTGTACATAACTTACATTTAAGAAACTCCCTCATGACAATTCCATGAGATAGTTACTGTTACCCAAATTTTAAAGATGAAGAAACTGAGACTTAACAAAGGTAAGTAAAATTGTCTAAGGTCATGCATGTAGCAAGATACTATTGAAGCTGAAACATGAACCCAGGTTTGCCTAAATTCAAAGTCTGTGCTGCCGCACTTAGAGGGAAAGATGGTACTGGAGCCCCGGGAATAGCCGGTGTGAGGGCCTCTAAAGGTCAGAAGGCGACATGGGCTTCCTGGTATTTGAAAGGCAGGAACGGGTGTAAAAAAGGGGAAGAGGTCTTAGAAAGCAAGGTGGGACACACTGCTGGGTCAGGTGTCCTCCTGGCAGCCCACAGACACCTGAAGTTTCAGTCATTCCTTCTCCATGAAGCCCTGTGCTGGGTGCTCAGGATACAGAGAGACAATAAGACTGTGCCTTCCTAGTCTTCAAGAAGTTAATGGTCTTGCTACTAACTCAGAGGATGTGTGCTCATAAGAGGACTCATTTGAAAGTATGTAGATCCTCGATGTTTACCCACTGCCCATGTTCACTGAAAGTTATTCCAATTCAGCTTTTTCAGTCCAGCTGAGCAATGTCCACCTAAACACTACCCCTCCTCTGCTATAAAACAAAGTCGGAGAAGAAAAATGTAGAAGTGGCAGAGATCTACTCAGTAACCCATTCAAGAAATACGTGTGACAGATCTATCACAGTAATGGAGTGATGGTGAGTATTGTGGGCACAGATAATTCAGTTCTTGCTCTCCAAGGGTTGTTTATTAATAGTAACAATAACAGCAGCTAACACTAAGATGATGCGTACATATGCTAAACACTGTTCTAAGTGCTTCAGATCTATTAACTCATTTAATCCTCATAACTGATCTGTGAGGTAGGTATTATTATCTCCATTTCACTGAGCCACAGAAAAGTTAAATATTCATCCAGGACCACACACACTAGTAAGGGCAAGGCTAGGATCGGCATCCAAGCGATCTGGCTCACAGCCCACCATGCTGTCACCTACTGCACTATAGCAGTGGCTGAATGTCAGCCTTAAGACAGTGAGATTCACAGGTTAAACCAACACCAGATTCCCCAGCCTCAATCTTTCAGCAGAGGGTTGGAAAGGGCATGGACTTTAAAGTCAGGGATGGCGTCAAATCCAGGCCTAAGAACAATATTGCTCACCCTCAGGTTCCACGCCTCTAAATTGTTCATAAAAACTGGGCTATTTTGGGATTAAGTGAGATAGCATATGCATAGTTGGCCCTTAGTAAGTATTAGTTCACTCCCTATGTCAAACCTACTTGCCTCTTTCTGTTTCAGCTTAGTGTCTTCCCAGCCACTTCTTGTCCCTCCTCTACTGGGAGACAAATGGAAGGAGGAAAGGGGGGAAATGACGAGGAGGAGTAGTTACGGCTTTATTTATTTTGCTGGGATTTCCTTCTCTGAAACTTTAGACACATCCCTACAGACTCCTGAAGGTCTGCTCTGTTCTGCATCTGTAGGAGAAGCTTTACTAACTTAGAATATAGACCAGAAAGGCGAGTAAGAGGTTGCTGAACCAAGAAAATACACACAGGGCAAACGGTCAGTAATCTGTACTATTTCATCAGACGACTGAGAAAAAGAAAATTTATTGACACTTTTGTTCTTAATGCTCACATATAAAGATTTCACTTTACCTCGTGTTTTCAGAAACACTCCAGACACATCAAATAAACTCTCTTGAATTTTAAAATAGAAAAAGGATTGACTGGGCTATGTGTGTGTCTGGGAGTGGGAACACAGGGATGGGAGTAATTCAGGATCAAAAAACAGAGTATTAAGTTTAAAGCAGTTGTTACTCTCTGCCTTCCCCCTCCTTCCTATTCTCCAGAAGGCAGGGTTCATAGTGAAACACTGTGTAGTCTTAGATGCCCCTCCTGGAAAGGCATATGAATCCTAGCCCCACTCCACTCTACTGAAAACTCAGTGATTTAAAGCCTCTTGCTTTAAAAAAGGACTTCTGGTTCAAAAGACTGCTATGATCATGTGTTAACATTCATGTAGAAAAAGTTCTAGTCATATTAATAATCAATAAAAATGCAAGTAAAAACTATCGAAATGCCACTGTGTATATCTTTTAGAGTAGAAAAAAAAACTTCTAATACCTTGTAATGGTAAAACTATAAAAATGATTTTAGGAATTCTGTTGGTAACATTGTAAATTAGGACATCTTTCAGAGGGCTATTGTCAATAAAAAGTGAGTCTAAAGATGTTTTTACTCTGACCAATAATCCTACTTACAAGGCATGATCCTAAGGAAGTTGTTCAACAGAATAAAAGGTATATAGATAATGACCATCATCATCAAATTACTTATTAAAACCACACAAGGAAGCAATCTAAATATTCTGTGATCGGCTTCCACTACAACCCATACACTTTTCTTTTATACTGCTTATCACATTTTAATTATTTGACAACTGTCTCACTACTAGATAGTAAGCTCCATGAGGGTAGTGCTGTCTCTGCCTAGATCTCTGGCACATAAATACAGACTGTAGGAATTAAGAACAAATACTGAAACGTTTATAATTTATTATTTTTAGATGGAGTCTCACTTTGTCGCCCAGGCTGGAGTGCAATGGCGCGATCTCAGCTAACTGCTACCTCCGCCTCCCGGGTTCCAGCGATTCTCCTGCCTCAGACTCCCGAGTAGCTGGGATTACAGGTGCCCACCACTGCATCCGGTTAATTTTTGTATTTTTAGTAGAGACGGGGTTTCACCATGTTGGCCAAGCTGGTTTCGAACTCTTGACCCTCCTCGGCCTCCCAAATCCTGGCCTGCCTCGGTCTCCCAAAGTGCTGGGATTACAGGCGTGAGCCACTGCGCCTGACCTAATTTAATGTCAAGTAAAAATAACACAAAAATATGTGTGCTACAAGTGAAACTGAGTAACATATACACACGATTATTATACAAGATTAAAAATAGTTAAGATGGAGGCATCATTGGCCAACTTTTCAATTATTTTAAATATCCTTTAAAGTTATTTTAGTACCTCTGAAATGAAAAAGCAGGAAAAAATTTGCTGTTATTTACACCAAACTTGACCTTGTAGTAGGGATGAAACGGCCACCATGAAAGCCTGAGGGCCCACTCCCCAGCTTACCCCCAGGTACTCAGTTATTCTTTCTTTGCTCAAGGGTAGAAAGAGCCAAAATACTCATATATCATATGTAGCATAACCCTATTTTCTGTAACAATCTCAAACAAAGGCAGTATGTTGAGAGAGACAGGGAAATGTCTTCTAAAGCAATCCCTTTTGAGCAGTGAATTTGCTGGTTACTAACAGCAGGGGGTGCCAAAGGGATCGCTATTGTTCCCAGGAGACAGCCATGAGAAGGACTGCTGAGGCCTAGGTTGAAAAAAAGCTTAGGTTTGAGAGTAAAATCCAAATGCAGCAGGTTTTCCCTTAACAACTGGGACATGTGGATAAAACTCAGGAGCTCATAAACTTGAATGGATAAAAACTACATTTTAATTTTCACTAACTTCTAATATTTTGCATTTCCTTGATTTATAAGTGTAGGCAAACAATCACAGCAGAATCACAGTGCCAGTGACTCTGTCATGAACAGAAGTCATAGCTAACACTACAGCACATTACAGCTGTTGCAGATTTCTCAAATACCATTTATGCTCATCACCGCTTTGAAACAACAGGCTTCAGGAGTTACTGTTAGGTATACAGCTGGATATTGTTTAATCTACTAGTAAAGCCACACATATTACTATATCATGAATTTGTTCAATAATCTGATAACTTTAAATAACAGAATACTTTTATATTCCAGTGGATTTTATTTTATGCATTTACACACGCTTTTCTGAGAAAGGCACAAAAAAAAAGCTGAAGACATGTGCTCAGTCTCAAGGCAGGCAACTGACAGGGAAGGTCAAATTTGGTCTGAGAGAAAATTATTTTAAGTCACAAGAGAGAAGTGGCCACAGTGCACATTTTCAGTTAGTGTGTATTCCTCGCAGAGAAGGTGCAAACCTAGAAGTTTTGCTTCACAGGCTCCCAGTGCACCAGTGTTTCCAGAGGCCTGGCTCTGGACATGCCGTTCAGAGATCTGCTTCACACAATGTGCCACTGCAAAGCAGTCTGCGTAGCCTAGGTGCAGAGGCATGAAATACAATGCGAATGTCGTCCTCAGCATCTCTCTGGGAGTCATCGTTATTACCAGTGGACTCTCCAGATGCCAAATATCATTTATTTGATGAACAAAACCAAAATCAGATCCAAAATGCTAGAAGGTTGGGATGAGATACCGAGAGAAGTAATAGAGTCAGTACTCACATTCGAACAAAGAGTGACTCTTTGGATGTCAGACCAGGAGATGAGTACTTTTCAACCAGGGCCAAAGTACTGAAGCCAAACTTATGAATGGGCTCATTGGAATCCAGCGGGGGGAAATCGGTGTCCACCTCCCCATCATCCTCAGCAATATGCAGGCAGTAGGCACTGACATTGTCACTGAAAGGAAAACCAAAAAGGCGAGTGAATACCAAGGTAGGGAAGGGACAAGAAGACCAGAGGGTATGGTGCACAGCAAGCAAATTGAGGAGACTGCTTTTCTTTACCCCAAGCCTGGTGATACAGTAAAAAATCCCAAATCCTACTTCATTTGATAGAGAGAATACACATGGCAATGCAAAGGGGAGAAAAACAGTGTGAAATGAAGGTCTTTATACTACTCTATTCTTGCAACATTCACTGAGCCCTATTGCAGCTACGACAAAGAACCTAACCTCTTAGATCAAAGGTGAGATTTAGTATCAGCCCTAAAAGCAGCTTACAGCATAGTAGGGAGGAAAAGTAATAAGCATTACACTAGCTACAATACAAATGTAAAAAATATATATATAAAACAGATACAAACAAAACTGTAAAGGGGGGAAGATTATCTGGCCTCGGGGAAGGCAGGGGTCAGAGGCCTTTGATTTATGGTTAGGATTAAGAAAATATCTGGACAGGCATGGTGGCTCATGCCTGTAATCCCAGCACTTTGGGAGGCTGAGGCAGGCAGATCGCTTGATCCCAGGAGTTCAAGACTAGCTAGGCAACATGGCAAAACCCCATCTCTGCTAAAATACAAAAATTAGCCAGACATGGTGGTATGCGCCTGTAGTTCCAGCTACTCAGGAGGCTGAGGTGAGAGGATCACTTGAGCCCGTGAGGTCGAGGCTGCAGTGAGCTATGATGGTGTTACTTCACTCCAGCCTGGGCAACAGAGTTAAGACCCTGTCTCAAAAAAATAAAATTAAAATTAAAAAAGAAAATATTTGTGCTCTAGATCAGGAGAAATACTCAAGGTAACCAAGACAATCCATACAGTTCTCCCTTCTCTAAAGAGTATCTAAGTCAGTTGGTAGAATCTGACTTCAAACACCATGGATCCTTAGCAGAGTAAAAGCAAATGACTGGATTAGTCCTGACACAGATACCTGGTCCTCTTGACTACTTCTGCACACTTCCCACTCCCTAGAATGTCCAGACAGTACTCCCAGATTGCAGTCTTGCCCAGTTTAGAATCAACACATACCCTCTTTGGGGGAAGTAAAAAGTTGATCTGTTCAAAGAGGATGGGAAACTATACCAACATACAGACAGTGTAAGAGTGCAATCAATTCAATTGCTCCAAACCGCAAACCTGCGAGCTTCAGAATTATGCTAGCTTCAGAAGCAGGAACCCAATAGCTCACAAGGCAGTAGAATTCTAAATTCTGCAGCTTAAGTTTGGAGTTTTAATTACATGATTGATGCTTAAATTAATTAATTGCAAAGTGTATGCTAATTGTTTAATTGGTTGGTTGATCTATATAGATCATTTTTTGAATTAAATGAGTTGATTTACCAAGTTTATTGACTGGATGTGACAATGAATTATTTCACTGACTACCTGACTTGCAATTTTCCCAATTAATTCACAAATCTTTAGCTGCAACTCTGCTTATTGCAAGAGAGGGAGCCTACTTCAGGCGATCTATACTCAGTGAGTCTGTCATGACTAAGAGATATTTATTATAAAAAACAAGTAATAAGGACAAATTAAAATTAATGGAAACTGTAAATTTGCTAAATGGATTGATAACAAGAAAGTAATCTAGCTATGTTTGTCACTTTACATTTCAGGTATTTGTAATGCTGTTAAGATATTTAAAATTCATCTTTGAATGGCATGGGAAACTTTTGGATCTCTGCAGCCGGGTACTAACTTAAAAACAGAACAATTAGAGAGGCAAAAGAAAGCACTTTGGATGAGGAAAATGTCATGGTATACTGGCTAAGAGAGCTCTGTGGTCAGAACGAGTTCAAATTTCAGCTCCATGGCTCATGGCTATGTGATTTCAGAGAATAAGCTTCACCTCGAGTTTCAGTTTCCACTTCTATAAAAAGGGTATAATCGTCCCTCAGAGATTGTAAAGATTAGATCAGATAATATATGTAGTGTCTGGCATGTAACAGAAGTAAAAAATAAATGGGAAGGTAACTATAATAAGAAAGTCATATGGAAACTAACTTATAGTTGCACCAATCCTTAAACACAAATTGTGGATGCATATTAAGCAACAATGCATCTGAGCAGCATGTTCTATGTACACACAACTGTAATGGGAGTCAACATGTCCACTGTGTTCCAACCTTGGAACCTTGGGTCACTGAGCCCCCAGGGTTTTATGAACAGGGCAGACATGGATGGAACAAGCAACAGACAGCACAGATTATTTATTGCCATGTAAATCAACCTGAGGAATGTTTGATTCTCCAGCATCACAGAGGTTCAGGGGCAAATAATAAGCCTATTGATCAAAGCAGAAAAGTCCAACAATGATATCAGAAGAATTCTGCTTTGATTGTTAAGGGACATCCCCAAATCCTCTCAAAACAAATTCAATAAATATCACAGGCTAAGATTTGAGATGCAAAAGGTTCACTGCCAAGTGCTATTATTCTCCCCAGTTCTTAAATATGAAGTGTGAAATCATTCATTCAAAACACATTTGTAAAGTGCCCCCCTGGGCTGTGGCCTGTCCTGAGCATCAGGAACAGAGGAAGGAAAAGAAGACTGATTCCTGCCATATTATACAAGATGAATAGAAGCCTCTTCTGGGTCATCAGTAAAGTCTAGCAGTAAATAGTGCTCCAACTCCTCTGACCCCTTAATTGAAAATCTGAGGAGATAATGACTAAAATTCTATATTCTACACATGGACATACTGGTTCCTTTGGTGCTTTTATAAAGGAATCATTAGTAAAAGAAGCTACTGTGATATTTTGACTTCTAAAACTGCTTCAGGACTCCAAATTAGTACTAGTACAATACCAGCAGTATCATTAGCTACATTTATTGAGTACTATAAGCCAGACACTCTGCAAAGCGGCTTAGATATATAAGCTCACTGAAACTTCACATCAACTTTGTAAATGAATCATTTATATTTCTATTTTACAAATTAGATAACTGAGCCTCAATAGGATTAGGTAGCTTGCTCAAGATTAAACAGCATGTAAGTGACAGGGCTGAGATTCAAATCCAGGCAGCCAAGAGCTGTCCCTCTTGACCCCCACCCATTCCTCTGCCAAAGCCACAGTGTGTCAAGACTTCCTGAGGCACTTGAGAACCCAATCACCTATGGAAATATGACACACTTTGATGAGAAGAAGGAAACCATGACATATTACTTATAAAAAGTTAGATTTAGTTCAACCTCCTTGCTTTTACAGATGGGAAATGGAGGCAGAGAAAAGAGGGATAACATGCTCATGATCACCCAATTAAACAGAGGCAAAGCTGGTCTTGAAAACTCTGGTGTCCCCACTTCTTGTCCATTATTCTTTAAACAAATAAAAAACTGGTGGACTTTGAAATGGGGAGAGAAAAGAAAGGGGGCAGCTCTGGTCCCTGCCTCAGGAAACCCCCCGATACAGACATCTCAGAGTTTACAACACAATGGAAACAGGGGCACTTCCCATGACACAGCTTGGTGGAAAGAACAGGGATTTTGCAGACACAACTGGTTTTAATGCTAACTCAAATTCTTAGACCAAATCTCTTTGAGCTCCATTTTCTTATCGGAAAAACAGCTTTCCTTGATTTCTCTAGGAGAATAGCTTGGATCTCCGAAATTCAAGCAATTCTCCTTTGTGGTCTTACAAAATTTGGTCAATATTTCTGTATATCACTAATCATATTGCTTTTTCCTATTTCTGCATCTGTATTCTAAAGAGCAAGGATTCTTCTATTATCTCTCCATACTTACTAAAGAGTAAAATGACTGGCATTTAGAAGGTACTTAACAAACATTTGTTGAATAAATGAAGATATGAATGTGTAGACTCAATCACTCTATGAAGAAAGCAAAGGGTATTATTATTATTATTATTATTATTATTTTTGAGATGGAGTCTTGCTCTTGTCACCCAGGCTAGAGTGCAATGGCACGATCTCTGCTCACTGAAACCTCTGCCTCCCAGTTTCAAGCGATTCTCCTGCCTCAGCCTCCCAAGTGGGATTATAGGTGCCTGCCACCACACCTGGCTAATTTTTGTATTTTTAGTAGAGACAGGGTTTCGCCATGTTGGCCAGGCTGGTCTCGAACTCCTGACCTCGTGATCCACCCGCCTTGGCCTCCCAAAGTGCTGGGATTATAGGCGTGAGCCACCATGCCCAACCAGCAAAGGGTATTATTAGTGAGGTATGTGTTAATGAGAAGAGGGAAAGTAATAACCTTCTTTTTGTGTTCTTGCTTTTCACAGTGATATCTGTTAACCAAATAGGGCTTTCTAGGCAATGCACATGTGTCAAAGATTGTAATTCAAGACTAGAGGAGAAGGCAGCACAGGCAAAGGTGAGGATGAAAGGGGAATTTTTATAGTCCATCAAGATATGAATACTGGCATCTCACTTTTTATGGAGAAAAAACAGAAATGATGATACTATGTAAAAATTTTCAATTGTCACACATGAAAAGACTAGAAATAAATGTAATGTACCAAATGGGTTAAGTTTACACATACATTTAAGTCACGAGCCCTCTTTTCCTTCTAATTTTATACACTTTCCAAATATCCTGAGTACATATAACTTTTATTTTCCTTTCTTTATAAAAGATTTATTTTTGATGAGGGTAGCACATTTTTATTGTGCACAATTTAGAAATTTGAAGCAGTATGAAGAATGCAGGGAAATCTCTTAGCCCACCACACAGAGAATCACTTGTCCTGGAGACCCTGAGCATTGTCAGCCTCACTCACGTCCCCTTGTTCCTAAGTGGTCATTTTCTCTACCGAGTTCTGGAATTATGAAGGAAGTAACCATATCTACTGCATAAGGGTCTTGTAAGGATTGAATGATTGAATTTATTGCACAGTGCCTGCATGAAGAAAGATTCTCATGTTGCTAAGATTTCTTGCACCGCTCTTAAGCTTCTGATTACGCAGAAGCTGGATTAACTATCTCACAGTAGCAGGGCAGACAGTAGCATGGCAGACAGCATGAAGCAGAGACCTAAAAGTCCTGTTTCTGAGTCACCACCAGAGAAAGACGAATGATCAAAAGAACAATGAACAAGTACAGGATAACTGGATCCACAGGAAGAGACTTAATTTTAGAGTTGGTTTGGCATAAAAAGAGCAGTACCTTTCATGGGACCAGGAAGTCTCCATGAGAATTGGAAGTTTGAACAACGAATGGATGCAAAATAGAGCCTGCTGCCAAAAGAGAGGTGGGTGTGGGGGTGTACAGGGCAGAATATATATGATACATAAATCATATCTCCAAATCTTTAATGAGTACAACTTTCACTTATTCATGTTCCATCAGATAAGATTAAAATTTTCCATTAAAAAATTTATTTCATTGAATTGTTTAACCAATATTCATTTTATGTTCAAAGGCCAGTATAGCTTTCACAAAGCGACAGAAGCCTGTAGCCCATATATAGATAGCATTTAATCCATATGTGAGAATTCAGGAGCATTCCAGGAGGCATCCCAGATTTCTCCCAAATGTGATCTGGCATGTTCAATTTACATACTCATAAAAATTCACTCATCCTCGGAAAATGTAAAACACACTTAAGTATGATGACCAGATAGATGAATGCTTATTGTTTTTTTTTTACATGAAAAATAAAAGAGCACATGATTTTTAAATGTCCAGAACTCTCATTACTTGGGCTTTGGTGTTTATTTTGATGAAAGAATCAATATTAATAGTGTATTGGGCATTAGCAAGGGAAAAAAGGTCATGAGGATTGCAGCTCAGAAGCTGATATCTCTGAAATCAGAGAAAAGGCGTTTAAGGTGATCAAGATTTCCTTTTCTCCAAAACCCCTCAGGAAAGTGAGGTCCAAAAAAACCTCAGGAAGTTAGATAACTTCCTGATCCTCAGTTTCTCTCCTGCAAAAAAAAAAAAAAAAAAAAAAAAAGGTTATTATCTATAACTTACAGAGATGTTGTAAGGAATAAAATAATACACTTGAAGTGCTTAGCATGTGGTGTAACACATAGTAGGCCCTCCAGTGTGTATCTACCAACCCATTAACTAGCAGTGTGGTGACTAGCAATTGGGAAATGTTGATAATGGGTTTTCTTTCTGTCTAGGTCACGGAACAAAATGTATGCAATAATTCCACATCTGTCACTTAAATAAAATACATCAGCAGGTTGAGAAATCTAACTTGGTGATTTTTACTGAATAAAATTCTATATACAGTCAGAAGCTTATTTTAGCACACACCTGAAGAAGGGCCTCCTTGGCATGGCAAGGGTAGAGAATTTCAGTCCAGATCTTTAAATGTTCCTATGTTCTCTCACCCATTCCACAAATTATTCATTGAGTATTTGCTATGTGTTAAGCATTGTGTATGGACTGAGGAATACAAGCCCATAAAACAGACACAGTCCAGACTCAAAACTATCCTACTACAACTTATAAGACTTCTTGCTGGGTGTGGTGACTCACACCTATAATCCTAGCACTTTGGGAGGTCAAGGCAGGCAGACTGCTTGAGCCCAGGAGTTTGAGACTAGCCTGGGCAACATGGTGAAACCCCATCTCTATAAAAAATACAAAAATTAGCTGGGTGTGGTGGCACATGCTTGTAGTCCCAGCTACTTAGGAGGTGAAGTGCGAGGATAGCTTGAGCCTGGGAGGATGAGGCTGCCGTGAGCTGCGATTGCACCCCTGCAGCAGCATGGGCAACAGAGTGAGACACTGTCTTGAAAAAGAAAAAGAAAAAGAAAAAGAAAAAGAAAAAGAAAAAAGACTTCTTCATTCACTTGGATGTCTCTCAAGTAATCTCCGCCTTCATTACACCCAAAACTGAACTCCACTCACACTGAGAAACCTATTTCTATAGGATATCCCATTTCGACCTTGCCATCCACACAGTTCTTCAATGTCCACCCAGTCTTAGGCCTGTCTCTCTTTTCATTCATCCATGCTAGAAGTTTTAATTAATATTTACGTAGATGACTCCTAAATTCATATTTCCAGCTCATATCTCTCCCCTCTAAACTCCAGACAAGAAAATACAAGTGACTACTTGAACACTTTGTTTAGATCTAGCAAAGCCACCTCAAACTAACAGGCAGAAAACCAAACTCATGCCGCCCCTATCCCTCCTAGTCACACAGCAAGCCCCAACAAAACCTGCTGTTCCAATGCTAGCTATTTCAGTGAAGAGCACCACAGTGCATCACGGTGTGTGAGTCATGAAGCCTCTCCTCTGCCACACTCTCCATATTGAGTTCAGCCCAAGTCCTTGTGAATTCCATTTCTCAAATACTCCCAGAATCTGTCCACTTCTCTCAATCCCCACTGTGACCCCTGCCTACCTCTCGGTCTCATTCTGTCAAAGGCGTGTGAGTCAGAGCAACTCCATCTTAAATAGAGCTGGGTAAAATGAGGCTGAAACCTACTGGGCTGCATTCCCAGATGGTTAAGGCATTTGGATGAGACGGGAGGTCAACACAAAATACAGGTCATAAAGACATTGCTGATAAAAGGTTGCAGTAATGGAGCCAGCTAAAACCCACTGAAACCAAAATGGCAACAAGAGCGACCTCTGGTCATCCTCACTGCTACACTCCCACCAGCGCCATGACAGTTTACAAATGCCATGGCAATATCAGAAAGTTACCCTATATGGTCTAAAAAGGGGAGGCATGAATAATCCACTGTTGTTTAGCATATCATCAAGAAATAACTATAAAAATAGGCAACCAGCAGCTCCCGGGGCTGCTCTGTCTGTGGAGTAGCCATTCTTTTATTCCTTTTTTTCTTAATAAACTTGCTTTCACTTTGCACTGTGGACTTGCCCTGAATTCTTTCTTGCGTGAGATCCAAGAACCCTCTCTTGGAGTCTGGATCAGGACCCCTGTCCTGTAACATCTTCCTGGAGATCATGAAGGGACTATAGTGAGAAAACCCTGACTCAATGGCTACCTTTGGGTAAATGTTGGGGTCCTGTAACATCTTTCTGGCAATGACAGAAGTGACTATACTTCGGAAACCCCTGATCCAACAAAAGCTAACTTTGGGTAAGTGGTGGGGTCTGGTAACATCTTTCTCTCGAACCACAAAAGGGACAATACTGAGGAGACCCTCCGACGCAAAGGAAATAGACTGGAGCACTGATTGGACAACTTTGGGTAAGTAATGGGGTACCCGGGTAAAGAATGAGATTGGTAAAGAATGAGACTGGGGTAGAGGCCCAACTTAGGGGAGTCAGAGTCTCTCCTAAGACAGAGTGGGTTAGAGTCCCCTCTTAATAAAAGGCAAGGACGCCTGACTGACCTTGGGTTAGAGGCCCAACTTAGGAGGGTTAAAGTCCCTTCTAAGATTTAGGGGGTTAAAGGCCCCTCTCGGTAAAGTCCTTGGATAAGAATAGGTTTGGCACTATGGGATGTTAACTGTTATTCTCTTTGGATTAATCCGCCTTGCACTCTTTGCTGATGACTGTGGATGACAGGGTTAGGCATGTACTGGATCGTGGGATATGAGGAGTTTTTTCCTTCCTAAAAGGGGAAACTTGAGAGCTGATGGGACTGCTAGAAAAGGTCCGTTTGCAACCAACGAGCAGCCGCCTGAACTTTTCATTGTCGGCTGCATTGAGTGGGTCTTTTACCTGACCTTCCTAAGCTCTTCACCTTCCCCACCCTGCCACAGGCAATACTTTCCTTCTGTACTTTTCCTTTCCTTTCTTTTCTGTTACTCAGGGCAACCACCCTGCCCAGCCACCACATGTTGAAACTCTAAGTCAGAGGTTGGATTAAAGATGATGGGGCCCATCTGAGGGCAAATTTAAGCCTTGCCAGTTTGATATTGGGTGCTAAGCAAAGTGGCTAATGTCTATGTTTTATTACATGTATTTTGCTCTGGCCAGAATGAAAAAAAATAATTTTCCTTTATGATGCAGCTTGGCCCCCAGGGCAATGGTGCTGCAAGCTGGATCACTGGGGCCGCTCAGGGAAAGGGAATCCAGAAGCCTGGCATGCTGACAAAAGGGTAAGAATTTCTTTCCAGTCAGATTTCTGGCTTCTTCCTCTCTGTGCAAACGGGTCCATGAATGGTTTAAAAAAAAAATCAGCGTTTATCTCCTCTGTAAAGCTTTGATTAATGCGAAAAAGAATTCTAAGGCTAGTCTTAAGCTGGTGTATTTTGTGCTATGAATTAGTCGTTCTGTGTCGAGGGGTACTTCAGGGTAAAACACGGGCTTAGAACACCTGTAAGCCCACTTTTCCAGACAAGCCAGCAAGTTGGTCAGTAACAAACTTGAATACAGGTCCCTTAAACAAAAAAACTGGATGATGTCTCCACCTTGTTTTATGCCCTTGGGGGCTTGACCTTTTAACCACGTTTAATGCCTTCCAGGGAACAGGAATTTTAGGGTTCATGTCATAGTTAGCTCTAAAAATCATATTAAATAGTTAAAAGCCTTTGCAAGCTCAAAATGAACTACTCTAGACTCCTTCTGGGAAAGGAAATGGAGACTGCCCCATGCTATCTATCGCTCAGTAGCTAAGGTTTTTGCACTTTCACAGTGGCGGTCCGGGTTCAATTCCCCACCTAGGAAGTAAGTCGTTTCTGGTTTAATATCTGCGTGACCTTGTCTATTCTTTTCTCCTCCGCGGACTATCTTAAATTTTCCTTTCTCTGAATACCTGGGAGGTTACCTGTGGTAAAATTCAAAAGCCAGAAATATCAGCTGCTTGGCATAAGAAATTCTAAAAGGACGTTATTAGAGAGTGCTACAGTTAAAATCAGTTTAATTAAAAGTGGATATTCAAGCTCTAACAGCCTCCTTGGGAAAAACAGGAGGCACCAGAGACCCCTTTCCTGGCCCTGTTCTTCCAAGGACTCCACCCTAAAGCCAGTAATCCAACTAAGAAACTTAAAAACTGGCAAATGAAAAATCTTACAACTACTGTAGTAATCTTCTTCTGTCTTTCTGTGTAGCTACATATGTGTTGTGTGTAATGCTTATATAAAAGAGCTCTAATTGGCTTAAACAAAATTAAGCACTTAAATATTTTAAAAGTAAAATAAAAACTGTAATGCCTTTTGGTTCATGTAACTTTAGTAATCTTTGGGAAATGAAAACAGCTTTAAAAATGACTGATAAAAATGTTTAGTCTAAATTATGCAGGTCAGATATTAAGTTGGCTAAATGCTTTAAGGTCATGAACTGCTTCTTTAACTTTTAAAAATTGTTTAATTTACCTACCTTAAAGCCATTAAATGCTAGATAAGGCCTGGGGACATGTGGAACTAGCCATGCCCCCTAGCTATACAAAGAAGATTACAAAGAAAGACATTTTATATAAGAAAGGATCTTGTATGGTAAATTCTTGTCCTAAAGTAAAATAACTGGTTGTTTAAAAGGAGGGAGGTTTAGGGCAAGTTAGAAAGTCCAAGAGTCTCAAATGGTATGGGTAAGTCATGAAAAAATTTGTGAAAGGGAATTTATGCACGAAAAGTTGTCCAATTCAAAGGTTGTTAGATCTGCTAAACGCTTCATGAAATGCCACTATGGTTCTTACTGTATAACTTGCCTGCTTTACAGCTAGGTAAGGCCTGGGGACATGTGGAGTTAGACATGCCCCCAGCTATGCTGGAGAGTCAGACCTTATCTGCACTTCTGCCTGGTGTGTCCTAGTGTATCTAGGAGCAGTACACTGCTCCACACCTAGTGTAGAATTAAAATCTCAAACTTACCAAAGTTTTCACCAAAAATAAAAGTTGCTAAGAGTTAACATTATAATATGCAATTGAAACTACTGAAATAATTTTACATGCAATGTGTAAAGAAAGTAAAATTTGTTTTTGGTGAAAGATTGTAAGAAATCATGGGAATGTGAATTTTTTTCTGCCTAAAGTATTGAAGGATTGTTTTAAGTAAGAAAAAAAAATCTAAAGGTTTAAACAAGTTGTGAAAGGTTTATAAAAAGTAACTTTAAGAGATTCAGTGTGTGAACATATTGGCTAAAGTTAAAGGGGTACTATTCAATTTTTCCACAAATTAAATTTTAGAATAAAAGCACAACAGGTTTTTCTTAGCGCACTCATCTGCTCTTTCATAAAAAAAAAAAATGTAAAGGGTTATAAAGGTTTATAAGAATCTTAACTTACGGTTAAACATTAAAATTCAGTAAATATGTCTAAAAGATTTTATTAAAAATTGCATTTAACATTAATAGTACATTAATATGAAGGTGAAATCTGGCTTATTTGGTATAAAAATCATACATTATCAAATGTAAAATGGTGTTTTGCTTTCTTTGGACTATATGTGCATAAATGTGTTATTGGTATATGTTCCAAATTATGGGAAACTCCTATAATTCTAATATAACTTAGTGTATGTAATTAATCATTATAATTGTTATGTAAAATTTTGTGTGCCACAGAAGTAACCAAATTTCCTTATCAATTGTGGCTTTAATAGTGGCTGTCCTAAAACTTTTTATCATCTACAGACCATTGTTGTCTTGTTTTAATCCTCTTTAGAAGGTGGTTTATAATTAACTAGAGAACTCTAGCAGGTGTTCTTAAACGCAGGTTTCTAATAACTTTGGAAATTGTAAGATTAGAATAGAGGAAACAACTTTTAAAACTCTTATGAAGAGCTGGAATGTTCATGAATATCTAATAGAACATAAGTTAACTGAATTAACTGGACCAATAGCAAACTAACGTAATCTTTTTAACTTTGCTTAAATGCTGCTGATCCGGCCAGGTGCAGTGGCTCATGCCTGTAATCCTAGCACTTTGGGAGGCCGAGGCAGGTGGATCACCTGAGGTCAGGAGTTTGAGACGAGCATGGCCAACGCATGGTGAAACCCCATCTTTACTAAAAAAAAATACAAAAATTTGCCAGGTATGGTGGTACATGCCTGTAATCCCAGCTATTCGGGAGGCTGAGGAAGGAGAATCGCTTGAACCTGGGAGGCAGAGATTGCAGTGAGCCAAGATCGCGCCACTGCACTCCAGCCTGCTCGACGGGAGCGAGACTCTATCTCAAAATAAATAAATAAATAAATAGAATATCCTGCTGATCCTTTGTTTTTCAGAGTCAAGGAAACTTTTCATTTGAGCTATTTACAGCTTTTACCAATTAAGTAAAGTATACTCCTGTAAACAAAATTTGGAGCATATTTGTTTCTCTCTACCTGATTTCTCCAAAATTTGGAAACTATTTGTGAGCATTCTTAATTTATGGCAATATAGTTATTTGCATAAGTGCAATAAGAATCTGTTTTCTTTTATAACAGAACACAACTGAAGAAACTAGTTATTTTCCCAAGGCTTTAACTGGAATGGTGTGTACAAGGTTTCTGACCTGTGATAAGTAAAGAATGTCACTTTCTAACAGGTCCAGGAGCCCCAAGTTATCTTGGGACCCCAAGAGGAGAGGAATTTACTCAACTAATAGGTATTTGAGGGTACAAAACCATGGCTGAGCTTGGTTTTAAGAAATCTTAACTAAGATTCCTTCTATGGAACAGAGTTCCATCAAAGCCAATTTTAAAAGAGGCTATGTGAAAAATAATTATTCTTGCTGCACTTTATACAAATAATCAGGCCAAGTATAATAAAGCAAATCAGTCTTACCATGATTTGTCTTTAGTAAAAATGAAAAACTGGAGAATGAAATATTATGTTTCAAGAACTATGGTACACTTTCTACTAAATTCTAGCCTCATTAGTTGTTTTTAAGTTTGTTTCTGCAATTTAGGCTAACCCTGCTTATTCCTGTGAACCAAAGAGTGATCTCTGACTTGTGGTCAGAAGAAACAAGAGGGATGAGTAATGTAAAAATCTGGATCAGTATTCTAATTCTGGGCACATTACAATCAGCTAACAATCCCATATCGGCTTAGTTCCAACAGTTGCCCAGTTCATGTAAAGCCTTCTAATTTAGTTTACTTGGAATAACTTTACTTATTTTGCTTTACTCTTGTGGAATATACTGCTGTTATACTCTTTGTGTAGGAATACAGGACAAGCTTACTGAATGTTTTCTTAAATTAAACACTTATTAATCTTCCAGATATTGCCTTTTCTCAAAACTCAAGAGTTATGAATGGACCTTACCATACTGATGCTTTCTCACTGAGCTCCTGTCTACTCTGAATGCAAGAAACCCTCATAGTTAGGCAGGAATATCATAATCGCTATTCAGCCTGAAGAAGTTAAAGAAGATGGATCTTCATCCCTCTGCAACTCTTACGATTAAAGAGTTCTCTTATAAAAGGGGGGGGGGGGGGGACATGAGAGGTGTGTGAACCAGAGCAACTCCATCTTAAATAGGAGCTGGGTAAAATGAGGCTGAAACCTACCAGGCTGCACTCCCAGACAGTTAAGGCATTCTAAGTCACAGGATGAGATAGCAGGTCAGCACAAAATAAAGGTCATAACAACCTTACTGACAAAACAGGTTGCAGTAAAGGAGCCAGCCAAAACACACCCAAACCAAAATGGCAACAAGAGTGACCTCTGGTCATCCTCACTGCTACACTCCCACCAGTGCCATGACAGTTTACAAATGCCATGGCAACATCAGGAAGTAACCCTATATGGTCTAAAAAGGGGAGGCATTAATAATCCACCCCTTGTTTAGCATATCAGCAAGAAATAACCATAAAAATGGGCAACCAGCAGCCCCAAAGGGTTGGCTATGGAACAGCCATTCTTTCATTTCTTTACTTTCTTAACAAACTTGCTTTCATTTTGCACTGTGGGATCACCCTGAATTCTTTCTTGCATGAGATCCAAAAACCCTCTTGGGGTCTGGATCAAGACCCCTGTCCTGTAACAATCCCACTCTGTTCTCCCTGTTCTTTGTGCTCCAGTCACACTGACCTTCTTTTGTTCCCTGACCACAACATGCTTCCTCCAGCAATAAGGTGGCTGCCACACTGCTCCATCTGCTGGGACCCTCCCCTGCCCCAATGCCTCCTGTATCACTTTCTTGGGGAATTTCTCCCTGACTTCCAGGCAAAGCTCTCATAAACAGTGTTCCTTTCCTTCAGAGCACTTAATTCAGTTTTAAAGCAAACATTATTTAGTTTAACTATCTGAATTAATTATTTTAGTTATTTGCCCACTTCCTTCAATAGACTGTGGAATTCCTGAAAGCGAGACCATGCCTGGCTCTACTCACCACTGTATACCCAGCAAAATGCCTGGTATATAGCAAACACTCAATAAATATTTGTTGAATGCATGAATGAATAGAAATGATAAGTGAAATGAGCCAGTTACAAAGTGCTTTTACCCTTGATAATTTCTTCTTCCCCAACAAACTGTGCATTTTTTAGTGCAGTGATCACATTTCTCTTGTTCTCCATTTTATCCTGAATACTTAGGGTCTGAAACTCCAAAAACATTTATTAAATGAAGGAATGAAGGACTTAAGCTTCTGAGATTAAGCAGAATGCCAAGAGGAGAAGAATGAGAAAAGCATTTCTGACTACAGAAATAGCAAAAGCACTTATGGTATTGATGTTAAAAAGCTGCCAGTAAAAGAATGTGATGCCTTAGGATATATGGGAGCACAGCTGGGAGTCAGAATAGGAAGGGCCACTTCAGCTGTACTGTTTAGGTGAGTAGTTCTCATGATGACTCTAAGAAATATAAAGCAGAAGCAGCAACCCAGAAATGGGAGAAGACACAGGTGGGCATGCAGATGGTAAAAAAGGGGACTATCAAGAACATACTGAAGAGTTCAAATAACGAAGTTGTCTGGAAATACATAATGTCAGGTCAAACACTGCCAAATACTGTCCTAAGTCCACAGGGCATCAGAATATCATAGCATAGTAAAATTACTTGAGTCATCAAAAAAGGACTAAATTACACTACTACTGCTGAACTACTTACTAATATTGGTTGTGGTAGTAGCTGGCTGCGGTTACAGTAGTTAGGAGGAGCAGAAATGAACATTTATTGAGCACTTGCTATGTATTTTCTCATTTTATTTTCATTACTACCCTGTTAGATAGTTTCCACCCTCATTTTATACATGAGAAAATCATACTACATGGGGCTTAAGTAATTCATTTAAAATCATCCTGCTAGTAGGCGTTAACACCAGAATTAAAACCCAGCCTGTAGCTGTGAATCTCACACTTTCAGCCACTATGTTATATTCTGATTAAGAAAGTACAGAAAGATGTTAACACAATTTAGAGAGCTCCTATGAAGAATAACTCAAATGAAGTTTGGCCAGGCATGGTGGCTCAGGCCTATGATTCTAGTACTTTGGGAGACTGAGGCAGGATGATTGCTTTAAGCCAGGAATTCAAGACCACCCAAGGCAACAAAGCTCTTGCAAAAAATTTGTGCCACTACAAAAAATTTTAAAAATTAGCCAAGTGTAGGGACATGCACCTGTAGTTCTAGCTACTTGGGAGGCAAAGGTGGGAGGATTACTTGAGCCCAGGAGTTCAAGGCTGCAGTGAACTGTAATTGCACAACCGCACTCCAACCTGAGCAACAGAGTCTTAAAATAAATGAATAAAATGTGATGCTTGATGAGATAAGCCCTCAAATAGCTACAAAACCCACCAACTTTCCCTAAGCAGTCTAGATGGCTGAGGTCCTATCAAAATGATGCTAATCCAGAGTTATCTCCAATGCATGACTATACCATGTATTGTTACACACTGGACTGTCTAATGTATAGTGGCCATTAAAAATGGGCAAAAGATAAGAACAGCTCACCAAAGAAGACAAACGGTAACAAATAAGCATATGAAGATGCTCAACATGATGTAATTAGGGAATTACAAATTAAAACAACGACATACCACTACACACCTATTAAAACAGCTAAAATTGAAAATACTGATAAAAACCAAATGCTGGTGAGGATTTGGAGCAACAACTCTCATTCCTCACTGGTGGGAATGCCAAATGGTATGACCACTTTGGAAGACAGTTTGGCAGTGTCTTATATCATAGGCTTACCATACAATTTGTCAATCACACTCCTACATATTTGCCCAAATGAGCTGAAAACTTACATCCACATAAAAATCTGCACATGAATACTTACAGTGCCTTTATTCATAATTCCCAAAAATTAGAAGCAACCAAGATATCTTTCAATAGATGAATGAATAAATGAACTGTGGTAAATCCATGCAGTCCATTACTTAACAACAGTGAGAAATAAGTGTATCACACAAAGGATGCTTAAATGCATACTGCTAAGTGAAAAAAGCTAGTCTGAAAAGGCTACATATGGTATGATTCCAACTAGATGGCGTTCTGTAAAATGCAATACTACAGAGACAGAAAAAAGGCCAGTGGTTGCCAGCAGTGGTGGGTAGGGTTGAATAGATGGAGCACAGGACATTTTTAGGGCAGTGAAGCCATTCTGTATGATACAACCATTAGAGCTGCACAAGAGTGAACCCTAATGTATAACTGCTGGCTTTTGTTAATAATATTGGTTCATCAACTTTAACAAATGTACCACACTAATGCAAGATATTAGTAACAGGAGTAAAATGAGGGATTGGAAGGATATGTATGGGAACTCACTGTATTTTCTGTGCAAATTTTCTGTAAACCTAAAACTGCTCTAAAAAATAGTCGATTAAAATTTTTTTAAAAAAACGAAGCATAGCTCTCCCTCTCCCTCTCCCTCTCCCCACGGTCTCCCTCTCCCTCTCCCCACGGTCTCCCTCTCTTTCCACGGTCTCCCTCTGATGCCCAGCCGAAGCTGGACTGTACTGCTGCCATCTCAGCTCACTGCAACCTCCCTGCCTGATTCTCCTGCCTCAGCCTGCAGAGTGCCTGCGACTGCAGGCGCACGCCGCCACACCTGACTGGTTTTTGTATTTTTTTGGTGGAGACGGGGTTTCGCTGTGTTGGCCGGGCTGGTCTCCAGCTCCTAACCGCGAGTGATCCGCCAGCCTCGGCCTCCCGAGGTGCTGGGATTGCAGACGGAGTCTCGTTCACTCAGTGCTCAATGGTGCCCAGGCTGGAGTGCAGTGGCGTGATCTCGGCTCGTTACAACCTCCACCTCCCAGCCGCCTGCCTTGGCCTCCCAAAGTGCCGAGATTGCAGCCTCTGCCGGGCCGCCACCCCGTCTGGGAAGTGAGGAGCGTCTCTGCCTGGCCGCCCATCGTCTGGGATGTGAGGAGCCCCTCTGCCTGGCTGCCCAGTCTGGAAAGTGAGGAGCATCTCTGCCCGGCCGCCATCCCATCTAGGAAGTGAGGAGCGCCTCTTCCCGGCCGCCATCCCATCTAGGAAGTGAGGAGCGTCTCTGCCCGGCCGCCCATCGTCTGAGATGTGGGGAGCGCCTCTGCCCTGCCGCCCCGTCCGGGATGTGAGGAGCGTCTCTGCCCGGCTGCCCCGTCTGAGAAATGAGGAGACCCTCTGCCTGGCAACCGCCCCGTCTGAGAAGTGAGGAGCCCCTCCACCCAGCAGCCGTCCCGTCTGAGAAGTGAGGAGCCCCTCCGCCCGGCAGCCACCCCGTCTGGTAAGTGAGGAGCGTCTCCGCCCGGCAGCCACCCCGTCCGGGAGGGAGGTGGGGGGTCAGCCCCCCGCCTGGCCAGCCTCCCCGTCCGGGAGGGAGGTGGGGGGATCAGCCCCCCGCCCAGCCAGCCGCCCCGTCTGGGAGGTGAGGGGCACCTCTGCCAGGCCACCCCTACTGGGAAGTGAGGAGCCCCTCTGCCTGGCCGGCCGCCCCGTCCAGGAGGGAGGTGGGGGGGTCAGCCCCCCGCCCTGCCAGCCGCCCCGTCCGGGAGGGAGGTGGGGGGGGTCAGCCCCCCGCCCGGCCAGCCGCCCCGTCCAGGAGGGAGGTGGGGGTCCGGGAGGGAGGTGGGGGGGTCAGCCCCCCACCCGGCCGGCCGCCCCATCCGGGAGGTGAGGGGCGCCTCTGCCTGGCCGCCCCTACTGGGAAGTGAGGAGCCCCTCTGCCGGGCCAGCCGCCCCGTCCAGGAGGGAGGATGGGGGGTCAGCCCCCGGCCCGGCCAACCGCCCCGTCCGGGAGCTGAGGGGCGCCTCTGCCCGGCCGCCCCTACTGGGAGGTGAGGAGCCCCTCTGCCCGGCCACCACCCCGTCTGGGAGGTGTACCCAACAGCTCATTGAGAACAGGCCATGATGACAATGGCGGTTTTGTGGAATAGAAAGGGGGGAAAGGTGGGGAAAAGATTGAGAAATCGGATGGTTGCCGTGTCTGTGTAGAAAGAGGTAGACACGGGAGACTTTTCATTTTGTTCTGTACTAAGAAAAATTCTTCTGCCTTGGGATCCTGTTGATCTATGACCTTACCCCCAACCCGGTGCTCTCTGAAACATGTGCTGTGTCCACTCAGGGTTGAATGGATTAAGGGCGTGCAAGATGTGCTTTGTTAAACAGATGCTTGAAGGCAGCATGCTCGTTAGGAGTCATCACCACTCCCTAATCTCAAGTACCCAGGGACACAAACACTGCGGAAGGCCGCAGGGTCCTCTGCCTAGGAAAACCAGAGACCTTTGTTCACTTGTTTATCTGCTGACCTTCCCTCCACTATTGTCCTGTGACCCTGCCAAATCCCCCTCTGCGAGAAACACCCAAGAATGATCAATAAAAAATAAATAAATACGAAAAAAAAAGCATAAAAAAAGATAGTTCTTATGAAATGAAAATCACTTACATGAGTCAAAAAAGAAAAACCTCACAAAATTATTAACATATCTAAAACAGAAGGCAAAAGTAAAAGACTGAAGAAAGAGCAAAGAAGAGCAGGGGAAAAAAAGCTCAGATTGCTGATGAAGCAAAGAAACAGGCAAGACACAATCATAAACAGAACAAATAAGACCGGTTTATACTGAAGTAGAACTGATAATAAAGACACAAAACACATGAATCTTTATGTGAACTGAAATATATAAAGTGCATACTATTGAAATATTAGGAAAAGTTAACAGAAACACACAAGATGGAAATTTTAATGCATTTCTCTTAATCATCCATAGACCAAATAGTCAAAAACCCTAAGATAATAGAAATAAGTAATTAAGGACATTGACTTAATAAGTATATATTGAGGTCCATAACCGATAGAGAATAATTATTTCCAGAACCCATGGAATATTGACCAAAAAATTATAGCATAGTAAGCAGCCAAATATACATAAATCTCTTAGGCAAAAATTTCATAGTCCACATTTTCTGATCAAAATTCAATAAAGAATAACAAAGTCTAAATTTTAAAATTTGACCATTTAGAGATTGAAATTATTTCAGTTAGTTTCTCCCAAATGTTTTCCCCCAAATCAGTGCATCAAAATAAGCAGGAAATAAGCCTAAGTACCATATTCCAATCTTGCTCAAGAGTTAACAGACGTAAGTGTAAAGGAGGCCAAGAATTCCTGCCAAATTCTCCATTCCTTCATTGGGGCCAAAGTCTACTACCATAGACAGTTTACAAGGCACAGGAACAGGAGAACAATATTTTTTCTTTTTTGAGACAAAGTTTTGCTCTTGTTGCCCAGGCTGGAGTGCAATGGCGTGATCTCAGCTCACTGCAACCTCCGTCTCCCAGGTTCAAGTGATTCTCCTGCCTCGGACTCCCGAGTAGCTGGGATTATAGGTGCCTGCCACCACCCCCGGCTAATTTTTTGTATATTTTGTAGAGATGGGGTTTCACCATGTTGACCAGGCTGGTGTTGAACTTCTGACCTCAGGTGATCCACCCACCTCGGCCTCCCAGAGTGCTGGGATTACAGGTGTGAGCAACCGTGCCCGGCCCAAGAACAATATTCTTAAATGGTTTTCTTGACAACCAGGCTGCAACTGGTGGGCCACTCTTCATGTGCATCCAGCAATTCCCTCTCTGTGAATGAAAAGCTCTTTCACAGGGCCAACCCACTGGAAAAGACCAAATAAGGATCTATTCCAACACTAAGTACAAACACACTAGAAAGAAAATACCTCACATTACACTGCCCGACAGGAGGAGATCCCAGGGATTCACTTTATAGACTGTATTACACCAAACAAACCTGAGAAATCCAACGTCACTAAGAATTGTAAAAAATTTCAAAAGACCATGGTTTAGACTCAATATAATCATGTAATTCGAAATATGGAACAACTATTTAAAAATGTCATATAATTGTAGTCCAATATCAACACCAGGGAAATTGACATTGGTGCAATACTGTTAAGACTAGACTTTATTCATGAAAACAACAGGTGCTGGAGAGGATATGGAGAAATAGAAATGCTTTTACACTGTTGATGGGAGCGTAAACTAGTTCAACCATTGTGGAAGACAGTGTGGCGATTTCTCAAGGATCTAGAACTAGAAATACCATTTGACCCACCTATCCCATTACTGGGTATATACCCAAAGGATTATAAATCATGCTGCTATAAAGACACATGCACACATGTGTTTACTGTGGCACTATTCACAATAGCAAAGACTTGGAATCAACTCAAATGTCCATCAATGATAGACTGGATTAAGAAAATGTGGCACATATACACCATGGAATACTATGCAGCCGTAAAAAAGGATGAGTTCATGTCTTTTGTAGGGACATGGATAAAGCTGGAAACCATCATTCTGAGCAAACTATCACAAGGACAGAAATCCAAACACCGCAAGTTCTCACTTATAGGTGGGAACTGAACAATGAGAACACTTGGACACAGGGCGGGGAACATCACACACTGGGGCCTGTTGTGGGGTGGGGGGAGGGGGAGGGATGGCATTAAGTGAAATACCTATTGTAAATGACGAGTTAATGGGTGCAGCACACCAACATGGCACATGTATACATATGTAACAAACCTGCACGTTGTGCACATGTACCCTAGAACTTAAAAGTATAAAAAAAAAAAAGACTATAGACATTACTCACTTTTCACCAGTTTTTACATGTACTTGTGTGTGTGTGTGTTGTGTAGTTCTACACATTGGATTACATGTATATATCTGTGTAATCATCACCAAGATACAAAACTGTTCCATCATGACAGAGAAGCTCTTTTTTACCACCCGTTTATAGTTGGACTGCCTCCCTAACACTGTGCCTGTCCTCTGGCAACCATTCAATTGTTCTCCATCTGTATACTTTTGTCATTTTGAGGATGTTACATAAATGGAATTGGGTGATATGAAACTTTTAGAGATTGGTTTTTTTCACTACGTGAATCCACCCAAGTCACTGCATGTATGAAAACGGTTTGTTCCTCTTCTCTTGATAGTAGTATTACTTGGTATGAATGTACCACAATGTTTAATCATTTACCTGCTGAAGGACATTTAGGTTGTTTCCAGTTTTAAGTAGAAATAAGGCTGATATACACATTTGTATACAGGTTTTTATGTGAATGTAAGTTTTCACTGCTCTGGAATAAATGCCCAAGAGGGCAATTGCTGGGTTGTATGGTAAATTCACGTTTAGCTTTATAAGGAACTGCCAAAGTATTTTCCAGAATGACTATACCATTTTACATTATCAACAGAAATGATGTATGATACAGTTTCTCTACATCCTTGCCAGCAATTGGTGTCATCACTATTTTTTATTTCAGCTGTTCTAATAGCGTGTGGTTTTAATTGCATTTTCCTAATGGCTAATGTTGCTGAGCATCTTTTCATGTGCTCATCTGCCATCTGTATGCATATCCTCTTCAGTGATATGTCTGTTTATGCCTTTACCCATTTTCTGATCAACCGTCTAAACTTTCTACTGTTGGGTTCTCAGTTCTTTACCTATTCTATATGTCTTTAGTCAGATATGTGGTTTACAAATATTTCCTTTCAGTGTGTAGCTTGTCCTTTCATCCTCTTCACAGGGTCTTTTGCAGAGCAAATATTTTTAATTTTAATGAAGTCTAACTTGCTCTAGGTCCCAAAGATTTTCTCCTGTTTTTTTCTTACATTTTACATTTAACTTGTGATTTATTTTTAATTAATACAAGATACATGATTTAGGTTGATTTTTTCAGCTTATAGAATTTCAACTGGTCCAGGACCATTTGTTTAAAAAAAAAAAGTCTCTTCTTCCGCCATTTAATTTGCATGTGTTTTTAACATCAAACCCACTCCTATCTGTCTTCAGTTCTGGGAAATTCTTTGACATTATCTCTTCAAATATTGCTTCTCTGCTATTCCCTTCCTTCTCCACTTCACATGTGGGAGCCTTTGAATCTTTCCTTCATGTCTCTTCTCTTTCATTCTTTGTACCTCTTTATCTCTTTGTACTATATCCTAGGTTGAATTCCTCAGTATCAACTGTCCTTCAGCTCATTCTCTCTTGAATTGTGACCAGCCTAGAGTTTATCCCAAAGTATTTTTTACTTTAATAATTGTATTTTATATTTCCAGTACTGTACTTTTAATTGGTTCTTTTCTAAATTCAAATTTGCTTGCTTTTGTTTCATAATTTCCTAGAAGTGAAACATGAATGTTATTCCTTCCTTCATCTGTTTGGTGAGCTTAAACATATTTATTTGAAATTAATTTTCAGACTGCTTTACTATATTCTGTTCCCAAATTCATCTCCTGATTATTGTCTGTGTTTCTTGGTACTAGCTATCCTCGTGTGCTTTGGAATTTTAATTTGCTGAGCTCTTCTTGAATGAGAACCCTTGCTTGCTCTCTCCCTCCACTCACTGTCAGTGCTTTTACAGATATTGCCACCACCCTCCACCCTCATCCAAACAGAGGCCTCCAGACCAGAACCAGGTCTTACACTGATAGTTCAGGGTTCCTGTAATACTAGGGATAACATAAACCCAGCCATGCCACAGTCAGGTCCTGGTTGCACTGCTCTCTCTATTCCTTGGCACCCCAGAAACACAACTTTAAATGAGCCACAGACCCAAGCAGCCTTGTTCAGCTTCTTTTCATAGGTATGACAGTCTCACTCCAGCTTCTAGTTTCTGTCATTTCCTCTGGTCCCCGTCCAGGGATGCAGTTCCTTTGGTCCCATACCCTCATGTAGTATTTCCCACTCTTTTTGACACCATGACATATGGAGAAAATAACAATATTTGCACAGTACACAGCTAGATGGATGAGACTGTTCCCTCACCCAGGAATGATTGGCTGAGGGCTCTGATCATCACCCATGCCCTGACTAGCTGCCCTGAAGCCTGAGAAAAATCAGTATGTCATACACTGGTAAACCCATCCACAGCATGCTCTAAGGACAGTAATACCCTAAAATAATGGACTCCTAGCACACTCTGCCTGTTTCTGTAGTTGGTTCTATTTCTAGTCCACCAGGATGCTTATCTTGTTATTAAAGTACAAATATGTTAATAGCATTTCATTTACTATTATTATGTATTTGGAGCAGAATATAGAATTTAAAGCATGAACTTAAAGGTCTATCATAACCATGCTTTTCCCTCTGTTGGAATGCCCTCCTCTCAACCTCTCTACATGACTTTTTCCTACTGCTCCCTCAGGTATCAGTTTAGATGTCATTTAATCAAGGGAGATTTTCACGACTCCATTTTCACCCCCAAATGTGGGGTTAGATCTCCTTGTAAGCACCTGATTTTGCACGTAATTGTATTATATTGTTATTACCTATTTACCTTAAACAGAAAGGTCCCTGATGGCAGGAACTGCCTCTTTCATTTCTGTATTTCCAGATCTAGCACAGTGCCTGCAATAAGTACAAACTCAATAAATATTTTCATTTCACCTATAACAGAGTTCCATGGTGGAGAGGATAATGTAATAGTGAAGAGATGGAGCTCTGGAGTCAGAGATTGTTGGGTTTTAATACTAATACTACCACTTATTATGTGACATAAGAAAGCTACTTAGTCTCTCTAAGTTAGTTTCCTCATCTATAAGATGTACATCACAGTTCAATTCCTATCTCTGTTACTTACTAGTAACCCTGGGCAAGTTCCTCTCTTGATTTCAGTGCCTGCCCTAAGTAATGTTTTAAGAAATTACATCAAAGGCTGGGTGCAGTGGCTCACGCCTGTAATCCCAACACTTTGAGAGGCCGAGGCGGGTGGATCACGAGGTCAGGAGATCGAGACCATCCTGGTTAACACGGTGAAACCCCGTCTCTACTAAAAATACAAAAAATTAGCTGGGCGTGGTGGTAGGTGCCTGTAGTCCCAGCTACTCGGGAGGCTGAGGTAGGAGAATGGCGTGAACCCGGGAGGCGGAGCCTGCAGTGAGCCGAGATCGCGCCACTGCACTCCAGCCTGGGCGACAGAGCAAGACTCCGTCTCCAAAAAAAAAAAAAAGAATTACTTCAGACAACATCGATAAAGTCATTTGTTCTGTGACACCTTTTCCTGTTTCCTTGTTCCCACTTCATGCAGAAAAGGGAGGACCTCACAGCTCACCCTTGAGGTGTGCCGCTGACTGAACCATTTTCTAAGCCTAGGTGGCATCTTGGTGAAAGGCTTTCTCTGCCACCAGAGCTTTGTGTCCACAACTTACTCAGGCAAAGTGGAGGGCAATGTCAATAAGAATTTGAAAAAATCATTTTATGTGTCATACTAAATTTACCTAAAGAAATTTAATATACCTAAAGAAAAATAAAAACTAACTGCTGACTGGATCATACTAACTCTGAAAATGTGAAAGGGGAAGAGAACATCTCCATGAAAATCCTTCTTTTGAGATGGAGTCTTGCTCTGTCACCAGGCTGGAGTGCAGTGGCGCGATCTCGGTTCACTGCAACCTCTGCAGCGATTCTCCTGCCTCAGCCTCCTGAGTAGCTGGGATTACGGATGGCCACCACCATGCCCGGCTAATTTTTGTATTTTCAGTAGAGAAAGGGTTTCACCATGTTGGCCAGGCTGGTCTCAAACCCCTGACCTCAGGTGATCCGCCCACCTCAGCCTTCCAACGTGCTGGGATTACAGGTGTGAGCCCCCGCACCCAGCTGAGAGTCCATTTTTAAAATGAAGGCATCTACTACATTTTGCTGTGTTCTAAACCCTACTGCTGGAAAGAACATGTAAAACTAGAAGAGAATGCCTGTCAGAAACTCAAGTAGGGGAGAGGCAATGCAGCAAAGCACTTTAAAGTTCAAATTATAATGCCGAGGCATAGAGAGGCTACTCTCAAGCACTACATTTTAAATATAATTATTTAATGAAGAACAGAGCCTAGTGACTGAGAGAAAATTAGAACCATTAACTGATAAAGAAAACTAAAATTCGGACCAAAGGTTCTATAGAAGGCAGAAGGAAATAATGCAAAAACCTTGGCATCAAACAGACCTGGAATCAAATCCTGACTCTGCCATCTCTCACTGTGCAACCTTCAGCCAGTAACAGCTCTGAACCTGAGCTTCCACCACTGCAGAATGAGGATCATTACCCTCACCTCCCAGGGAGCTGGGAGGATCAAATGAGATTCCAGATACCAGCTACAAAGTGCCCAGCCCAGTGCCCAATGCATGATTGGTGCTCAACAAACATCAATCCCCTCCCGTTCCCTTCCAGGTTGCTTATTAGCAGGGATCATAAAAGGGTTTGGAAATTACTAAAAATCCATGTTCTCATGTCTGTAATTCACAAACTTCTAAGTCTATTTTGCAAGCTGATTCTCTGAGATGCACAGGCGCGAGACCTGGTGAGCACCCAGAGCTGGATCAGTGCAGAAGTGTGGTTCCAGGCCAATGCCTAGAAAGACTAACCAGCCTAGAAGACACCTTGGGTGGCCAAAAGACCACAAGAAACTAGAGCAGCCAAAAAGAGAATGGATTACTTGAGCTTCGGCTCCCGTCCTTCGCTTGTATACTGCCAGCAGATGAGCCCGATCAGGTCCTGCACCCTGGCGCTGGCCATTGTCACCACGGTCATTGGCAGCAGTCTGTCCTGGCTCGAGTGCAGAGGGAGGTAGACATCGATCTTCTTGGTTGCTGTTGTACCTACATGACCCTGTGGACAGAACAAACACGTGAGAGCAAAGCACACTGCCAGTTATACAGACCCCACTGCTCTCCAGGCCTGTGGGCAGCACAGCCATTTTTCATCCTTGCTCTACAGACCTACTGTGACCATGGAATGGTCCCAAAGTGGAAACACTGTCTAGTTTCAAGGATTTTTTTTCCTTAAATTTTCATTTTATAATAAACTAATGGATCGGGATCTGCCAGCAGGAAGGTAAATGGGCACTACAACTAAGAGGAAAATATGAGTGGTGAGTAGAGTTCATGTTTGGTGTTAGGAGGCTGGCTTTGCTACTAACTCAGTGTGTCCCTGGACCTTAGCACTGGGTGCCTCTCTGGCAACTGTCTCATTGTCCTTGAGACAATGAGATGAGCTGCCTGGGAAGCTGTCATACTCTCCCAGGAAGGATTTAGGCCCGCAGCACTGAAACAGGTGCTTGCCTTCTCAGAGACTGGGGGCTAGTTCCACTAGGCAGTACATCTGTTTCCTTCACTACCACACAGGTTCAAGGGCCCTTTGATCCTCCATTATTGCCCTAACCACCAACCCCACACTGCTGGATATATTCCCACTCCCTCCCACACACCTACCACTCCTCCCACCTGCGTCTTCCACTCTGCCCTCAAGAGCTGCTGCGCTAATCAGCAAACACCCATAAATCCTCAGCTGCTTTTTAAAACGATTTCCTCTACCTCTTGGACTTCACTGAACCTGCTGTTGAGGATACTGCCTCCTCTGCTGTCCTGTTAAAAGAGGACTGCTTTGTTGTTGTTTTTTTTTTTTATAACCCCTGCACCCTCAAGGCATGCAAGAGTAGGTATCCTAGTCCCTGCTAACACTTCCAATCTAGTACTTTCTCTTTTGTGAAAAAAATCCTTGTTCTCTTGAGACCCAGGCCATCCGATGACACCATCCTCTCTCCCTCCTTTTGTGTTTCTGTTATCCGCCAACCTTCTGGCCATTCCCCTCCCTCACAGAAGGCTTGCACACTGGCTCAGTCTTCCTTCCCACCCATGCAATATGTTCACCACACAGAGTATATAGAAAAGTGTCACAGAAAACGAGTTCAAATCGGAATGCTTGATTGTCCCTCACTCCCTCCTATCCCAAGTCACAACAACAACCCCTCTTATTTTAATAATATGTGCTGCCACCACTAAGCCAGCTGCTCATCTCAACAGTCTTGATGCTTCTTCCTCCCTCACACTGCCTATCTACTCCATTAGGAAGTTCTAATGTCTCTACTTCAAAAATACATTTCAATGGGGAACGTACAGTCTTTTCAACAAATGATGCTGGGACAAGTGGATAGCCACATGCAAAAGAATGAATTTGGAGTCCTGCCTCATACCACATAAATATATCAATTCAAAATAAATCAAAGATCTAGATGTAAGAGGCAAAACTATAAAATTCTTAAAAGGAAACAGGTGTAAATCTTCATGACTTTGGATTAGGCAACGATTTCTTTAATATGACACCAAAAGCATAAATAACAAAATAAATAAATTGAACTTCATTAAAATTAAAAACTTTTGTGCCTAGGCCAGGCGCAGTGGCTCATGCCTGTAATCCCAGTACTTTGAGAGGCCAAGGCAGGGAGATCACTTGAGGTCAGGAGTTTGAGACCAACCTGGCCAACATGGTGAAATCCCCTCTCTAATAAAAATACAAAAATCAGCTGGGCGTGATGGCAGGCGCCTGTATTGCCAGCTACTGGGGAGGCTGAGGCAGGAGAACTGCTTGAACCCAGAAGGCAGATGTTGCAATGAGCCAACATCATGCCACTGCACTCCAGCCTGGGCAACAGAGGGAGACTCTGCTCAAAACAAAAACAAACAAACAAACAAACAAACTTTTGTGCCTAAAGGATACTATCAAGATAGTAAAAAGACAATCAAAAGAACGGGAGAAAATATTCACAAATCATATATCTCATAAGGCTCTACTATCTAGAATACGTTAAGAAGTCTTATAATTCAATAAGAAGACAAAATTTTTTAATGGGCAAAGATTTGAACAGACATTTCTCCAAAGAAGATACACAAATGACCAATAAACACATGAAAACTGTTTCATATCATTAACCATAATGTAAATTACTTCTTACTCACTAGGGTGGCTATAATTTAAAAAAGGCAAAAACTCCAAACAACAACCCAAAAAACCCCAAAAATAGCAAGGATTTGTGAGGATATGGAGAAACTGAAATCCTCAGACACTGCCAGTGGGAATGTAAAATGATACAGTCATTGTGAAAATGTTCGGCAGTTTCTCAAAAATGAAACACAGAATTACCATATGACCAAGCGATTCCATTCCTAGGTATATACTCTAGAGAACTAAAAACATATGCTCACATTGAAACTTGGACAAATGTTCATAGCAGTATTATTTATAATAGCCAAGGAATGAAAAACACCCAAATGTCCACTAACTAATGAATGGATAAACAAAATCCATACAATAGAATATTATTCAGCCATGAGAAAGAATGAAGTACTGATACACACAGCATGGGTGTACCATGAAAACATCATGCTAAGAGAAGGAAACCAGACATGAAAGGCCACTACTGTATGAACCCATTTATATGAACTGTTCAGAACAGGCAAATCCATAGAGACAGAAAGTAGATTAGCGGTTGGCAGAAGATGACGGGGTGGGAAATTGGGAGGTATGAGGTTTCTTTTGGGGGTGATCGTAATGTTCTGAAATTGGCAGTAACAGTTCATAACATTGTTAATATATTAAATACCACAGAACCGTACACTTTAAAATGGTTAAAATGGTAAATTTTATGTAATGTTTTATCTTAAGAAAAAAAGTGAAAAATATGTATTTCAAAACCATCTCACTTCTATCTCCACTGCCACCAAAATTACCATCAGGTCTCACCTGAACTATTGTAACAGTTCCCAAATTATTCTACAGTACTCTTGTTTCATCTGATTTGTTCTCTACACACAAGTTAGATCTGTTTTTTAAACTCACATTTGATCATACCATATCCTGTTTAAATTCCTTCGATGAGTGGCTCCCAAACACCGTGAACAAAATCCAAACTCCCTGCAACATCCAACAAAGCACCACATGATCTGGCCCTGTCTACCTCTTTAACATCATCCACTGCCACTCCTCCACCTGCTCATCAGACTTCGGCTATACCGGCCTTCTGGAAGTACCCTCAATATACCAGCACGTGTGCCTGTGTGTACCTTGCTTGCATTTCTCACGTCCCAGGGCTTAGCAGGTGCTGTTCACTGTATCTAGAGAGGCTCTTTTTCATGGCTTTGCATGCGTGACTCCTCATCCTCTAATGTGTGCCCTTGGGAGGTTACTTAATCTCTCTATGCTTCTGTTTCCTCATATGTAAAATGAGGAGAATGGTAGGACCTACCTATCATAAGACCCTTATGAGAATTATTATTACTTATTATTAATTATTATTATACAGGGCTCAGCTGTCACTGTTAACACTCCTTTTGCAGTTATTCTCTCACACATGTCCTGTTCATCTCCTTCAGAGCGCTTAACAATTGAGATGATTTATTTATGTACATCTTTAGTGTATGCTTTCTCCACGAAGTTTCCTCTGAACTTCCTTGAGAGCAATGTTAACGTCTGCTTTGTTTACTGTTCCATACATAATGCCTGGCCCTGTACCTGGCACACAGAAGACCCTGAGGAAAAAATCTGTTGAACTACAGAATGAATTTATGAATGACTCCAGTGCCTGCCAGGACACGTAGTAGGAACTGAGTAAATGTTAGTTTTCTCCATCCCTCTTGCCCTTCCTCTATGGATCCATTTCCTGGTCATAGGTGAAAGTGGAGGGACTTGAGCAATCATGCGGTTCCATCTTTAACTCTATAATTCTATCATTCTGAGGTGAAAAAGGTCAGTACAGGGAAAGGAAATTATAAAGTCAGTTTAAAAAACATTTTTAGAGTAATTCCACTTTGCACACAACCCAGCATCCATCATTAGATTGACTGATTTTATTCCCTCAGCCTCATCTGTATGTTACAAAGCAACTACCAAAAAAATAATTCTCCTACATAATGCATGCACCCACACTCGCTGTCCCTCTCTTGCACGTGTGCACTCTCTGTCTCGTATGCAAACACACGTGGGCAAGCACACATTCCCTTGTGTGGTTTTCAGCTCTGAAATAATAATTTCAATGGCTAACAAAGACTTCACTAAATAACAAGTGTTTTGGCCTTGTCGGGCAGGCAAAGGGTTACAATGCAAACAGTGGGAATCTTTCTGGAGTCGGTTGATAGCCCTCATATTACCCTCCTTTTCAGACCCAGATCAGTTGCTTGTCATTGCTCTCTCTTTTTATTTCTGTTTATTCCTCTTCCTCTGGAAGCACTAGAACTAAGGAGCTATAGGATTCACAGTCTCTCAAGATATGAAGATTCAACGAGATGACAAATGTGAATGTCCTTCATAAACTGTAAGATGCTTTAGAGATGCAGAGCAGTATGCCAGAAAGGGCGTCTGTGTTGAAATTCGACCCATTTCTATTACTCAAGCTTACTACAAGGTCACATGAGGCCAAGAACGGGTACTGCAGGAACACTAATAATACTGACTATTGTAACAAGAGCTAGCATTTAGGCCAGGTGCGGTGGCTCACACCTGCAATCTCAGCACTTTGGGAGGAAAAGGTGGGTGGATCACCTTGGGTCAGGAGTTCGAGACCAGCCTGGCCAACATGGTGAAACCCCATCTCCACTAAAACTACAAAAATCAGCCGGGTGTGGTGGTGGGAACCTTTAATGCCAGCTACTGAGGAGGCTGAGGGAGGAGAATTGCTTGCAACTGGGAGGCAGAAGTTGCAATGAGCTGAGATGGCGCCACTGCACTCCAGCCCGGGCAACAAGAGTCAAACTCCGTCTCAAGAAAAAAAAAGGGGGGCGGGGCATAGGGCTAGCACTTACTGAGAGCTGTTAAGTAAACTCTGCTAAATGTTTGCCTAATTATATCATTTAATTCATACAATAACTCTAAGAAATAGGGTTCTATCATAACTTTTTTTTTTTTAAACAGTCTCGCTCTGCTGCCCAAACTGGAGTGCAGTGGCACAATCTCAGCTCAATGCAACCTCCACCTCCCAGGTTCAAGCAATTCTTGGGCCTCAGCCACCCAAATAGCTGAGATTGCAGGCATGTGCCACCACACCCAGCTACTTTCTGTGTTTTTAGTAGAGACAAGATTTTGCCATGTTGGCCAGGCTGGTCTCGAACTCCTGACCTCAAGTGATCCGCCCACCTCGGCCTCCCAAAATGCTGGGATTACAAGCGTGAGTGACTGCGACCTGGCGTAACCTTTATATTATAGCTGAGAAAACCAAGGCTTACAAGGCTACAGTCATCTGCTCAACACCCAATAACCAAGGTGGAAGAGCCAAGACTCAAACCTCATGTCAGCCTGACTCCAAAGGCCCTACTGTAAACACCAACGCCTTCTTTCCCTGGACTTACTCTAAATGTAATCAATTCCTACTCTTCAAGGCTTGAAAATCGTCTCCCTCTTCTTTTCCCTACAAACCTGAGGAAAGCTTTGCCTGAGGAGCTGCTCGAGGAGAGCAGTTAGGAGATGGAGACTCCAGGAAACCCTGCCACTGTCAGTTGACTGAAGGGCAGTCACCACTGTTTAGGAAATGAGGACAGATAGTTATATGGTACTCATATGAGTAACACAGAGTATACTCCTCTATTTACTCTAAAGAGTACAGTACTCTTTACTACCCTCTATTTCATAGTAAAATAGAAAGTGGGGCAAAAACTATCGGAATGAATATGATAGATACTTATTAAATGAATGAAGCACTTTATCTTTTTAATCTTCTAATTCCATCTTGAGGAAATGATGATGGGAAAAGTGCCTTGCACACTGAAATTACATATTTTTTAATAAGGAGACTGTCTTCTGAAAAAGCTCAAGGTGGTGGCAGTTAGCTCTATCCTAATAGTCCCTAAGTTGCAATATTTAGAAGGAATCATCTAAAACATAAAACAATCCATCAACATAATAGAAAGTAATTAACTTATTTAAAAAAACGGTGACCGAAGGATTAAAAGTATTCATTACACATCAAGGCAAGCAATATTCCATAGATGTCTAAATATGAAAAAGCAACTAGCAATAAACAAAGATCATATCATACAGTTTCACTGCATGGCAATTTACGTGTTCCACCATACAGGACTGGGGAAATGGAGGCATATTTAGAGCACAGGGAAGCGGGCAACACAGAGAAAGTGTTGCCACAGGGAAACTGGCTTAGCTTTATGTTCTCATTCTCTCATGCATTCAACAAACACCAGCTGAAACATGATGCTGGGCTCCGAAGACAAAGTCCACTGACATACAATGCAGACCAGACCCTCATCAAACTGTTTTGCTGAAGGTCTCACTGTACAATGTCACGAAAGTTTTAAGAAGGGGAAAGTCCAGTCTGTCAAGAGAGCCCAGAAGCAACCCAGGCTAAAGGGGGCTAGTGAAGGCCTCTTAGATATAAAAATGTACCCTTCCATGCAACAGAACCTTAACCAAGAAAAAGATGCTTATTGTATTTACCTACTATACCAATACACCAAAAGGTGAGCAGGAGTTCCCTCTGAGACACGGGATTATCAGTGATTTTAATTTTCTGGTTTATAGTTTTCTGTATTTTCTATAATAGACATGTATTACTTTTATAATTAGAAACAAAATTGTAAATATTATAAACTAAAAAGGAGATAAAAAGAATAAGAGTACCATTCAGGGCTTAAAAGTTTTAGGTGAGGGAAAGAGAGGATCGATTTCAAAAATGTAGCCTGTGTTAAGGGATCAAGTAGGCATCATTAAGAACATACTATGTGCTGGCCAGGCGCAGTGGCTCATGCCTGTAATCCCAGCGCTTTGGGAGGCCGAGGCGGGCAGATCACGAGGTCAGGAGATCGAGACCATCTTGGCTAACACGGTGAAACCCCGTCCTACTAAAAATACAAAAAATTAGCCGGGCGTGGTGGTAGGCACCTGTAGTCCCAGCTACTCAGGAGGCTGAGGCAGGAGAATGGCGTGAACCCTGGAGGCGGAGCTTGCAGTGAGCCGAGATAGCACCACTGCAGTCCAGCCTGGGCGAAAGAGCGAGACTCCGTCTCAAAAAAAAAAAAAAAAAAAGGAACATACTATGTGCTGTGACAGGCTGTTGGAAAAAGTAAGTTGAAATATAACTCAAAAAAAAAAAAAGAAAAAAAAGAAAATATAACTCAGGGCTGGGCATGGTGGCTCACACCTACAATCCCAGCACTTTGGGAGGCCGAGGCGGGCAGATCACCTGAGGTCAGGAGTCCAGACCAGCCTGGCCAACATGGTAAAATACAAAAATACTAAATATACTAAAAATACAAAAATTAGCTAGGCATGGTGGCATGTGCCTATAGTCCCAGCTACCCCAGAGGCTGAGGCACAGGAATCGCCTGAACCCAGAAGGAAGATGTTGCAGTGAGCCAAGATCATGCCACTGCACTCCAACCTGGGTGACAGAGTGAGACTGTCTCAAAAAAAGAAAAAAATATATATAACTCAGATACCTTACTATGGCAGGTTAAGTAATTTTTATCAAAGAAAAAGAAAAGGGCAAGGCACAGTGGCTCAGGCCTGTAATCCTAGCACTTTGGGAGGCTGAGACGGATGGATTGCCTCAGCTCAGGAGTTTGAGACCAGCCTGGGCAACACAGTGAAACCCCGTCTCTACTGAAATACAAAAAATTAGCCAGGTGTGGTGGCGTGCGCCTGTAGTCCCAGCTACTTGAGAGGCTCAGGCAGGAGAATTGCTTGAACCCGGGAGGCAGAGGTTGCAGTGAGTAGAGATCATGCCACTGCACTTCTGCCTGGGACAGAGCGAGACTCTGTCTCAAAAAGAAAAAGAAAAAAAAAGGTAATAAATTCACAATCAGCTGACAATTTGAAGTTGAACAACATTCTCCAGAGCAGCTCCTAAATCAGGAAATGCCCCCAAGGCAGGTTTGAGAACAAACAGAAAAGTACTTCCTATAGCAAAACTTTCTTGGCACAAATGCAACTCATGAGGACCAACTAGACTCAACTTCATATCCCACAGCCTCTCCCTGACCTGATGGCTTTGCAAATGCAGTCAGAATCTGAAATTTAACATATCCAACACCAATTTTCTTCTTCACTGGCATGTCTGTCATTCTATACTCTATCTCAACTAAGGCTTTCACCATCTACTCTGTCACGCAAGCTAGGAATCCTAATTCCTCTTTCTGTCTCACACTCTACCATCCAAATGCCTCTGAAATGCCTCCCAAATCTCTCTCCTTCCCATGCTTATTGCCAACGCCCCAGTTTAGGCTTCGTCAGCTTTGTCATCTGTCAGCGAGACCACTGCAGCAATCTCCAACTATTTCTTTATTTTTAAAAATCCTTCCCCTCCAAATCTTTCTTTCCTTATTGCCACCAATGTGATTTTTCTCAAATCACAGACCATGCCAGTCATGTGGAAACACAGGATGGCCTAGTGGTAGCATTCCAACTCCTTAGGTGGCAGTTAATGCCCTTTGCAATCTGGTCCCTCATATCATTACTGATGTACACTGAACAGTAATTAAGAGCACAGACTCGGGGTCAGCTAGGCCCAGGTCGGAATCCTGGCTTTACCACTTCCTTAGCTGCTAGACCTTAGACTTTGGGAAAGTAACCTCACCTCTCAGAACTTGTATTTACTCACTTGGAAAGCAAATAAGATGTATCTAAAATGCCTGCCACAAAGTCACTGATCAAGAAACATAGCTCTTCTTCTGTCCTTCAATTCAAATATCACCTCTTCCAAGAAGGTAGAAGACGAAATAAATTCCCTCTTCTCTCCTCCCCTAACAATTTGATTTGCACAGACTTACAGTTTCACTTTTTTCTGTAACTACCCTCACCACCTCCTTCCCCACACTCTCTCATTCAGCTGTGAATTACATAAAGGGAAAAATAGCCTCATCCATTTTGTATTCTCTTAGAGCCTAGAACACAGCAGGGGTTTCATGCTAGCTGGCTAAATCAAAAGGACTCCTCAGACTCTCTTTCAGAATGGACCCACCGGACCTACCAATTCTCTATCCCAGGTAGAGCAGCTATACCTTTTCTACTTCCCAGCCCCTGTTCTTCAGGAACACTCTTTCCTCTCTGAAATATCCCCAGCACCTAACAAAGGGCCCGACATAGTTACTTACACATACTGATGGAATAAATGATTAATATTCTTTTAACACATGATTTAAACACTTGCATTATATTATAGCATATGGTGGTACCACCTATTCTCCCATTTTTAGAAATGGAAGCTGTTTACAATATTCCATTATTATAAATAATCTCATAAACATTTTCCTATATAAATGTGAAAATATTTCTAGAAGTAGATTACTAAGTCAAAGACTATGAATGTTTTGTAACTTGTGATATATACTGGAAAAGCTCAGTCTTTTAAAAAGTGTCTCTAGGCCAATTATGAAATATCAATACTATGAACCAAAGGTTACCCAATTAATAATTAGCTCATAAAATGGGTAAACTTAAAAATCTAAAATAACTTCTAATACACAGAATGTGAACAGATATAGAATTGAAATGTATGTATTTGAACATGCTGATGAATTAAAACATTATCTAGAGCAGCTTTTCTCAGCTGATCCTATTAATTAAAATAATATACATTAGCTGCTTATCATAAAATTAATTTCAAAATCATATACCTGATAGTTTCCAAAGTAGGAGAAGCAATAAGAATACAGATGGGATTCAGTTCAAAATAATCTTGAATTAAGAAATATCATGCTATGTTTGTCAGCTTACTCCTTTCTGCCTGTGGACACGCCAAGGAAGCATCGTTAAAGTCTCTCTTCTCCCTGCCGTCCTAAGTCAGAGTCTCCTAAAGAGCCGGAACAGCTAAGGAATCTCTTCATTGGAGGGTTGAGCTTTGAAACAACCAATGAGAGCAAGAGGAGCCATTGTGAGCAATGGGGAACGCTCCCAGACTGTGTGGTAATGAAAGATTCCAACACCAAGCGTTCCGGGGGTTTTGGGTTTGTCACCTATGCCACTGTGGAGGAGGTGGATGCAGCCATGAATGCAAGGCCACACAAGGTGGATCGGAGTTGTGGAACCAAAGAGAGCTGTCTCAAGAGAAGATTCTCAAAGACCAGGTGCCCACTTAACTGTGAAAAAGATATTTGTTGGTGGCATTAAAGAAGACACTGAAGAACATCACCTGCGAGATTATTTTGAACAGCGTGGAAAAACTGAAGTGATTGAAATCACGACTGACCGAGGCAGTGGCAAGAAAAGGGGACTTGCCTTTGTAACCTTTGATGGCCACGACTCCGTGGATAAGACTGTCATTCAAAAACACCATACTGTGAATGGCCACAATTGTGAAGTTAGGAAAGCTCTGTCAAAGCAAGAGATGGCTAATACTTCATCCAGCGAAAGAGGTCGAAGTGGTTCTGGAAACTTTGGTGGTGGTCGTGAAGGTGACTTCGGTAGGAATGACAACTTTGGTCATGGAGGAAACTTCAGTGGTTGTGGTGCCTTTGGTGGCAACCATGGTGGTGGTGGATATGGTGGCAGTAGGGATGGCTATAATGGATTTGGTACTGATGGAAGCAATTTTGGAGGGTGGTGGAAGCTACAATGATTCTGGCAATTACAACAATCAGTCTTCAAATTTTGAACCCATGATGAAAGGAAACTTTGGAGGCAGAAGCTCTGGCAGCTATGGTGGTGGAAGCCAGTACTTTCCCAAACCACAAAACCGAGGTGGCTATGGCAGTTCCAGTAGCAGCAGTAGCTACAGCAGTGGCAGAAGATTTTAATTACTGCCAGCAAACAAAGCTTAACAGGAGAGGAGAGCCAGAGAAGTGACAGCGAAGCTACAGGTTACAACAGATTTGTGAACTCAGCCAAGCACAGTGGTGGCAAGGCCTAGCTGCTACAAAGAAGACATGTTTTAGACAAATACTCATGTGTATGGGCAAAAAACTCGAGGACTGTATTTGTGACTAATTGTATAACAGGTTGTTTTAGTTTTTCTTCTGTGGAAAATGTAAAGCATTCCAACAAAGGATTTTAATGTAGATTTCTTTTTTGTACCCATGCTGTTGATTGCTAAATGTAACAGTCTGATCATGACGCTGAATAAATGTGTCTTAAAAAAAAAAAAAAAAAAGGCCAGGCGCGGTGGCTTATGCCTGTAATCCCAGCACTTTGGAGGCCAAGGCGGGCAGATCACGAGGTCAGGAGATCGAGACCATCCTGGCTAACAAAGTGAAACCCTGTCTCTACTAAAACAAATACAAAAAATTAGCCGGGCGTGGTGGTGGGCGCCTGTAGTCCCAGCTACTTGGGAGGCTGAGGCAGGAGAATGGCGTGAACCCAGGAGGTGGAGCTTGCAATGAGCCGAGATCGTGCCACTGCACTCCAGCCTGGACGACAGAGCGAGACTCCGTCTCAAAAAAAAAAAAAAAAAAAAAAAAAAAAGCTTGGCCTGGTGGCACATGTCTGTAGTCCCAGCTACTCAGGAGGCTGAGGTGGGAGGTTCACTTGAGCCTGGGAGGTTGAGGCTGCAGTGAGCTATGATTGAGCCCCCTGCCCTTTGGCCTGGGCAACAGAGCAAGACCCTGTCTCTAAAAGAAAAGAAAAAAAGAAATATCCATATCAAGTGAGTTAGCTGAATTAAGTCTTACAGACTAAAGGCTTGGCTAGCATTGCTATTTAATATCAAGGTTTCCCAGTAATAAATTGAGTATCAGATCTAAACTGCTGCTAAGTGTTCAGTTTCTCTCCCAAGGAAAAGAAACAGAGAAAGGATAGACAGCTTAGCTTCTGCAATTAAAGAGACAAAAAGCAGGCAACATTATTCCATTAGTAACAACTGCACAAGCAGATCATTACGTGTAATTTTAATGCAGAAATAAATATATCAGTGTATCCAGACGATGTAATGATGCAAATTGATAAAAGAGTTATTTGCAGCCTTCAAAAGAGCCATTCTCTGAAAAGAATGGCTACAGTTCTATTCCATCAGTACCTTTATCCCAACTTCCTCAAGAAGGACCAAAGGATGCTATATTCTACCAATGGTCTTGTCTTTAATAACATAGTAGGCAGACTTGGTACAGGGGTCTCAAATGAGCACTACTCTAATGATAATTAATGGACTTCATTTGATCAGAAGTAATAATCTCAAACAAAATCTGGCCTAAATTGGTCTAATTCAGGTTTTACGGGCTATGGGAAGTAAAGAGGGTCGACATGAGAAAAAAAAAAAACAAAACCCAAACACCAGAATTGTAACATTTTGATCTTAATAAAATTCTGGCTTTATGGACTCACAAAAAGAACTTTTTTTTTACATTCAAAATGGTAATACTGAATTTATAAATGGATTTTGTGTAAAATTCTATGACAAATCCATTCAGAGATAGGGGCTTGGCTTTGTAGTGCTATCTTAATCTTCAATAAATCTGGAATGCTTAAAGGCTATTAAATTAACATTTCCCTGATCTGGTACCTGTAGTCAAATTAATTTGTCAAAAACATTTCTACAGTTTGTCACTGGACACTGTATTTTCTGACAAGTTAAGCTTAAAATAAAATTGACAAAATCTCATTAATTTCCTCTGAATCACCAACCTTGGTTCCATTAAGCTTTTATTATTAAGAACGTCAACTGCCACTCTTTCTTTAACAAGGTCAAGTTCTGATCTGGGTACCTCCAGGATCCTTGCTATAACTAATAGAAACTAGGGAGGCAGTACAGTGTGATTAAGAGCACAAGTCGGGGCATCAGATAGATCTGAGTTCAATTATAAGCAATGCCACTTACTATGTGTGCCTGGACAATTTATTTAAGCTCTGTGAGTCACTATTTTCTCACATACAAAATGTGGATAATAAAAGTACCTCCTTAAATAATTGTTGAGACGATTCAATAAGACTGTACGGGCCGGCGCAGTAGCTCACACCTGTAATCCCAGTACTTTGGGAGGCTGAGGCAGCTGGATCACCTGAGGTCAGGAGTTTGAGACCAGCCTGGTCAACATGGCAAAACCCCGTCTCTACTAAAAATACAAAAAATAGCCAGGCGTGGTGGCAGGCACCTGTACTCCCAGATACTCGAGAGGCTGAGGCAGGAGAATCACTTGAACCCAGGAGGCGGAGGTTACAGTGAGCCAGCACTGCACTCTAGCCTGGGTGACAAGAATGAAACTCCGTCTCAAAAAAAAAAAAAAAAGACTTCATGTAAAGCACTTATTACTGTGCCTAGTCCCACAGTAAATGCTCAAGAAATACTGGTTATTATGATGTTTTTTCCTACTTTTTATCTACTTTTATATCAATAGACTTAAAAAAAAATATTGCTGTTCATAGACTTTTGAAACTACAAGAAATCTGAAGGGTCATCCCCTTTGAAATATCAACAAATGATTGTCTTACAACCTCTCTTGAACACCTTCACTGATGATGTCCCTGTCACCATGTGAAGTAGCCCCTTTTCTTCAGTCTTTGGCAAACAGTTTTGCCAGCTAAAATGTGTTTATGTCCACTGAGGTGCAATCTCTCTGCAAGTTTTACTCATTAGTCTTAGTGCTAACCCTCATGAAATTTGAACAAATCTACCTCTACCTCCATAGACACCCTTTCATATACCTAGTATCTCAAACAAAAAACTTGGTTACTAAACACCATGGAATAAGCCAGGCTATAATCCTTTCAAGAGTACAACACAGCACAGAAAATGGCATTTTGTAACTTTTCCTTCTGTAACATCTATGATAAATGTAAGTCCCTTTTTTTTTTTTTTTTTGAGATGGAGTCTTGCTCTGTTGCCCAGGCTGGAGTGCAATGTTGTGATGTCAGCTCACTGCAACCTCTACCTCCCAGGTTGAAGCGATTCTCCTGCCTCAGCCTCCCGAGTAGCTGGGATTATAGGCACTTGCCACCACGCCCGGCTATTTTTTGTATTTTTAGTAGAGACAGGGGTTTGCCATGTTGGCCAGGCTGTTCTTGAACTCCTCACCTCAGGTGACGTGGCTGCTTGAACTCCTGACCTCAGGTGATCCGGCTGCCTTGGCCTCCCAAGTGCTGGGATTACAGGCGTGAGCCACCGCGCCTGTCCGCAAATGTAAATCTTTAGTCCTGGACTCAAAACAAGAAAGGAGGTTGCTGCTCTCAGAAATGGTTTTCTCTACTTAAAACAAACCCTCTATATTTTGATGCTCTGACATTTTTGGGAAAGAAAATGCCTAGCAACTATTGGTTTAAACAATCTGTTATCAAATGAAGTTTGATTAATAGCCTCAAATAATTCTTTTATTTCAAGATATCAACTGAAAAACTAGCAATCATTCATGTTCAAATGTAGGTAAGACATTTCATAAAACATGGGGGGAAGTATGAAGGAAAAAAAAAAAAAAGGCCAGTCCACTCCGTATCAGAAACAATCATTTTCTCAAAGACCTAAATTCAGAAAGCAATTCTTGATACTGGCAGTTTTCACCAACATAAGTTACATTTGCTAGACTTCTGTTTGCTGAGTCAACTGAACTGATCTGGACTCTGGCCCTGCCAGCCTTGAGCTGTGCAGCCTTGGGTAAGCCCATAATCTCTCTTAAAGTCAGTTTCCTCTCCCATAAAATAGAGATAAGACCATCTACTTCAAAAGATTATCAGGAAGTATAAAGTGACAACAAAGCATGTTAAAATCCTCTGTGAACTGCAAACTATCATACAAATGTCAATTATTCCTTATTATTGTAATTTAAGCTGTTACTCAGACCAGGCAGATTTTTGGACAAAATGTTCCTTCAAGCAAACATGAAATTGAGAAGTAGGGACAACAGGGAAAGGTCTCTATCTTAATTATTTTGAGAGAAGAACCACATTCTCTTCTCATCCAGCCTTGGGACAGTTACAGCATGTATCAGAATGTGCTCTCACACAGGTATAATCTAGCCATCTTCAAGCATGTAAAATGTCCACTTCGAATTTTCAAAGCCATGATGGGATTCTGTAGATCATTAATGTTACACAGTGCTTTGCATTTAACTATACAAACAATAGCTTCCATAATGATGATATTATCAGGGAAAGGTAATCTGCATGAACTAAGCCCCATCACAGAGCATAAGTTTAGGGACCTCTTCATTATTAAATCATTTATATAATAAAATCAATATGCTTTAAAAGTAAAAATTGGTTTTTTTTAAACCATAAAGAAGAGTTACATGTTTTAAACTCTATCAATTATCATAATATAATGAGTCTTGAAGATTTAATATCAACTCTTAAAATTAAAACTCAATGGAGAATGTATATTTGACTCCATTACTAGATGATGTATCTCTAAAAAAGGTTATAGTACAGCCATTATCACCTTCCTAAATTATATGGAAATTTTGGTATAACCCTCCAACTACCCCGAGGACAATTTAATTTCAAAGATAGCGAAGTATTTTGAGAATGTAAAATTGCATAAATATTGAAGGAAATAATCCAGGCGCATATGTCATATTCATTTCTTGCAGGGTTTCAGTCAATTAAACATTATAAAAATTTTAAACGTCACTATTCACATTAAAATTGTTTCCTTAATTTTAAATAGTGTAAAAAATCCACAAATTTCTATACAGTGGTAGGTTCGTAACTAAGTGTTTTATCACTTTAAGATTCAATGTTCCTTAATGATATAACTCAAAAATTTCACTGTATCATTATTTAGAAAGTCATAAAAATCTCTTAAAATTAATCTTTCATGCACATCCAGCTTATCCAAAGTTAGAATTTAATTAGATGGCCTTGGCATAAATGCGCTTACTACTTTATTTGCTCAATCAGTGTACGTCTCTTCAGTAATTATAATTAATTCAAGTCCCTGACGCACCTCCTAGCAAACAATGTAAAAACATCACACAATAGGTTCACATTTCTTCAATTACAACATTCACTTTCATCCTCAAAATGCACACGTGAAATAACTGGGATAGTTGTTACTCTATGTAACACATAAAGGCCAACACAAAGAACCTACACCTCTGGTGACAGAGAAGGATGCTCCTCCTCAGCAGAAAATATATTATGGTTGTTTACATTGTGATACAACTGCAAAGAGCCAATTGAGAAAGTCTGCATTTAACACAGTTTGCAAATGCATGTTGAAATATAAATAGCAGCTCACGCCTGTAATCCCAGCACTCTGGGAAGCTGGGGTGGGAGGATCACTTGGGCCCAGGAGTCGAGACCAGCCAAGGCAATATAAAGAGACCCCATCTCTACAACAAATTTAAAAATTAGACAGGTGTGACGGTGTGAGCCTGTGATCTCAGCTATTCGGGAAGCTGATGTGGGAGGATCACTGGAGTCTGGGAGGTTGAGGCTACAATGAGCCGTGATCACACCACTGCGCTCCAGCCTGGGCAGCAGAGGGAGACCTTGTCTCAAAAAGAAAAGAAAGAAATATAAACATCAGCAAATGAAAGAAGAGATAAATTACTAATTATCTAGAACAGCGCTTCCTGTTGGAAAGAATCACTTGTAACTATCAACAAAATTTACAACTGAGAAGCAGCCCAAAAAGTCTGATTATCGGGCCTTCATCCGCGTCTTCCAGACAGCATCACCAAGAAAGCAGTAAGTGGCAGAAAACTTTTATTTCTAAAACTGAGGGGACAGCAAGATCCACAGGATAATACAAACTGTCAGACAAATTATTCAATTAGGTAGTCAGCAAAGCAACACAAAGTAAAAGTAGCCAGCTACAAAGCTGACAGTCTCGATGGGAGACGGGGCCAGGCACAGAAAGTGCATTCGTCTGTACACAGCCCTTGCACACCCACCACAAGCTCTCTCTGCAACTGGCAGGTCACTGCTGCTGTCATTTATTGGGCACCTATCAGGGTCCAAGCACTTTTCATACATTATCTCATTTAATATGCCCAACAGTCCTGTGAGGATCGCTCATTCCCTCTTAGAGCTGTTCGTTAAGTAGGCTGTTCCAAAACCCTCAGCTGGTGCAGCCTGGGCAACAGGGCAAGACCCTGTCTCAAACAAAACCAAACCAGGTAGAACCCTCTGATTCCGTTTTCTCTCCTTCTTTTAAAAGATGGGGTCTCACTCTTTTGTCCAGGCTGGAGTACAGAGGTGTAAACATGGCTCACTGCATACTTGACCTCCTAAACTCAGGCAATCCTCACATCTCAACCTCCCAAGAAGCTGGGACTACAGGAACACCACCACACTTGCGTCTTTCTTTCTTTCTTTCTTTCTTTTTTTTTTATAGAGACAGAGTCTCAATTATGTTGCCCAGGCTAGTCTCAAACTCCTGGGCTCAAACGAGCCTCCCACTTTGGCACTCCAACATGTTAGGATTACAGGTGTGAGCCACCGCACCCAGCCTCTGTCTGATTCAGTTTCAAGAAGCAGTGGTCAAGCACCAACTTCCAGGCCACAGACAATCTGTACTCGGATTATGAGGCTCATCAGTAATCGTGAGGTGTATCTGTTACTAAATCTGGCTACCCAGGTGGCAGTACCCAATTGTGCTCTAATAATGACAAAAGAGGAAAATAACAATGTGGTCCTTGGAGAGATGGGCGAGCAAGCACATGACATCAACATGGCATCGAGCTCCAACACAAGCAAAGGGTGTGAGGAGACAAAGGTCCATCTCAGGTTGCAATTATCTGCAGAAATGGGCAGCACAAGACCTGTTCACTTGCAGAAACTGACAAGTCACTCATGTATCAAAGTCTCCGGGGTTTCTGCTCAGCCCCCTGGCAGTATTTTCCTTGTGTTCATCTTGAGTCTTAGTCAGTCCAACCTCCTCTGAGGTCCTAACTAAACCAGACACAGGGAGAGTCAAGATTTTATCTTATTAAAATAGATATGGCTAATTTGTCTTTTCAAATTCATTTTAAATTAAATTGGATTTCCTCGGAAGGCTGCTAGGTCAGTTCCCCTGCTGCGAACACAGGACAAAGGTTAATTGCAAGCCCTTCACCAGCTCTTCTGCTCTCTTGGGCAGACTCTGATAACCTGCCCCGAGAGGTGGGCAAGGCTTTGGTTTATTGGGCAATAATGTTGCCATTACAGCCATTTACCATTATGCCAAGAAACATTTTATTTTTTTTAACTAAATAACAAGGTATGATTACAACAACAAGAAAGAAATATAATGCTGTTACCAACTGATGGTTAATTCTAAAATGCAACACTCAAAGAATAAGACTTAACCTATTTGCTTCCCTAAAAGGCTCTGATAGATGCAAAAGTACACACTCTCCTGGACCAAACTGCCTTCTGGTTCCAATGTAAAATTCCATTAACATTTTCACTTAATTTATCTCATTTAGACTGTCTACATTCATGAAAATTTAACCCAGTAATTCCCTGTTATACAAAGCATAACAAAGTATGAATATTTAAATACAATGTAAATAAAACACTTTATCAATTATATTTTTGTATTCTAAATTAGTGACTTCACTTAGCATGTCTGCCTTGCACAGCACCACACTATTTTTCAATTAAAGGTCCAGATGTTTCAAAGGCTCCAGTAGGCAACGGCAGTTATGAGAAATGCTTTATCTGCATTGTAATCATCACCACCACATCAGCTCCAGGCTGCATTAACATACTCATGTTTTATTCCAGCTCCCCTTCTACCAGAGCAGGTAATTATACAACACAGCAGAGAAACACAATCCTAAGAGCTGCACAATTTCCTTACAAGCATTCACCTGAGCAACACATTTTCATACATGATTTCAAATTCTTCTAGAAAACATTTCATTACATAGTTAAACTTGCTTTAGCAGGAACACTGATAATTTCAATAATATGTTGTTAATAAAGAATGAATAACAGCACAGATGTACCAAATTTATCTCCCAATAGTATTGAAAGTGCAAGAGGGACTGTACGTACTCGTGCTTGTGTGTACTGAAAATCAACAAGAAGTCTGTGTGTGTAAAAAAACACTACCAGTTGTTACAATCTAAGCCATCTCTTCTCAATTTTAATGCCAATGTCATCTCTTGAACAAGTCAATTAGACATTTATTCTTACTATAAAGAAATGACAACTCACCTGAGCTGAGGCTGAGCAAGTACACCAATTATCCCCGTTCCTATTCGATAGTAAAATAACACCACAGCAAAACAAAATGCAATGCTGACAGTGGGAACAAAAATACTATTGCATTTATTATTTAGTTAATTAAATGACTCCTTTATTTACAAACAGAAAATAACCTATGGTATAAAAGATACTGCTATGCATAGTAAACATAGTATAATTTAACGAGAAAATATAGTTCCTCATCATTAAGAGAAACTGTAGCAAAATTCACTTTAATTATAACTTTTCATTATGCTACAAACATTTTTTATTTTGAAATATTCCAAGAAGAGAAGTCCTAATAAAGATGCTATTCAAAAGATAAATGCCTTTATAAATATTAAAACTTCAGACAGGTCAAATCCTGGCAGGTTACACTTCAGTATCTGAAAGCAGACAGCTTCCATTCCTTCCTGAAGGAACCTTAGGTGGAACATTTTTAATACATCACTGTGTCACTTTTTAATGTGCCCCAATCTATTAACCACATGGCAAACTAACAGGGATTTTTAAAATATGGGTTTTATGGCTTTGTGCTGGTGATTAATTAAATAAATAGCCACCGTTTCACAAATCATCCCTCTAGTCTAAAACAGACACTTTGCATTCACTGGTATTACTGCCATCTGAAGCTCACAGAAGGGCAGGAGTGGTACCGCACGGCCGCATCTCTGCACTTCGGAACCCATTGTCACAGGCTCCACGGCTGGCATCCCACCCTGCCACCCAGAGGCAGAGGTGTCAACTTTGCAGGTGCTGCAGTCAGCTGGAATTTGGCTCCAGCTGCTCAGAAAAGATGTTCTCCTTAATTATTCTCCCTCACCCTAAAGGAAACAATGGAACAACAAAGGAATAAAGTGCAACCTCCAGCTGCAATAAGAGGTTTCACCAACACAGTTCATGGAGTGAATAAGAAAGTTGGTTGATTTAGGAATAAGTAGGGAGCTACATTAAACAGGCTTTCCTGAGAACTCAAAACATGTTTTGTCATCTTGAATTCAGGTATTAAGCAATTATTTTCAAATCCTATTATTTAAAATACTCCATTCAAAGACTGAGGAGATCACTCTCTTTGAAATTGATAGGAATTCAATCTGTTTTAGCAGCTAGCATATTTTATAAGACGATAATTCCTCTGAAAGCAAATTAAACTTAGAAATAATTTTTAGTGCCAGAAAAAAAAATCAAATGGGAATATTTCAAGAACCCAATTTCCTTCAGGAAATACATTAAGTGGTCTCCTAATCTTTTAAACTTCATTATGTTTAGAGGAAGGCAGGGAGGGAAGAAGGGCATAGGGAGGCGGGGGGAAGAAAGAAGGAAAAGAAAAGGGTTAAAGAAAAAGGAAAAGAGTATATGGGAAAAATTCAGCAGGGATAACATACCAAAATATGCTCTAAATTATTCTGCAGAAAGGGCTGTCCTCATATCCCTTCTTTAAGATTTCTATGAATGGGAAGAAGAAATGGGGTATAGTAGAAAAGACCTAGACCCTTAAGCAAGATTGACTCTGACAGGTATTGTGCCTTTCTCTAAGTCATGTGATCCCATTTACCCTCAGTTTCCTCCCCTATAAAGGATTTTAGCCCCTATCTTCAATATTATAGGGAAACTGAGATACTGTCCTCGCACATTCCCTGAATAGAGCAGATGCTCAAATATTATGGCCATGAGAAACTGCACCAGACAATGAAAACTGGGTTGAAGGCAGAGTCTAGGTTCTTTGTTTTCATTCTCTACATGCCTTTCTGAAAGAGCCAAGGTGATTGTAGCCAACACTGCAGATGCTGTGCTCTTGATGCGAAAAGGAGAGACAAAAGCACAAAAGGTTCATCAACACAGGACAGCCACATTATGTTCACCCTACTGAAGAAAACCCGAATCTTCTACAATCGAGAAGAAACAGTGTAGTTTCTCTGACTTTCATGGAGCTAGGGGCATGGAGCTAGGGGAGGGTATGTCTGAGACGGCTCATGGGTAGAAAGTGGAAAGCAAATAAATGCGCTTTGGATTGGAGAGACCTAGGTCTGAATTCCAGCTTCACTACTTACTAGTTGTGTAACCTCAGGCAAGTCTGTTCATCTTTCTAAGCCTCAGTTTCCCCATGCCAAAACTGGAATAATATTACATACTTTAAAGGGAAGCTTGAAAGAATGAATGAAATGGCATAGTAGATACTCTGGCATACAGCAAACACTCCAATAGTTTCTATTACATTAAACTGAATCATATGAAACTGCTGATAATCACTTATGACCTACAAAAATTGCAATTTCATAGGGTTTCAACAAATATTATAGCGACTGAAACAATAAATATCATGGGCTGGAGAAATAACTGAGAATTCTCAAAAATAAAATGAACTACACTCCTATCAAAGGAAGACAAGCAAGATATAAAGGGTGTTTTTCAAAGACTGGCTCTTCATTCCAACACTACAGCAGCTAATATTTATCAAACACTATAGGTCAGATATCACCCCATACATTTGACATCCATATTAGCTTATGTAATCTCAAACAACTCTGAGTTAGATTCAACAATTATTTCTATTTTAGAGTTGAAATGGAAGCTTGCAGAAATGAAGCAACATGCCCAAAGTTACACAGCTAGTGAAGCGAGGATGCTAACTGGGGATGTCTAACTCCAGAGTCTGAGTTCTTACTCATCACTTAAAATTGCCTTCCCCACTGCAAAGTCGCTTACTTTGCTTTTATTTTTTATTTATTTATTATATATTTTTTGAGACAGTGTCTTGCTCTGTCACCAGGCTGGAGTGCAGTGGCACGATCTCGGCTCACTGCAACCTCCGCCTCCCGGGTTCAAGCGATTCTCCTGCCTCAGCCTCCCAAGTAGCTGGGACTACAGGCATGTGCCACCACACCCAGCTAATTTTTGTATTTTTAGTAGAGACGGGGTTTCACCATGTTGGCCAGGATGGGCTTGATCTCTTGACCTTGTGATCTGCCTGCCTTGGCCTCCCAAAGTGACTTTGCTTTTAATAAGACTGTATGGGGGCAAAGAGCAAACAAGTTACAAATCAACTTGTGGGCTTCCGAAGGATGGCCATGTCAATGGGCAGACAGGCACCAGCAGGGAGGGTATGTCACGCCAGCGCCTGTAGTGACTGGGAGGATGATGCATCCAACAGTCCCACTGCAACCATGGCACTCTAGGGTTCTACTTACCCCATGTCATAGTGTTATTAGAAAAAGAAAAAAAGAATAGTAGCAGACATGCTTCGAAGTTTCCAGAAAAGTCCTGAAGTTTTAATCAAATAGCTGCTGTGTTCCCATTATGTTACAGTCAAGCCTTTTCACAATGTGACAAAGGAAGCAAAGCTTTTTATTTATTTGTTAGTCTGATCATTTATTTATTTATGTTCACATCTCTTGCTTCCTGAATCCTTTGATGTAAACAGTGAACAAGCCATCATAGCAAGGGAAATGGCACTGACAGTGGATGCTCTGAATCCACTCCCTTTAAAAAGAGAATTCAAGTCAAGAAAACCCCCAAATGCCAGGCTTTCAAAGCCAAAATTCTAAAAGCCATCACATTTGCATTTAGGGCTTCTTGGGGCCGCCGCTGTGGCACCAAAATCCACCAAAGATAAAGAAGATATTTGTACTAAGTTGGGAAAGTGGAGACATCAGCATTTCCGCCTTCAGACCATTATTCCTGCTCTCCAGACAGCACCTGATAAAGCATCTGGAGTGTTTTGTCTTCTGCGCAGCCACTGCTTTTCCGACGCCTGCGCTCAGGGGTTTCCCTGGGGTTTCCTTTCCAACAATTGCACAGAGACTCTGAGAGGAGCCCAAACCGGCTGCCTTAACCTTCCAGTAAACCGCTATTTCCACAGAGGATTAAATCAAACGTTTCAAATAAGCCAATTTCCTTTACTAAAAAACCAAAATGACAATATTAGTACCAAGAGAAATATACAAAGATGATGAATAAGACATACTTCTCCTGTCTTTGGGCATGCAAAAAAATAGAGAGCAAAAGGTTAGATGGAGGTGGGTTACACAATTCCCTCTTATTTCCAATACTGCCCTACAGTGGAGCCTAACTAAGAAGATACACAAGAATTAGACTGAGTCATATCAAGAGGGAGAGAAAAAAACCTAAATGCTTATACTACCTGAAACATGCTGATGTTTCATGTTATATATTTTTAAATTCCTGTTAATTGTAAATTTGTCTATTAAAAATGCAACTGTGTCATTTTTTAATTAGGTACTTCCAGAATTCTGGGGATGCAAAATGGTTACTTGCTGAACTGATGGGAATGAAAATTCCTATCTTTGAGGTCTCTATAGAAGGGAACAAGTTTCCTTCCCCTAAAGTACCCAAAGCAGCTCCCTTGAACCACAGCAAGTGGGAACTTCCTTTGACCCAAAGGGGTAGGGATATATATGCTCAACTAAATGAACAGGACATATACAAAAAAGAGCTGGAACAGAAAAAATCCTTAAGAAATCCCACTCTCGGAATGCTAAGGGAAGCAGACAGCCTCTGGCTTTGTTTCACCTGCCAAGCTTCTTTATTTATTTGTTTGTTTGTTTGTTTTTAAGAAAGAGTATGTTGTTTATTTGTCTTTAAGAAAGAGTCTCACTATGTTGCCCAGGTTGGTCTTGAACTCCCGAGCTCAAGTGATCCCCTTGCCTCTGCCTCCTGAATAGCTAACTCAGGCACTTGTCACCGGGCCTGGCCTGCCAAGCTTCATCCTGTTTTCCTCATTTTCTGACCCTGAGTGCCTTTCTCGTTTTTCTCTTTTTGGTAGTTTTGGTAGTTTCTCCCAAACCCACATTCAATTTTACACTACTCCATGTACAATGTGAGATGTTTCACATTTAACACTCTATTAACAGCATCTTGAACATTTCTGGAAAGAGAATAACTAAAATTAAAAATGGCTACCATTTACTCTGTGCCTGGCACTGGGCTGAGTGTGCCACATAAATTCTCTCTTTTGATCTTCAAAACAGCCCCCACTTACCCTATTTTACAGATAAACTGCTAAGAGGTGAAAGAAATTGTTAAAGGTCACACAGCCAGTAAGATAACTCAGATGGAAACCCGCCTCTGACTGACTCAAAAGACCACAATCTTAACTTGACAACAATTCTTCCCAAAACCAATATATTTGAAAAGCTTTTTTGGAGGGAAAGTTCTTATTTGAAAAAACATCTTCTTACATTTTGAATCAACATTTGCATGAAATAAAGAGCCATGATATGTGTAAACACAAACTCTTTCTCTTCATTCTGTAATATATATTCCTCTCCCACAGCATTTAATACAACACACTAAAAACTATTTTACTATAGGACTTGTATTTCAACCATATGGCAAAGTATGTATCCTGACCAACCCTCAAACAGAAAACAGTTAAACATATTTATGAAATATAAAAAGAGCTATTTTATCTGACTCAATACACTGGTTGGCAACTTTTTAAGGCAATCACAAAAGCACAAAGACTAAGTGAAAAGAGAATCTAGAATGAAAAACAGAACATAATTTTGCCTTAATGATGGTACTTGCCAAACAAGGTGACATGAAGTGTCAGTTTTCTTGGTCAGCAGGCTATAGGGAACAGTCTATCTATAACCTATAATAAGACCGTGATACCCTCCTCACAACCCACCACCACCAAAGACCTACATGTGAGAGTAAATTAGAATTAAGGTTTCCCGACTGACCTCCAGCAAGGTAAAACTGCCTGTCTTCCCCCAAAATTATTTTCTTCCTCAGACTTTATAAACATAAACGAACCTTCATATGAAATTTCTATCCCAAATTCGTATTATTTGATGGACCAGAAAGATTTTAAGCCAAGAATTTAAAGTGGTCCTGAGGTGGTAGTGCCCCCAGGTTCTAGGTAGAAGCAAACGCAGATCCTATTGGGAAAAACCTAAATGACTCAAATAATTCCAACAGAAAAATTTGCAAGAAATAATTTGTTCTATCTCCAAATCACAAAACATAGAAGGCATCATGAAATAGGCCCAGAAAGACTGGAGTTAACAGTATGATCAGAAGCAAAATATAAAATAAATGTGTAAGCAAAAATGTGGAGTAAGTGCAAGAGACTATAAAAGATTATCCAAGGTGTGATATATTATGGTTGAGTAGGAGAATGTCGCTAGGAGTGAATGTCAACTTTTAAAGATTAAATAAAGCATAAATAAAGCAAATATGACAAAATGTTAACAATTACTGAATACAGGTGCTACACATAAGGGTGCTCACTGAACTTTTACTAATAAAATTACTACACTTTTCGTAATAGTTTTTTAAATTACCAAGCAGATTTTTACAAGATCAAAATCAGACTTCTAGAAATTAAAAATACAACAACTAAAATTGGAAATGCAACATATGGGTTCCACAGCTGAGGAGAGAATCTGTTAGGAAGATATGAGTTGAAGAAATTACCTAGAATGCAACCCAAAGAGACACAGAGATAGGAAATAAGAAAGAGAAATTAAGAGATGAGAAGGATAAAATAACACATTCTGATAGGTGTAGCTAGAGTTTCAGAAGAAGAGAAAAGAATAACTGGTTCGGAGGCAATGTCTGAAAAGACAGTGGCTGAGAATTTTCCAGAATGATGAAAGACACTAATATGCAGATTCAGAAAGCCCAATGAATGCAAAAGAAGAAAAATAGGAAAGAAGATCTGTATCTTAAAACATCAAAATGAAATTGCATCTATACCAGACAAATATCAACCAAATGGAGCAGGTGTAACTATTTGAAAGGGAGGAAAACTTCACTAGAGTTAATCACAAATGACAAATGGTTCAATTCACCAGGAAAAAATAGCAATTCTGAAATTGTGTGAACATAAAAGCATAACATCACAATATACAAAGAAAAAATAGTCACAATTAACAAGAAAAAATGGACAGTCTATCAACAGCAGGAAATTCAAGCGTATTTCTGTCTAACTGATGGCTTGGACAAAAATATCTGTAAAGAAAATTTTAACAGATTTACAGATTGAGTATCCCCTATTCAAAATTATTGGGACCAGGAGTGTTTCATATTTAAGATTCTGAAATATTTACACTATACTTATTGGTTGAGTAACCCTAATCCAAAAATCCAAAATGTAATATGCTCCAATGAGCATTTCCTTTGATCATGCTCCAAAGGAAATGCTTGTTTCTAAATATTTTCTGATTTCTGTTATTTTTTGATACATGAGTTACTTATAAGCGCTCAAAAAGTTTTAGATTTTGGAGCATTTTAAACTTCAGATTTTCAGAGTAAGAATGCTCAACCTGTAACAGTCTTGACCTAATGACAATATTTAGAATATTGCAACCAACAGCAGCTAAAATCACATTCTTTCCAAGTTCACATATAATATTTATAAAAGGTGACCTATATTAATGGGCATACAGCCATGCTCAACGAATTTCAAATAACTGGTAGTGTCACAGCTTCTGTACAAATTCTTTTAGTTTTTTTTTAAATTTAAAATTTTTATGTTAGCTCTTTAATGGGGGGCGGCATGTGGAGTAAGATTGGAAATTAAACTTATCTACTAACAATCAGTTGTTGTAGAACCACAATAAACTGAGTTCCTAAACGCACTGTCTATTTCCTGATTCCCTATTCTTTCTGAAGCCATCTGTCCTGCAGTGTTTTTGAACAGGCCAGCATTCATGTACAAATCTTTATGTGAATGAACTTATGTTTTTAATTCTGTTGGGTAAATAGAGGCTCTATCAATTAAGAGATCCTGATTCCCAAAGGGAGAACACTTCCACTGGGAGACACAGCAGAAGTACCACTAAATGTTAAAACTATGGCTGCAGCCCAGGTTCCTCATGCCAAGGGACATCAGGCAAGAAGGAAAGTCACCATCCTCACAGGAGTGACTGACACTCATCAAAAGAACATGAGGCTGTTACACAATGGAGGCAGGAAGAAACACATCTAGCCAGTAAATCCATTGGGGTATCTTATTACTTTTACCCAATTTTAGTGGTTAATGGACAAATGAAGCAGCTACATCCTGAGAAAGGTAAACAGAGGCTTGGGCCCTCAGACATAAGGATCTGGGTCATCATACCATTTAAGACCTAGACCAGCCAAGATGCTAACTAACCAAGGTTGACAGGACTAGAATAAATACTTGAAGAGACAGATGAGTGTTAGTCATGACCTCAAGACCAGTGGTAGAAACAGGACTGTAGATCATTATACTAACCCTCTTTGTATAAATTTCCCCAAAGAAACGAAGTCCAACGCAGACCTGAAGGTGTGCTCCCAGAACTTAACATGAAGCCAGTAAACCCAAGCAGCACCAAGGGTGGACTGTACCACCCAGATTCCCTCTTTTCAGGAATAAAGCGCATATTTCCCAACTGCTGGAAGGAATGCTGGCTGATGGCTATCAGCTGTTAGTCCTTTCCTGCAATTGTGCTGGCTGACAGAGTCACCTTGCCAAGACTGCACCTCCTTCTCACGACACTCAGAATCCAATGATAGGTTAGATGCAAGAATGTAAGAGGCCTGACCCCCTTACCCTAACTTGGGACAACTGTGAAGGTCCATCCAGCTGCAGAGTACTCCATGGTGTCAGGTGAGGCCTTGTTACGACTGCATCACAGTCCCAACTCCTCCCTCTACCCAATTCTGTTTTCCTCCCTTTTCCACACAGATGCTAATCCAGAAAACACTCCCTAATACATTTCCTGCATGTTAATCTCCATTTCAGAGACTGCTTCCCAGGAGAACCCAACCTGTGACAACAATAGTTTACTTTTATTAGCAGGTTCCGCCAAACATTCAAAGAACAGATAATGCTAGAATTACCCATACTATTTAACCTTACTGAAAAAGAGCAATTTCTTTTTTTTTTTTTTAAGACGGAGTCTCGCTCTGTCACCCAAGCTGGAGTGCAGTGGCGCGATCTCAGCTCACTGCAAGCTCCGCCTCCCAGGTTCACGCCATTCTCCTGCCTCATCCTCCCCAGTAGCTGGGACTACAGGCGCCCGCCACCACGCTCGGCTAATTTTTTGTATTTTTTAATAGAGACGGGGTTTCACCATGTTAGCCAGGATGGTCTTGATCTCCTGACCTCGTGATCCACCCGCCTCGGCCTCCCAAAGTGCTGGGATTACAGGCGTGAGCCACCAGGCCCGGCCAAAAAAGAGCAATTTCTAAATCACTTTATAAGGTTAGAAAAACCTCCATATCCAAACCTGAGAGTGTAAGAGAATAATCTTACAGGCCAGGTTTACTTGTGAACAAAGATCCTAAATAAATATTAGCAAACCAACCCAGCAAGATATAAAAACTAGAATATTTGATGACCAAAGCTGAGTTTATTGTATCAAATACTAGGTTGGTTTAACATAAGATGATAAATCAATATAATAATCATATTAAAGCTAGGCGTGATGGCTCATACTTGTAATCCCAGCACTTTGGGAGCCCAAGGTGGGCAGATCACCTGAGGTCAGGAGTTCGAGACCAGCCTGGCCAACATGGTGAAACCCTGTCTCCACTAAAAACACAAAACTTAGCCGGGTGTGGTAGCAGGCGCCTGTAATCCCAGCTACTTGGGAGGCTAGGGCAGGGAGAATCACTTGAACCCTGGAAGTGGAGGTTGCAGTGAGCCAAGATCGCGCCATTGCACTCCAGCTTTGAGCAACAGAGTGAGACTCCGTCTCAAAATATAATAATAATAATAATCATATTAAGAGATTAAGGAGAAAAATCATATGGTAGTATAGGTAAATTCAGTATATTCAACATTCAGTACAGTTGAATGTACATGATTTAAAAAGTAATAATTATTGTAGCTAACTAGGAACAGAAAGGACTTTTATTAACCCAACATAGAACATCTGCTAAAATAGGAAATATCCTAAATGGTGAAATATTGGAAACATTTCCTTTGATATCAGAAGCAAGACAATTTCTTTTCAACATGGTATTGTGAAGCAATAAAAAGAATTTTTTAAATTTTCAGCTCTGTAAAGCAAGAAAAATAAAGTATAAGGATTAGAAATAAAACTATCATTATTTGCAAATGACCAACTACACAGAAAACCAAAAAAGGTATAAGTTAATGGAAGTTATAGGAGTTTATTAAGGTTACTGACATTAAATCAATGTCAAAGAAATCAACTACATTTCTATATACCAGCAACAAACCGGAAGACACTATAATTTAAATAAAATCTTGAAAGTAGAATTTAAAAATATATTTAATAATAGGTATATGTGAATCAATCTAACAACAATGACAAACTATATATATATATGACTTCCATGGAGAAAATGATAAAATTTTACTAAAGATATTATAGGTCACTTAAATGATATATCATGTTCAAAATGGTAAAGATGCCAATTCTCCCAAATTGATCTACAAATTTAATCCAACTCTAATCAAAATCTCAGGAATTTTTTTTAACTTGACAAGTGATTTTAAAAATGTATATATGGAAGGGGCTGGGCATGGTGGTTCACACCTGTAATCCCAGCACTTTGGAAGGCCGAGGTGGGTGGATCACCTGAGGTCAGGAGTTCAAGACCAGCCTGGCCAACATGGCAAAACCCCACCTCTACTAAAAATACAAAAAAAAAAAAAAAAAAAAATCAGCCATTGTGTAGCAGGGCAATAGGTTAAGAATATACAAGACACTCACAAATAACAAAAAGGAGGTTGAGGCCTGGCACAGTGGTTCATGTCTGTAATCCCAGCACTCTGGGAGGCCAAGGTGAGTGGATAACTTGAGGTCAGGAGTTCAAGATCAGCCTGGCCAACATGGCGAAACCCCATCTCTACTAAAAATACAAAAATTAGCCAGGTGTAGTGGTGCATGCCTGTAATCCCAGCTACTCAGGAGGCTGAGGCACGAGAATCACTTGATGTTGCAGAGGCGGATGTTGCAGTGAGCCAAGATCACGCTGCTGCACTCCAGCCTGGGCAACAGAGTGGGACTCCGTCTCAGAAAAAAAAAAAAAAGAAAAGAAAAGAGAAAAGGAGGTTGAAGGAGCATGATTTATCAGTTACCAGAAATTGCTTTACATTTAAAGTAATTAAAATAGTGTGATATTAGCACAGGAAAAACCAAATAAACAATTGAAACAGAAAAGTCCAGGAAGAGCAGCACAAACATAGGGAAATTTGATATATGACCAAGCGAGCATGACAAACCAATGGGGAAAGGTGGGACTCAATAAATAATGCCACAACAACTGATTAACCACACAGAAAAAAACAGAAATCAGACCTCTACCTCACTACCACACATGCAAAAAATCAGTTCCAGATGGATTAATTATTTAACTATAAAAACTTTAAATACAATTTGGGAAAATAACTTTATAATCTTGAGGGTAAAGATTTCTTAGAACACAAAAAGCAATAATGAAGCAAAAGACTGATAATTCAATACATTAAAAACAAGAATTTCTGTTCATTAAAAAGCACCAAAAAGAGAATGAAGACAAGTCACAAACCAGGAGAATCTACAACAGTTGCTACCCAATACATAAAAATGGTTAGTATCCAAACATACATTCAAATTTCTTCTTCAAATCAGGAAGAAATTGATTAAAATAGAAAAAAGATTAGAACAAGTAGTTCACACAGAAGAGGAAACATGAATAACCAATAAACACACAAAAAGATGTTCAATTTCAATTATATTCTGAGAAATGCAAATGAAAATCATAATGAGATACAATTTCACACCCATAAGACTAGAAAAAACTAAGTCTGATGTGGGAGCACAACACTGACGCACTGCTGGAGGGGCACACATGGGAATAACCACTTTGTAAGACAGTTTGGCATTATCTATAAGCTGAAGCTGCACATAGATCCCATGACCCTGTAAGTCCATCTGCATGTATTCCCTAACAAAGTTTTCAAACCATGGTCCTGAGGGCTAGGAAATCAATTTAGCCAATTTCAACCAATCTTTTCTTTTAAAATTAAATAAAATAGAATTGATTAGAATAAAAAATAGCATGCATTTGTACTTAGTAAAGGTTAAGTATTTTTCTATGAAAATAGTTTCCATATATCATTTATCTATATGTGCACTTAATATGCATGTTATGTGTTTCTATTTGTGTGTGTGTGAAGTGACAGATATTTTAATTAAATTAATGTAATCATTCCACAATGTATGCATAGATCAAAACTTTCATGTTATACCCCAAAATGTATTTCTTATTACATATGATTCATGGCCAAAATGTTTGTAGATCGGGCACAATGGCACATGCCTGTAATCTCAGAACTTGAGAGGATGAGACAGAAGGATCGCTTAAGCCTTGGAATCTGAGACCAGCGGAGGCAACAAAAGGAGATCCTGTTGCTACAAAATTTTTTTTTAATTAGCCAGGCGTGGTGGCAAGTGCCTAGCGTCCTAGCTACTACTGAGACTGAGTTGGAAAGATTGCTTGAGCCTGGGAGACCTAAGCCACAGTGAGCCATGATCATGCCACTGCACTCCAGCCTGGGCAACAGAGACCCTATCTCAAAATAAAATAAATCTTTTTAAAAGTCTGTAAGTCTCTGCCAAGGGGTAATTCTTACACATTTAAAATACTTATAAACAGCATTATTTGTAATAGCAATAACTGGAAGCAACTGAAATGTCCATCAACAGTGGAATGGCTAAACTGCAGAGTACCCATACAATGAAAATGAATTAACTACAGCTACAGACATCAATATGGGTGAATCTATGGGACGTAATGTTAAGAGGAAAAAGTTACAGAAGAACACTTAAAGTACAATTTTATTTACATAAAGTTAAAAAAATATTGTTCAGAGATACAAATATACAGGATAAAGCTATAAGGAAAAGCAAGGGAATTAAAGACACATCTGTGAGTGGTCAGGGAGCAAGGAGGACACGGAGGGGACTTCAAAAATAAAAGTAATATTCTTCCTCCCAAAACGGGTGATAGGTACATGAGTGACTATTATACAACTGTTTATACCTTGGAGATACTTTAAAAATCTTCTATGTCTACTCAGTATTTAATTTTTTCTAATTTAAAACAAAAATATTTACAAATGAACCCATTTCTCTAATTCACTCATGAGAAGCTTCATAACTTTTCCAGCATATGTGAGAGGAAAAGCACCCAATTACTCCCAAGCAACCAACAACTTCCTTTAAGAACTTAGGGAGGATCGCCTGAGGTCAGGAGTTCGAGACCAGCGTGGCCTACATAGTGAAACCCCATCTCTAATAAAAACACAAAAATTAGCTGGGTGTGGTGGCACGCACCTGTAGTCCCAGCTACTAGAGAGGCTGAGGCAGGACAATCGCTTGAACCTGGAAGGGTGAGGTTGCAGTGAGCTGAGATTGCGCCACTGCACTCCAGCCTGGGTGACAGAGTGAGGCTCCGTCTCAAAAAAAAAAAAAAAAAAAAAAAAAAAAAAGGCAATAGGCTGAATGTTAAAGACAACCCATTACCCATTATGGGACTACAATGAATCAAGGAAAAGAAAGCAGGAAAATAAAATCTCAAACTCCTACTAAGCTTAATTCAAGTTCTAACTTCAGTTGCTAATTCAAATGTTGGTCTATATTTAGTAAAATGCAAGATTATTACTAAAACACAAATATATAATCTGATGGTGTATTGTAAAGCACTAATTATTTTTCAGAATGGAAGAAAAAAGAATACCAAGTGATTTCAAAGACAGAAAAGACCTATAGTCACTCAAATTTGTTTGATATGTGCAGTGGCGTGTATACACCTCAAATATGTTTTTCAATTATGATAAAACAACAACAAACAAACAGCTATTTAATATAGATTCTCATAAGCAATGCAGTAAAGGGTCACTTAGAAGAATTCAAAGACATTTTCATCCACCCCCGCACCTTTATTCTTACTTATGAAAATTTGTCTTAGGCTGGGCATGGTGGCTCATGCCTGGAATATCAGCACTTCAGGAGGCCAAGGCAAGAGAATGCCTTGAGCCCAGAAGTTTGAGATCAGCCTGGACAACATGATAAAACCCTATCTCTACAAAAATTTTTTTAAATTAGCTGGATGTGGTGGTGCATGCCTTCTGTCCCAGGTAGTCAGGAGGCTGAGGTGGGAAGATTGTTTGAGCCCAGAAGGTCAAGGCTATAGTGAGCCTTGGTCATGCCACTGCACCCCATCCTGGGCAACAGAGTAAGACCCTATCTCAAAAACACAAAAACAAAAAACTGTCTTACTATCTTCTGCTTAGTATAAACATGGGCTAGTCACATTTTAGAGATATTTACATCTTGCAATTTAAAGAGGGAGTTAACATTCCCCTAATGCCAACTTTTAGCTTAATGACAAGTACTATGGTGGTGGCAGCGATAACATAAACAACAGCAATAACATCGGAAAAGAGAAAGTCACAGGTATACAAAATGGAAATCAAAGAGGTTTACAAAAATCTGCATTTTGGAGAATAGCTTGAACCCGGGAGGCGGAGGTTACAGTGAGCTAAGATCATGCCACTTCACTCCGGCCTGGGCGAAAGAGCAAGACTCCATTTAAAAAAAAAAAAAACTGCGTTTTATTCTGTATATTATTGCAAATTAACAATATTCTTATATGTGTGAAAATCCTAAAAGAACAAATGAAAAACTACTACATAGAATTTGGTAACATAAAGGAATACAAAATTAACAGAGAGAAATCAGGAACCTTCATATATACGAACATAGCAGAAAATAAGACCTTATTTACAACTGCAACTACAAATACCTAGGAAGAAAATGTAAAACTATGCAAGACATTTGAAAAAAAATTTCTCCACATTGATTAATTCAAAATCCAGAAGCTATAGAGGCAAAAAATGTATATTTCGCTACAATAAAAAAAAAATTAGTGCATAGTCAAACAAAAAAACTCCATGAACAAAGTCAAGATACATAATAAACTAGGCTAATCTCAATATATTTTTAAAAAAATCTTAGAAAATAAGAAAAAGTTCAAGAATCCAACACATCTGAGCAGTTAACAATACCCCTGTCAAGATTCTTAAATAAAAAGAAGCCCAATCTTACTAATAAGAGAAACGTAATTTAAAATTATACAGATTTGGGCCGGGTGCAACGGCTCACGCCTGTAATCCCAACACTTTGGGAGACCAAGGTGGGCAGATCACCTGAGGTCAGGAGTTGGAGACCAGCCTGGCCAACATGGTGAAACCTCGCCTCTACTAAAAATGCAAAAATTATCTGGGTGTGGTGGGGCACACCTGTAATCCCAGCTACTCTGAAGGCTGAGGCAGGAGAATCACTTGAACCCAGGAGGTGGAGGTTAAGTGAGCTGAGATCGCACCACTGCACTCCAGCCTGGATGACAGAGCGAAAAAAAAAATTATACAGATTCATTTTTTATTGATTAGACTGGCAAAAATCCAAACATCTGACAACTTCTGTGGCAAGGCTATGGAGAAACAGGCAGTGTCTTACATTGCTGGTAGGAGTGTAATTGGAGCAATCCCGAAGGAGACAATTTGGCAATACTTACAAAAATTACAAATGCATATTCCCTTTGACCCAGCAATTCTGCTTGAAATTTATCCTACACATATAATCGCACATGCACAAAATGCCATATGTACAAGATTATTCACCACAGCGTTGTTTGTAATAGTAAAAGATTAGAAACAAGTCAAGTCTTCACCGACAGAGAATTAGTTACATAAATTACAGTATTTCCAAACAATGGAATACTATGCAGCTATATGAAGGGATGAGAAATTCTCTGGCACTAACAGAGACAGATTTCCAATCACATTGTTACATGAAAAAAGCAAGCTCGAGAAAAGTGTTAACAATATGCTACATGTTGTGTAAAAGGGGAGAAAAATAAGTATATTTTCATATGGACACTAGAAGATATACAACCTAGTAAAGTGGGTATGGGTAGGGACGACATGAATGGTGGACAGGAGGGAGTGAGACATGTTTACCTTTTACATTTTTGAACCATACAAATGTATCACCTATTTAACACATGAAATTAAATAATAAGATAAGAATAACAACAGTGCCATCAGGCCAGATGCGGTGGCTGATGCCTTTAATCCCAGTACTTTGGGAGGCTGAGGTGGGCAGACTGGTTGAGCGCAGGAGTTTGGGACCAGCCTGGGCAATATGGTAAGGCCCCGTCTCTACCAAAAATGCAAAAATTAGCCAGGTGTGGTGGCATGTGCCTGTAGTCCCAGCTACTCCAGAGACTAGGGCAGGAGGATCACTTGAGCCTGTGAGGTTGAGGCTGCAGTGAGCCGTGATCATGCCACTGCACTCCAGCCTGGGAGCCAAAGCAAGACACTTTCTCAAAAAAAAAACAAAAACAAAAACAAACCACAAAAGTGCTATCATTTATTGAGTGCTTACTTCATGGTGGACATGTACTATCTCATTTAATTCTCATCAACACAATCAAGTTAGTAATATTATTACTAACCCTAGCCTAAAAGTGAGAAAACAGGTACAGAGAATTTTCCATATCTGTAAACCAGCAATACTACCTATCTCAGAAGTTCATATGAGGATTAAATGAGATAATGTATATAAAATACTTAGCACAATGCCAAACACACAGTAAATGCTTAATTAATGCTTTACTATTCCAAGCTCTTTTCAAGGATGTTTCAATCAACTGAACCAAAAATAACAATAAAGTCAGATAAGAAGTTAACAAAGATGCTTTAATTCAAATGTGTATGTTTAGATTAACAGCCTCTACCTAACTGAAGGCTGCTTTAGATATGCAATATCCTCACTATACAAATTCCATGGTCATTAAAACAACTTCTTATACCCCATAACTATACATGGGTTCTTAAGGCTACTATTTAATAATTTGAACATATTTGATGCAAAAGGGTATCAACTGAAAAGTTTAGAAGTGCAACCATTGTTTATTTTTAAAAGAAGGAGAGTAAGAAGTGGAACCAACAGATGAACAGATAAGGAAAATGTGGTATACATACACAATGGAATACTATTGTCATATAAAAGAATGGAAGCCTGTCATCATCACTGGCAACATGGATGAGTCTGGAGGACATTATGTTGAGAGAGAGAAGTCAGGCACTGAAAGATAAATACCACATGTTCTCACTCATATGTGGGAGCTTAAAAAAACTGGGGCTCATGGAAGTGGAGAGTAGAATTGTGGGTATTGGAGGCTGGGAGAAGTATGGGGAGATGGGGAGAGGCTGGTTCATGAGTACAAAATTATAGCTAGATAGGAGGAATGAGCTCTGGTGTTCTGCAGCACTGTAGGGTAAGTGGTTAATTATAATTTATTGCATAAATGTCAACATTGTTACATTGTTGCATATTTTCAAAAAGATAAAAAAAGGATTATGAATGTTCAGGACACAGAAATGATGTTTGTGATATTTGAATTTCTCTGATTTGATCATTATGCATTGCATACACATATCAAAATATCACTATGTACCCCCATAAATATGTACAATTATTATTCTTTTATTTTATATTTTATTTTATTTTTTCCTGAGACAGAGTCTCACTCTGTTGCCCAGGCTGGAGTGCAGTGGCGTGATCTCGGCTCACTGCAACCTCTGCCCCCCGGATTCAAGCAATTCTCCTGCCTCAGCCTCCTGAGTAGCTAGGATTGCAGGCGGGCACCACCATGCCTGGCTAATTTTTGTATTTTTAGTAGAGAAAGGGTTTCACCACGTTGGCCAGGCTGGTCTCAATCTCCTAACCTCGTGATCTGCCCATCTTGGCCTCCCAAAGTGCTGGGATTACAGGCATGAGCCACTACACCTGGCCCAATATGTACAATTATTACATGTCAACTAAAAATTAAAAAGCAAGGGAGAGGCTCTCCCCTCTCCCCTCTCCCCTCTCCCCTCTCCGTCTCCCCAGTCTCCCTCTCATGCGGAGCCGAAGCTGGACTGTACTGCTGCCATCTCGGCTCACTGCAACCTCCCTGCCTGATTCTCCTGCCTCAGTCTGCCGAATGCCTGCGATTGCAGGCACGCGCCGCCACACCTGATTGGTTTTGGTGGAGACGGGGTTTCGCTGTGTTGGCCGGGCCGGTCTCCAGCCCCTAACCGCGAGTGATCCGCCAACCTCGGCCTCCCGAGGTGCCGGGATTGCAGACGGAGTCTCGTTCACTCAGTGCTCAATGGTGCCCAGGCTGGAGTGCAGTGGCATGATCTCGGCTCACGACAACCTACACCTCCCAGCCGCCTGCCTTGGCCTCCCAAAGTGCCGAGATTGCAGCCTCTGCCCGGCCGCCACCCCATCTGGGAAGTGAGGAGTGTCTCTGCCTGGCCGCCCATCGTCTGGGATGTGAGGAGCCCCTCTGCCTGGCTGCCCAGTCTGGAAAGTGAGGAGCGTCTCCGCCCGGCCACCATCCCATCTAGGAAGTGAGGAGCGCCTCTTCCCAGCCGCCATCACATCTAGGAAGTGAGGAGCGTCTCTGCCCGGCCGCCCATCGTCTGAGATGTGGGGAGCGCCTCTGCCCCGCCGCCCCATCTGGGATGTGAGGAGCGCCTCTGCCCGGCCGAGACCCCGTCTGGGAGGTGAGGAGCGTCTCTGCCCGGCCGCCCCGTCTGAGAAGTGAGGAGACCCTCTGCCTGGCAACCACCCCGTCTGAGAAGTGAGGAGCCCCTCCGCCCGGCAGCTGCCCCGTCTGAGAAGTGAGGAGCCTCTCTGCCCAGCAGCCACCCCATCTGGGAAGTGAGGAGCGTCTCTGCCCAGCAGCCACCCCGTCCGGGAGGGAGGTGGGGGGGGGGTCAGCCCCCCGCCCGGCCAGCCGCCCCATCCGGGAGGGAGGTGGGGGGTCAGCCCCCCCGCCCGGCCAGCCGTGCCGTCCGGGAGGGAGGTGGGGGGGTCAGCCCCCCGCCCGGCCAGCCGCCCCGTCCGGGAGGTGAGGGGCGCCTCTGCCCGGCCGCCCCTACTGGGAAGTGAGGAGCCCCTCAGCCCGGCCAGCCACCCCGTCCGGGAGGGAGATGGGGGGGTCAGCCCCCCCACCCGGCCAGCCGCCCCGTCCGGGAGGGAGGTGGGGGGGTCAGCCCCCCGCCTGGCCAGCCGCCCCGTCTGGGAGGGAGGTGGGGGGGTCAGCCCTCCCCCTGGCCAGCCGCCCCGTCTGGGAGGTGAGGGGCGCCTCTGCCCGGCCGCCCCTACTGGGAAGTGAGGAGCCCCTCTGCCCGGCCAGCCGCCCCATCCGGGAGGGAGGTGGGGGCGTCAGCCCCCCGCCCGGCCAGCCGCCCTGTCTGGGAGGGAGGTGGGGGGGTCAGCCCTCCGCCCGGCCAGCCGCCCCGTCTGGGAGGTGAGGGGCGCCTCTGCCCGGCCGCCCCTACTGGGAAGTGAGGAGCCCCTCTGCCCGGCCAGCCGCCCCGTCCGGGAAGGAGGTGGGGGGGTCGGCCCCCCGCCCGGCCAGCCGCCCCATCCGGGAGGGAGGTGGGGGGGTCGGCCCCCATCCCGGCCAGCCGCCCCGTCCGGGAGGGAGGTGGGGGGGGTCAGCCCCCACGCCCGGCCAGCCGCCCCGTCCGGGAGGTAAGGGGCGCCTCTGCCCGGCCGCCCCTACTGGGAAGTGAGGAGCCCCTCTGCCCAGCCAGCCGCCCTGTCCGGGAGGGAGGTGGGGGGTTCAGCCCCCCGCCCGGCCAGCCGCCCCGTCCGGGAGGGAGGTGGGGGGGGGGGTCAGCCCCCCTGCCCGGCCAGCCGCCCCGTCCGGGAGGTGAGGGGCGCCTCTGCCCGGCCGCCCCTACTGGGAAGTGAGGAGCCCCTCTGCCCGGCCACCACCCCGTCTGGGAGGTGTGCCCAATAGCTCATTGAGAACGGGCCAGGATGACAATGGCGGCTTTGTGGAATAGAAAGGCGGGAAAGGTGGGGAAAAGATTGAGAGATCGGATGGTTGCCGTGTCTGTGTGGAAGGAAGTAGACATGGGAGACTTTTCATTTTGTTCTGCACTAAGAAAAATTCCTCTGCCTTGGGATCCTGTTGATCTGTGACCTTACCCCCAACCCTGTGCTCTCTGAAACATGTGCTGTGTCCACTCAGAGTTAAATGGATTAAGGGCGGTGCAAGATGTGCTTTGTTAAACAGATGCTTGAAGGCAGCATGCTCGTTAAGAGTCATCACCACTCCCTAATCTCAAGTACCCAGGGACACAAACGCTGCGGAAGGCCGCAGGGTCCTCTGCCTAGGAAAACCAGAGACCTTTGTTCACTTGTTTATCTGCTGACCTTCCCTCCACTATTGTCCCATGACCCTGCCAAATCCCCCTCTGTGAGAAACACCCAAGAATTATCAATAAAAAAAAAATAAATAAATAAAAAAAAAAAAAAAAAAAAAAAAACAAGGGAGAGAATTTACATTCCAAAATGTAAAATTTTGATTCCAAAATACTGTCATTTCTAATTCACTCAGTTGCTGGTGGACAACAGAACATTCCACGCCATGAAACTACACAATTATTGAGGGAAAAACAAAAAACAAAAAAACAAAACAAAACAAACCAACCCTGCAGAGCAGCAGCTGGCTTTTTATAAGCTTAACAAAAGCCATGTTCAATAAAACTGAGGTAGGACTGCTGGGTGTGGCAGCTCACGCCTGTAATCCCAGCATTTTGGGAGGACAAGGCAGGCGGATCACTTGAGGTCAGGATTTCGAGACTAGCCTGGCCAACATGGTGAAACCCCATCTCTACTAAAAATACAAAAATTAGCCTGGCGTGGTGGTGTGTGCCTGTAATGCCAGTTACTTGGGAGACTGAGGCACAAGAATCACTTGAACCTGGGAGACAGAGGTTGCAGTGAGCCGAGATTGCACCACTGTATTCCAGCCTGTGTGACAGAGTGAGACTCCATCTCAAAAACAAACAAACAAACAATAAAAAAACAAAAAACTGAGGTCAGACTGAATTCACAGCAAAAGCTTACAAAACGTTTTATTTTTAGTTTCAAGTTTTAATCCTTCTTCTGTCTGAAAAATAGGCTACATTTGGATTGTCCAATTATATGGCAAGAAAGCACATAAGAAAAAACTACTGAAGTCATACTTAAGGTGTAGTATGAAGCAAAATATAAAAAGTCCATATCATTAAGGACTGAACGTCTACATTTTATTTTTAAGAAAATGCTTTGTACAACCTGTAGTCACTGTTAAGTGTAAGAGGAACTATTCTATCTATTCTATAGAATTGTAAGGGAACTAGGTAAGGAAAACTGCTCTACCAGGCTTCTGAGCTTTAGTCATAAAATAGGTCTTTTTACACTTTCAGAAATACTGGAAAGAACACTTCTCTTTTTACCTGGCATGGCCTCACCTGTTCCAGGCTCTCTCAAAAGTGCCTGCTCAGCAACTGCTTCTGTGTGTTCAGCATGTTGGGGTCAGGGCCCTGGCTAGCCTTCTGGAAACAGGTCTGGGGGCTCTAGCTCCCTCTGACCCCATTACTGGCACAGAAGGGTATGAGACAGCAATTCTAGTAAGCTTGTCTCCTATGCAGATCCAATCTCTTGTTGGGTGAGTCATGCCAATGTTTAGACCTACACTGTCCAACAGCCACTAGCCACATTTGGCTATTTAAATTTAAATTAAATAAGATTAAAAACACAATTCCATCACCACACTGGCCACATTTCAAGTACTCAACAGCCACATGTGGCCAGTAACTACCACACTGATCAGCGCAGACACAGAGGATTTCCGTCATCATAGAAAGTTCTACTGGAGAGTGCTGGTCCAGACTCAGTGGAGAAGGAATTAAGGAAGCCTGATTAGGGCTGCACATCCTAACCAGATTTACCAATAATAAAGTAGATACATTTAATTCCATTTTTCTGATTTATTCATCTAACTCTCAAGGTTCCAAAGTCAGATCAGAGAGGTGTGATTAATATTCATGTCCAAAATACTTAACAATAATTACTAACATATATAGAAGATTTATGATGTGTCAGCCACTATGCAAGAGGCTTATGTATCTAATTTAATTATCAGTACAATCTTATAAAAGAAGATACTATCATCATATCCTTTTCACAGATGAGAAAACTAAGGTTTAGAGAAAAGTGATTTTCTTATCACTTATTTTTTTCACCACACAGCTAGTAAGTGGTGGAGTCAGGATTCAATTTAAAAAATCAAACAAGCCAACAAAACTGTAGGTGCAATTCATATGTAACAATGAGTAGGACTCATCCCACTGAAGCCTTCTGTGAAATTGTCATCAATATAAAATCACAGAAAATTAGAACAGAAACTACTGCAATGTTTCATGACTACCTGTAATCCATGACGCCTTCTGATAACTTAAAAAATTTCACACTACCCCAAAGATGATACACACCCTCCCCACTGCCATTCAAATGCCTCTATCTTGGGCACATTTCCAATAGCCAGTTTTTTAAGGCTTTAAAGTTTTTATGTAAAAATTAATTTTTCATTTCCCAATGTTAAAATATTTTTTAAAAATACATTCATTGCCCCCTTAAACACACATATAGTGAACCATATAAAGTGAAGACCCTCTCTAATCTTTCCAGTTTTAGAGATGGGAATAGTGAAGGCAGAGAGAGTGGGATGGGAACACCTGGCCTGCACTGAGAAAGGGAACCACTGGAACCGGAACACATTAGGAAGGCCCTGCCAGCACACTTCACCTAACTCTTTTTTATTTTTTTTAAGAGACAGTATCTCACTATGTTGCCTCAACCTCTCGAGTAGCTGGGACTACAGGTGTGTGCCACTGTGCCCAGCTTTTCATCTGACTCTTGAATGGCATAATTCCTTAAACCCCACCCCATCTCACCCTCCAAAAAGTTACGATTTTATCCTACTTTACGGTAGATCTTGTGGGATATGTGGGAACGAAGCTCTGAAAGCATTCAGGTAAGAATTCCCACTGTTTTCATAGGCTGTTGGAGCCAGAAGAGACCTCAGAGAACTAATTCACTTCCTAATTTTAGAAATGAGGAGACAGAAGCTTGGTTAGTTACATACAAACTGAAGCATCCTGCCTTGTACCATTTTATAATTCTCTACGACAAAGGCGGCCACTTCATTTAATTGTGCAAAGTGACTACTGAATGTTAGGGTCTGTGGAGTTGCTGGTGTTAGAAAGATAAACTGGACATTGCCCTGTCCACACACAGCTTACATTCTATGAGAGCAAAGGACATATAAATATATAACTACAATGGAGTGTCATAAGGACTGCTTGTGGTAGTGAACTTGTAGGAGGCAGAGGAGGCCATGTGTGAGCTGAATCTTAAAGGATAAACAGCAATTCACTATAGAGGAAGACATTTCAGGCAGAAGAACACCACACACAACCCACAAGATATGACAGAAAATGGAATGGGCAAGATGGAATGGGCAAGAAGACAGGGCAGGTGACAAGGTGGGAAAAGGGGCACTTTAAATAAAATGCTTCACTATGCAGATCATCAAGAGCCACATAAAGGATACACTCTAAATGTCACTTTTACACCTGTGAAAAGTGTTCTCATTATAAGTCACTTAAGACAAGAAAATGTCTCTTCAGCAAATGGCATTGGGAAAATGAATTGTATGGATTCTTTTGTATGGATATCCACATACAAAAGAACGAAGGTGAATCCTTACACCACAGACAAAAATTGACTCAAAATGGATTAAAGGCTTAATGTAAGACCTGAAACTATAAAACCTCTAGAAGAAATCAAGGGAGAAAACTTCATGACGTTGGATGTAACAATGATTTCTTGGAATATGACACCAAAAGCATGGGTAATCAAAGCAAAAACAGACAAATGGGACTATATCAAACTCAAAAACTTCTGTGCAGCAAAGAAAACAACAGAGTAAAAAGGCAACCTATGCAACAGGACAAAATATTTGCAAACCATACATCTAATCAGGGGTCATGTATCTAACCAGAATATATAATGAACTCTACAACTCAACAACAACAACAACAACAAGAACAACAACAACAAAAACAATTTAAAATGGGCAAAGGACTTGCATAGATGTAAAAATGGACAACAAGCATATGAGAAGATGCTCAACATCACTAATATTAGAGAAACACGAATTGAAACCACAACGAGGTACCATACTTACACCTGTTAGGATGGTCACTGTCAAAACACACACACACACACACACACACACACACACACACACCAGAAAATAAAAAGTGTTGCAAAGGATGTGGAAAAAGTGGAAGCCTGTGCACTGTTGGTAGAAATGTAAAATAATGCAACCACGATGGAAAGCAATGTGAGGTTCCTCAAAAAATTACAAATTGCATATAATTTCAGTAATCCCACTTCTGGGTATACACGCAAAAGAACTGAAAACAGATATTTGTACTGAAAAGAGATATTTGTACTTCCATGTTCAGCACACCATTATTCACAATAGCCAAGAAGTGAAAACCTAAATGTCCATAAAAAGATGAATGGATAAAGAGAATGTGGTGTGTATATACAATGGAACATTATTCAGCTTTTGAAAAGAAGGAAATCCTGTCCTATGCTACAACATGGATGAACCTTGAGGACATGATGCTAAGTGAAATAAGCCAGTCAGAAAAAGACAAATACTGCATGATTCCAGTATTACTACCATATATCTTATGAGGGATCTAAAGCATTCAAACTTTTGGAAACAAAGTAAAAAAGTAGCTGCCAGGGCTGGGGGCAAGAGGAAAAGGGAAGTTGTTCAATGGACATAAAGTTTCAGTTTTGCAAGACTGAAGTTTGAGAGGTCTGTTGACAGCAACGTACATATAGTTACTACCATATTGAACACTTAACATTGGTTAAGATGGTAAATTTTATGTGTTTTTTTGACAATTTTAACTGAAAAATAAAAAAGAAAAGAAGACACGGAAATGCAGGCATGGTTCACTCCCAAACACCTATACTAGTCGAAGCAGACAAGGCCATGTATAACACAAAATGTCACTTTTAGATGTCCTTGGAGTATAATAAATGTGGCTTTTGTAAACACACAATTTATAAACATATTTAAATGACATGAATATCAAAATTAGTTTGTATGCTTCAGCTCACAAACTATGTGGGGAAGTAGGATGGAAGTGCACTGAGAGGCAGGGGACACTGAGCCTAGGGTCAACTAAGGCCTTAGAACCCCTACAAAGTAGAAACATAACAGTCAAGGCCAGGAATCAGTGACACCTAACTCTAGTAATCTCTGAGACAGTCAAGGGTCCAGGAACTCTCGCTCGGTCACCCAGGCTGGAGTGCAGTGGCATAATCACAGCTCACCGCAGCCTCGACTTCCCCGGCTCAACCGATCCTCCTGCCTCAGCCTCCCAAGTAGCTGAGACAACAGGCGCGTGCCACCACACCTGGCTAATTTCTTTTTTTTTTCTTTTTGCAGACACAGGGCCTCCCTATGTTGCCCAGGCTGGTCTTGAAATCCTGGGCTCAAGTGATTCCCCAGTCTCAGCCGCCCAAACTTCTGGGATTACAGGCATCAGCCACCATGCCCAGCCTCCAATAACTCGATTCTACAATAACTGGCTAGATTCCTACTCAGCACAAGTCCATACCAGGTGCTTTGTAAAACACTATCTCTGGCCTTCACATATTGTATGGTTTATTATTTTACAGATGAGGAAATCTTTGGCCCAAAGCAGTGCAGCAGCCCTGGTATGTCAATGCAAGTCTAGGGAGTTAGGACACAAACAGCCAACACTGAACCCTTAATCATGGAAAGATGATTAACACCTCTGCTATGGTTTGGATGTTTGTCCTCTTCAAACCTTATGTTGAAATCTGATCCCAAATGTTGGAAATGGGGCCTAATGGGAGGTGTTTGGATCATGGAGGCAGATCCCTCATGAATAAATTAATACCTTCCCTGAGAAGTGAGTTCTTACTCTATTAGTTCCAGAGACAGCTGCTTATTAAAAAGAGGTTGGGTTGATCACTTGAGCCCAGGAGTTTGAGACCAGCCTGGGCAACAAACAAAGGGAGACGCCATCTCTACAAAAAATAATTTTTAAAAATTAGCTGGGCATGGTGGCATGCACCTGTGGTCCCAGCTACCTGAGAGGCTGAGGCAGAAGGACTGCTTGAGCCCAAGAGTCTGAAGCTGCAGCAAGCTGTCATCACACCACTGCACTCCAGCCTAGGTGATACAGTGAGATCCTGTCTCAAAAAAAAAAAAAAAGCCTGATACCTCCCCGTGTCCTTCTTCCTCTCTCACCATGTGATCTCTGCATTCCCCAGCTCCCCATCTGCCTTCCTTAATGAGTAAAAGCAGCCTGAGGCCCTCACCAGGTGCAGATGCCCAATCTCGAACTTTCCAGCCATCAGAATTGTGAACCATAAAAACCTTTTTGTTTTATAAACTACTCAGTCTCCAGCATTTTGTTATAGCAACATAAAATGAATGAAGACAACTGCCTTTGCTCTGTCCAGCCTGGCAGAGCCATGCAGAGCATCTTCTACCCAAGAACCCTTCTACTATTTTCAGGCAATGTTCACATCTTCTCTGGATGGATTCTGTAAAGCCCAACTCATATGCCCCACCCGGTTCCTAGTCTCTACCACCTCCTTGTGGCACTTGTCTGAATAGACACTTATAGTTGTAAATGTCTGTTGTACAGAACTTACTATACCTCACCACACTAAATTCCCTACTTTTGCTAACCACAGCCATGGTGATTTATTCAGACGTAAGGATGTCAGTTTCCTGCTCCAAATACAACTAGCAGGAGCAAATCAAAACTCTTCTTGATCAAGCCTCGTCTCTCACCTCCTCTGCTCTCAGCCTCCACATTCCAGTCATACCCTACTACTTTCATTGCCCAGAATTTACCAGCATCTCTCACCTCAGATGTTTACACCAGCACTTCACCTACCTAGAAGCCTCCTGCCTAACCTCCTCCCATCCTTCAAGGCTTGGCTTAGGGGTCATCTAAGGAGTCTTCCCTGATATTCTCCCATGCGAAGCCCAGGCCAGGTGTCCTTCCTCTAAGAAACTCACCATACTAGGCCAGGCGTGGTGGCTCATGTCTGTAATCCCAGCACTTTGCAAGGCCGAGGCGGGCAGATCCCTTGAGGTAAGGAGTTCAAGACCAGCCTGGCCAACATGGTGAAACTCCATCTCTACTAAAAATACAAAAAAATTAGCCAGGCATGGTGGCACATGCCTGTAGTCCCAGCTACCTGGGAGGCTGAGGCAGAAGAATCACTTGAACCCAGGAGGAAGAGCCTGCAGTGAGCTGAGATCACGCCACTGCACTCCAGCCTGGGTGACAGAGCAAGACTCCGTCTCAAAGAAAAAAAAAAAAGAAGAAACTCACCATACTAAACTTTTCCTCTCATAGCATTTATTATGCTATATTATAATTGTCTGACTTCCCTACAAGATTACACATACCATTAAATTAGGGACTATCTCATTCACTATTGTATCCTCAGCATTAGTCAAGTCCCTGGCACATACAGGCACTCAAGAAATATTTGAGAAATGAATGCATGAGTTTTCCTTCTAACTACCTGGCTCTGCTGAATCATACTGAGGTTACAATTAACCATGACCCTAAACCTTTTCTTTCATGTGCTACTTGGTTAAACCTCATCTTCCTCTTCCCCTTTTCCACTGCCACCCCCATACACAAATGACTGCATCTTATGACTTAAGTGCAAGTATCATTTTGGTGTGTCAAGACCACTTTAGTCCCTGACTTTGTCACTGCACATGCCTGCTATTCTTCCCAGCCTTCTGCCTTCCACAAGTGTCATCAGCCTATCATCAATGTTCTCATTCAGGTCCCTGACAGCAATGAACACACAAGAGACCTACAGCTTGCCACGAAAGATAGCTCTCCAGTTTGACATAAATCCATTAATCACCACTCTGTGCCTCGTCTCTCAGCCAGGTGCAAAGTCCACCTGACCACAATGTGACTGGAGAATATCTCCAGCTTGCGTGCAAGAATACTATGCAAAAATTGATGCTTTACTGAAATTCAGAACAAAGAATTTTAACCACAGCCCTCTATCTAGCTAACAACCCTATCCAAGAAAGAAATGGGCTTGTTCTGCCCTGCTTGGTTCTGAGGAAACCCATGGTGGCTCCTAGCAATCACTACTTCCCTTTTTTGAATTTACAAGCCCTTTAGCTCTGCTAAGTGAGCTGTTGTAAATGCAAGACCGCTCAATCCCAAAGCTGAAAAGAGAAGTCTATGAAGTGTGAGTTGCTGAAGGAGACTTCATGAAAGAAGTGAGATTTAAGGAAGATTTCAATGCACAGCGCCAACAGAGCTTGGTAGAGGACACAGGGAGAGTAGCCAAATCTAAGTGTGAGTAACAGGGACAGCAAGGCTGATTGTGGATAACAAAGACAGCAAGTCAGAAAGCCTGGCCCAAGTATCACCTGGGACAAACAGGGACTAATAAAAAGCAAGTTCTTCCTGCTGGGCTGCCTCCTTGAGCCAAAAGGTCAACCACAGCTGGGCTTCTGCCTGAATTCTTATTTTAAATATAATAGAACACATATTAGATTAAGCTGAGACAGAAAGTAATCCTTACATAAAAGACAGTTGTCAGAATGGCCAATCTAGTTTCTCCTAAGCACTTTCTGATGACGAATCCACCACCAGGATTATGTGTAATGGGCAATTTTGATGCAAAGTACTATTTTGCAACATTGTCCCATTTCTCTTCCAGAAAAATGCAGAGGTAATTATGTACTCATAGTCAGTGTAGCAAATCAGTTAAATTAAACCTGTATTTCATCTAATTCATATAGAATATGAATAACATAACTAACTTTTCTAATTTCATACTCTAGTACTCTCAAGTAAATAAAAGGGGAAAAAAAGTAAAGTTTCTCCCCTACAAATAGAATCTGTCACTTCCTAGGATGTGCACTTTTCAGCTCATGCATCCTAAATGCATGTGGAGATATTATATGCACTTTCTATTTAGCAATTTAATTATATCTTTGCATTCAAAGAGTGGCAATGGTTTGCAGTAATAATCAGGTGAAAGCATTCTGACATTAATATGCTGGAATCCGATGTGTTAATTTGATGCAACTTTGCCTTGACAATATGTGATTAATTTGTTCTCAGGCTAGCCTTGCTCCCAGCTCTGACAGTTTAAAATGCTGGGTTTCTTTATCCATATCGCTATTTGACACGCCTTAGCCCACTGCTTTGCTAAGACCACTGTTAATTTGTAATGAACTTGCTTTTCAGGGGGGCTCCTTCATTTTTAATTCTGTCAGTGTCACCTCCTTGAGGAAAATTACAAGTTTCCGTAGGTGTGATTACTGCCAAGTGCTGCTGATAAGAGGTTTGAGAAAACAAGGCTTTATAAAGAAGTCTGTATTTAATCTGCTGAAACAGATTTATTGCCTCCAGACAGATAAATATAATACAAAGTTCTCTTATTTAAAAGTCATCCCTAAGTTCTCCCTTACCACAACCTCCTCCTAAACAAAAACACAGTTGCATTTCTAGGACTCAATAATGAGTCACTCAGGGAAAAGAGGTGAACGTGTAATAAATTTAGCAATAACAGCAATTCTTGTCATCAAATTAGACTTGTGGGGGAGTCTCATAAAACACATGAATACATTTTTCACAAGGTTTGGGGGAGGAAAAAATCCCACTGAAACAATTATAGTTTCACTTCCCTTCCAACTAGCAAAAATTTTACACAGCTTAACGAACCCATTTTCTGTGGGCAAACTGAGTACTGGTGAAGTTAGGTATGGATTAAATTTCTCCTTGGCATATGATCCAGACAATGCTTGATAAAGGGTTAGAGGGGAGATGGAAAGTCAAAGTCTCAAAACATAATGCTTAATATAAAACAGTAGAATAACAGTAGGCAGCCTTTAAACTACTTTCACGAGCATCTTCTATTTAACCTTCAAAGTAACTGCATCAAGTAGGTGAGACTGTCCCCATTTTTTTCAGGTGAAGACTCTCAAAGAGTTCATGTGAAGGAATGACAACAAGGAAAGAACAGAAGCTGGGACAGTAATCCACACTTTTGATGGCTAGTCTTCTGCTTTTCTCCATCTCAATCTACTGGAAGGAAATGTCATCTCCTCTCCAGTTAGTCAACAAATAGAGCTAACCAGTCTCATGATGGACTCATTCTCTTGGGCACTAATCTTTACTCTTTTTCCACTTATTCGATGGCACGCTATTCTCCAGCAATGTCAGCCTTCCTACTGTGAAGCCTACTGTTCCCTTAAGGCCAGGTAGTCCTCAAGTCCTGCTAATCCTACCCTCTGATTTACCAGATGCTCTTAAACGTCTACACCAACAGTCAGAACTTAGAACAGACCCATTCACCTCAAACATCGTTTGTGGCACAAGCCCCTTTTCAGAAGATTAGAAACATTTCCCAATACTACAAATTAAATTAAAGCTCCTAGATATGAACTATCAGTGAGTTCTCTCCATTTCCCAAACCATCTTTTTCTTTCTTAGCTCCCCAGCTGCTGCTCAATTAAAAAGTCAAGAAAAAAGCCTTCCACCCTATGTTCAGGCTGATCTGGCACCTTTGCCAACAGAGATCACTGCTCTACTATTTGCTAAAATGCGCCCTACCTTTTGCCACAAGACCGTTCATGAAGCAGCCCTGTCTGAGAAAGAGACTAGTGAACTGAAATATCTGCCCAAAGGAATGTAATCTAAACACTATTTGCATTCTACACAAACAAGAAAAACTCAACACAAAAGCAGGTAAAAAAGCAGAATGCAAAACTACACCTACACTATAAATCATGCTAAATGATGTAAAGATGATTTTGCATCTATGGCTTGAAGAGAGATACAATCATGAAATTCTGATTTTTAAGGTAAGTCTTTATACAGAAATTTCTTAATGCTTCTTTATTGTCATTTGCATACCTACCAGTCTACAAGTTACTTCAAAGCAGGCGTAGCAGTTTATTCATGTCTGTATCCATGGGACCCAGAAAGTAGGGGGTTGATAAGTTTTCACTAAATTAAACTAAATAGAAATTGTTAACAGACATGTTAACTCATATATGGCTCAACTAGAGCAGCTCAGTTCAACCTGGGACATGTATGAACTCCTGGTATCAGCTGCGGCTGGTGTAATGGGAACAGCTGCTGCTTTGAAGTGCCTTCTCCTAAAGGACACACGGCTCCAGGGCAGAGACCACATTCCCTATTCCCAAGTCTTCCTCCACCACTGATTTGTGTCAGAGTGAACCCTGGGGAACTGCTGCTGAACAACAGAAAAAAGGAGGCTGGTTCTAAGATGAGCACAACTGTGGACCAAGCCAAAGGCAGAAAACACCTAATAGCAGGTGTCATTGCCTAGAACAGATGAAAGTTATCCTGAAAGGGACATATTAATATACAGAAGAGAAAAAAAATAAAACTGAAAGCAAAAAATGAAACCAAACACTTTAAAAACACTAGGAAGTACTGGTTTGAAAATACATAGGAAAAAAAGCTAACGCATATATATCAAGATACAATAGAGACAAATTAGATAATTCAAAATTCCTCCATACCTAACAACTCTGTAACTGTGGCTTTTGCCAGATAACTGCATATTCTCTAACATGTGAACTGAGAAAGTCAATCTAATAGTGCCAGAACAATCACCATCCTTGAGGAGAAAATTCTAAACCAAATAATGAACACAGGGCAGGTGCATCCAGTGTATCTACTACCAGACCATTCACAACTAAAACAGCATGAATTAACTGAGAAAATGAATCAACAAACATGCCTTGGTCATCTGTTATGTGCCAATGACTATAGCAGCATTTGCTTACATATGATCTGCCAGGTGATCTGCACCACTCCTACCAGCAAGGCTGGAGGGAGAGGACAAAGGGTCCAAGAGAAGCTAACTTCTTACTCATGGTCACACAGAGAATAAGTGGCAAAGCTAGGACTCAACCCTGTCTTACCCTAATCCACCACACTCACACCTTAGCCCAAAAATCTCGTGTCTAGCTAAGAAGACATACATACATGCAGATGATCTGATTAGAAATGCCACAAGTCAATATCTAATTAAATTTATTGCAAACTGGCCAGGCACGGTGGCTCACGCTTGTAATCCCAGCATTTTGGGAGGCCGAGGTGGGTGGATCACTTGAGGCCAGAAGTTTGAGACCAGCCTGGCCAACATGGTGAAACCCTGTCTCTACTAAAAATACAAAAGTTAGCCGGATGTGGTGGCGCACACCTGTAATCCCAGCTACTTGGGAGGCTGAGGCAAGAGAATCACTTGAACCCAGGAGGCCAAGGATGCAGTGAGCTGAGATCACACCACTGCACTCCAGCCTGAGTGACAGAGCAAGACTCTGTCTCAAAAAAATAAATGAATAAAAATAAAAATAAAAAAAGTATAATGTAAATGATGCACAAGCGCAGAAGGAATGAGCAGATAAAAGGTGGTTCAAGTATCAAAGTGCTAAAGAGAATGGGTTTTGCCCTGTTTTCTAAAAAAAAAAATGAGGAAATGGGCCAGATGTATGAAAAAATTAGAAATCACTTGTGGTCATAGAACTGTCAGGTAATACAACAGTTGAGGTGAGGCCACGCTGGGACTCAGGATAACAGAAGATTTGGAATCAGACTGACCCAGATTTAAGTACTGTGTAAACTTGCTTAATGGCTTGCTTTTATTCATTCATTTCACAAATAATTATTTTTCACCTACAGGCCAGTTCCTCTGTGGGGTTTTCTCCTCTCTGTTTCTTAGTTTCCTCATTTAGAAAACAAGAATAAAAAAATCTCTGGCCTATTACAAGGATTAAATGAGAAACGATGTATTAAAGTAGCATACCCACAATAGGAAGGTAGGTAGGTAATGGGTACTTATTTTTTGTTCTGAGACGGAATCTCGCTGTTTCCTATGCTGGAGTGCAGTGGCGCAGTCTCAGTTCACTGCAGCCTATGCCTCCCAGGTTCAAACGATTCTACTGCCTCAGCCTCCCAAGTAGCTGGGATTACAGGCATGCACCACCACACCTGGCTAATTTTTGTGTTTTTGGTAGAGACGGGTTTCACCATGTTGGCCAGGCTGGTCTCGATCTCCTGACCTCAGGTGATCTACCAGTCTTGGCCTCTTGAAGTGCTGGGATTACAGGTCTGAGCCCCCACGCCCAGCTGGTAATGGGTACTTAATGGTTGAACTGAACTCAACAATAAGAATTAAAATTGGAAAGTGTCTGAGGGAAAGGGCTCTGATTGTCAAGTGGAGGAGTTTAGTTTTGCTACCTTGGAAGGGCAGTGGGAGTATTTAATCTGGCCACCAATGAACAGGACAAACCAAAAGAGAGGGGACATGAAGCAGAGAGACCAGCCTGGAAGGTGCTCCTGTAATATAAATGGGCTGTGATTTGGTCCTGAAACAAGAGTGTGACTGGTGAATCTGAGAAGTGTCAAATCTGACAGACACTGAGAAGGAATCACTGGCTGACCTTAGGGACACACACTGTGGGGAGAGAGTGGTGAAATAGAAGAAAAGTACTCCAGTCAATTCTGGCTTAAGTCTCACTTTGGAAACAATCCTTCTTTGAAAATAATCCCCTGGATATTACTGATTTCACAGAAAGACCCATTGTTTTGCACACAAAATACACTTTAATATTTTTCTGCTTTTTCTACAAGCAACATCCTTTCTCCCAGCCAAGTCTAAACACTATTCTGTACAAATTACCTCGATCTGCCCAAGATTAAACTGCAATTTGCTTACTCTCACTCATGTCCCTCAATCATTCGGGCCTGAGGAAACAGGGCCTGCACCCTTTAAGACTGCAGCACATAAAGCATTCTGTCATCAGGAGAATAGTGCACTCTGTCCCTAAGCACATCATTGTCTCTCAAATGGCTACAGCTGCAAATATTCACTTGCAAAAGGATTTTATGAAAACCTCAGGGCAAAAGGAACGATCACCACCTTTGGGGCCAACCCCTTCGGGAAAACATGGAGCCACTTAAAAATCTGGCTGAGAATTAACCTCACAATAACAAGTGGAAGACCTTTGGGAGCCCTTCAAATATAGAGATTTAAGAACTCTATCTGAACACTTTGGGAGGCTGAGACGGGCGGACCACCTGAAGCCAGGAGTTCGAGACCAGCCTGGCCAATATGGTGAAACCTCGTCTCTACCAAAACTACAAAAAAATTCACAGGGTGTGGTGGTGCATGCCTGTAGTCCCAGCTACTGGGGAGCATGAGGCAGGAGAACTGCTTGAACCCAGGAGGCGGAGGCTGCAGGGAGCCGAGAATGCACCACTGCACTCCAGCCTGGGCAACACAGAGAGACTCCATCTCAAAAAAACAAGACAAAACAAAACAAACAAAAAACCACTATCTGGAGCTGTGCCTAGGTTCAAATTGCAGACTCCCCACTTCTTAGCTGTATGACCTAAGGCAAGCTGTTTAACTTCCCCATACCTCAGTCTCCTTCACCTCTCACTGCGGGGGTTATCATCTCTCCTCACAAGGCTGTTTTGAGAATTAATCAATGCATGCAAAGCACTCAGAATTGTGCCTGGCACATAGCTAATTCTCAATATATGCTTGTTGTCATTATTATATTCGTTATCATTAAAATTGTTTAAATTCTCCCTCCGTCCCACCTAATACCTACTGAACACTATGCTGGGCACTATGTACACAGGGAAGTGGGGGAGAGAGGCACGGGAAGAGACAAATTTGTACTCTAAAGAGACGATTGTTGTGGAAGTACAGAGGAGGAGGCCACTCTCAGATGAGGCAAGGAAATGTTACAGAAGAGGTGACGTCTGAGTTGGCTCTTAAGAGAACACCTAGGAATTTTCCAGGAGAAAGAAGTTTACATGGCAGCAGATACAGTATCTGGTTTCTAATACAAAAGACCTGAATCAGAATTTATAGGTTTCTAGGAAGGACAGACAGCTGCATGGAAGGTTATGATGAGGAGGGCAGTGAGAGGCTTATTTCTCCTTCTGGGGAGATATACTTGAACACAGACAGGCGCATGGGGGCAGAATCCTCAAGGCAGGCAGTGAAAAACTCAGTCAAAGATTCCAGCCAGGTTCTCCTCACCCTTCAAAGCTGGACATAGTACTCGCTAACTTCTCCTACTAAGACCTCAGTATAGGCATGACTCCTTTGTACTTCCAAATCATCCTGTCCTTAGATCATCACGTTCTGTTTATCCCTTTTTTTTTGAGACGGAGTCTCGCTCTGTCACCCAGGCTGGAGTGCAGTGGCACGATCTCTGCTCACTGCAAGCTCTGCCTCCTGAGTTCATGCCATTCTCCTGCCTCAGCCTCCCCAGTAGCTGGGACTACAGGTGCCCGCCACCACGCCCGGCTAATTTTTTCTATTTTTAGTAGAGACAGGGTTTCATCGTGTTAGCCAGGATGGTCTCGATCTTCTGACCTCGTGATCCGCCCGCCTCGGCCTCCCAAAGTGCTGGGATTACAGGCGTGAGCCACCATGCCCGGCCACATTCTGTTTATCTCAGACTCTGAACTGGCTCCTTGAGGGACAGGGATTACCCTTGCATCAATGCACCCCCGAGACCACTTACTCTGCCAGGAGCAAGACAAACATTAAATAAATGTTTGATGAATGAAAAATCTACCTTGCCTACAGTATTCTCATAAAGCAAACCTGAACACTTAAGTCTCCAAATATTCCTCAATGTCTCATAATGACCATAATACTATGTAATTCTAATGATGGCTATGACCTCATCCATTCTCACTCTTTTTACTGACTAGTTAATTTAGCCTCAGAAAGGTAAGATGATGCAGTCAAAGTCTTCTAAGTCAAAGACACTTAGAAAGCAAGTGACATGGTAAGTAACAGAACCCTGGTCTCTGAGTTGAGTACTCTTCTAGAACCAAGCTGGAAAAAGCTGAAGCTATTATTTTCTTATGCAACATGTTGGGAAATTTAGAGACTCTAATATTCTACTAACATATACAGTATTTGACAAGCAAATAAAATGTGTGGAAATATTTCTTTTAATACATGTGGTTCTTCTGAAATAGTATAAACTCCAAAAGTAAGATAATCTGGATTCAAAGCTGGCCCTACCGTATAGCAGGGTGTGATCTTAGGCAAGTTGTTTAATCTCTATCAGACCCAGTATCTCAACATAGAAATAATAATCCACACATCATATTTCTGTGTATATTAGATGCTGTGTAGATTAGATGCATGCTGCCTGGCTCATAGCAAGCATTTGGTCAACAGTAAACACTATTATTATCTTCATCTGTTAATCTTGAGGACAGAGTTCTCATTTCCCCTCCTTCCCTTAGTGCCTATACTCTACACATAATAGCCATTCAAAATTTTCTGAATCTATGATTAATAAAAATATCAAACAAGTAGTCAATGGCTTTTCTTAATCAAGAAAAGATAATTACTATATAGTTTAAGATGTCAAGTATGAGTACTGTATGGTTTTTACATTTTTTTTCAGCACTCACAGATTCTGACAGATGTCTGGTTTTTAATAATGACATTTCATTGTTTTAAAAAGCAGAATCAACTTTATCTAAAAACAGCCCATCAGTTTTTCTCTAAACAGAACTGGGTGAGTTTCTTATAACTTCCCACATGAACATCTTCTGTTTCATTATTATTGTGACAATTAAAGGAGCAATACATTCATGTTAGGGAGAAAAAAAAGTTACTGGAATAAAAATTGCTAAATATGCAGGTGCAGCAGCTCACACCTGTAATCCCAGGACTTTGGGAGGCCACGGCAGGAGGTTCACTTGAGGCCAGGAGTTCAAGACCAGCCTAGGGAAATAGTGAGGCTCTTGTCTCTATAAAAATAGGCCAGGCGTGGTGGCTCATACCTGTAATCCCAGCACTTTGGGAGACCGAGGCAGGCAGCTCACTTGAGGTCAGGAGATCAAGACCAGCCTCACCAACATGGTGAAACCCCATCTCTACTAAAAATACAAAAATTAGCCAGGCATGGTGGCGCATGCCTGTAATCCAAGCTACTCGGGAGGCTGAGAGAAGATAATTACTTGAACCTGGGTGGCAGAGGTTGCAGTGAGCCAAGATCATGCCACTGCACTCCAACATGGGCAACAGAGCTAGACTCTGTCTCAAATTAATTAGTTAATTTAAAAAATTAGGCCGGTGTGGTGGCATGCACCTATGGTCCAAGCTACTTGGGAGGCTGAGGTGAGAGAATCACTTGAGCCCAGGAAGTCAAGGCTGTAGTAAGCCAAGATCACATCCCTGCACTCCAGCCTGGGCAACAGAGTAAGACTGTCTCAAGAAAAAAAAAAGGAAAGAAGGAAGAAAAAGAAAAAAAAAATTAAATTGCTAACTAAAGTCAGAAGTAATCTCTTTACATTTTGTGTACATCCTTTCATACTTTTTTCTATGTGAATATAATTATTTTCAGACAGGAATAATATAGGGTGGACACAGGAGAATAAAAATTCCAGGCAGCAGTTTCACATGACTAAAGGCTATGGGCTGGTAAGATCCTGAAAAACAGAGTATGGACAAAGCTGACTAAGACCAACTAGACCCAATATGGAGCTGGATTTGACCTAGGTTTCAACTAGGACCACATTATATGCTCATTAACATACTAAATCACACACCCACCAGCACCAGGCAGTTCTGAGAACACCCATATTTGGTGTAAAAATAGGTGGTAACACAGTTCTGAGAAATCTTCACCTTTTGTCAGGAATAATCTACCCCTCAGTTAAAGAAACCCATAAAGGTAGCAACCCCAAATCCCCTTGCACATGCAGGAGTATGCCTACGCTGCATTTTCTTTAATGTGTGCTTTTCCCTTTGCAATAAATCTCCACATTTTCACTATTTTCTGATTCATCCTTGAATTCATTCTCACGATGGTATCAAGAGCCTGGACACAGGTTGGGGTGGAGGTCCCACCAGCATTTGGGGACCTCCTCCAGCCTACTGGTATCAATTTTAACAAAAATATAATATATATGCCTTTTTTTTTTCTTGTGATGGAGTCTCGATCTGTCACCCAGGCTGGAGTGCAGCAGTGCAATCTCAGCTCACTGCAACCTCCTCCTCCCAGGTTCAAGCGATTCTCCTGCCTCAGCCTCCCGAGTAGCTAGGATTACAGGCACCTGCCACCACGTCTGGCTAATTTTTGTATTTTTAGTAGAGACGGGGTTTCACCAAGTTGCCCAGGCTGGTCTTGAACTCCTGACCTCAGGTGATCTGCCAGCCTTGGCCTCCCAAAGTGCTGGGATTACTGACATGAGCCACCACGCCCAGCGTTTTTTTTTTGGGGGGAGGGAGTCTCACTCTGTCACCCAGGCTGGAGTGCAATGGTGCATTCTTGGCTTACTGCAAACTCTGCCTCCTGGGTTCAAGCAATTCTCTTGCCTCAGCCTCCCGAGTAACTGAGACTACAGGCACCCACCACCACATCCAGCTGATTTTTGTATTTTTGGTAGAGATGGGGTTTCACCATGTTGGCCAGGCTGGTCTCAAACTCCTGACCTCAGGTGATCCGCCTGCCTCAGCCTCCTAAAATGCTGGGATGACAGGTGTGAGCCACTGCGCCTGGCCTATACATGCTATTTTTTAATCTTTTTATTCACCATATTATACAAATCCTTCTATATCAAGAAGTGACATAGATGTCATTGTTTCAATCATTATGTAATATTCATTAGGTGGATACTATGCCATAATTTATTTAACTAATCCTCTATTATTGGGCATTGAGGTTGCTTCCAGTGTTTCAGTAATACACAATGAAAATACATTTGTATATACGTTTCTGATTAATTCCTAAGAATACATTTTTAGATGTGTTTTTTCCAAGTCTAAGGACATATATATAATTAGGCTTTTGATATATATCACCAAATTACCCTCCAGAAAACTTCGCCAATTTTTGGTCTTGCCAACATGGGAAATGCTTCCAGTTTAATCTCTCTCCAATGTGAAAGGCAAACAATTCTATACTATTGTTGTTTCATTTTTGCTTCATCTTAAAATTTCTGGGAAAATATAAGCAGAAATAAGCATGTTTTTGCAAGACAATCAACTGGATAGGTAGCCAGGAAATATCAAGTCTTAAATTTAAGAACAAGCCTTAACTCAATTAGAGCTCCAATTAAAAAGTGGAATATTCAGGAAGCATTCAGCCTTCCCCAAAAGAGGTTAAGAGGGGAATGGAGAGATCAGAAAGCAATGGATCTCCACTGGGATGTCCTTAGAAGGATAGGTTTCAGGAGAAAAATAGACATTTTACTAATCACCTCATAACCTCCTAAGGCAGGTGTCTAATGTATGAACTACCAGGATGGTCCAAGACAACCTACGTTAGCCCATTTAAGTTATTTTCATTAAAGATGGGGTGCATAATAAGGGTTCAAAATTACAAACTGTAGGCAACTCATCTATCGTAGTAGTAAGAGTCCTTGAAAAAAAAACATGAAACAGAAAATTTCACATTAGCACAATTTTAACCCAAAATGGCAAAATTAATTTTTGCAACACAATTGTCCCTTTGCAATCACTGCTAATGTTAAGAGACCAGATAAAGAATTATTAGCACCATTAATGTAATATCGAAGTCACACCTATACATCCTTTTCCATAGAAAATGGTTCTTAATTTTCAAGTTGTTCTGCTTTATTAAAGCTCATTACCATTTCTCTTTTAATAAGTGCTCTTTAAAGTCATTACCTGCAGTGAAGTTAAAGGCAGAGCTATTAAAAGGTTACTTTAATGTGAATAATAGCCTCCCAATATACTCAAGTTAATTACTATTGGAAACTGGTTCTATTTTAATTTAATGCTGAACGCTTAATGAAGGATCTGCCGGGGTAGCAAAACTGACAAAAATTATTCATGGTCAACAGACCTATTCTTGCTGTCTCATTTAAAGAGATAATATCCATTTCTAGTTCTACATAACTGCATTTAAAGATCAAAATTACATATTAACATTTTTCTCTGTATATCTAATTGAATATGAAAAATGTGTTTTTTTAATATATTCAAGAGCATGTTAGACATAGCGCAATCATCAGTCATAATGTGGCAGCCCCTCAAACATGTAGGAGGTGGAAAGGAATCTCAAAACCACTACAAGGAGAGTTTTGAAGACAAACAAATTCATTCTGGGTCCTTTGTGTCTGCGCATAAAAAGTAACCGTCACCAAAAGAAAAAGGGGAGGGGAAAGGCTGAAAGGAGATGAGCTGAAAGGGACACTAGAGCCAAGGGGGACCTGAAGAGCAGGCCTCTGCCCAGGCAGAGAGAAATACAAGCCCCCTAGCTTTGCAGAAGAGCTACAGAGGCAAACCCCAACCCCAGCCTCCTCACAAAAGGATGTGACTGGAGTCCTTCCACTGTGGCCAGCCTCAAGTAAAACACATGCACACTTTCCCCCAACACCTGAGAAACGAAGCTCAGTGAGAACGCAGATGACAATGGAGTTTTAAAGACAACTCAGGTTCAATGACAAACATAGATTTTTCTTTCTCAAGCTAATTTTACTTAAAAAGATACCAAATTGGCCAGGTACGGTGGCTCACGCCTATGATCCCAGCACTTTGGGAGGCCAAGGCGGGCAGATCACCTGAGCTCAGGAGTTCAAGACCAGCCTGGCCAACATGGTGAAACCCCGTCTCTACTAAAAATGCAAAAATTAGCCAGGCGTGGTGGCAGGTGCCTGTAGTCCCAGCTACTTGGGAGGCTGAGGCAGAAGAATCACTTGAAACTGGGAGGTGGAGGTTGCAGTGAGCCAAGATCGCACCACTGCACTCCGGCCTGCGTGATGGAGCAAGACTCTGTCTCAAAAAAAAAAAAAAAAAAAAAAGTACCAAGTTTCCTTGACATCCATATAGAATAAATGCATTATAATCAACTCATGTGAGACAATGTCAACTACCCTCTGCCTACTTGGCCACTTGTTTATCCCTGTCAGTGTGCTGACTCTGGAATGCAAACACCTGGAAGGCAGAGTTCCGATCATGTAAAATTATTCCCCATAGGTGCCACTAAATAAAATTTTTAAAAATTTTTTGAGATAATTGTGATAAAACAAAGCTGCCCTTAACATTAATTCAGTAATGATATCTTGAGAAGTATTAAAATGCTAACCAAAAATGGGCTCCTCAAATATTACATCAACTGTACACAAAGGTATTCCCCATATTTTAAATTACATACTTCATGAATATTAAAGAAATGCTTTTCCTGTGTCAATCTGAGAACCACCTCAAAGCCTTTGGGTGGTGAAAAGACTAGAGATCTTAGTATTATAAATGCCTGGGATAGAATAAATTTAAAACTAATACAGAGGTAGAGGTAGGAGGATCACTTGAGCCCAGGAGACCAGCCTGGACAACAGAGCAACACCCTGTCTCTTCAAAACAAAACAAAACAAAACAAAACAAAAAACTAATACAATGCCATCAGGAGGCCATGAGTCTCACAAATTTAGCTTCAAAGCCTAGCCATCATTTATCCCTTCCGTGAAGTTTCAGTTTCCTTCTCTGTACAACAGTAAGGAATGTTATGAGGACTGAACAAATTGCTACATATCAAGTCCATTAGAGGACTTGGTACAAAATAAGACTCAATAAAATGGAGCTATGGTAATAATGATAAAACCTTCCTTAAAAGGGGGCTTAAATCTCATAGGCTAGATTTTATGAATTTTGTTTCTAAACTAAAACAATAACATCATTTAAAAAGACTTGTTTTAAAGCTAGAAACCTAATAAAATAGAAAGAGGAAAAAAAGGTCATCATGGTTGAAAAAAGAACCCAGCAAGTTATTGTTTTGATACCATAATTAGGAAGAGAAAATGAAAGTCAGCAAAACCACAGTTTTAGAAAAGTGGTTATTAGATTTTCTTCTTTCCACAGTGGAAAAAGTCCTTCCTGTTGAAGAAGGCAGTGAAATTTTATCACAGCTATTGCTATTCATAAATCTTATATCTATTTTAATTCAATCTGGCCCTAGCCTCAGAGTCGCTGCACCACAATTTGATTACTATAACCATACTTTTTAACTGCTGTCAGGAAAGACAGCGCCTTATACAAACATCTGCCGGAACACATGCCTGCGTTCTCCAGCACCAGCCTTAAATCACGCTCTGGTGATGAATCTTTATCTGACACTAATACTTTTTAACTTCATACGGACAATTAAAATGAATTGTAGCTAAATGCACATATAACAAATCAATTTAATCTTTGGTTGCATAGCAGCATATTTTGCAAATTTCCTAAACTTACATGTATTTTGTAAAATTTCTTACATGTATCTTTGTCTAGGTGTTAAACTTCAGTTTAACAGAAAGTAAAGTGGAAATACTAATAAAACACAGCTCTTATGATACTGCCATGTAGTTGCAAGCCTCAAAGAATAATGACATTTGAAATTTATCACTGCCATTTTTAAAAACTTCCACATTTCTATGTGGAGAGTACCATTCTGGGCTTCATTATAAGAGTGACCAAAGCTGAATTCCCTGGCCTGTAGGAATACAACTGAAATTCGGACAACCACACCAAGGATAAGAAACTGGCTCAGATCCGAGCCGTAGACAGTATTCATCTACTATTCATCTATAGTGCCCATCACATTTGCTCTCTGGTTTGTTGTTCGTGGTTCTGTTCCTCTGCTCGGTCAGGTGCACCTAATGTCATGGACCACTGTCACAGTCCTCAGCACTGGGCACGATCATTCATGTAAAGTATAGTTTCTCCACTTGATGGCCATATGGCCGCTCTTGTCTTTTAAGTTCCCCAAGGGCAGTCAGCCCCATTTTATTTATCAGTGCACGGTGCAGAGCTGGTATGCAATAAATGTTTGAAATGAGCCAGTACAGTGTGGGTGCCTAGTAAATGATGTATTCGATGGATAGAGATGTGTGAACGAATCCACTCTGCACACCAGAAAAATCAATGGAAATAAACAAACATTTGTGAGGCACACACCAGTTACTACGTGTGAAAGCATTCCCCTTCCCCAGTCCCAATATCTTTTTTTTTTTTTTTTTTACATGTAAGGAAGTTAAGGCTAACAAGATGCAGTAACTTGCCCAATCCATATAACTGATAAAAAGATCTGAAGCAGTCCGTCAGGTTTCAAGTCCACTGCTAAAGGAAAAACTTTTGTTTTTAAATTTTAAAAAATTTCAAATGTTAACTGTTTTTGTTTTCGCCATAACAACGACTGCAAGAGTCTAGGAAAAAGAGCTGTGGTACTGGAATAGGAGAAAAAGGAGCTGAATACCAGCTCTGCCACACACTAGTGGGGAATCCTTGAGCACCTCACTTTCTCTCTCTCAGCCTGTTCCCTCACCTGGAGCTAATACTCCCTAGATCACTGTTCTGTTAGGATAATTAAGAGGAAAGTTCCAATGTATACACAAAAGATTAACTCTTCAAAAGTTGTAGTTTTCCCATCTGTACCCCCCTACATCTCACTGATGTCAATCACCTCCCTAATCACAAAACTCTGGAATCTTAAAGCCAAAAAGAATCCAAGAGGTCATCTAAGCCACATTCCTGATTCTAAACACGCAGAAATCAAGGCTCATAGATGAGAGATTACTTGTCCTACATCAGAGAGAAGGAACTGCATGGCCAGGACTAACACTCAAGTCTTCTGATTCCCTGTCAGTGTTCCTTCTAACACATGGCCTAGTAGTCCTGGAAATCAAGTTTCCATTTTGTATGAACCCCATTAATGAAAATAAAAATCTCAGCTGGGCACAGTGGTTCATACCTGTAATCCCAGCACTTTGGGAGGCCGAGGCAGGCGGATTACCTGGTCAGGAGTTGGAGACCAGCCTGACCAACATGGTGAAACCCCGCCTCTAGAAAGAATACAAAAATTAGCTGGGCGTGGTGGCACGCACCTGTAATCCCAGCTACTTGGGAGGCTGAGGTAGGAGAATCGCTTAAACCCGGGAGGCGGAGGTTGCAGTGAGCCAAGATCACACCACTGCACTCCAGCCTAGGCGACAGAGACTCTGACTCAAAAAAAAAAAGAAAAGAAAATAAGAAAATAAGAATCTCTGAGAATTAGAACACTTGGATTCTATGCCCAGCTAGGTGGAGCCTAGGCTGTCATTTGATTTCTCTGGATAGAGGTCTTCAAGATAGTAAAATCATGGCCTCATTCTTCGAGGGAGAAGACAATCTCTCTACTGCAAACCATGCAGAGCAAAGTACCCCAGGATGAGAAGGCTGAATGTAAAATGACACCATCCCTAGTCCCCTCCATACCTACAAGGATTGTCTCCTGGGCTAGACCTCAGTGCTCGATATTCATTCCAACCAGATTCCCTCTTCTAACCTGGTAATTAGTCAGGTAGTGAGAAGGTAGTACAACAACAGTAATCTCATTGTAACAAAAATACGTCCATGTTGTTTACCTCTTAGTCCCCTAACCTCCAACAATTACAATCAACACGTCTTAAATGACACCTGGCATCTGCCTCATTTAAAATTACTCTCTCGAAAATAAAAGAATAAAATTACCCTATCGTTTTCTCCTCTGAATGGCCTGGTGAGTCAGGCTGGGCATCTGAGTGCACATCCCTGTCATCTGAGAGGAAGTGACTGATGGGAGAGGAAGTGTCTGGAAGGTGACTAACGTCTGAAGGCAATTCCTTGGCCAGTTTCAAGGCTGGCTGACAAGCGAGAACAAAAAAGAGGCTTTTTGCTCCACTCTCACCTCAAAAAGCACTGCCTCAGATTCCCCAAACACAAACCAGACAATAGGATATACCCCACCTCCCAAAAAGATGTACAGTGTCTTCAAGGACATGGTAACAGTCTATGATCTGTAGTCAGCAGGTCCAAAACAGCTGCCAATGGGTGACAGAAACTCCGTCTCAAAAAAAAAAAAAAAAAAAGAAAAGAAGAAAATAAGAATCTTTGAGAATTAGAACACCTGGATTCTATGCCCAGCTAGGTGACCCTGGGCTGTCATTTGATTTCTCTGGAGAGATATCTTCAAGATAGTAAAATTATGGCCTCGTTCTTTGAGGGAGAAGCCCTCTTTCAGTGCTTCCTAACTCAGGGATGGTTTCATTATCCATCCAGCTCCACAAGCCGGACACGGACCAGGAAATCATCCTTCAAACCCCCTTCTAACCCTGTTCTCTGCATACATCATCAAATCCTACCACTTTTGCCTACTACTAAATATCTCTCGAATTCATTCACTCCATCTTCATTCTAACAAGCAAGCCCAAGTTACCACTCTCTCACCCAGAGCACTGCAAAAAATGTCTTGATTAGTTTCTCTATCCTCACAAACCCTTCTCAGGGATATACTCGGCAGCACAGCCCCAGGGGTCTTTTCAAAACAAATTTGATTACCTCACCTCCCCATTTAAATCCTTGTTCAAGGCTTCCCCGTGCCATGAGGTTAAAGAGAACACCTCTACCAATCATACCCGGTCTTCCCCCAGAGCTTCACTTTTCACCACGATCTACTTCACCCTAGGGCTCCAGTCACACAACTTTCTTTTGGTTCCTCAAAATTGCCAAATTCCCCTTGCCTCAGACCTTCTGTTCCTTTCTCCTCCCCCTTTTCTTAGCTAGTTCTTACTCACCCTTTAGCTCTCAGATCAAAAGATTTTAACCCAAGCCTGACAAACATGTTCTTTCCATGGCAAGAGTCTGCCTTCCTTTGAAAAGCCTTAAGCCAATGGTGAATTCTACCTCATGGAATTTTTAGAAGATGGCTCCACAACAAAGGAAGCCACCACAGACTGGCAAGGTTCACAGCTAACTGCAGAAATGAGGCCTAGACAGAGAGCTCAGGGTGGAAGAAGTTAGTTTTAAGAACTCAGCATAGAGGATTTAACTTCTATGAGAAGTAGAATGCCGAAAACATTTTGTTGTGATTCCTATTTAACTCATTACGAACTGACCATCAAGACAAAAATCCCAATGTCCTCCCTTGGGATTTTCAGTATAACATGAAGCAACAGCAACAGGAGAGAATTAATATAATGGTAAGGGGGAAATAATCTCACAAAGAGATGTCTTTAATGAATTTGATCCTTCTTTTTCAGACACCATCTTGCTCTGTCACCTAGGCTGGAGTGCAGTGGTGCAATCACAGCTCACTGCAGCCTCAACCTCCTGGGCTCAAGTGATCCTTCCGCCTCAGCCTCCCAACATGCTGGGGTTACAGGCATGAGCCACTGTGCCCGGCGATCCTTCTATACTATATACCAGAATATGTAAATGGTAGTGAATATCTAAACTCCATCTTCTTTTAGAAATAGAATAGACTAACAAAAACTGATCTATGAAAGGAAGACTAGCAAAATACAGTCACAGAGATAAGTAGCCAGGAGAATAACTGCTAAAATCATGTTGAGACTTTTCTTTTAAAAAGTATGTAGGTTGGACGCAGTGGCTCACACCTGTAATCCCAGCACTTTGGGAGGCCGAGGCGGGCAGATCACCTGAGGTCAGGAGTTTGAGACGAGCCTGGCCAACATGGTGAAACCCCATCTCTATTAAAAATTCAAAAATTAGCCAGGTGTGTTGGCAGGCGCCTGTAATCCCAGCTACTCGGGAGGCTGAGGCGGGAGAAATCACTTGAACCTGGGAAGCAGGGGCTGCAGTGAGCTGAGATGGTGCGACTGCACTCCAGCCTGGGCAAAAGAGAGAGACTCTGTCTCAAAAAAACAAAACAAAACAAAAGTATGTAAATGAAGCCACTGAACAACTGAGACGAACAGCTCCTAATTCAAAATATAGTCACTCTAGATTTATCTCATACTGGGCACTAAGCAAGCAAAGCCCTGGAGAACTCTTACTGAAAGGAGCAGTGGTGGACTTTCCGTATTATGCAGCCAACTTCTTTCTTCATTCATGGTTACCCCCGCACCCCCACCAGTTGAGTAGGGGTTGGGGGTAAAGGAGAAGGAAGTAAGGCCAGAAGACCCTTAGGCTGAAGGCCACTGCCTCAGCTCAGGCAGCATTAAGTAAAAGCTGCTTTCTAGAAACACAGCCAACACTAAAAAGCCCAGGCTACATTTTTTTTTCTTTGGGAAAGAGATCCAGAAGCAAACGTAGTTTAACATATTAGAAGGGACCATTCCCACAAGAATAGCATATTTTCCAAGTTCAGATGAGGTGCCTTTTCCACTAAGGGCAATTTTTCTTTTTACGTGATTTCAATTCGCTGACCTTTTCTGAGTTTGCAACATTTCTCGGTGGCTTCATGCTTTTCTGCAAAGTTTTAAGTGACTTTCTTTGAAGAGAGCTATTTAATGCCAATGATTGTAGAAAACATTTGTTCATAATTATCCGACATAGACTGGAACAATGCTGAAACAAGAGCAGCATGCAAAAATGTATTTAAGGACTATCATCCCAAAATGCTGCTAAAAGCTATTAACCAGTATGTGTTAATTGCCACAGCATTCATATTAATTTTCACTTCAGGCTCGACATTGTGGAATATTTCCCCTGATACATTTTAAACAAAGTTTAATTTAAGGAACTGCTTCTATCAACACTTATGAAAATTAACAGCCAAGCAATTAGCACTCATGAATTATCCCTTCCCCCATGCTCTCTGCAGCTTCCCTATTAAAACAGTTTCTAATAGAGAAATGGTTACTTTCTAACAAGTTAACACCATCAAAGTCACAGTTGTCTATATGAACCAGAACTGGTTTGCTCTTTCAAGCACTTGTCAAGTCAAACATTCCCCTTATATTTAGAAAATAGTATTTAGCTAAGCCCAAAAAGTAGGATATTTAACATTTTAGAAACTGCCAAGCGATCACCAATATTGAACCATTTTCTCACCAAAAGTTTAAAAAAAATAGCCAATCCCCCACCCACCCAAAGGAAGTAATTACTTGTCTCAATCTTCCTAGTGAAGGACCAAAACCCCACTGGACTCCCTGAACTTCAACATGCAGACCGTTTTCACCCTCTCTGCTGTACTTCTTCTTTACGACACTATTCTAAAATCCTGGCTTTTAAAAACACATTCCCTCTCACTCAATCCTGTCAACCACATAATGAAGTACGTGGGAAAGACATCGTCACTGCCCCATCGTCAGTGCCCTGTGTCATCCCTTTACAAAGAGAAAGCAGCAGAAGTGGGATATTTGTTGAGTGTTTCCTATGTGCTACACGTCCTGCTAAACACATCCTGCTCATTTCATCCTCCTGAGGAAGATACACTGTCATCATTTCTTTCACAGATCAGGACTGGAACTTGTAGAGAAGAAACATTTTTTCCTTCTACCCTTATAAATGCTTGGCTGAGGCCCCTGTAACAAGAAACAGAGTAACAAAAGACAAGCACACAAATTTATTTAACCGAAATTTTACATGACATAGAGCCTTCATAAGAAAACGAAGACCCAAGAAACTGTCGGTTAAATCTGAGGGTTTTTATATTAAGTTTGACGAAAAGTGGAAAGTCATGTGGAAAATATGATAGGAAAAAGGTAGGAAGTCAGTGTGGTAAACTGTGGGGAAATTTTGCAAACCCTGTTCTTTAAGATTCATCTTAGGAGATGAGGATGCTCCTTTCCTCCAGGCAGAGGGAGAACATGTCTCACATGAGGGCCTTGTGACCTGCTTAGGGGAGAAGGGCAGGGGAAGATCAGAGTTCTTCCTGCCATTTCTCAAGTTCCTTCAGCTTATGATATTCAATATTCCAAGGTGCCACATTTTGGGGTAGTGTGTCCTGAACCCCAAGCTTCATGAGGTTAAGTAGCTAGACTGAAGTCACACCGTAAGTGGAGCCATGGGGATTCGAATGGAGGCTTTACTACAGAATAGGTTGCTTTATTAAACGACACTGCCTCTCACTGTGCTAGATGCTTCATCCTAGCATTATCCTATTTGATGGTCTCATGAGGCTTGTGAGGAACTCACACCCATCTCCTTTCAGAGGTGAAAAAACTGACTGAGATGACACAACTTGCTAATCAGTCCCTTTTTTTTTATTACTAACTGTATTGACAGGAAATGGGTACTTGAACTTCTGATGGTCTATTAAGGATAATATCTGCAAATGCAATTTGACCAGAATAGTGATAATGTACTAGCAAAAGAGTCTCAAGAAAGTGATATGGCATAAAATGGATAGGGTTAGATTTCCTTCTTAAAACATAACCTAATCTGAAACGGGTGGAGAAACAGGGCAGAAAATCCACATATTTTGAGGCACGTAAATTAGTGCTGAATGTCTACTTGCCTCTCAGCAAAGCCCACTCCCCGATCACCTCAAAGCAACCTCTTGTCACAACCAACAGTTCCCACATCCAGTGAAATCAGAAGGACTGGCACAAGAAGTTTTCCAATTGTCTCAACCTCTAGAATAGAGGTTTTGTGTTGTTAACGAGGCTATTCAGAGGTTCCGTTCTCAACAATGCTTAAGAATTCAGGCAGATGGCTGAGGCTGGTTTTGCGGATCTGACCAAAGCATGCCCTAAAACTGCTTGGCCATCAACCTTGAACTTTTTTCAAATGATCAGTAAACAGTTATTGATAATCCAGACCCAGACTCTAAAACAGATCACAGAGAGCATCACCAATTTGCTAAAGAAATAATATCAAAATGATAAACCTGACCCCAAAAATTGTCAAAATTACACCAAGGCACATGCCTAAGTACAGCCTTTCCCTCTCAATTTCATGCCTTAAAAAATTATTAGCCAACCACTGTTTTAAAAAGCTTTTTATAAAATTATTAACCAGCTACAGGAACCAAAAATTACTTGGAAATATTCACTTTAATTTAGCACAACAGCTAAGAGATGCTCACCCTCAGAATCATAAAAACCAACAATCCAGTTGGCATGAACTGTTAAGAACACTATATGTGCCTGCTTGACTAAAATGTAACAGTAAAGCCATAGCAAAAGCAAAATCCTTTCTTCAGATCTAACACTAGTTTAATCTTAAGGAGGATTTCACAGCAGTTAGTCTCTTGAGGCAATACATAATTAAGTAGTTTTTTAGCATATTTAATTAGACCCCAAACTCTTCCCCATCCCCTTCTCTCCCCAATTATGTACTATTTGCCCAAGAGACCTAAGCAACTCAGTTAATTATGTAAATAAGGCAAGAGTTATTCCCAAGAAAAGCATTGTGAATATTTGGAGGGGGAAAAAAACTGTACATATTTTAGAGGCTTTAACAAATCTTTGTAAAAAAAAGAAAAAACTGGAGTATCAAAATACATAGAAAACCCTTACATTTGAGGCTAAAAGCATGGTGTTCCAATGACAAGACAGTGAATCATTAAAACAAGACACTCATTTCATTTCTTAAATATGAGCCGAAAAAAAATAAAATAATTTTAAGTTACAACAGTAACAAAAATTTAGTGCTGAACGTCAGATGATTTATGGGAGGAATCAATCTGGAAATTATTAAGAGTCAACTCTCACGGAAAAGGCTTTATTATCAAGGGGTTGACATGATCTTAACTCTAGAGGCAGCCATGGTGCTGTTATAACTACTACAATCCCATTATTATGCAATCACAAAATGCTAATTTGATCATTTTGAGGTGTTATTTGAATAGTCATTTTAATTTCTAGGTTACAAAAAGGCTTGACTCAAGTATAATTCTCTATTAATCATTGAGATGTCATTGTATATCATATTGACGCATTTCACAAAGATAAAGAAAGACTAATTTAATATGTACAGTACAATATCCTTCAAATATTAGCCATTTTCATTACATATCTGCCAAATGCATCAATATTAAATAACAGATGAGAACAAGGGTTTAATTGTATTTTAGCAATTGTAATATGTAAGATAATAATACAATAGCATCACATAAGATAGACTTATCAATATCTAAATCTTTCTTAATCAATGCATAATGGTGACTGCTCTGCACTCACATCCTTCGTGGATTACAAATAGACTTGCTATGACAAAAGCATTGAGAGCCTTCAGTGTAAACACACATCTAGCGAGAATAATTCCTTTGTGACTAAGGAGATGGTTTACTTTTTATTTTCCCGCTGGTACTTCAGAAGTTAGATATATACACACCAAGCAGAGTTCACAACCTTGTGACAAATCTGAACCTAAGTAATTAACAATAAAGTCTATGGTATAAAGAGAATTATAGAGTATTTTAAAAGATCTGTGCTATTTTTTGATATAAACACATTATCACACATCAACTATTCCAGAAATTACATCCTCAAACAATGAGATGGTATCAGGCAATGGAAGCAAATAAATTCCAACTGCTTACCCTAATCCCAAGAATAACTTCTCACATGTCTAAATGAATCATTGTAGTATTTTTTTTTAAATCCTATGTAGTCCAACTCGCCATTTTCCAGAGGCTGACATTCCTGTCCCCTGGGGGAACTTCCTTCTCCATGCTACATTCCACAAAACAGGAGAAAGCAGCAAGGGCAGACGAAAGAGAAGCTTTACATCAATACAGTCTATAACTTACTAAAAGTGCTGTCAGAAGTTCTTTGGAGGAAACTTCCAGAGCATATTAGGACCTTTATATTACTTATGCATTTTGTTTCTAGTTTTTGCTCTTATCCCTCAGAAACATCAATAACCTCATGTGCCAGTGGCCATACATGCTTACTGAAACCTACGGAAACCTGCTGAATTGTAGGAAGTAAAAGTCTTTCGAAGAGAAAACACCTCTGCTCAAAGAGGACAAGTGACAGAACCAGCTCATGAAAAAAAAAAATCAAGCATAAGCAAAAAGCTGTATGTTTATTAACTGCAATGGCGCTGAAGTAAGACAAATTATACACAATACCTCCAGGCAAAGAGCTATCACTCAGCACCCCACACCACTGCCAGACAGCAAACATCATGGCAATAAATACAAAAATCAACCGCTACTGTCTTCTGAACAAGGCCCTGCTCAGGTCAGCACAGAGACACAAGAAGGCAGGGGGTTGGGGAAGGGGTGCTGCATATGAAACTAGGATCCACCTGAAATAGTGGCCATGTTTCTAAAAGGAAAACAAACACACTTTAATTTCATAACAGCAAACTTAGCACAAACAGGCAAAAAACAAAGTTAGCCTCCATAGCAAGTGTCAAGATCCCCCTACAGTGAAATACTGAAATGCAAGCAATAGCCTAGAATTCTGAAATAAAGCTCAGATCTCAACAATTTCTACAGTTATAATAATCAAACAATTTCTACAGTTATAATAATCAGCCAAGACAATGCAAATTGCCTCCCAGAACCACTTTCAAGGCTTTCCCAATACAATTAGACCTTGATTAATCACAATCTAACTAATCCAACTTCTCAAGTATACTTAGGAGATAAAACGGATTAAAAATATACACATATATATTTCTCTCTCCCTTCCTCCCCCTCCCCTTTCTCTCATATATATATAAACATATGTATATACATATATATACACACACATATATATATGTGTGTTGGGGAGGATTAAAACACAACAGTCCTGAGATATCTATACACAGAGAAAGAGAGAATGAAAGAGCACAGGACTGTTTTTGTTTTAATCCTCCCAAATATATTACTGTGGAAACAATACTGAACCCAAATTCATACCTTTACATCAAGTCTTAGAAAATGTAAGTGACATTCTATAACTGTCAACTGATATTCTACAAAGCATTTCTGAAACCCTAAATCTAATAATAATACCAACAACAACTCCACTCAATTACAGTTTTACTTAAAGGGACAAAGTCTCATTTTTACTTACCTTGCCATCAAATTTGGAATACTCGTTAAAAGGGTTATTCAGCTGCAGAGGGCACTGTTCTAGGCGTACAGATAATATCGACTGCTTCCCAGAAATTGGAGGCTTCTCTTTGAGAGATTTTTTTTCAAACAGTGACTTTAACTCCTGGGCTGTGATACAAGAGGAAGAAAAACATCTTTGTGATTACACAGAGACAACTTGTCCACCTTCCCTAAAAAGTCTTCCTTAGAACCTTAAGGAAGGAGCATCCAGAGACATGTTCAGGTCGGATACATGCAGAAAGCCCCACAATATACCGTGCACTGAAAAGGCAGAGCACGGAAGAACGTGCAGGCCAGGATAGTCAATTTGGAAAGAGAAGGGGTTAAGGGAGGGGGAAGAATCAGACAAAGTAACAAAGGAGCCATTTTATAGGAAGAGCACTCACAGCCAGGAGACCCGAGCTTTGGCCCGGCTTTGCTACTAACGGCAAGCTATGTGACAGTAGACACTTCTCTAAACCTTTCTGGGCTTGTCAAACTAGAAAATCTCAAAGATCCCTCCTGCCTGTAATATTATGTGATTTTGGAATTCTAGTTCTTCAAGGTCAAGATCTGCATATTAATTCTCTAACACTCTCCAGTTGCACCTTGTACAAACTCTTGATGCCAAAGATGAAGAGGAGAAAAAGAGAAAGGATATTTATAATAACAGTAGCTAACATTTATTGCTGCTCGGCCTTTTGGCTAAGATCAAGTGTAGTAACAGTAGCTAACATTTATTTAGCAAGTCAATATATCTCATTTAATCCTCATAACAAGCCTATGAGGTAGATACTAGCGTTATCTCAGATTTGTCAATGTGGAAACAAGCTTAGAATATTTTGATTAGCCCTGGACCACACAGCTAATAAGTAACAGAACTAGAATTTGCACCTGACCAAGGCTCTTATACATTAGGGCACTAATGAACAAGGTAGACACTGAATAAATTTTGTTGCATGAATGAATGAATGATTGAAATAATTCAGATTAAAATTATTAAATCTGAATCTTCAGTTCTTATTCATTAGTGAACCAAGACAAGTTCCGTAACTTTTCAAAGATCATTTAATTCTCTAAATCAATTGGAATATCAATCAAGGTGGCGGTAGCTAGATGATAAGCGGCTATGAAGAAATGTCCACACTTAAAGTTTTTAAATAAATCAATCTGAGACTTTAAAATCCGCAATAGACGTGTTCAACCCCATTCCACTTTAGCATAGTCAAATTAAACCAAGAGAGAGAACAGAGCTCCGAAAGAGTCACTTAGAACTTTCAAAAAAAAATGTAACTGCAGCTGGGCACCGTGGCTCAAACCTGTAATCCTAGCACTTTGGAAAGGCAAGGTGGGAGGATCACTGGAGCACAGGAGTTCGACATAATCAACATATTAAACACAGATTTGAAGAGGAATTAGACTATAATTCAATTAAAGTAATATTTTAAATATGGGAAGTACTTTTCTACCTGTAATCTATTACCACTTTCATGCTTACAATTGGGAAAGAAATGATCCTTTATTAAGCATCTATTATGAGCCAGGATCAATACTAGGTATTTTCCTCACCTGGCACAGTCACAGTCTTCACAGATCCTAAGAGAGATGTTACTACTAGCTCCATGAAGAAACTGAGGAATCCCAAACATAAGTAATGTATAGACTTCACACAGCTGTTACCAATAGGGTTAGGTGCAATGTGATGCTATGATTAACCCTTTCATTCTCAGACATTCACACTCAGACCTCTCTCCTCAACCTAACACCTCCTCCCCTCTTCCTCCTTTGTCGAGGCTTGGAGAATAGAAACAACCAAAGAGAACTTTTGCATGCTCTCATCTGCTCTTCTATCTGCCTGTCCTCCTACTAGCGAGGATGAACTCCCTCTGCCCTTACCTTAGGCCAGCCCTTCCCTTGTGCACTAGATCCCATCCCTCTTGCCAACTCATGAACAGCTCTCCAGCAATTCTCTTCTCTCTCTTCCATTGTCAATTTTTCTCTTACTGAATTAGTCACATCAGCACACAGTACTGAAACACTGCTCATTAAAAAAAAAAAAAATCCTCTCTCTATCCCATACTCCCTCCCTTCTGGTTACTACCATATTTTTCTGCTTCTTAAAATGTCTGTCTATATTCTTCCTGTCCAGTCCCTCTACTTCCATTCAATCAAATCCACTCCAAGTAGGCATATTCAGGCCACACTACTCCACCAAAGCAGCTTTTATCGAGGTCACCAATGATCCCTTTGTTGCTAAATCTGTTGGTGAATTTTTAATCCTCATCTTACAAGATGTCTTGGCAGCATTTGACACGGTTCCTCACTCCCTCCTGTTTTAACATTTTTTTCACTTGGTCCCCAGGACTCCACTCTATCTGGCTTTTATACTGTCTCTCAGGCTACTTCTTTCAGTCCCTCTGCTGATTCATCTCATTTCTCCCTTGAATCACTGGCATTTCCCAAGGCACAGCACTTGGACCTCTTCTCAATCTACATTCACGCCACTGGTGATCTCATCCAGTCGTATGCTTTTAAATACCATCTATAAGGGGCAAAACTAAATTGTGGTGACATAAATCAGAACAATGCTTGCCTCTGGGGAGTGAAATGACTAAAAAGGGGCACGAGGGAACTTTTTTGGGGTGACAGAATTGCTCTATACTTGTCTGGGATGCTAGTTATATAAATGTATATGTCTGTCAAAAGTCACTGAGCTGTACATTTAATATCTGTACATTTCACCGAATGTAAAGCATACCTCAAAAAAAGTAAATAAATAAAAAGGGAAACCCCAAGTAAATATCTTCTACATGCTAGTACCTCTCAATGGTTATTTCTAACCCTAAACACTCCCTGAAATTATAGACATCCAACTTTCTACTGGACACTTTCACTTGGATGTCCACCAGGCACCTCAAGTGTTACCTATCCATAACCAAACTCTTGATCTTTCCCCAAAGCTCCCACTCCCACAGTCTCCTCAGTTAATGGCAATTCAGTTCTATTAGGCCAAAAACCTGGGAGTCATCCTGACTTCTCACATCCTACCCATCAACCGACACTTCAAAAGCTATTCAGAACCGTGGCAACCGCTAGCAACGCTGTGTTATCATCACCTTAAAACCCGCTTTACTGTTTCTGCCCTTGCCTCCTCACCCCAACCCTTGTTTCTTCCTGACACAGCCGCCAATATGAGTCTTTTGAAATACAAGTTACAAACTTCAGAATGAGGAGAAAAATTGATAAACCTGACCACATGAAAAGAAAACACTTCTGTATGGGAAAAAAGTAAAAAGACAAATGATAAATTAGGAAAGAATAAAGGTCAATATTCCTAATATGTAAATATTCTAAAAGTAAAGAAGACACTGAACAACACACATAGAAAAATAAGACAAAAATATGAAATGTTCACAGAAAAAGAAATGTAAACAGCTCTTAAATGGAAAGATTCTCAACCACATTCATAAGAGATATGCAAATTAAAACTACATTTCATCAGATTGGCAAAAATCTAAAGATTTGAGGCTCTGAGGACATAGACACTCTGTATGTTACCAGTGGGAGCATGAAACAGCGAAAGTCCTATGAAACGGAATTCGGAAGATCAAGGAAAATCACATCTTCATTTACCCTCTGACCCAACAATACCACTTAGATACACTGGTAAAACAAAACTTAAAAAAAAATGCATACAACTATTCTCTGCGGTGCCATTTGCAAAAGCAAAGCCTGAAAACAAACAAACATCCCTCACCGGGGCATGGGTTGGCACTGGTACATGCGTATCACAGAGTATTATGCAGCTGTAAAATGGAATGAAGCTTATCTCTATATATTGCTCCAGAAAAATCCTCGGAATATATTACTAAATAAAAAAAGTATTGTACAAAACAGTATGTATAGTATGCTATCTTTAATCTAAAAAGGGGATATAAATATAAATATGCTTATATATAGTTTTAAATGGACAAAAAACCTTTTTAAAAATGACTATAAAAGAGTGAAGGGAACAGAAAGTGAAGCTAGATTTCTCTGACTTTATCTTGCTTTATGTTTCTGACTTTGAAGCCATGTCAATGTTTTAAATAATTATAAAAGAAAATTAAAAGCATAACCTCTAAAAACAAAGGCAAAATGAAATACATGAACCTAAGTATAATAATGACTTGGCAGATTAACTACAAAGAGGGGAATTATTTTAAATAACTTTGTTACCCAGCAAATGACCCAATTTCTTCAACAAATAAATTATAAGAAAAAAGTGAAAGAGAAGCTATAGATTAAAAAATGAGACATTAACCAAAGTAGTAGATGGATCTTAGATCCAAACATGAACAAAACAATAGAGAAAAAAGAAAAATTTGAGATGATTAGGGAAATATGAACGATAATCGGATATTTAATAATATTAAATAATTATTTCTTGGCCAGGCACTGTGGCTCACCGACTGTAATTCTAGCACTTCGGGAGGCCAAGATGGGCAGATCACTTGAGCCCAGGAGTTCAAGACCAGCCTGGCCAACATGGCAAAATCCCATCTCTACAAAAAATGCAAAAATTAGCCAGGAATGGTGACATGTGCCTGTAGTCCCAGCTGCTTGGGAGGCTGAGGAGGAAGAATCACTTGAGCCCAGGAAGTTGAGGTTGTAGTGAGCCATGTTCATGCCACTGCATTCTAGCCCCGGTGAGAGTGCAAGACCCTGTTTCAAAACAAAAATTTTTTTCCTGACTGGGCACGGTGGCTCACGCCTGTAATCCCAGCACTTTGGGAGGCCGAGGTGGGTGGATCACGAGGTCAGAAAATCGAGACCATCCTGGCTAAGAGGGTGAAACCCTGTCTCTACTTAAAATACACAAAATTAGCTGGGTGTGGTGGCGGGCACCCGTAGTCCCAGCTACTCGGGAGGCTGAGGCAGGTGAATGGCGTGAACCCAGGAGGCGGAGCTTGCAGTGAGCCAAGATCGTGCCACTGCACTCCAGCCTGGGCGACAGAGCAAGACTCCGTCTTAAAAAAAATAAAAATAAAAATAAAATTTTTCTTTATAAAGAAATTATTTTAAATGTTTTTCAATGTAATTATTAAACATTTCTTTATAATAATTAACATAAATAATTTTAAATGATATAGAGAATATTAAAATAATATTAATTTTTTGAAGAGTAGTAGTGCCACAGTTTCCTTATATGTTAAAAATACAAAGTATTTAGGTATGAAATCATATAGTAGCTGGGATTTGCTTAAAAATAATCTGGGAGGGCTGGTAGTAAAATGTATAAATCAAACAGGACCAGCCATGTACTGTTCATTGTTGAAGCTGGCAGATGAGTGAAGGGAGTTCATTAAACCATTCTCTCTACTTCTGTGTATGTCTGAAATTTTCTACAATAAAAAGTTTTTTTTTAAGGAAATTTAAACTGGGGGAAAAGAAGTCACATATCACATCACTACTCTGATCAAATCACCTCAGAGAAAAAATACAATTCCTTACCAGACCCTCCATAACTAGGAACCCCACTACTGACTTCTCTGATCCCACTCTTCCCGTGCTTACTGTGCTCTAACCAACAGGCATCCTGCCTTGTTATTCTATTTTTTGAATACACCAGGCACGTTTCTGCCTCAGAATCTTTGCACTTGCTATTTCCTCCTCTTAGAACACTCATCTCCCGATATATGCATGACTCACTCCTCCACTTCCTTTAGATCTCTACTCAAACAGTACCTTCCTAATGAGCCCTTCCTTGGCCACCCTACACAAAATAGCAAAATTCTCTGCCTAGCATTCCTTATCCCCCTTACCTGGCTATATTCTTCTCCATGCCATTTACCCATTCTGGCACATTATGTTTACTGTTTATCTACCCCCAATCGAATATAAGCCCCATGAAGACAAGGACTTTGTCTTGTTCACTATTTGTTGAAGGAATAATTTATTATTTTTTAATAATAAATATTTGTTGAATGAATAAGTCTGGACCAGAGAAGTAGAAAAAGTTGCTGGGGTAGGGTATAGGAAGGGAGGACAGAGAGAGCAGATGCGCAGAAAGAAGCCAAGACAAGATGGGGGAAGTCATGAGAGCCCTTCCTTCTGGTTTCAAGCCATTCATCAGGCAGACTATACTTCTTGAGAGCCCTCCTTCAAGCTGCTTTTTGTTATTTGCAACTAAAAAGTCCTGACGAATATAAACAGTTGGACTTCACCAACAAACACAAAACTAAAAAAATAAATAGCCTGGAAATTTAATTATCATCAGCTTTATGAAAAAGCACACACTATAGCATTCAGAAGATGAGAATGTGTATCAGAACTTATGCATGGAACATACTAGAACTATAAGAATTTAGGGAGCAGCGGGATACAAAACAAATATATTAAAATAACAGATTTCGGCCAGGTGCGGTGGCTCACACCTGTAATCCCAGCACTCTGGGAGGCCGAGGAGGGTGGATTACCTGATGTCAGGAGTTCGAGACCAGCCTGGCCAACATGGTAAAACCCCGTCTCTACCAAAAATACAAAAATTAGCCGGGCATGGTGGCGGGCACCTGTAATCCCAGCTACTTGGAGGACTGAGGCAGGAGAATCACTTGAACCTTGGAGGCAAAGGTTGCAGTGAGCCGAGATCATGCTACTGCACTCCAGCCTGGGCAATAAGAGTAAAACTCCGTCTCAAAAAAAATAAAAAAAAATAAAAATAAAATAACAGATTTATTTACAAAAGACCAATAACAAAGGTATGAGGAAGAATGTCCTATTTATCATGGTAGGCTGGGTGTGGTGGCTCATGCCTGTAATCCCAGCACTTTAGGAGGCCGAGGCGAGAAGATCACTTGAGGTCAGGAGTTTGAGACCAGCCTGGCCAACATGGTGAAACCCCGTCTCTACTAAAAATACAAAAATTAGCCAGGCGTGGTGGCAGATGCCTGTAATCCCAGCTACTTGGGAGGCTGAGGCAGGAGAATCATTTGAATCTGGGAGGCGGAGGTTGCAGTGAGCAGAGATCGTGCCACTGCACTCCAGCCTGGGCAACAGAGCAAGACTCACTCTCAAAAAAAAAAAAAAAAGGAAAAGAAAAAGAACGGAACAAGAGAACACCAAAGACTCCTCAATACCCAAAGCTTCAGAAGCAGCTCCTTTCTGCCAATGATATGGGAGGGAGCAGAGCAGAGTAGAAAGACTATAAAGTCTTTGGGGTCAAACTGTCCAGGAGGTGAATTCTGGCTTCACCACTTACTACTTACAAGTAACTTGGGAAAGTTATTTGGCCTCTGAGCACCAGTTTTCTCACCTGTAAAAGAGACATACTAACAGCTAATTTACTGGCTTTGAATGAAGATGAAATAGGCCAGGCACAGTGGCTCACACCTGTAATCCCAACACTTTGGGAGGCCGAGGCGGGCGGATCACATGAGGCCAGGAGTTCAAGATCAGCCTGGCCAACATGACAAAACCCTGCCTCTACTAAAAATGTTTTTTAAAAAATTAGCCAAGCATGGTGGCACACGCCTGTAATCCTAGCCACTAGGGAGGCTGAGGCACAAGAATTGTGTGAACCCCAGAGGCGGATGTCACAGTGAGCCAAAACTGTGCCACTGCACTCCATCCAGCCTGGGTGACAAAAGGAGACTCTGTCTCAAAAACAAACAAACAAAAAAGAAATAAATAAACTTAGTGGCTAACATACTATATACCCTGAGCTGATTACTCATCAGAATCACCCAGGGACCTTTTGAAAACCATAACTTACCCTTAAGAAAGTTCTTTGTAATTCTCCCCACCCTTGAGAATGTACTTTGTGAGAACCACCCCCTGACCCCAAAACATTGCTCTTAACTCCACCACCTATCTCAAAACCTATAAGAACTAATGATAATCCCACCACCCTTTGCTGACTCTTTTCGGACTCAGCCCGCCTGCACCCAGATGAAATAAACAGCCTTGTTGCTCAAAAAAAACAAAAAACAAAAAACAAAAAAAAAACATAACTTTGTGGGCCCCAACCCCCATCTACTAAATCAAGAATTCCACAGGTGAGGCCTAGAAATGTATAGGGAATGTTATTATAACATGCACTTTTGGATGCAGTTCTGATTTTTATACCTCCATTGTATTTGGGAATCATTACTTAAGAAACCAATAATAGAAGTTACACAAAACTTCAGGTACATGTAAATAATTGATATAAATAAGCTACATTGTTGTTTTGCATTATTATTTAACTTCATGCATAAGAAGCCTTATTTGCCTATTAGACTTCGAACTTCTTGAGGAGAGGATTCATGTAGTCCTCCTAGAGCTCAGCACAGAATTATTAGGCACACAGGAGTTATGAAAGAAATACTTGTTAAATGATTCAATGAGTAAGGGTAATAACTAATTATGTACAGAATAAAATACCAATACCATTTTAAAATAATAAAATTAAAGATATTTGGATCTTAATATGACATTATTCCTAACAAAGCACCCTTCTGATGACACCATGTTCTTATCTATCCATGCAGTTTTAGTTACAAGAATATTACAAGGATCTTACTCTAAGGTATTTCATTTATCATGTGGTCTCATGGCACATGGATCAGTAAGTTCATAAAGAACTGAGGTATGGACTAGATGGTCTCCACAAACCCTCTATCTCCTCTATGAAAAGGCTGCCCTTATGCTGTGTCTTAAAGGATAAACTGGATGTTGACAGAATAATTGTGGAAGAAGAATACTTCCAGGGTGGTCATCCTGTTTAGAATGATGATTCTTCTAGTGGGGAATGAAATAAAACAAAGATAAGAAAAACAAATGAAAGGATTTTAGCAAAGCATAAATAATAGAAAAAGAATGAGGGAATGAAGTTGGGTATGGTGTCATGTGCCTGTAGTCCTAGCTCCTCAGGAGGTTGACACACTTGAATCCAGAGTTTGAGGCCAGCCTGGGCAACACAGTGAGACCCCCAATTCTTAAAAGCAGAGAATGAATAAATAATTACCCATCCAAAACTCTCAATAAAGATCAAAAAGATTTAGATGTGGCATTTCTTGCTGAGAGAGTACGTTTGTGGGAGATGTATAAAAAAAGGATGGCTGCTCAGTTTGCCAGGTAGATGTTTAGTGGACTGCTGATTCCACTTTTCTAGCATGCTTCAATACACCCAGAGTGCCAAGCTATGGTTTAATGATAGGACCCAGCCTAAGGGAGAATCCAAAGACATTCTTTTGTGCATTGATAAGTTTCACTCTAACCATCAGGAATGACTACCAGGCAGGCTGCTGGTCTGGCCAGAATCAGGGAATAACAGTTCAAGCATGAACATACACATTGAAGAGCTTCTCCAGAAGTAAGACCACAGGCTCAATTATCAAAATCCGTGAGACACAGAAAAGAGAGAGAAGGAAACTGAAGGAGAGAAGTATAAGAAGTACATGTCTACAATGGACAGTATGGTTACAAATGAAAGCAAAAGGTGACATAACTATTTCTCCAGCATATTCTGTGAAACAATGAACAAAAATTAAAGTAGATTAGACTTTAAAAAATAAGTGGGGGAGCAAATAAAATCCTCTATTTATTAGATGTATCAAAATTTAAGCTGAAGAACTTACTTCTCACATTGTAAAAGGGACTGATGCACCTATATTTGATGTACTCTATTCACCGTATTTTTGGGTTTGAGACACAGTCTCGCTCTGTTGCCCAGACTGAAGTGCACTGGCGCGATTTTAGCTCCCTGCAACCTCTGCCTCCCAGGTTCAAGCAATTCTCATGCCTCCGCCTCCTGAGTAGCTAGAATTACAGGCGCACACCACCATGCCCAGCTAATTTATATTTTTAGTTGAGACAGGGTTTCGCCATGTTGGCCAGGCTGGTCTTAAAACTCCTGACCTCAAGTGATCTGCCTGCCTCCTGGCTAATTTTTTGTATTTTTAGTAGAAATGGGGTTTCACTATGTTGGCCAGGCTGGCCTCAAACTCCTGGCCTCAACTGATCTGCCACCTTGGCCTCCAAAAGTGTTGGGATTACAGGTGTGAGCCACAGTGCCTGGCCTCACTGTGCGTTTTATTTATAATTTTTTAAGCTATGGAAGTGAAGAACGCAAATAAAGGGTGGCTGGAGAGACAGAGGAGCTTAAATAAACTTGCTCTGTATTCACTGATCAAGAAGAGATTAATAAGAACTGCTTTAAGATATATAAAAAATTTGAAAAAAGTGAATAAGATAAGTGATATAAAGTATTTTCAGTTTGTATTAAATACAACAAAGAGAAACATTAACTTGATCAACAGAAGGGGCTAGCCTCGTGAGATTTTGAAAGTATTCAGAGTAAAACTAGAGAGAAATTCAAGAACTACTGCATTCAAGCAAGTCAGAATGAGATATAAGTAAGAAAAACAAGTAATTGGGACTTCTGGTTCTACACAGTCATCACTTAGTAGCAGTCATGAAGAAAATCATACCTGCTAAGGATACTTGAGTTTATAACCATAGTATGAGAAATCAAGAAGCACTTTACAGAGTGATTTAGCGCAGAGAGACTGGCCTTTATATGCAGGCAGAGCTGGACACAAAACATCTCATTATCACACTTCCCTCCATGTTGGGTAACTTTGGCAAGTTCATCAAATCCCTGAGCCTTTGTCTTATCTGTAAACAATAGCAACGATACCTACACCTTGCAAGATCACTGCAATAGAGGTAATGCATGTAAAGTACCTAGTAGAGCACGAGGTAGAGGCTGCTATTAGTATAATAAACCTTAATATTATTAGACTTATAATTATTGTGTAACAATGGAGCCAATCCACAAATATTTATTAGGCATCTATTACATGCCGATATGATATTGGGAGGTGCTGGGAGGATACAGAAGACAGACTGCAGATATTTCTTTTAAAGGAGAAGAAAAAGAGAAAGTCTAGGAAACATGATATAACCACTATAAAATATTTTAATAGCATTTTATTTCTGAAATTGTTTTTCTCCCCAAGTCTTTTCTTCTTGCTGAGACTGAAGCTTTGAAAGTATATAATATGGCCAGCCTTTATACACATACTATATGAAAATATACAGCAAATGCTAATAATACCAGCAACATAATGGTTTTTACACTAAGGGAAAAGAATTTGCATATATGCAAAAAAGACTGTTACTAGGCCCACTAATGGGGCAAGGAAAAGTCTAGGTTGGAACTGCCAAGAGAAATCTGTAACCTGGAAACTCATCCAAAATATCACAGGGGCTGGGCGCAGTGGCTCACGCCTATAATCCCAGCACTTTGGGAAGCCAAGGCAGGTGGATCACTTGAGGCCAGGAGTTCGAGAACAGCCTGGCATGGTGAAACTCCATCTCTACTAAAAATACAAAACTTAGCCAGGCATGGTGGTGTGCACCTGTAGTCCCAACTACTTGGGAGGCTGAGGCAGGAGAATTGCTTGAACCAGGGAGGCGGAGGCTGCAGTGAGCCGAGATGGCACCACTGCACTCCAGCCTGGGTGACACAGCAAGACTCCGTCTCAAAAAAAAAAAAAAAAATCGGCTGGGCACAGTGGCTCATGCCTGTAATCCCAGCACCTCAGGAGGCCACGGTGGGTGGATTACTGGAGGTCAGGAGTTCAAGACCAGCCTGGCCAACATGGTGAAATCCCATCTCTACTAAAAATACAAAATTAGCCAGGTGTGGTGGCATGCGCCTGTAATCCCAGCTACTGAGGACGTTGAGGCAGGAGAATCGCTTGAACCGGGGAGGCAGAGGCTGCAGTGAGCCAAGACCGTGCCATTGCACTCCGGCCTGGGCAAAAAGAGTGAAACACTATCTCAAAAAAAATAATAATAATAAAAATCAAATCATAGGGTACTCCTTGGCCTATATTTTTTTAAAAAATCAGAAAAAAATACTGACATGACAGCTTGTAAAAAATGTCCCCTGCACACATCAATCCCTGTGACCCAGAGTGAAGGGTGGCCAAAAAGCCAAGAACTAAAGAGCATATAGCTTCAGAGGGTCAAGGCACACAAGAGAAAGAGCTCAAAGCTCAAAACACTAGAGGTATCTAAGTCCAGAGGATTTAAAAGGATGAATTAAAAATAAAAGTTCTTATATAATAAACTAAATATATAAATCTCAAATTAAGAATTAAAATCATTTCCATTTACCTGATTGCTTAGAATTTCTTTCTTTCCACTGAATATTTTTGCATTTGATCTGGTTTTGTCTCTCTTTTCGGAGTCGTTCTAATCTTTGAGCTTGAAAAGAAATATTATAACTGTAAGTTTGTCAATGAAAGTTTACCATAAACAAAGACATAATTAACTACCTTTACATGAATAAAGATGTTTTATATTGCATATGTAGAGAAAAAGTCATAAAATTTTAAAGGTGGCACCCCTGAAAAGCAAATACCAACAAAAACATGAAAATATTCTTGATTTATAATTGAAATTAGAGGATATAAAACACTAATAGAGATCATAAAGATAGTATTAACATGGAAGAGAATAATAAAATGTGAAAACTTCTGTGATTAATATGACATTTCATTATATAAATCATTAATAACGGTCTTAAAGGAATTTTAATGCACAAATGAACTGAAGTGAATATTACATTACAGGAATAAAATTACTGTTATGAATTACTCTACCCATTTCAAAAATTAAAGATAAATGAACTCAGACTAGACTATTAAAGTTTTAAATATAAAATCCTTTATCTAAAAATCATGAAAATTATAAAATGTCAAAGCTATATAAATTAGCATAGCTTTTCTTCAGTGGGCTGAAACAGTTTATAGGTAGTAAAATAAATGATTTGTATCTTTGTAACATTAGTCAAATCTTAAAAAGAACAATTTTTCTTTTACAAAATTTTAAGATATGCTGCATGGATTAAAAAGTAAATTCTTTGGTCACTAAGACAACCTACAATCTCAATTAATTATTAGCATCTAAGTGCTACCTAAAGAAATTCCAACAAGAGTCACCTAAAATTATGCATTTGTGATTATATTGCCACTGGCTGATCAACCTTCAAAAATCAGTGAACTGATCCTTTAGAGAAATACCACCCAGCATGCACTTAACAACTGCCGCATACAGAGACCACAATAAAAAAGAAAGTCACAATTGATGCCATCTCTTGAAATCAGTTTTCTCTTGCTAATCTTCAGCTTCCTATCCCAGCATTTTGCTAATAGAAAATAAATACATCTCTTTTTCCGCCTCTTTCAAGATAGGAAATTATACACTTCTGCCTTAGCATTGTGGTAGGGAAACACTGAAAATAATCTTACCAGAAATTTAAACTATGCTGGGAAGAGCATTCTGACAATGTCACTATATCTAACCAACACTGAAGAAAACTACATTCAATTGCAATTAATAAATGTGAAGGGTACAGCCAAAGTAATATAATCATAAAGCTCTCAATTTAGCAGCATTCTCCCACTGAAATACATTCAACCTGTCATATAAGATATCATCTCAATAACCTGCAAGGAAGTCAGTTTCAACTAGAGAACTGAAAATCAATGGTTCTAAATTATATTCAAACCTTCACTCAAATCCTATTTTGACAAAAGTTCCTTTAGATACTGGGAAATGCTATTAATTATTTTCATCATGAGAGCAAATTATTCTTATGTCACAGATACTGAATTCTGAACCAAAACTTGAATGTGCCTTTCACAGTAAATTGTATCCAGCTCTACCTCCAATATTCCTTTATGTGTGTTTTACATTTGGACCATGAAAATAAATATGTAAGTATTTTCAGTGTTCTACTATATCTCCTTGCCATTACCTTTCCTGGGAGTTAGCAGGTTACTGCTAATTTGAAGATTATATTTTCTGATTATCTAAAAAAAATTACCTCCTAGAATACCTGTCATATTAGAACTACAATATGTATTCTAAATAATTTGTCTAAGTAAAAAAAAAAGTCCTTGGTTCATCACATTCCCCTTGAAACAAGGCCACCAAAAAAATATAAGTGGGAAAATGGGCAATAAGCTTTTAAAGCTAATGACTAAATACGTGTATACCAAAGTTGAGTGTTTTCAAGCCAGAAAAATCAAAAGGTGATCAATTTAAGAAAATAAAGGCGAAGTATCAAAAACAGGGGCCCCTTTTCTAATCTCACACCCTATGTATAGAATCCTACTAAAACCAGCCCTAACAAATACTCAGGTGTCTCCTCCCATTTCCCCACTCCCCCACAATTCCTCCAGGGGCAAGAAGTGCCTGCTCTCTTTGGGTGGTCACCTCTCTGTATTAAATGCTCTTTATTATGTCAACCTGAAATCTGTCTCCGGGTAGTCTACCTACTGGGACTAATGTTGCTGTGTGAAGACACTCAAAGCCAGTCCACTTGCCTTTCTACACAATGACTTGTTAGAAATGTCCAACATGTCTCTCCTAACCAACTTTTTCACTATCCCCCTTCTGTCTACTTCTAATAATATTCTAGAGGCCCTCTCCATTCGCAGTCGCAGAGATGGAGATGTTGCTCAGACTCACTCTTAGTCTGACATATGCATGTTCCTATTAATACCCGGAAACATCCCCCATTAAGCCTATTCCAATATTATGCATTATTCCATAAGACTGTTTACTGATTTAAAGCTCAGAAGACATGACTAGAACACAATGTTTACCTGTGTTTGAGCGTCTTCTAATACCAAAGTCCCAACTTGAGGTAATATCGACTGACTGGGCATATACATAGCCCTGAGTCTCACCATTGCTTCCCTGAATTTCTGACCCACTGTCTCCAGGCATTGAAGGAGGATGAATCTTCTCTAGGTCAACATCATGATCAATGAGAACCATCTCACACATTCCCGTGTCATCACTGGTCACATGTGACTGTCGAATATGAGCTAGAATGATAGTTGGATTGTCCAAGAAGGCCATCCTTTCTGTGGGCCAATTTCCTTAAAAGGCTATTTTCTCCTCTTCATATTGTTTCACGAGCTCACCTACCTAGAAACATGATGTACACAGCAAATATTTAAGAATAAGGCAGAAAATGACTGAATCATTTTTCAGACACATTCAGTGTAGTAAAATGCCACCTTGAAAATCAACATTTATCCCTGTTCTGTGGAGCTTAAAAGGATTTAGTCTAAGCTGAAAGGAAATCCTTATAAGCACTAGGGGCTGCAGCTCTAGTCAATGAGATCTCTATAGAATCAGAAAGGAAGGCTTGCACTCTTGCAAAACAAATCACAGCAACTCCTTACAAGTCAGGCCACTCGAAGCACATAACTACTGTTAAAACAATATATTTTCCTTTCTTTCTCCCTTCACTATCATGCAATCTTCTCATTACTTTATAAGGTCATGGGGGAACAAGTTGTATTTTCCTCAAATGATGTGCTAAAGTACAAAACTCTATTTCATCAGTTTACATTTCCCCTCCTGTCATATGATTGTGAAGTGTTTAAAAGGGCACAGACAATGCTTTCAGAGTTACTAGGGGTTTTATAAAAATGATGTACCACCAAATTAATGTTGCTCAATGAATATATTTTCCTGTCAAGATAGTATTGTGTTTTTGTTGTTGTTGTTGTTGTGTTTTTTCTGAGACAGGGTATCGCGCTTGTTGCCCAGGCTGGAGTGCAGTGGCGTGATCTTGGCTCACTGCAACCTCCACCTCCCAGGTTCAAGATTCTCCGGCCTCAGCCTCCCGCGTAGCTGGGATTACAGGGATGCGCCACCATGCCCAGCTAATTTTGTATTTTTAGTAGAAATGGGGTTTCTCCATGTTGGTCAGGCTGGTCTCAAACTCCCGACCTCAGTTGATCCGCCCGCCTTGGCCTCCCAAAGTGCTGTGATTACAGGCGTGAGCCACCATGCCTGGCCTGTGTTTTTAAAATAAAATTTATAATCAAAATTACCTACTATACAATCAACTTCTTATTTTAGAAACTTAATTATAAAAACTGCTTCCTCAGTCCTGTTAAAACTGTAATGAGGCCGGGCACAGTGATTCACACCTGTACTCTCAACCCTTTGGGGGGCCGAGGCAGGAGGACTGCTTGAGTCCAGGAGTTCAAGACCAACATGGGCAACACAATCAAAACTCTATCTCTACAAAAATATATATATATAATAATTATTATTTTTTAATTAGCTGAGCATGGTGGGACATGCCTGTAGTCATAGCTACTCATGAGGCTGAAGTGGGGGGATCACTTGAGCCCCAGCATTCAAGGCTGCAGTGAGCTATGATTGCACCATTGCACTCCAGCCTGGGTGACATAGTGAGACCCTGTCTTCTAAAAACAAAACAAAACAAAACATACAAAAAACACTGTAATAATATTTGTTCTAGTAACAAGATAGCACCCTCTCAGTTAAGTGAAAATACTCAACAAAGAAAATATTGCAGGACAACGGTTAGGTACTAGGCCCTAGAGACAGAAAGGGTTCAAACCCTGGCCCTATTACTCGTTAGCTATAAGATCTCAGTCAAAATACTTTACCTTTTTGAGCCTCCCTTTTTTTTTTCCTTCATTTATAAAATGGAAGCTTCAGGAGATAATGCAGGTAAAATGCTCAAAAAAATACATGGCATGTAATTAAATAAATGTTAGCTATTAATAATAATGATAAAAAATCAATAATTTCAATGATCAATTCTTGCTTAAAGTAGTCCTAAAATATGTCAATATCCCATCTGTCTTAGTAAGTTCGTGGCACATAAAATAAGTCTGTGCTTCCTTTGTGATAGAGGACACTGCAAGTCATCTGAGTGACTTCCCTGCCCCTGCAAAATTGTTGAGAAGTACAAGGAATATGAAAGCTGGATTGACTATGTTTCCAGGAACAGTCCTAGAAGATACTTACTTTCAGAAGGACTTATAACACCAGATTTTCTTGTAATCTGTTTCTTCTAGAAATGGAACATAGAGAGGAAATCTAGCTAATAAATCCTTACAGTTAACTAAGGTTTTAAAAATTGTTGTCTGGAAACACATCATTCTGCTGATGTGTCTTAAAGTGGGTCTTAAAATAAAGATACTGAGATTAAAAAGAAATTTAACTGAGGAGCATCTCTAATCAAGCAAATTACATTAATCTTCACTTTTTTCCTCTTAATATATTCCTTGAGTACTTATTTTACTCTGAGGCTAATGGGAAATGCAAAGGTGAGTAAGGTATCCCTGAATCAAAAAGTTAATACCCTAATACAGACCGAGTACATCTCCTAATACCATGGGATTCCTTTAAGCATCAAATTTCTGAGATATCTGGTCCCTGAAGTATTAGTGTCAATCTACCATTTTAAGGATATTGATCAGAAAAAAATATGAAATTAACAATGAGCATTTAAATTTCACTTGTAAAAATACAAACTTCTCTATAACCATAAAAAATGTATACACCACACATTTATTTATAAATGAGAGTATTTGTGGAAGCATAGTATCACAGATCAGAGCTGCAAACATCCTTCTACAGCAATCACAATAAGCCATCTTCCTGGCATGAAAGGAAGGCAGCTAGTCACCAGTAGAGAGGCAGGTGCTTTCAAATTCATACTGAATAGTTCTCCCTTGCAAAAACAAGGGCTTTAATGAGAAGTCACACATTTAATACACTTGATCTTAGCCAAAAGGCCGAGAAGTGATCAGATATTTAATAGGTGTTCTAGCACCAAAAAGTCAAATGGCAAAAGGCAAAGTGACAAAAGTATACTGAAGTGCCCTCAATAAAATCTATTCTAGGGAAATAGATCACTTCTGAAGATAAGAGGAATGGGCAAACACTTCTGAAGGCACATACCAACTTCCCAGCTTTATCCTCCCAGAACAAATGCCTCAACAGCAGCAGATATCTTCTCTATTAGGACACTATGACTTCATACATTAAGGAATCTGTATGATTCATTCAAAAAATATTTATTCCCTACCAGCTCTGATATGGAACTCCCACAGGACTGCCCCAGAAAACATATTATTGTGTATGTCACTTTTTACCTCCAATTACATGTACTTAAAGACTTAGACTATAAGTTCCACAAGGACAGGGTTCATAACACCATATTCCTTCTGGCAACAAAGGCTGTTATACATGGCAGGAGTTCAATAAATGTTGCTGTCTAACTTCCAAGGACTATTCAATTTTGTTGTAGAGATAAGTCATATATGAATGTGCCAGGTGTAAGTGTGTGATTATAAATAAAGGATTGTCTTTTTTTCGTAATACAAGAGCATCTCTTCAACGTGCCCTTCAAAATTGTCCCCTTGGAACACTATTCAACTTATTCTAACAAGACTACTTTTCAAAACCCAAAAGAATATTTTAAAAAATCTCCCAAAGAGCAGCAAATTATCATTTGAAGCTATGTTTGATTTCCAAGACAAGGACATACATATCACGGATAAAAACAAATTGTACTCTCTGATCAGTTGTGCACAGATCAAAAAGATTTTTAAAAATCTAACTCTGGCAAGGGTTCAGAGAAATGGGCACTCTCATGCACAATATGAAGGAATGAAAACTGGGACTTTTTAGACGGTAATTTGGTAATATTTACCAAAATATAAAACATGAATACTATCTGGGCAATCCTACTTCTAGGATTTGTTCTAAGGAGATAATTGTGTAAAATATTTATCTCAGAGTAATTTGTAATACTGGAAATCTAAAAGGAACCTACAATAGTACACATATGCCATGACACATACAAACAACACAATACTAAGTAGCGATTAACAATACATGGTAGAGGGTGAACAAAATGTGGTATATAACGATGGAATATTGTTCAGCCTTCAAACACAGGAAATTCTGACACATTACAACATTGATGAGCCCTGAGAACATTACGCTAAGTGAAATAAGCCAGTCGCAAAAGGACAAGTACCGTATGATTCCATTTATGAGGTACCTAAAGCAGTCAAACTGACAGAAAGTCTAACAGCAGTTGCTAGGAGCTGGAGGAAGGTAGTAATGGGGAAAAAGTATTTAACGGGTACATTTCAGTTTGGGAAGATGGAAAAGTTATGGAAATGGACAGTGGTGACGGTTGCACCATAATATGAATGTATGTAATGCCAATGAACTACACATTTAAAAATGGTTAAAATGGTAAATTTTACTTATCATTTATACCATGTATATTTTACCACAATTTAAAATTTTTAAGTTTTTTTAAAAAGTCTAGGAAACACCAGATTCAACCAAGTTAAAGAGGTTTTCTTCTTGCTGTTTCATCACAGGACTTCCCAAAGCTTTTAAATTATGTACTTTGTGTATTATGACTCTCCAAGAGGGAGGAATCTAGTAACAATATATCCCAAACTTATTCCATCCATAAATATTGTTTTCTGTAGGAATACTAAACATATCAATGTATAACAGCGTTTCACAGAACAAGGTTTAGAAATGCTATTCTACACTTTCACAAATGCTGTCTCTTCAGGCCTTGAATGCCTTCCCTGGATGTTACCAACTCTTGATTCTCTGACACAGCCAGACGTCTTTTGGCCGGGTGCAGTGGCTCACACCTGTAATCTCAGCACTTTGGGAGGCCGAGGCGGGCGGATCACTTGTGGTCAGGAGTTTGAGACCGACCTGGTCAACATGTGAAACCCCATCTCTACTAAAAATACAAAAATTAGCTGGGCGAGGAGGCTAAGGTGGAAGAATTGCTTGAACCTGGGAGGCAGAGGTGAGCCAAGATGGTGCCACTGCCCTCCAGCCTCAGCAACGGAGCAAGACTCCATCTGAAAAAAATAATAAGGCCCGGTACAGTCACTTATGCCTGTAATCCCAGCACTTTGGGGGGCCAAGGCAGGTGGATCACCTGAGGTCAGGAGTTCGAGACTAGCCTCGCCAACATGCTGAAACCCCGTCTCTACTAAAAATATAAAAAGTAGGGGGGCGTGGTGGTGCGTACCTATAGTGTCAGCTACTCGGGAGGCTGAGGCATGAAAATCTCTTGAACCTGGCAGGTGGAGGTTGCAGTGAGCCGAAATTGCCACTGCACTCCAGCTTGGGCGAGAGAGCAAGATTCTGTCTCAAAAATAATAATAATAATAAAATAAGATAGACCTTTTTACATACCTTTAGGCCACAGATAAATAATATCACCTTGCCTAAGCTTTCCCACTTTTCACAGCTTCTTTCTCACACTTTTTAACACCACGTTCTTTAAAGCATAAAGATTTGTTTTACTAAAAATGGAAGCAATAGGGATATCCATGCACAGTAGAAGGAAAGAAAGAGATGTCCCAAAATAACACAATTTTTTTTTTCTTTTTGAGACAAGGTCTCACTCCCATCGCCCAGGCTGAAGTGCAGAGGCATGATCACGGCTCACTGCAGCTTCAACTTCCCAGACTCAGGTGATTCTCCCACCTCAGCCTCCCAAGTAGCTTGGACTATAGGCTCACACCACCATGCCTGGCTACTTTTTGTATTTTTTGTAGAGATGGGGTTTTACCACATTGCCCAGGCTGGTCTTGAACTCCTAGGCTCAAGCTATCTACCAGCCTTGGCCTCCTAAAGTGTTGGGATTACAGGCGTGAACCACTATGCCAGGCCAACACAGGCATTTTTATTTTATTTTATTTTTATTTATTTTTTTTTGAGACAGAGTCTCGCTCTGTCACCCAGGCTGGAGTGCAGTGGCTATCTCTGCTCACTGCAAGCTCCGCCTCCCGGGTTCACGCCACTCTCCTGCCTCAGCCTCCTGAGTAGCTAAGACTACAGGCGCCCGCCACCACGCCTGGCTAATTTTTTGTATTTTTAGTAGAGACAGGGTTTCCCCATGTTAGCCAGGATGGCCTCGATCTCCTGACCTCGTGATCCGCCCGCCTTGGCATTCCAAAGTGCTGGGATTACAGGCGTGAGCCACCGCGCCCGGCCCAGGCATTTTTAATATACTAGGTGGGTCTCCTTTTACACTTCAAATGAATAAATATTCAACAAATATTTACTAAGTTTCTACTAAGTGCTAAGAGTGGTTTCAGATGCACTTTGGATACTGTTCCCAGATTACACACCCATCTGTATTCATTAATGATCATGAAACCTGCCTGTGGTAACTAGGAACATGTTCTAAACATGGGAATAATTTTTACTAGGTTTTGATGGGCATCACGTCTTAATATAATTTTGGATAATTTTACATACACTCATTTCCAAACTTTATTTATAATGGCTTATGAAAAAAACTGAGACAATGAAAGGTTAAGAAACTTGCCCAAAGCCAGACAGCTAATACATAGAAATAAAAAATCAAATTCAAGAGCTTGGGATCTTACTCCCTACACCACAGAGCCTCTCAAAACAAAGAGGGACAAAGTTACAATAGTCATAATAAACACAATTTTTTTTTTTTTTTGAGATGGAGTCTCGCACTGTCGTCCAGGCTGGAGTGCAGCAGTGCGATCCTGGCTAACTGCAACTTCTGACTCCCTGGTTCAAGCAATTCTCCTGCCTCAGCCTCCTGAGTGGCTGGGATTATAAGTGTGCACCACCACGCCCCACTAAGTTTTGTATTTTTAGTAGAGACAGGGTTTCACTATGTTGGCCAGGCTGGTCTCGAACTCCTAACCTCAGGTGATCCCCCCACCTCGGCCTCCCAAAGTGCTGGAATTACAGGCGTGAGCCACCGTGCCCAGCTGAACACGACTTTTTAAAAGCCTATTGTACTCATTTGTATCTAAGGCCTGAGAGAAATTTCCCCCATGGGTCTCTGTGAAAGACATAAGAGAGCAAATGTGTTATGCAGTAGAGTAAACCCTTAGCTCCCCTCCACTAACAACAGTGCTTGTACAACAGCAAGAAACAATCAGTGCATGTAATGGTTGTTCAAAAAAATAAAAGTCACAAAATTTCACAGAACAAAGGAACTTCAGTGATTATCTCGTTGTTGACCTGAAATCACAGAGGAAGGGTTTACTTTAAATATCTAGTTACGTCTAAGGAATATTTTTTAAAATCCCTAGTGACTCATGTACCTTTACTTCAAGTCTATACCTGAAATACTCTATTTCTTCAAATAACTCACTACAAGCAAACAAGCCCACCCTATACTTCTTCAGTCTCTAAGGACCTGAGATAGGCAACAATACGACTTACAATGCTCACGTCTATCCAATGGTTAGAAGGAAATTCCCCTTCCTGGACTTTCTCAAAACACTACCCGCTCACTTCCCTCTGATCTCTCACCTGCAATCTGTGAAAACTTGTCAGAATAGGCAACAGCCCGAGGCTTCACAAAGGTCTGCAAACTCCCAATCAAAAATTACTGCTGCCCCATCAATGTGCCATATAAATGCTGGCATGTTAATTGTGTATTTATAAGACTGTTAATGGTTAGTTAATTTACCTCCCACACTATTATTGTACTTGAAATGATTTAATGTCTGCTGAGGGAGTTAACAACATGTAACAGCAGATGCGAGATTTTTTTTTTTTTTTTTTAACCTTTCCACACTGTACCCCGACTTCACACTATTAGCATCAGGCAAGTTAAAGCTAATTCCTGTACAGGAGTCCTTAAACGTGTCATAGGAACACTCACATTTATTTTCCACAACAAGGAATGATTACAAGTGAGGGGAGAAAAAAAGGCTTTTTATTATATACAACGTCTTGCCTTTATAAAAACCAACAGACCCTCTTTTTTTATTTTTTAACTAAGATTTCAACATCCTTTGATCTAGTTAAAGCTCAGAATTCATACCTCCTGGAATTCGAAAATAATTGAAGTGACCATTAAAATAAAACACTTTATTGCTTTTAAATCTCTTTCTCTAACTCCAATTTAACTCTAAATTAAATCTTCATTTATTTTTTGGACTAGCAAAAATTGAGCTTTTTTCCCCCTCAGGGAATTAAAATCTTCTCCATGTGAATATGCCCAATTTCATTAAGCAGTAAATTGTGAGACCATATATCTGGAGAGTTTGTTTCTTCTTTTTACATTTTTATTTCCATATTTTGACTAAAAGTGCTTACTAGACTAAAATAACAGAAATGATTTATCTTATTTTGAATGAGATTCATTCACAAAATCATCTCAGCACTAAATGAAAAATTGTATAAATACTGGCCTGCCCCCTCCAGAAGTTTACTTACAAACTTCAGCAGAGGAGCTGTGTCATATACATAGGGAACAATAACATAAAGCAAGATAAACCCACCACCAAATGAGATATTAAGACAACATGTTTTCCAAGAGACAGGAACATCACAGAAGACTTCAGGAAGGAAGGCAGAAGTATTTAAGGATAGCTATGCTTTCATTAGGCAGAAACACAAGTGAAACAGTAACAGTTGACATTTACTGAGCTCTTACCATGAGATGTACTAATCACTTTTCATGTAACAACATATTTAATCCTTACAGCCACTTCAGGAGGTAGGCATTAATACTATCCTCATTTTATAGATCTAAAAACAAACAAAACTAAGGCTTAAAGGAGTTAAGTATCTTGCCCAAGGAGACAAGGTAGATTTTTTAAGACCACAATTTTTGAAGCTCCTCCCATCAAGAGGTGGAGTCTATTTCCTCATCCTTGAATCTGGACTCACACTGCGATTTGCTTTGACCAACAGAATATAGGGGAAGGAATGTTGTGGAAATTCTGAACCTTGGCCTCAAGAGCGCTTGCAGCTTCTGCCCTGGCCTCTTCTGGACCACTTCTGAATTATGGGAAAAAGTCAGGGGTAAAAGACTATGGGGAGAAAGAAGCTCAGCCATCTCTGTCATTCCAGCTGTCCTGCTGAGGCCCCATGAGTGATTAAGTCATCAGGGACAAGCCTCCCACTAACCTACCAGGAGGCACAGTCTCTTCTTCTATCAAATGTCTCCCTCAGACAAAGGAACCCTGATCCCTGGTTTTCTTGTCTTATGCCACTAACCTCGAAATGCCTCAGAATCTTACATCTGCCAAGATCCAGTTAAAAAAGAACCTGGTAGAGTGATTCTCACACTTCTCCACGGACACACCTGAAGGGCATGGGACAGTGACCATAAATCAAGGTATGAGACAACCTAGGGGAGCCACCTACAGTAACACACCATAAGAAATTTATTTTTAGAATTCATTCATATTTTGTATTCTATTTTATACTACACTGCACCTATGTATGTTTGTTTACAGAGATAGCGTCTCGCTCTGTCACCCAGGCTGGAGTGCAGTTGTGTGATCACAGCTCACTGCGGCCTTGACTTCCCGGGCTCAAGTGATCCTCCCACCCCAGCCTGGGACTGCAGGCAAGCACCACCACACCCAGCTAATTTTTAAATTTTTTTGTAGAGACAAGAGTCTTGTCATCTTCCCCAGGCTAGTCTCAAACTCCTGGGCTCAAGCGATACTCCCACTTTGGCATCCCAAAGAGTTGGGATCACAGGCATGAGCCACTGTGCCCCTCCCCTATGTTTGTTTTAACAGGAAAAAAAAATGTTTATCTTCAAATACATCACTAAAATTGATACTTCAGGAAAATGTACCATGGTTACTTTGTAGCTTCCACTACACCCTGGCACATCCTAGGACTCTCTTAACCTCAGTTTGAATGGCAAGGATCTAGTGGAAAAACATAGACTTTGGTATCAGAAATGTCATTTTGTACAGATAAAATGGCACTTTATCAATGGACAACTCAAAACTCTAAATTTTACTCAAAAGATGTTTCCTATAAGGTTGAAGAACTGTTAAGTATAAACCACACTAAACTATAAAGTTCTAAGCACAAGTTAGAATAAAATACTGTTATTCAGCTATTATAAAACAATCTGTATTTTCAAAGTGTTTTGAAATAATGTTTATGTGCTAGCAATAGCTGTGAAACTTCAAACAACCTAACCACCCACCACCCCCAAAACTTCAAACCTGCCAACATTTCCAGCTGTTACAAGAAATCTGCCAGTTCGGTATAATGTGGCCCCTAAATTATTTTTCCAATGGGTGTTGTCTCTCTGACATAATAGATTTGACTGACACTTGTGAAAATAAACAATTTTACGTTTTACTTTAAGATCTTGGGTCAAAATGTTTACTAGTTTTACCTAAACTGAAGAATATAAATAATGCCAAAAGAACTAGACTGTTTCTCAATGTGAAATTACCGGTTTAGGAGCTTAAGCTGTAACTAGCACTCAATTGTCTACCAAATATTCATTCATTGGTTTCATTCATTTGACAAATATTTATAAGGCACTTACTACATGCTGGGCACCAAAGATACACTGCTGAGCAAAAATAAAGACTTTTGGCCACTGCCTTCATGGATCTTCTGAGGGTGGACCCAGTAGATAGAATTTTAAATTCTTTTTTTTTTTTTTTTGAGACGGAGTTTTGCTCTTGTTGCCCAGGCTGGAATGCAATGGTGCGATCTCAGCTCACAACCTCCGCCTCCCAGGTTCAAGCGATTCTCCTGCCTCAGCCTCCCTAGTAGCTGAGATTATAGGTGCCCGCCACCACGCCCAGCTAATTTTTTTGTATTTTTAGTAGAGATGGAGTTTCACTATGTTGGGCAGGCTGGTCTCAAACTCCTGACCTCAGGCGATCCACCCACCTCAGCCTCCCAAAGTGCTGGGGTTACAGGCATGAGCCACTGCGCCTGGCTTAAATTCTTGCCCCTTTCTGTTGTCCCCTACCCTTGAGTGTGGGTGGAATCTGACTTGCTTCTTTCTGGCCAATAAAACATGGCAAAGGTGATGGGACAGTCATTTCCTTGATTACTTTCCATTATATAAGACTCCATCTTAGCCACCTGAAGAGAGCAATTCTAAGCCAGAGAGATCTTCTTGCCGGCCTTGAAGAAGCAAACAGCTATGTTATGGAACTACACATGGCAAGGACCTGAGAGCAGCCTCTAGGAGCTGAAAATGGTCCTGGCCAACCACTAGCAAGAGAAGGAGGATCTTAGTCATATCACCGCAAGGAAATGAATTCCACTACCCAACCTGAGAGAGATTGGAAGATCTTTCCCTAGTGAGCCTCCAGATGAGCTATATAGCCAGCTGACACCTTAATTTCATCCCTTTAAGAGCATGAACACAAAACTCAGCTGAAGCCATGACTCCTGACTCACCGTGAAATCATAAATTCATATCGTTTTAAGCAGATAAGTTTGTGGTAATTTGTCATGCAGCAAAAGAAAATGAATTCAGCATAGTGAAGGAAAATAAGCCTATAACCCTTCACATATAACACATAAGGCTCTCTAAAATGCAATTTCACTACCTCTTCCCTCCCCATCTTGCAACTTCCAGGACTGCACTGAATATGTGCTGGCCTTTGGTAATGATACTCCTTTATTTCAGGTGTACCCTTCTCCAATACAAATCTTATTCTTGTAAGTCCAACAGAAGTATCTCATCCTTGGTAAACCCTTCTATATCACCCAGAGTCCAACCTATTTTAATAGCATTTTATTTCTACCATCATTACAGTGAGTCATATGAATATTATTTTTAAGGAACCAACAATTTTAAATTTACCCAATTCTAGATTCATAAATATGGTTACTTCATTAAGGTATAAATCTCTCCCCAAATCATTTGTGAAGTTGTTACAGATTCCATCAACGATAATGTAATGGTTCAAATGGAAGCCGGTTTTTCTTCCTGGGAGACATTTAAGCAATCAATATCTGGAGATAGTTCCAGCTGTTACAACTAGAGATGGCTGCTATTAGTAGCCAGTGGGTAGATGCCAGTGACGCTAGTAAACATGGTACAATGCACAAGGCAGCATCCACAACAAAAAATTATACCTCCCCAAATATCAATATGAATAATGCCAAGCTTGAAAAACCCCACAATAATGTGAGGTTTGAAGCCACTAAATTTGTGGTAATTTTCAACTCCCTCGAAACTGTTTTGTTTATACTGAAACTAAACTATAGAACTTTGCTACTAAAATCTATGCTTAAACCTTCTAAGGGCTAAAAAAGTTCAAGTCTGTTTTCTGAAGTTTTAGTCTACCCTAAGGAGCGCCAAAGCCCAAACAACTACAATAAAGACAAGTTGCATTCCGTAAGACTTAGCCCTTGGTCTGAGAAGCCTTTTCACCCTTCTTCCCCTGACTACCTCCTAACATATTATTCAAAATCCAGCTCAACGGTAGCCTTAACCTCCTGGGCTCAGGCGATCCTCCCAACTTGGCCTCTCAGGTAGCTGGGACTACAAGCATGCACTACCACACCCGGCTAATTTTTTGCAGAGACAAGGTCTCACCATGCTGCCCAGACTGGTCTTGAATTCCTGGATTCCAGCGATCCTCCCCATCGGCCTCCCAGGGCGTTGGGATTACAGACCTGAGCCACCGCACCCGGCTTGCTCCCTCCATGTGCCCATTTCACTGCACTTAGTTCCTAGTTCTACCAAATAATTAACCCAGCACACTGCCTGTTAGTAAGGTGCTAAGTGTTTGTTGATTTTACTCATTCAACAAATATTTACTGAATGCCTACTATGTGCCAGGCACTGTTCTAGATGCAGAAAACACAGCAGAGAAGGCAAAGTCCTGCCCTCATGGCAGGACAAAGAAGTAAATTATATAGTGAGTTAGAAGTGCCATGAAGAAAAATAGCACAGAGAAAGAAATGGATAATGCTCGGTGGAGCCGTGAGTTGCAACAGTAAATGAAATAGTCAAGGAATGCCTCACTTAAGTGACATCTGACTTAACACCTGAAGGAGGTGAGAGAACAAGCCATGTAGACACTCCAGGGAATAGGTCTGCCAAGCAGAGGGGAACATGCCTCACACTGCTCAAGGAGCAGCAAGGAGTCCGCCAAGGAGCAAGTAGTAGATAATAAGATCTGAAAGACTGGGGTGAGTCTGTAGGGCCTTACAGGCCATCCCAAGGCCTTTAGCTTTTACTCCAAGTGAAATGAGGGGTCACTGGAGGATTGTGAATGATCTGTCTCACATTTAAAAGAATCTCCCTGGTTGCCATGTTAAGGAATGAATGAATTAAAGAACAAATAAAAGATCGCAAACAAATCACATTGGCATTTCTTTTTAAATAATAATCTGTTTACATGTTGGTTTTCTCTTCTAAACTTCTAAACTCTCAAGACACTGACTATCTTACCCATCACTATGCTGCCAGTTTCTAGTATATGTGGATGGCATTCAATAAGAGCTCATTGTGGAATGAATAGACAACAGGTGCATCTTTCTTGTTCCCAAGGGGCTGTCCGGTGAGTTTACCAAAAAGGACCCCCATCCATGCTGCTGGTTTAATAGATAGGTCTCCCATTACAATCTAAGATTTATTTTCCTTCTATCAGCTCCTCAGCGTTTGAAGTTTGCTCAAACAAGTGGAAGAATTCAACAGAGTAATGTTTCCACTTACCTGGTCTTCAGGGTAACCACATATCAATTAAGAAAAGCGGCCAGTGCAGTGGCTCATGCCTGTAATCCCAGCACTTTGGGAAGCTGAGGTGGGCAGAACACAAGGTCAGGAGATCGAGACCATCCTGGCTAACACGGTGAAACCCCGTCTCTACTAAAAATACAAAAATAAAATTAGCCAGGTGTGGTGGTGGTGGGCGCCTGTACTCCCAGGCTGAGGCGGGAGAACGGCATGAACCCGGGAGGCGGAGCTTGCAGTGGACCGAGATAGAGCCACTGCACTCCAGCCCGGGCAAAAGAATGAGACTCTGTCTCAAAAAAAAAAAAAAGAAAAGAAAAAGAAAAAGAAAAAAGAATAAAAAAAAGAAAGAAAGAAAAGCAACACACTTTACCACAAAGATCACTCAGGAAACCTAAATTCCAGGGACCTAACTACACGGCCTTGGACAAGTGACTTCTTTAAACCTCATCTGTTCTTATGTCTGTTAAATAGCATGGCTGAACTATATGAAGGGACTTTCAGCTCTTAAATTCCATTCCAGTCACTTGTGTGGAGGAGGAAAAGGAGGATGTGACTGGGAGAGGTTTATCCTGGAGCCCATCTAAAAGGTTTTGGGTGTTTTCGCTTCACATTGTTTTCCCTCGACCAGAATTTCATTGCATGTTTGACCTCTACCACACCTGTGCCATAATTCAAACTCAGAGGTACGAGGAATCTCTTTTTTGACGAAGAATTGTAATAGTATCAAGATGTTGCCGGTACACTCTCTACAAAGGTAAACCATGTTGACTGATTTGAACAGGCATTACTGCCGTTTTTGTGTTTTGTTTTGGTTTTTTTTTTTTGAGAGACACAGTCTTGATCTGTTGCCCAGGCTGAGGTGCAGGAGCATGATCTCAGCTCACTGCAACCTCTGCCTCCCACGTTCAAGTGATTCTCCTGCCTCAGCCTCCCAAGTAGCTGGGACTACAGGTGCCACCACCACGCCCGGCTAATTTTTCTATGTTTAGTAGAGCCAGGGTTTCACCATGTTGGCAAGGCTGGTCTCGAACTCCTGACCTCAGGTGATCTGCCCGCCTCGGCCTCCCAAAGTGCTGGGATTACAGGCCTGAGCCACCATGCCCATCTTTTTTTTTTTTTTTTTTAATGCTAGTATATAAACTGGTTCCAATAACTACAAGAGTTAAAGGTGATAAACAATACAGTTATCTTCAGAGTGTTATCATAAAAGAAACTAATATTAACAGAAAATGAAAATGGCACAGATTATAAAAAGGCACAGTGTTTTGCCACATCTAGAGTTCCACGTTGCTGTCACAGGCTATGGATTAGTGACATCTGCTATGGATTAGTTAACAGTTGTCACTGTTAAAGAGACTAGCTATGGGATGACTTTAGGAGAGTCAGTGCTTCCGACTGTTTCCTCTACAGTGAAATAGCCATAATATGTGTCCTATTATCCACTTCACAGTGATGCTGCTATAAAACAAAATAGAGGCTGGGCACAGTAGCTCATGCCTATAAATCCCAGCATTTTGAGAGGCAGAGACAGAAGAATCACTTAAGGCGGGGAGTTTGAGACCAGCCTGGGCAACAGAGCAAGACCCCACCTATACAAAAAAAAAAAAAATGTAAAAATTAACCAGGCATGGGGGCACATGCCTGTAGTTCTATCTACACAGGAGGCTGAGATGGGAGAATCACTTGAGCCCAGGAGTTCAAGGTTACAGTGAGCATGATTGAGCCACTGTACTTCAGCCTGGGCAACAGAGTGAGACCCTCTCTCTTAAATTTTTTAAAAAGGATATTTACAGAAAGCTAAAAAGCACGACATAAATCTAAGATGTAATATTACTGACTTTTCCTATTCTAGCTATATCTTTTTGGAAGGAAAATAAATAAGCTGTCAACTATCAAACTCATTAATTCAACTCCTGATGAACAAAAGACAGCAACAACATAATCTAAACCAGCAGATAATCCTCAAACTACTTTTATGTGACTTTGAATGGTGCTTTGTATTTTCACTTGAATAGAGCTTTCATAATCTCAATAAATGATAATGGCTATTATTGTTACTATTAACAAAACTGTGTTAACTTTGCTAGGTATTTTCTCAGAACCTTCTAGACTATCTCATTTTTTTTCTTCTTTTTTTGAGACGGAGTTTTGCTCTTGTCATCCAGGCTAGATTGCAATGGTGCAGTCTCAGCTCACTGCAACCTCCACCTCCCAGGTTCAAGCGATTCTCCTACCTCAGCCTCCTAAGTAACTGGGATTACAGCCACCCACCACCACACCCTGCTAATTTTGTATTTTTAGTAGAGACCGGGTTTCACCATGTTGGCCAAGCTGGTCTTGAACCCCTGAACTCAGGTGATCTGCCGGCCTCGGCCTCCCAAAGTACGGGGGTTACAGGCATGAACCACCATGCCCAGCTAGACTATCTCATTTTTTAAATCACCACAGTGTACCAAACATGAGGATAATGCAACAGAACTGGCTTCATTCTGCTTATAATACTATAATTAGGGTGAGAATGTTCCACAACATACAATTTAAATCGAATAATCAATTCTCAGCCCAGACATGGTGGCTCATGCCTGTAATCCCAACACTTTGGGAGGCAGAGATGGGCGGATTGCTTGAGCACAGGAGTTCAAGACTAGCCTAGGCAACATGGCAAAACCCCATCTCTACAAAAAAATACAAAAATTAGCTGGCCGTAAGACCCTCATCTCTTAAAAACAAAATAAAGGCACTTTTGCCATTCACAAAGCTATGAGGTAGATTCTATTATTCTTCATGTTCTATAAATCAGTAAACTTCGGCACAAACTTGCCCAAGGCCACGCAACTAGTAAGAGGTGGAGTCAGGATAGCCTGGCTCCAGAATCCTGCTCCCAATCACTACAATATGCTGTCTCACATTTCCAGCTTAAGCTCACTTCATCTTAATCTTCTTACTCCACTCCTTACACACAAGTCTAGGTATGGGTATACAGAGACTTATCAGTTCATTCAATAAGCATGACTACATACTACACGCTGAGGGTTAGGCGTATAAAGTGCTAAGTCATAGTCCCTATTCCCAAGAGGCTTACAGTCAAGCAAGGGGTTAAAGACAAGTATACAAATGGCCACAATAAAGAACAGGCCAGCCGGGCGCGGTGGCTCACGCCTGTAATCCCAGCACTTTGGGAGGCCGAGGTGGGCGGATCACGAAGTCAGGAGATAGAGAACATCCTGGCTAACACGGTGAAACCCCACCTCTACTAAAAATACAAAAAATTAGCCGGGCGTGGTGGCGGGCGCCTGTAGTCCCAGCTACTCAGGAGGCTGAGGCAGAAGAATGGCGTGAACCCGGGAGGCAGAGCTTGCAGTGAGCCGAGATCGCCACTGCACTCCAGCCTGGGCGACAGAGTGAGACTCCATCTCGGAAAAAAAAAAAAAAAAAAAAAAAAAACAGGCCAGGCACAGTGGCTCACGCCTATAATCCCTGCACTTTGGGAGGCTTAAGGAGGCAGGTCACCTGAGGTCAGGAGTTCAAGACCAGCCTGGCCAACATGATGAAACCTCATCTCTACAAAAAATTAGCTGGGCGTGGTGGTGGGTGCCTGTAATCCCAGCTACTCAGGAGGCTGAGGCGTGAGAATCACTTGAACCCGGGAGGTGGAGGTTGCAGTGAGCCATGATCGCACCACTGCACTCCAGCCTGGGCGACAGAGTGAGACTCCATCTCAAAAAAAAAAAAAAAGAAGAAGAAGAATGAGAGCAACGCTAGAGGAGTCTATAACAATGTACTACGGGCCAGGCGCGGTGGCTCACGCCTGTAATCCCAGAACTTTGAGAGGCCGAGGTGGGCGGGTCACCTGAGGTCAAGAGTTCATGACCAGCCTGGCCAACATGGTGAAACCCCATCTCTACTAAAAAAATACAAAATTAGTTGGGCATTGTTGTAGGCGCCCGTAATCCCAACTACTCAGGAGGCTGAGGCAGGAGAATTGCTTGAACCCAGGAGGCGGAGGCTACAGTGAGCCTAGATTGCGCCATTGCACTCCAGCCTGGGCTACAAGAGCAAAAGTCCATCTCAAAGAAACAATGTACTATGGAGACACAAAGAAAAAATATCTAAATGAGACTGGCTACTCAGACAAGGCTTCACAGAAGAGACTAAGATCACAATAATGGAAGAAGTCATTTCCAACTTAGCCACCTTAATAGTTAAAAAAAAGAGAGAGAGCTGGCAATTAAACCATCTATAATCCTGGCTCCCTGATCAGAAACTTCAGAAGTTTCAGAAATGCTTAAAACAAAAACATCAGGCCATGTGTGAGTTATTGCAGAAGCAAAGAAAAGATAACTACCCTTTGCAGTGGAGGAAGCCAAGGGAATGGCAGAAGTTGAGAGAGGGTGCATAGGAGAGGCTGAAAGCAAACAATCTTCGGACTGCCTGGCTTCAAACCTGGACCTGGCATTCGTGGTGGGACCTTGAGAAAGTAACAACTTCTGTGTCTATTTCCTCATCTGTAAATGGAAGTAAGTTCAGTGCCTACCTCATAGGATTGTTGTGAGGACTGAATGAATTAATACATGTTATGTGCTTCAGTGCCTGACCCATGGTAAGCACCATTACAACTCTTTACTATTATTATTGCTATTATTCCCTGGTCTAAGATGAATCTTCAAAGATGAGAAATTGGAAGGTTCAAAGAGGGGGTAAAAGGCAACATTCGAGGTAGAAGACACAGCATCGGACAAGGCACTGAAGCAAGAAACAGCAGAACAACATGTATTTAGTAACTAAAATTACACAGAGTTCAAAGTTGCTGACTAGCATTACAGAGAGACTTCCTCAAAACAGAAGACTAGTTATAAAGCTGTGAAGATAGCCCAGAGATGATGAAATCTGAAGGCAGTGAAAGATGGTTGCACGAATTCAAGAAACAGTCACAAAATATTTAAGAGATAAAAACTGGTAGAGGCCGGGCGCAGTGGCTCACGCCTGTAATCCCAGCACTGTGGGAGGCCGAGGTGGGTGGATCGCGAGGTCAGGAGAATGAGACCATCCTGGCTAACACGGTGAAACCCCGTCTCTACTAAAAATAGAAAAAATTAGCCGGGCGTGGTGGCGGGCGCCTGTAGTCCCAGCTACTTGGGAGGCTGAGGCAGGAGAATGGCGTGAACCTGGGAGGCAGAGCTTCCAGTGAGCCGAGATCGCGCCACTGCACTCCAGCCTGGGTGACAGAGCAAGACTCCGTCTCAAAAACAAAACAAAACAAAACAAAACAAAACTGGTAGAACTCGGTGACTGAGTGAATGTGAAGGATTAAGAAGGGGGAAGTTTATGGCTTGCATGATAGTGCCAACAAATAAAACCATAAACTCAAAAGCAGAAACAGATTATCAGGTAGTGGGGAGATGAGGAGTTATGTTTCAGACACAATGAGCGGGCTTCAGATGTCTATGGATTACCCAAATAGAGATCCATCAAAACACAAACCTGAGAGCCCAGGAGAAAGGTCTGAGCAAACTTGGGAGACATCAACATGTAAGTGACAGGTAAATCCATAGATGTGAATTTTGCCCAGGGAGAATATGTAAGAAGAACAGTAACCTAGGGATAAAACCAAGGAACAGCAATAGTTAAAGGGTAGCCTGAAGGAAAAACAAAAAACAGAAGCTGGAAAAAAAAAAAGTCAATCTTTGGCTAGATCCTGAAGTTAGCTATCCATGCTGTGTAAACTCATGAATTTATAAGCTATTACTTTCTTCACTTTCCCCTCACCTCGCATTTCCTAGTAAGAAGTTCACTGCTGGACTGTAAAGTCCTTGAGAGGAAAGGGCATTTGACTTCCTATCACTAATGCCCAATATATATGCCTGGTACCCACATGCTTGTAGAATGAACCTGGCTGAACAGAGAAAAATGGATCATTTCCCACCTATTTAAACAAAAGTCTTGTGGAATTCCTAGAGCCTAGGGCTGCTTCCAGCCCAGAGCAGAGAAATACAGAACCTGAGGAGAATAGAAGCAGAAAGGAGGCTGACCTTATGCATTGTTGGAGGAAATGTAAAATAATGCAGCTGCTTTGAAAAACAGCCTGGCAGTTTCTCAAAATGTTAAACAGAGCGTTACCATATGACCCAGCAACTCCACTCCTAGGAATATACCCAAGAGAACTAAAAACATATGTTCACACGAAAATTTGTATACAAATGTTCACAGTAGTATTCATAATAACCAAAAGGTAGAAATAACCCAAATGTCCATCAACTGATGAACAGATAAACAAAATGTGGTACAGACATACAATGGAATATTATTTGGCAATAAAAAGGAATGAAGTACTGATCCATGCTACAACACAGATGAACCTTGAAAATTATTACATTATATCAAAGGCCACAAACTGTCAATTCTTTGTATATGAAAGGTTTGGAACAGGCAAATCCATAGAGACAGAAAGTAGATTAATGGTTGCCAGCAGCAGGAGGAGGAAAAGTGGAGTGACTATTAATGAATATGAGATTTCTTTCTGAGGTGACAAAAATGTTCTGGAATTAGTTAATAGTGACAGTTATACAACTTTGTGAATATCCTAAGAGTCATTAAATTGTACATTTTAGAGGCGTGAATTTTATGGTATGCGAATTATATCTCAATTTTTAAAAAAGAAAGGGGATAGAAACACAGGAAGGCTAGAATCCATGCTACATCCTAGATTTTTTCTAATTCAGGTGATTCCAAAACAAGGATACCAACAAAGTACCTAATAAGCAGAATTGGCAACAGTAACCATAAAAATTTTTAAACAATCTGTAATATAAGTTGATTACATCAAATAGACATCAAATTCCTCATGCAAAAATGGCAGTTTCCAAGTCTTCTCTTCTGGGGAAAAAGAGAACTGTCATATACCTTCGTGACCTGTGTAAAGGTAACTAACCTACATTTCTAGTTGAAGGAGGTTAATCCTAGTACCAGAAATCCCATCAGAACTTCTGGCTTTGCTGAAGCAAACCCTCACACACTGGAGCAGTTTCTCCTACCAGAGCACGACACAACATTCTAATCCACACCAGGGGATCCGCATGAGAAGCCCCTTATAATATTTTTATATTAAGAAAACAGGCCGGGCACAGTGGCTTACTCCTGTAATCCCAGCACTTTGGGAGGCCGAGGCAGGCGGATCACCTGATGTCAGGAGTTTGAGACCAGCCTGGCCAACATGGTGAAACCCCGTCTCTACTAAAAATACAAAAAACTAGCCAAGCGTGGTGGCACGCACCTGTAATCCCAGCTACTCGGGCAGCTGAGGCAGGAGAATCGCTTGAACCCAAGAGGCAGAGGTTGCAGTGAGCCAAGATCATGCCATTGCACTCCAGCTCAAGTAACAAGAGCGAAATTCCGCCTCAAAAAAAAAAAAATATATATATATATATACACACACACACACATACATGTATATATACACACACATATACACATATATACACACATATATACACATACACACACATATATACACATATACACACACATATATACATATACACACACATATATACATACACACACATATATACACGTATACACACACACATACACATATATACACACATATATACACATATACACACACATATACACGTATACATACACACACATATACACGTATATATACACGTATATATACACGTATATATACACATATATACACGTATATACACATATATACACGTATATATACACATATATACACGTATATACACATATATACACGTATATATATACACACATATATATACACACACATATACACACACACACATATATATACACACATACACACACACACACACACACACACACATATATATATAGTTGGCCGGGCATAGGGGCTCACACCTGTAAACCCAGCACTTTGGGAGGCAGAGGAGGAAGTTCCCTTGAGCCCAGGAGTTCAAGTGCAGCCTGGGCACTATAGCAAGACCCCTTCTCTGTTATTTGTATTAAAATTTTTTTTTAATTTTTAAAAATTTTTTAGGTTGGGCACGGTGGCTCATGCTTGTAATCCCAGCACTTTGGGAGGCCGAGGCAGGTAGATCACCTGAGGTCAGGAGTTCGAGACCAGCCTGGCCAACATGGTGAAACTCCATCTTTACTAAACTACAAAAATTAGCCAGGTGTGGTGGTGCACACCCGTAATCTCAGCTACTTGGGAGGCTGAGGCAGGAGAACTGCTTGAACTCAGGAGGCAGAGGTTTCAGTAAGCCAAGATGGTGCCATCGCACTCCAGCCTGGGAAACAGAGCAAGACTCCATTTCCAAAAAAAAAAAAGTTTTAAGAAAATTACGGCTATAAAACAAATGCAGTTCTTCATAACTGTAGGGAAAAAGGACTTAAGCACACATGCATTTACTACAATTTGAATGCCAATACCAATACGATCAAAAGAAGCTAAACTACTACCTCAGTGGGAATGGTGCTCTTAACATTGTTCTGAAACTCCTAATTTCCTTAACTAAAAAAAGGCAGAAAAGTATGCATAATGCAAATTACAAACACTACAGAGAAAATGTATGGAAATCGTTTTCCCCGCCCCCTCTCCCAAAAGAATGTTAGACACACTTTATAGAAACCGTGCTTACTCCAAATAGCTCACCAAGTGAAGGTTACTGTGAAATACTTCAAATTCCATAAGCCCCTCAGTACTGCAAAGACTGTGGGAAGGGAATGTTCCAAGCACAGACTAATGGACAGAAGGTACAAATGAAATAAGCCCTGATGCATGACTATCTAAGGAAGTCTAAACTGAAGACTCAATATATTTGTTCTGAAGTTATTAACCAAGCTTCAGTTTCTTAAATACATTCAAAACATTTAGCATATTCTTATAAGTCCCAAGTATAAATGACAGAGGTCTGTCATTGAAGATAATTAAAATAATTTATTTTGCCTAGTTTAGGATAGATAAATCTCTGTCATAGTTCAGACTTAAGTTTTTGTATTTTGAATTTTTTATACCAACAATGTGAATTCTTATTGTGTTTGTTGACTGTGTTAACAATAATACAAGTTATACCAACTTGGAATTTTTATTTTAATTTTGGGGATGTGTCCGTATTTTAACTCAGCAACTTTAATCCAGTGATCAAAGCTTCATTCGCTTGTAAACTGTTTCTCAGGTAAACTGAATTGCCCCATACCAGCATCTTAAGCAAATAAATAAGTACAAAACAGGCAGAGATTATAAATTAGAGCAGACAAATCTGTATCTCACCCCACGCCGGTAAAGAGCATTCTATCAATATAGTGAAATGCTAATCTCCTAATTAACAACCTAATTAGGTAATTATGGCTTTGCAGAGGGATGCCGAAATGAAATATGACAACATGGTCACCTCTTTATATGGCACCTGTGGGCCTTTTCAGCTGTCATTGCAAAGAGTGCAATATCAATTTGAACAGATGACAAAGTGCTGTCATTTTTCATTCTGATAATATACAGAATGCTTTGGACAGAAGTAGTTTACAAAAGAAACATCTTGCCTGATATTTTCCTAATTTAAATATGCTCAAATACTTCGGTAAATTTTTTGCATTGTACATAAGAGAATCAGTATGCACATTTTTATATTGTACATAAGAGAATCAGTATGCGCATTTGAAAAAAACAAACCTAACTGGCCATCATGCTTAACTGTACAAGCTGAAACTATTTCTTTTCTTTCTTTTTTTTTTTGAGACGGAGTTTCACCATTGTTGCCCAGCCTGGAATGCAATGGCGCAATCTTGGCTCACTGCAACCTCCACCTCCCGGGTTCAATTGCTTCTCCTGCCTCAGCCACCCGAGTAGCTGGGATTATAGGCATGTGCCATCACACCCGGCTAATTTTGTATTTTTAGTAGAGACGGGGTTTCTACATGTTGGTCAGGCTGGTCTTGAACTCCCAACCTCAGGTGATCCACCTGCCTCAGCCTCCCAAAGTGTTGGGATTACTGTGCCCAGCCTGAAACTATTTCAATTATAAAGTATATGATAATTAGAAAAGAGTAAAAGGCAACAATTCATCATATTTTAACACTCATATTTTTACTAACTACTGCTATCAGAAAAACTGAAATCCAAACAAACGTGATCTTCAATCTTCTTCTCACAAAATAAAATAAGTGAGACAGACATTCACATTTGTTAAAATAAATTAAAACAGACCAGGCCTGGCCAGATGCAGTGGTTCATGCTTACAATCCCAACAATTTGGGAGGCCGTGGTAGTGCATGCCTGTAGTCCCAGCTGCTGGGGAGGAAGAGGTGGGAGGATCGCTTGAGTCCAGGAAGTTGAGGCTGCAGTGAGCCGTGATCGTGCCACTGCACTCCAGCCTGGTCAATAGAGCAAGAACCCTGTCTCGAAAAAAAAACAAAAAAAAAACAAAAAACAAACAAACAAAAAAACAAATAAAACAACAACAACAACAAAACAAAAAAATCAGACCTGGTCTGAAAAATTCAAGCAGACAAAACTAGTTAGGCCTTATAAATGACCTTAACCTTGTTTGATTTGCAAACATAGGCAAAACTTGAGATATGTCTTATAAATGCATATATGAAAAAAAAAACAAAAAACCTTAAGCTTATCTAGTCAGAAGCAGCCAACAAACTTATGTAACTGAGGACTTTCCAATGGTAGTGATCAACTGTATAACTAATCAATCAAATCTTTTGTTTTACTTCCACAGTCTTCCTACAAAAGCTTCCCCCGCTTACTTTCCCTCAATGGAGCCCCAGAATCACTTCTGATTTGAAGCTGCCCAATTCATGAATCGCTGTTTGTGCAAATAAACTCTAAAATCTTATGCCTCAGTTTACCTTAACACACATAATTTTCCATACCAAAAAATCACTTCCCAAATACGTAAGCATTCAACTCACTATCTCTATCTACCAAAGGCCAACCTCAACTCCACAGAGATAGGAGTGGACTCCCTCTGAAAGTAAAGACGGAGCTGTCACAGGCCTACTCGTTGTCCCTGTGGCCACTGAAGAGGTGATGGTAGCACCGGGATAATGATACCACCAATACGAATACAACTCTTCTTCCAGAATACTGTCTTAAATAGGACTTTTGGGGGAAAAGAAGGCTTTCCTGGGAATAGTAACATCATTTATGTCAGGACATATGAAACCATGTTCTAAGTGCAAAATAAAAGAGGTGAAAACTAACTTGAAAATACAATCCATTTACAACTTCACAATCACCTGCATTAGTGAAAACTATTGGTTAAAATGATGGTCACTGACTCTACTCATATTTGTTAATATCAATTTTAAACTATGATTTATTTTTAAATAATTTGTTTATCAAAGAACATTTCTAAAACTGAGAAAAATATCAAGTCTTATAATCTCACCACCTATTTCTTTTCTTTGCATACATGTTTGACATAATTGGGACCATACTTTATAGAGTGTCATATCCTTTTTTCACTTATTATATGGTTAGCATATTAGTATGTCACTAAAATTCTTCTGAAACATCTAAGATGACTGTATATTATTTCCATTCTATGAATTTTCCATGATTTCTCTAATTTTTATTGAACATTAAGGTTCTAATTTTTGCTAAATACTGCTGCAGTGAACATCTTTGAACACGAATATCTTTCGACATCTCTGATTTCTTTAATAAAGATTCCTAGAAATGGAATTACAAGCTCAAAAGGCATGCATAACTTTTTTTAAAAGCTTGTTAATAAATACTGCCAAAGTGCTTTCCAGAAAAGTTTTACTCATTTACATTCCCACTATCAATATGAGTAACCATCTTACCATCTTACCACCAATCTTTATTATCAATGAGTATTAGTATTTTCATCAAATCCTTAAGCTTCATATCATAACACTATACCTATAATCAAACACTCTCACAATATAATCAATAATAACTTTCTGTAAACATTAAGTTTAAATGAAGGCAAAGGGCCATAATTAATGACAGTCCCAAGACAGGGCCAGTCCCAATATCCAAATCCAGAGCAGCATGGAAAAGTGACCCCCAACTCCAAAAAAAAAGTAATAGTGCTTTTCAGTACTCTGAGTCAAAACAAAGGTCAAGTCCTAGTTTTGCTACTCACGCATGCGCGTTCTCGCTCTCTCTATACGTATATACAAAAAGTATATATATATACACACACATATGTGTATATATATGTGTGTGTATATATATATTCCATCTCAAAATATATAAATATATAATTTATAAATATATATAATACATAATATATATAAATATATATATATATATATATATATATATATATATATATATATATATATAAAATATATATATTTTTTGAGATGGAGTTTCACTCTTGTCACCCAGGCTGGAGTGCAATGGCGCAATCTTGGCTCATGGCAACCTCCGACTCCCGGGTTCAAGCAATTCTCCTGCCTCAGCCTCCCGAGTAACTGGGACTATAGGCGTGTGTGTGCCACCACGCCTGGCAAATTTTTGTATTTTTAGTAGAGACAGGGTTTCGCCATGTTGGCCAGGCTGGTCTCGAACTCCTGACCTCAGGTGATCCACCTGCCTCAGCCTCCCAGAGTGTTGGGATTACAGGCATGAGCCACCGCACCCGGCCCGGTAGCTCTATATTTTTATTAATAATTACATTACTTCTCTAAGCTTCAGTTTCGGCATTTGTAAAATGGGGACGGGGATAACATAATATCCCTTTTCTAACAAAGAGCAGTTACAGGCACAAAAAAGATAATATAAACACTTGGAAGTGTTTCTTGTTACTCAGCAGATCAATTCACATAATAGCTTAAAAACAGCATCCTAAAGTCCTTCTCTCAATACAGTATGTAGGTGCACTAATTTACAAAACACAACAGAAATTAACAAATTTCATGATCCAGACATGAAAATGAGTCTCACTCTTTTATGACCACTCCATCAAATCATTGCTTATTACATCATATTAACATCCTGAATGTCTTATGCCCTGAATGCCATTAGAGGTTGGCATCCCTTATCTAAAATGCTTGGGACCAGAAGTGTTTCAGACTCTGGATTTTCTTTGAATTTTGGAATATTTTCATATATATCATGCAGTATCCTGGGGATAAGACACAAGTCTAAACACGCAATTCACTTATATTTCATATACACTTTACACACATAGCCTGAAGGTAATTTTATACTAACTTTTTTTTTCTTTTTTGAGGCAGGGTCTCCCTCTGTCATCCAGGCTGGAGTGCAGGAGCACAATCATGGCTCACTGCAGCCTTGACACCCCGGGCTCAAACGATCCTCCTGCCTCGGCCTCCCAAGTAGCTGGGACTACAGGCACACACCACCACACCAAGCTAATTGTTTTGATTTTTAGTAGAGACAAGGTCTTGCTGTGTTGCCCAGGCTAGTCTCTAACTCCTGAACTCAAGCAATCCTCCCACCTTGGCCTCCCAGGATTGCTGGTTATGAGCCACCTCACCCAGCCAGTATTTTTAATAATTTTATGCATGAAATAAAGTTTTAACTGCAACCTGTCACATGAGGTCAGGCATAGAATTTTCCAATTGTGGCATCATGTCAGTTCGAAAAGTTTTGAATTTTGAAGGATTTTTGATTTTGATTTTTTTTTTTTTTTGAGACAGTCTTGCTCTGTTGCCCAGGCTGGAGTACAGTGGTGTGATCATGGCTCACAGCAGCCTCAGCCCCCTGGGCTCAAGCAATCCTCCTACCTCAGCCTGGAACTACAGATGTGCGCCACCATGCCTGGCTAATATTTTTGTAGAGACAGGGTTTCATTATTTTGCCCAGGCTGCTCTTGAACTCCCAAGCTCAAGCAATCCACTCATCTTGGCCTCCCAAAGTGCTGGGATTAAAGGTGTGAGCCAGCAAATCTGGCCCAGATTTTGAATATTTTGAGTAGGGATGCTCAGCCTGGACCTGCATCTCTCCAGAAGCACTACAGTACTTACAAGGTACTTACATATATTGTTTCATTTAGTCCTCACTAAGGACTATGTGAGATTGGCATTACTGTCCCCATTTTGCAGACTGTCCAGCTTACAGACTGACAAAGCCAATAATCAAATCCAAGCGGGTCTGCCCAAAGCCCCATGTCACACTGCTTAAAATTCAAGTCTGCACTTCAGTTCTTCGTTAGTCTCCTTTATGTCAGTAACTAAGGTTCAGATTAAATACTCGCTTTATTTTCAAAAGAAAACCATTCCTTCAAACAATTTTCTACCAATTTCTCTGCTGAAATGGTACTTATTTATAACACAGTACCTTAAAATGAGTCCATAAGGAACTGGAAAATGTTATTTTTTTTGAAGTTTTACACATTCAGTACACTTTGCATCAATAATAAAAGTATATTCATAAAAGTATACTCACGTATAGGATATTAAGAATCTAACACTGCTTATATTTAGGCATAAATGTGACATAATATTCCACTTATTTCACAAGCAATTACTATAACTTAATTCCAATAGTTATTCTAATACCTTCTTGTTCTTTCTAGAGTTTCGGGTTTGTTTTTTAAGTGGTTTCTCCCATTTTTCTCACTTTCAATTACATAAAACTGTATTCTACTTTCAGTCCAAATTTTGTGTTGCCTATATTAAATCCATTTCCCCAATATATCTAGACTGCTGCCAACTAGAGTTAATAAATTTTGAATGACTGCTCAGGATTTATTCCCTTTATTTTTATATTCTGTTATTTCCTTATACAATAGAGTATGAATGAAAACAAGTATCTACAAGACCAGTATTTCTTCAATTTTCACCTTGTGAAAGCTGGGTATTAAAATAAAAATAAATTAAACTCTTGGGCTGGGAACTCCCTGACCATATTTCTCTCACTGTGCTGGGTGTCTCTACGCCCCCTTTCAATCTTGAGTACATATAGTCAATAGGCACTGCATGCACTGGGGGAGCACCTGGCCCATCAAGGGCCTTTCCCAGAGGAAGTAATGAATAAAGAACAGATGAAGAGCTGAGTAGTGGTTCCTGACCTGCCAGCAAGAGAGGAGGGGCAGCATTTTAGATTTGAGTCATCTCCACTGGAGTCTGCCAGTAATCAGTTGTGTGACTTTAAGCATATCAATTAGAAACAGAAAGCTTGGCATCCCGAAAAGAAAACCATTCCTTCAATTTTCTACCAATTTCTCTGCTGAAATGGTACTTATTTGTAACACAGTACCTTAAAATGAGTCCGCAGGGAACTGGAAAATGTTATTTTTTTGAAGTTTTACACATTCAGTATACTTTGCATCAGTAATAAAAGTATATTAGTAAAAGTATACTCAAGTATAGGATATTACGAATTGAATTTCAGCAAGACTTGAATTTTACTCCTCATTATTTATCCAAAAAGGAAAAAAGATCCGAGGATTTGTAAGTGACGTGACCAAACTCCAAAGGCTGTTAGCGGTATCCGCATATTCAGGATGCAAATCACTCTCTAGTCAACTGCACTTGCTACTAAACTGTGATTCACTGGCTGTTAGTGGTATCCGCATATTCAGGATGCAACACCCTCTCTAGTCAACTGCTCTTTCCACTAAACTGTGATTCACTGGGTGCCGATTTCTTCATCTCAAGAGGTGATGATTACCCCCTTTGTAATACTACCTATCTCATAGGACTATGAAGACTAAAGAAAATAAGGTATACAAGAGCATTTAACAAATTTACCATACCACTTCATACTATTGTGGAGAGGGCCAAGAGACAAGAAATCTGGTAGCATTTAAAGTGCTAAGAGCACAAAATAGAAGTGTTATAAGGTCATCTCACCAGCCAGATCTATACTTTAGCTTGATTATACAATAAAAGCATTGACCTTGCCACTCTCCAAAACTATCAGCGCAAGCTACAATGCCCCCTCACACTGGCAATTTACCATGAGATTTCTAATCAATAATCAAAACATTGTATTGTATACTTCCTGCTCTGAACAACAGGTACCAAAATTTCAGCAGCCAGGTAGGTTGGAGTTCACAATCAGGCAGCCTAGAATTACACTCAGCCCACAAATATGTTTTGATCAACATAATTTTTAATGGCAAATTTTTAAACTAAATACATTAAAATCCACGACATGCAGTGGCTCACACCTGTAATCCCAACAATTTGGGAGGCCATGGCAGGAGTATCATTTGAAGGCAGGAGTTCAAGACCAGCCTAGGCAACATAGATAGACACCATCTCTACAAAATTTTTTTAAAAATTAGGCCGGGCGCAGTGGCTCACGCCTGTAGTCCCAGCACTTTGGGAGGCCAAGGCAGGTGGATCACCTGAGGTCGGGAGTTCGAGACCAGCCTGACCAACATGCAGAAACCCCGCCTCTACTAAAAATACAAAATTAGCCAGGCGTGGTGGCGCATACCTGTAATCCCAGCTACTCAGGAGGCTGAGGCAGGAGAATTGCTTGAACCCAGGAGGTGGAGGTTGCAGTGAGTCAAGATCGCGCCATTGCACTCCAGCCTGGGCAACAAGAGCGAAACTCCTTCCCACAAAAAAAATAAAAGCAACAACTAGCTAGTACATGGCCGGATGCAATGGCTCACCCCTGTAATCCCAGCACTTTGAGAGCCTGAAGCAGGCGGATCACTTGAGGTCAAGAGTTCAAGACCAGCCTGGCCAACACGGCAAAACCCTGTCTCTACTAAAAATACAAAAATTAGCTGGGCGTGGTGATGGGCACCTGTAGTCCCAGCTACTCAGGAGGCTGAGGCAAGAGAATCGCTTGAACCCGGGAGGCGGACATTGCAGTGAGCCAAGGTCATGCCACTGCACTCCAGCCTGGGCAACAAGAGCGAGACTTTGTCTCAAAAAAAGAAAAAAAAAAAAAACTAGCTACACATAGTGGCATGCGCCTGTAGTCCTAGCTATTGGGGAGGCAGAGGTGGGAGGATCACTTGAGCCCAGAATTCAAGGCTGTAGTGAGCTATTACCACGAAACTGCACTCTAGCCTGATAGGACGATACCCTGTCTCTAAAAGTTAAATAAATAAATAAGAATAAATTAAAATCCAGATTTCCAGCATCTTTTCCAAAAAGTGTCAAAAGATCCAAGGACACTGGGCCCACTTCCTCACATGGCAACAAGCAAGTGGAGCTGAGCAGCAACTGCTCCCTTTAGTTTGGGCCCGTGCTCTCCAGTTCATCAAGGCCCAGCCTACTCATCCTAGTACATAACAGGCATCGGACTTGGAGACCACTGAGGAAGATGCTCAAACAGAACAATAATAATAATTTAATGAAGATTTGTTTACTCTTTTTTGGCCAGTTTTTTGTGGCTCTATCACACATTAGCTCTGTGACTCTTAAGTAACATATTTAACCACTAAGCCTCTTAAATTTAACACAAGCTGAAATATGCTGACTTCTGAGTCAAAAAACTTCACAAAAACTTCGAACTCACAGAAACAAGTCAGGGCACCTCCCATAGGGAAAAAACGTAATGTGGCCACGAATGGTGGCTCACGCCTGTAATCCCAGCACTTTGAGAGCCCGAGGCAGGCAGATCACTTGAGGTCAGGAGTTTGAGACCAGCCTGGCCAACACAGCAAAACCCCGTTTCTACTAAAAACACAAAAATTGGCCAGGCGTGGTGGCACCTGCCTATAGTCCCAGCTACTTGGGAGGCTGAGGCAAGAGAATCTCTTGAACCCAGGAGGCAGAGGTTGCAGTCAGCCAAGATCATGCCACTGCACTCCACCCTGGGTGATAGAGCAAGACTGTCTCAAAAAAAAAAAAAAAAACAAGTAACGTGACAGAAGTCCTTGTCATATAATAATTTGACATCTACAACTGCGTCCGTAACAGTAAGGCCTATACATCAGAATAACAGATTGCCAGCAAATTATCTTAGGCTGAATCATATAAATCCACTCAACTGCAAAAGTTTCTGAAGTCTTCAGGTATAAGTCAATAAGCAAAACAAGCTCCCCCACCAAAAAAGAAAAACATTTAAAGTAACAGATAAGGCTATGAGCTCCTTTAGTGCAAAGGCCACTTCCATTCCTCGTGATCCCTCCTGTCTCACAATGACTGGCACACTGAAGCTACAGCTCAAGGGCAAGTTTCTCTCTGAAGCCTTTCCAGAGGGTCCGCATCCACATCACAAAGAACAAGCAACATGGTGTAGTAATGAAGAGTGCCGATCTCAGTGTTCAGCAGATAATCCCCTCTATCTTACAGCTCTACCAGCAGCATAAACTCAAGGAAGTTATTCAAGGTCTCTGTGCCCCAGTTTCCTCATCTGTAAAATCAGGATGCTAATAACACCTTCTCACACGAGAAAAAAATGAGATAAAGCATTTAACATCACACCAGCAGAGTAAGTACTCATTACCTACCATCATCAGTGTTTCCTTCTCAGTGTTCTATGGTACCTCCTGGGGACTTCTACCTTAGAACCCACAGTACTTTATTATGGTTCACCTGCACACACACAGACATCTCCTCTACTAGAATGTCAATAACCTCAGGATAGGGACCCAATTTTACTTCTTTTTGTATCCCCAAGGTCTAACATTTTGCTTGGCACTGCTGAAATGAATCGTAGATCCTCGAAGTATTTATTAACTGGAAAAGTTATTAGCAGAAACTGGAATTTACCTCCCTTGCCTGGTACTCAAGCCCTCACTGACTCTGACCCCTACCGCCCCTCCAACTTTACGTCCTTGTACCCTGCTAAAAGAAGCAATGACTTGCATGACTCAGGCTGTAAACTCACTCACCAGTCTAAAACCATGCCTCAAGCATTATACCTTTGTATCTTATAGCTATTTATTTCGGGGGACTTTACCACGTACCAGGCCCTTTATCCCCATTAGTTCAATAAATATTCACAACACTCCATGTGGTCAATATTATTCCCTAACCCAACCCCTAGTTGAAGAAAGTGATGCTTGGAGTTATGTGTCGAAGGTCACATATCCTGTAAGAACAGGGACCAGGAATTGAATCCAGAGTCCATGCCTATTTTCTATAGACTGTCTTCTCTGCTCATATTCAAAGCTGAGCTAACTAACCTACCTGCCATCTCCTTGCCTTGGAAGAGCACAGTCTTTACATTTAAAAGATTTCTGTACCATTCATTTTAACATTCATATGTTTTGTCCTATATAACTTTTGGTTTCAATATGTACTTGCATAAAAAGAGGGAGATGATGTGAGAAAAAGGCAAGACATGTAATGGAAAAAGCACAGATTTAGGCATCAGACAGACCTGGGTTTGAATCCTGGCTCTGTCTCCTACCAGCTGTGTAATTTATTATGGGTCTTCCTAATCTGTAAATTGAGGTTAAAATGATTAAACAATAGAAACCCCTATATAATACCCAAATACTCAAAGTTTAGTTTACCTCAAATTATGAAGCATTACCTGGCCACATCCCATCCCTCAAAGGTGAATAACCCATTCCCCTCCCGCACCTACCACTGTCACAAGAACTCTCACACAATGTACTTATCACGGTGTTAGAATTATTCATTTCCCTTATCTCTCTTTCACTAAATTGAGCTCCCTGGCAGCAAAGACTGAATCTTATATTTATCTCTAATTGCCTAGCATGGTACCTGGCATATATATACATATCCATATTCAGTAAACATTTGCTAAGTTAAATAATTGTAGATAAAAATGAGCGCTTATAGAATTCTAGAGGAAAAATCATTTCCAGGTGGGGTTGTCCTGAATTGGTTGGGTGAGGCCAACTCAGCTGAGCCGTGGGAAGCGTCTCAATAGACTGAAAGAGAAAAGGGGAAACCTAGGCAAGGTAGGGAGAATGTTCTACAAAAATCAATGGAATAGGAAAGAACAAAAATGATTAGAGATCCTACTTATTCAGAGTAATGGATCAGGATGGGGTAATTAAAGAAGGAGACCTTTTCAAGCATAACTGGAAAGGTAACCAGGAGCCAGATTAGGAGATGTAAGGGGGTGTAAGTGCAGTCTGGGACACACAGTAGTTGAAGGTAGGCATGAGCACACAGATGAATGGGAAAGGGCTACCAGCATGCCCCAAATCCCGCAGGTGTGTAAACTGAAAAACATGAAAACAATTATTGCTTCATCAAGAACTCTTTCCGTGTTTACTAGGTACCTTGTGTGGGCTCATAAAATATAAGGAATAAAACCCATATCTAGGCTTCTGCTCAAGTGGGTTTTAACATTACGGATCCACCTCTCCTGCTTGTCAGAGAATGAGAACGCTGCTTTTTTTAAACCAATGGGTCTCCATTTGACTCTTCACACCTGGGAAAGTTTTGAACTTTGCCGATTTGGGTTTATAACAACATGGTGCTTTGTACAGTGCCAGGTACTGTGGTGGGCTTCCAAAGTGACTTTCATTCATTCAAAAGGAAGTTTTAACCAATTTCTGAGTCAATTTGGGGGTCTCTGGTTAAAGTCATAATCTTGTTTACGCTACAATCTCTTTTTCCCAGCCTTAAACAAATCTAAATGACTCCTTGCCACTCCCATAAACAAAGAATGAATCAAAGTTCCAGCAGCACTGTAGCTAGAAAAAAGTCTGTAAGGCTGTTAACCTCTTTAAGGGGGAGGGGGAGAAGGGACGCAAGGAAACAAGGACCACACAGTCAATGCTTGAAAACCTTGATTTTCACATTATGAAGACCAGGGCACCTAGATATTGCCAAGTGCAGGCCCAGAAACTGCCGGAGTCAACTACACCCCCCACCCCCACACTACCAGGTCAGCTGGCTTCTTTTCCCCTAAACCACACACCCGCCTCAGACTCCTGACAGCCTCCAGTTCTGGAAATGGCCAGGAAACGAACGCGCCCGGGCCACCTGAACAAGGGCCCGGCAGGCGGCCCGCCGGGCAGCGCTGAAACTGGAGGGGTGAGAGGGCCGCCAGGTGGGCAAGCTGGTGGGCTGACGGACGGGCGGGGAGCTGGCGGCTGGGGCAACCTTTACCTGAAGCTGCTTCCACACTACGGGCCGGGTCGGCCCCGGGACACGTTCCTGAGGGGAGGGCCCGGCTCCCCCACGCCTCCCGGCCCCTGCCCCGAGCTCTGCACTCTCGGGATCCACGGGGACCGGCGCTCCTCCCGGCCCGCTCAGCTGCCGCTTCCCGGGTTAGCCCTCATGCCCCTGCTGCTCGCCGCCGCCGGCCGGCCGAGCAGCAGCCCTATTACCCCGAGCCGCACACGACCCGGAACCACACCCCGGCGTTCCGGAAGTCCCCGACCGGGAAGGAGCCTCTGGCTGGGGACGTAGTGCGCAAGCCCCAGAGCTGAAAGCAAGGAGCGGTAGCTTCCCGCGGGGCGGGGCCGGGAGGGAGGCCGGGCGCATGCGCGCCGCTTCTCCAGTGCAGGGAAAGGCCTGGGTCGGAGACTGAGTTCTGGCAAGATGCGCCAGTGCCTGGACTTGCCTTGAGCAGGAATCAGTGTTAGGCTTCTCCATCGAATCTTCTTTCTCCCCATTTCCACGGAGAAAAGCCCTTAGTTCGTCCAGAAATGAGTGATGAGGCAGCTCAGCCTCTCTGAGAAAGACCTGGGTTCAAATGCCAGCTCTTATAACTTGCTGTGTGTCCTAGGATGTGACACTTCTCTCTGAGCCTCGGGTTTTCCCATCCAGGGCAATAGTTTCAACTTTAGAGTATATTGCTGTGGGAATCGAATGGGATGATGCTTGAAAAACACCCAGCATAGTGCCTGACACATAGTAAACATGCAGTCAATGTTAGTTATTTCTCTTATTATAATATCTGTAATATGGAGGTGACAATAATCTTCCTCAAGCCCTGCTGGGAGGTTTCCAGGAGATGTAGGAGGACTGGCACAGGGCAGAAGTTCAGTGTGTCTCATGCTGCTCCCTTCCTCTCTCACGGAGGAAATCAGTAGAGAAAGCCACGATGAAGGGGGAAAAAGGATTCAGGGAGTGCAGTGAGAGTGGTTCTCCCACCTGAAAGATGCTTGGGGAAGTCTCTCAAAAACGCACCTTAGCAAAAGAAAAAACTCAAGGTTGAATTTCAGCCCTGAGGGACCCCTGCCCAATTTTAAACTTATTAATAAATATGCCATGGGGCCAGGCACGGTGGCTCACACCTGTAATCCCAGCACTTTGGGAGGCCGAGGAGGGCAGATCACTTGAGATCAGGAGTTCGAGACCAGCCTGGCCAACATGGTGAAACCCTGTCTCTACTAAAAATACAAAAATTAGTCTGGCGTGGTGGTGTGCACCTGTAGTCCCAGCTACTCAGGAGACTGAGGCAGGAGAATGGCTTGAACCCGGGAGGCAGAGGTTGCAGTGACCCAAGATCAGGCCACTGCACTCCAGCCTGGGTGACAGAGACTCTGTCTCAAAACAAAAAAACAAAAAACACGGTGGGTCTACCCATGTATTTCAAATATGGTCATCCATCACTTAATGATGAGGACACAAGAAATGCATCGTTAGCTGATTTTGTGGTTGTGTAAACATCATAGACTGTACTTACACAATGTCAGAGCCTACTACACACCTAGGCTGTTTGGTATTAGCCTATTGCTTCTAGGCTGCACACCTGTACAGCATGTTACTGTACCATATACTGTAGGCAATTCTAACACAATGGTATTTGTGTATCTAAACATCTCTAAATGCAGAAAAGGTACAATTAAAAGACCATGTTATAATCTTAGGGGACCACCATCATATGCACTCTGTCATTGACCAAAACATCCTCATTCCACGCATGACCATATGTGATTGATCTCTTACTACATCCCATTACTTTATGTAATTGGTATCTTACCACATATCTATACTGGGGGAATAGTGCACCTCAGCACCCAGACACACTCTTGCACACACACCACCACAGTTCCATCAGGGACCTGTCAGAGGCACTCTAACAAAGCAGCAGGTGTGAACAAGTTTGGATATTTGATTTTCTGAGGTCACCAGGTTATCTGTTCCTTCCTAAATCTTACTCTCCATTTTCCTCTCTCTCTCTCTCGAGTTCCAATCTGAAGCACAGCTGCCTGACTGTCTCCTAGACACATAAAACTCGACCTATCTAAAACTGCTAAGCAGTTATAGATTCTAAAGAGTAAATATTTCCTAGCACTTTGAGAGACCAAGGCAGGAAGATCATCTGAGCCCAGGAGTTCAAGACCAGCCTAGGCAACATGGTGAGACCCCATCACTACCTTAAAAAATTTATCTCTATATAGGCCGGGCACGGTGGCTCATGCCTGTAATCCCAGCACTTTGGGAGGCCAAGGGGTGCGGATCACAAGGTCAGAAGATCAAGACCATCCTGTCTTAACATGGTGAAACCCTGTCTCTACTAAAAAAAAAAAAAAAAAAATACGAAAAATTAGCCAGGCATGTGGCACACACCTGTAGTCCCAGCTACTTGAGAGGCTGAGGCAGGAGAATCGCTTGAACCTGGGAGGTGAAGGTTGCAGTGAGCACACCACTGCAGCCCAGCCTGGACAACAGAGTGAGAGTCTGTCTCAAAAAAATAAAAAATAAAAAAATATATATATACACACACATATACACATATATTTTTTTTAGCCAGGTGTGGTGGTGAATGCCTGTAGTCCTAGCTGCTTGGGAGGCTGAGATGGGATGATTGCTTGAGCCCTGGGAGGTCAAGGCTGCAGTGAGACGTGATCATGCCACTGCACTCCAGCCTGGATGAAAGAGCAATGCCCTGTCTTGAAAAAAAAATTAGAAAAATAAAAAGTGAATACTCACTCTGCCACTTACAAGTTTTGTGACTTCATCTCTCCAAGTTGCTTCTCTAAATATTCTTATCTTTACCTGGAAAATGGGAATGACAGAAGTCCTACATAACCTCATTAGTTTGTTGCAAGGATAGAATGACCTAATACATGTAGCTTACATATAACAGAGCCTGGCATGTGACTATTATTTACTAATGCCTACCAGTATGAGTATACCTCAGTCAGTAAGCAATACTTATTGAGTGCCTATTGAGATTCAGTGGTGAAAAAGCCAGACGGGGACCCTACCCTTAAGAAGCCTTGTAGTCAAGTTCGACTATGGGTTTGAAATACTGTAGTTACTGTGGTAAGTTGGCATGCAGTGATATATGGTAGGATTTCAAGGACAGTATTGAGGGCCCAGTTGAGAATGGAGACTAAATGTATGGTGATACTAATATGATGGCTAGTGTGATTATTCTATAGCTAGTTGGAGCAGTCACGATACACACACCCAAAGAATGAGAAGTTGGATTGATCCAAGGAAGGATTTTGCCAGACAGGTGTGATGGGGTCATATCAGCTTTTAAGAGTGCTTAAAACAATGAGCCATAGAAAGTATGCTGGATAGGGAAGCAAGAGAATTCCAGAAAAACAGGTATCACTGGCCTAAAGGTCTCAAATAGATGTAATGGAAGTCACTGATGAAGGAAAGCAGAAGGATGGAGGTTATTGTCACAGATGGATGTTTCAACAAATAACCTCAGAGGAGGAGCCATGTGAGAGGGGGTCCCAGCTAAAGTGGAATGGGGGGAAAATCACTGAAGATGAGATAGTCAAGGAACTGAGATCCTTGTGAACGTCCATCCCAAGATGGTGGACAGACATGGGGTGAAAAGGAAACCAGACGTGCTCCCCATGGCATCTGCAACTGAGGAACAGCACTGGGGAGGTAGATGAGGAGGAGAGAGGAGAAACTAATTGGATGGCATGAGCCTCCAAGAAGCAGGAGTTGTATTGGTGGAAGTGTCATTAAAGCATACATTGACCTGTCTCCTGACCTGGGGTGTACAGTGGTAGGACCATGAGAGCTAACACACATACAAATTTTTTTTTTTTTTTTGAGATGAAGTCTCGCTCTGTCGCCAGGCTAGAGTGCAGTGGCACGATCTCAGCTCACTGTAACCTCCGCCTCCCAGGTTCAAGCCATTCTCCTGTCCCAGCCTCCCGAATAGCTGGGACTACAGGTGCCCGCCACCATACCCGGCAAATTTTTCTATTTTTAGTAGAGACGGGGTTTCACCATGTTGGCCAGGTTGGTCTCGATCTCTTGACCTTGTGGTCTGCCTGCCTCTGCCTCCCAAAGTGCAAGGATTACAGGCGTGAGCCACCACACCCGGCCACAAAAATAACATTTTTACAGCACACTGATGGTGCTGGGCCAGGGGCTGGCTAGGGGACTCCCATAGACATCAGGGCAGCGGGACAGGTACCTGGGCATACCTATGACAATCAGGCTTCACAGCCTTCATCTCCAGCTTGGAAAGGAAGCCATGTTAGGGGGTGGAGGTTCTTTTTCTTCTGGTTCCCGGGACTAGAGAGGGTCAGTGGGCAGAAGTTCAAAAACACCTACTACCGGGCCGGGCGTGGTGGCTCCTGCCTCTAATCCCAACGCTTTGGGAGGCCAAGGCGGGCGGATCATGAGGTCAGGAGATTGAGACCATCCTGGCTAACACGGTTAAACTCCGTCTCTACTAAAAATACAAAAAATTAGCCAGACGAGGTGGCAGGCACCTATAGTCCCAGCTACTGGGGAGGCTGAGGCAGGAGAATGGTGTGAACCTGGGAGGCGGAGCTTGCAGTGAGCCGAGATCATGCCACTGCACTCCAACCTGGGCGACAGAGCGAGACTCTGTCTCAAAAAAATCAAAATAAAACAAAACAAAAACAAAAACAAAAAAAACACCTACTACCTGTGTGGCCTTCAACAAGTTACTTGCCTTTCTTGTGTCTGTTTTCTCATCTAGGTTGTTGTGAGAATTCCATGAGGTACTGCAGAGAGAGTAACTAGAACAGTGCCTGGTATACAGGAGGTGTTGCATAAATGCCAGCTCTTCTGGCCCGGCACGCCAAGATGGGCAGTAAGGATCAGGTCCCTTCACACATTCAGTTTCCTCACAGCCCCTCAAGCCTCAATTGTTGTTTGCCTTTCCACTCAGCAAACTCCAATTCATTTTGGGGGGCAGCCTAAAACAACAACCATGTATTATTTCTCAGGATTCTGTGGGTTGATAGGTGTTTCTCCTGCCAATCTATCCTGGGCTTGCTCATGCAATTGCCGTCAGATGGAAGCTAGAATGCCTGGAAGGACTAAAATGGCCTCACTCATGGCAGCAGATGTTGGCCAGACTATCTTGATTTTTCTCCTTGTGGCCTGTCTGGTGGCTATCTTGGCTTTCTGTATAACATAATGACAGAATTCTAACAGAGTACGCTCTAATGTGCAAGTGATTTTTAAAACTACAGTTCTTGGCTGGACATGGTGGCTCACGCCTGTAATCTCAGCACTTTGGGAGGACAAGGCGGGTGGATCACGAGATCAGGAGATTGAGACCATCCTGGCCAACATGGTGAAACCCCATCTCTACTAAAAATACAAAAATTAGCCAGGCATGGTGGCGGGTGCCTGTAGTCCCAGCTACTCGGGAGGCTGAGGCAGAAGAATCGCTTGAACCAGGGAGTCGGAGGTTGTAGTAAGCTGAGATCATGCCACTGCACTCTAGCCTGGCAACAGAGCGAGACTCCGTCTGAAAAAAAAAAAACAAAAATTAGTCAGCCGTGGTGGCGGCTAATTCCTGTAATCCCAGCTACTCAGGAGGATAAGGCAGGAGAATCACTTGAACCCGGGAAGTGGAGGTTGCAGTGAGCCAAGATCCAGCCACTGCAGTCCAGCCTGGGTGACAGAGACTCCGTCTCAAAAAAAAAAAAAAAAAAAATATATATATATATATATATATATATACACACACACACACACACATATATACACGTATATATATATACACATATATATGTGTATATATATGTGTATATATATATAAAATTGTGGAGATATATACATATATGTATACCATATTACCCATTTCTAAGTATATCCTATTCATTGTTGAAGGCTCAATTTACATATTACTTCCCCAGAAAGCTTTCCTAGATCACCTTTTCTCCCTAACAGGACACATGAAGAACTTTATTCTCTGTGCTGACCGTTTATCACATTTCTGTTGTTCTTTTAATACATATCCTGTCTCCCCAACGGGCCATGAGGAATGGGATGTTTATTTCTGTTTATATACTAAAAGCTAAAAACACCATAAGCACTTGGTAATGTGTGTTAAATGAAAAGGTGCTCAAAATATGCACATGAAATGAGGCAATCTTATTTTTAAGATTATAAGACAGCACTTTGGGAGGCCGAGGCAGGCGGTCATGAGGTGAAGAGATCAATAGCATCCTGGCCAACATGGTGAAACCCCGTCTCTACTAAAAATAACAAAAATTAGGCCGGGCGCGGTGGCTCACGCCTGTAATCCCAGCACTTTGGTAGGCGAAGGCGGGCGGATCATGAGGTCAGGAGATCAAGACCATCCTGGCTAACACGCTGAAACCCCGTCTCTACTAAAAATACAAAAAATTAGCCAGGCGTGGTGGCAGGTGCCTGTAGTCCCAGCTACTCGGGAGGCTGAGGCAAGAGAATGGCGTGAACCCGGGAGGCGGAGTTTGCAGTGAGCCGAGATTGCGCCACTGCACTCCAGCCTGGGCGACAGAGCAAGAGTCCGTCTCAAAAAACAAACAAACAAACAAACAAACAAAAAAATTAGCTGGGCATGGTGGCGCGAGTCTGTAGTCCCAGCTACTTAGGAGGCTGAGGCAGGATAATTGCTTGAACCTGGGAGGCGGAGGTTGCAGTAAGCCAAGATTGCGCCACTGCACTCCAGCCTGGTGACAGAGTGAGACTCTGTCTCAAAAAAAAAAAAAAAAAAAAAAAAAAAAATTATAAGAGATTATAAGATTTTAAGATTACATAAGATTTGAGGAAATCTTATTTTATATAAGCATTATTTTCACATGGAAAAATACCTCTTTGCCAAATGTATGCCAACAAGCCAAGAGTACATGTGATAGGATGAAAGTAACACTTTGAAACCCTGCCAAAGCTTTGGGGAAACGGAGGCATCTTCTAGCTTTTCTGCAAATGTGTGATCTCAATATTTTATATGTGTGAATATGTTTCCCTGATATTCTTCCCAATTTTGGTCTTTTATTTAAATATGGTTTTTCCTCTCATAGAGAAAACATGGGTGTTTCCTCTCATAGGGAAAACATGGGTGTTCCTGTCCTATAAAGAATTAATTCTACGAAAAGAGTAAATTGCGTCAAAAATCCATTCAAACTATTTTAAAGAAGCGCCCTGGAAGTGTACAATTTCAGAGAGAAATATAGTGGGTTTTTTTAAATTTAAGTAATATTTCAATGTGAAGATTTTTGTTTTGTTTTGTTTTGTTTTGAAATGGAGTCTCCCTCAGTCGCCCAGGCTGGAGTGCAGTGGTGCAATCTCGGCTCACAGCAACCTCTGCCTTCAGGGCTCAAGTGATCCTCCCAAGTAGCTAGGACCACAGGCGCACGCCACTACACCCAGCTAATTCTTGTATTTTTAGTAAAGATGGGTTTTCACCATGTTGGCCAAACTCGTTTGGAACTCCTGAGCTCAAGGAATCCCTCCATCTCAGCCTCCCAAAGTGCTGGGATTAGAGGCGTGGACCAGGCACCCAGGCTCAATGTGAAGAATTTTTTTTTTTTTTTTTTTTTTTTGAGATGGAGTCTCGCTCTGTCGCCCAGGCTGGGGTGCAGTGGCACAATCTCGGCTCACTGCAAGCTCTGCCTCCCAGATTCACGCCATTCTCCTGCCTCAGCCTCCTAAGTAGCTGGGTCTACAGGTGCCCGCCAGCACGCCTGGCTAATTTTTTTTTATTTTTTTTTATTTTTAGTAGAGACGGGGTTTCAGCGTGTTAGCCAGGGTGGTCTCGATCTCCCAACCTCGTGATCCACCCGCCTTGGCCTCCCAAAGTGCTGGGATTACAGGGTCAGCCTCCGCGCCCGGCGGTGAAGAATTTTTTTAAAGCAAATGTATTGCTTATAGTAAGGTGAGTTTGGTGAATAGAAGGGAAGCACAAAATTAACCCATCAGAAAACACACTTTGAAGATACTATTTAAATACAAATCGGTCCTGGGGACTGGGCAGAGATTCACTGAGCTTTGTTCTATTGAGTTTTCATGCTGAGTATTATTTCTGGTGAGTATCCCCTTTTTAGATACTTGGGGTGAAAATGGAACAGCTGGCTGGTATTATGAAAAATGGAACATCTTTCCGGCTACATTTATATTTGTAGTCCCTTTCCAAAATCCAGGTCCTGTAACCAGCTTCTAATAGTACCTTTTCTTGCTTTAAAGGTTAGCTAGTACTGTGAGTGCCAGCCCCTAAATTAATTGATGTTAACAGTACTTAGAACGTAAAAAACAGACTCGTATGTTTTGTCGAATGCAACTTCCAAGAATGTATAATTAACAGTGTCTCCATTAATATACAGTATGTTCAACAGTGAGACACCACTATCATAAATAAAGGTAGACATGGATAAATTTATAATTAAAAATGCATTAGAAATTACAAGCATAATTTATTTACTAATGTGCACTGGAATAAATTTTATGTGTAATATTTTAAAACTGGGCATTAATAAATAATAGTGAACATAAAATGTTTTTGTAGCTAAAATATTTCAATAAATATTAGTAACTTAAATGTGCAGCAGTTATAATTGCTCTGAAGTAAAGTTTATAGAATGCAATCCCAATGTAGAACACTGTTTCTTGGGTGTATTCAAAATATCAGAAATGCATAGCTGTCCTTCTTCAAAGCTGACAAATCAGGTATTCAACGTAGTGCCTACAATGATTGAAGAATAAAAGCACAGGACACCCAAATAGTGAATAACTAATCATTATTTGAGATAACCAAGACCCTTCCGAGAAAGTGTATTTACAGACTCGTGGATTCAAATCTTACCTACCTGCTTGGCCTACACTAATTTGGAGCAATTTCTCCCACCTGAAAACTCCTATGGGTCTTTTTGAACCTTTCACTTAAAAATTGGTTTTACCTGCTGGGCATAGTGGCTCACACCTGTAATCTCAGAACTTTGGGAGGCCAAGGAGGGCAGATCACTTGAGGTCAGGAGTTCGAAGTCAGCCTAGCCAACATGGTGAAACCCCGTCTCTACTAAAAATACAAAAATTAGCCAGGCATGGAGATGCACGCCTGTGGTCCCAGCTGCTCAGGAGGCTGAGGCAGGAGAATTGCTTGAACCTGAGAGGCGGAAGTTGCAGTAAACCAAGATCAGGCCACTGAACTCCAGCCTGGGTGACAGAGGGATACTCCATCTCAAAAAAAAAAAAGCCGGGCGCGGTGGCTCATGCCTGTAATCTCAGCACTTTGGGAGGCTGAGGCAGGTGGATCACAAGGTCAGGAGATCGAGACCATCCTGGCTAACACAGTGAAACCCCATCTCTACTAAAAATACAAAAAATTAGCCAGGCGTGGTGGCGGGCGCCTGTAGTCCCAGCTACTCCAGAGGCTGAGGCAGGAGAATGGCGTGAACCCGGGAGGCAGAGCTTGCAGTGAGCTGGGCGACAGAGTGAGACTCCATCTCAAAAAATAAAAAAATAAAAAATTTACCTTACCTTGACTGTGCTTTTGTTCTATCAGGGGCAAACAACTCCAAGATGCCAAGCACTATTCTAAGTGCTCATATATTTTATTGACGCCATGCTCTTGACCACTTCACTCTATTAGCTCCACTATTTAAAATATTCTATTTATTGAACTTTCTGAGCGTTCACATCATGTGTCCTTAGTGAGCTATAAGTCCTACAACACACAGGAATACCGTATTTGTTCATTTGATGTGCCTGAAAAGGGAGCTTGTGTCTACATGTAAGGTAGGTTTTCCCAGGTAAGACTGTAGCTGATTAACAGTAATGAATGGCGTCCATTATTGGTTGAGCCTTACTTTGGGCCAGGCCTGGCCTAATGGCTTTGTACCCCTAGTCTTATTTAATCCTCATAACAATCCAATAGATAGATGTTATTATTATCCCTATTTAACAAATGAGGAAACTGAGCATCAGAAAGGTGAAGTCACTTGCTCAAGATCATACAACTAGTAACTGGCTGACTTGGAAGCCCCAAGCGCCACACTTCCCACAATGATAATGAGCAGCCCTTGTTGTGAAAATAACCATGTCCTTTCACTACATCATGTTGCCTTCCAGCATCTCACGATCCTTTCTGCTGGGATTTTCCCCCCATTGATATCTAATCTAAGTCCCTCCTGCTCCCATTTAAGATAATTCCCTCATGTCCTGTCCTTAGTAGACAAGAACTGATGTTTAAAACACATGAGCAATATCCCTTTAGATATTTGAAGATGGCTATTAAATTCTCCTTAACCTTCTTTTCTCCATGATACGTTATTAGTAACCCCAATTCCTTTTGCCTTTTCTCACAGGGACTTTTTTTTTTTTTTTTTTTTGAGATGGAGTTTCGCTGTTGTTGCCCAGGCTGGAGTGCAATGGTGAGATCTCAGCTCACCACAACCTCCGCCTCCCGGGTTCAAGCGATTCTCCTGCCTCAGCCTCCCAAGTAGCTGGAATTACAGGCACACATCACCACGCTGGCTAATTTTGTTTTAGTAGAGACGGGGTTTCACCATGTTGGCCATGGCTGGTCTCGAACTCCTGACCTCAGGTGATCTGCCTGCCTCAGGCCTCCCAAAGTGCTGGGATTACAGGCATGAGCACCGTACCAGGCCCCACAGGGACTCTTTCTAAAGCATTCCACCCTCTGAGCCATGCTCCTAGAAAGAGGTTTCAGGTTTTCCAAATCTCAATTTATTATCATCACCTTCAAAGAGTATTTATTAAGCACCCATATAGGCATGTGAACTGTGCTAGAATTTATACAAGCCAGGAAAGCAGATGTTGCCCTGGATCTAAGAGGATATTTGAGGCCAGGCGCAATGGCTCATGCCTGTAATCCCAGCACTTTGGGACGCCAAGGTGGTCAGATTACCTGAGGTCAGGAGTTTGAGACCAGCTGGACCAACATGGTGAAACCCCGTCTCTACTAAAAATACAAAATTAGCCAGGCGTGGTGGTGCATGCCTGTAATCCCAGCTATTTGGGAGGCTGAGGCAGGAGAATCACTTGAACCAGGGAGGCAGAAGTTGCAGTGAGCCAAGATTGCGCCATTGCACTCCAGCCTAGGCAATAGAGTGAGACTCCGTCTAAAAAAAAAAAGAAGAAAGAAAGAATACTGCCTCTGAAATGAGTTTAAGCGAAACTAGTACCTAGAACAATTAATAAATACTAGCTCAGAAGTAATATACAACTAAACTAAACAAACAAAAAAAACAAGTAGTCTGAAGGCTGAAGACACAGTCTTGGCCTGCTTAGAGCTTTTCTGCTTTTCTTGAAAAATTGGAAAGATTAGCGACATTGTGTCTGCAGCCCCCTTGTCAACAATCAGGCTACCTGGTTGTTGTGATGACTGGTGGATGTAATGAAGGCCAGGTGGCAGCCGCTACACATCATGACACTTGGGCTGTGGCTTTTGTCATACCTGGCCTGCAGCACTCATTTGCTTGACCTGACAGGCCTTACAGGTACTTGAGTTTGAGCCCCTGGTCTGGCTTTAGGAAACAGCCTAAGAATGAATTTCTGCCTTTGCATAGCAGAGGTATTGGTGGGGAGAGGGTATAGTTAAGGAGAAAGTCTCAAAACCCTCTTCACCTGGGAGAACCTGTTATTCTCCTCAAACCCAAGTACAATTTCCTGCATAATCTGGAGATTATGCTAGAGAAAGAGGCTCTAGAAAATAAAGAGTGGCCGGGTGCGGTGGGTCACACCTGTAATCCCAGCACTTTGGGAGGCCGAGGTGGGCGGATCACGAGGTCAGGAGATTGAGACCATCCAGGCTAATACAGTGAAACCCCATCTCTACTAAAAATACAAAACACTGGCTGGGCGTCGTGACACGCCTCTGTAGGCCCAGCTACTAGGGAGGTTGAGGCAGCAGAATTGCTTGAACCCAGGAGGCAGAGGTTGCAGTGAGCCGAGATCACACCACTGCACTCCAGCCTGGGCGACAGAGCAAGACTCCATCTCAAAATAAATAAATAAATAAATAAATAAATAAATAAATAAAATTAATAAAGAGGAGTGGAGCTGCAAATTGTTCATCTTTGTATTTCCCAGTTATTTGACAAAATCTCGGCACAAAGTGTTGCTTTGAATGAAAGAAGCTAATTCTGGCTTCAGCTCATTTGTGACTTCGGTGGTCAGAGTCACACCTCTTCTCTGTGTCTCGGTTTTCCCATTTATGGAGTGGAATGGTTTTCCCATTTATAGACTCTACCTGGGCAGAATCATATGATGCCATTTTTTGAGTGACAAAATGTTGTATGTATGTATGGTACAAAAGATGTAAATCTGCCTCTCAAAGATGTCTGTAGATTTTGGCCGGGCGCCATGGCTCACGCCTGTAATCCCAACAATTTGGGAGGCGGATCACCTGAGGTCAGGAGTTCGACACCAACCTGGCCAATATGGTGAAACTTGCTCTTTACTAAAATGTAAAGAACTTAGCTGGGTGTGGTGGTGGGTGCCTATAATCCCAGCTACTCAGGAGGCTGAGGTAAGAGAATCACTTGAACCCCAGAAGCAGAGGTTGCAGTGAGCAGCGATCCTGCCACTGCACTCCAGCCTGGACAACAGAGGGAGACACTATCTTAAAAAAAAAAAAAAAAGAAAGAAAGAAAGAAAGGAAAGAAAAAAGTCTAGATTTTAACATTCTTTCTTCAAGAAGTACATAAGTTTTTTTTTTTTTTTTGGTTTTTTTTGAGACAGAGTCTCGCCATTGCCCAGGCTAGAGTGCAGTGGTGCGATCTCGGCTCACTGTAACCTCCGCCTCCTCGTTCAAGCGATTCTCCTGCCTCAGCCTCCCAAGTAGCCGGAACCACAGGCAGGCACATGCCGCCACAACCAGCTACTTTTTGTATTTTTGGTAGAGATGGGTTTTCGCCGTGTTGGCCAAGCTGGTCTCAAACTCTTGACCTCAAGTGATCTGCCAGCATCAGCTTCCCAAAGTGCTGGGATTATAGGTTTGAGCCACCTCGCCAGGACCATAAGTTGCATTTGTTGTTGTTGTTGAGACAGGGTCTCACTCTGTCACCCAGGCTGGAATGCAATGGCGCAATCTCCGCTCACTGCGACCTCCGCCTCCCGGGTTCAAGCGATTCTCATGCCTCAGCCTTCCGCGTAGCTGGGATTACAGGCATGAGCCCCCCCACCCAGCTAATTTTTGTATTTTTAGTAGAGACGGGGTTTCACCATGTTGGCCAGGCTGGTCTCAAACTCCTGACCTCAAGTGAGCTGGCTGCCTTGGCCTCCCAAAGTTCTGGAATTACAGGCGTGAGCCACCATGGCTGCCTGGCCGCATAAGTTTTTGAAGTACAAATTTTTCCTTCAGATTCCACAATAGCGATTTTTAATTAATAACTTTTCATTTTGAATTAAAAATGTAGTATTTAGACATTTTCCGTTTTCCTGAATGTGTAATCCTAAAAAAATAAATTCACTCACCATGAGTGTACACCTATTGCCAAGATCCTGTGTTTTTTTTAATACCATTCTCCAGTAAAAACAAAACAAAACAAACAAA